>NC_000009.12:116345552-116970552 GCF_000001405.40 Homo sapiens | reverse complement strand
CAAAATTGCAAACAAAAAATGTCATACTTTTTGACAGTTGAAGAAGAATAGAGGGAAAGTTCAAGGCAGAAAAAAGACACAAAGTCAGAGGTGGTCAAACCCACCTGGAGGTTAAAAGAAAGGACTCAAAACTTCTATGCCAAATTTTGAAGTGTTAGCAGGAAGTCACTAGCTCACTGGTTTTCAAAGTGTATTCCCTGGACCAGTAGCATTCGCATGACCTAGAAACTTATTAGAAATGTAAATTCTCATATCTAGTGTAGACTGATAATGATCCCCAAAGGTATCATCAGATCTTAACTCCTAGAACCTATAAATATTATGTTATTTGGAAAAGGGGTCTTTGCAGATGTTATGCCGCATCTTGTCATAGGTTGATTATTCTGAATTATCTGGACAGGTCTGAAACACCATAATGAGTACCCTTATAAGAAAGAAGCACAGTGAGATTTGACATGCACAGTGGAGACATAATTTGAAGATGGAATTAGAGACTGGAGTGAGGCAATCACAAGCCACAGAATGCCAGCTGCCGCCAGAAGCTGAAAGAGGCAAAGAAAAGATTGTTCCCCAGAGGCTCCAGAGGGAGGACCACCTTGCTGACACCTTGATTTTGGCCCAGGGATACCGATTTCAGATTTCTGGTTGTTTGAAGCTGCCCCAGTTTGTGGTGATTTGTTGCAGCAGCCACAGAAACTATGTAATAATATACCTACTAAATTAGGTATTTTGGAGGTGGGCCCAGAATTCTGGTTTAAGAAGTCCTCAGGTGATTCTAATGCTCACTAAAGTTTGAGTACAAATGCACTAGGTAGCAAAACAAGGAATGGATCACCTACTTAGTCTTAAGTAGAAAACAAAAGATATCAGGGCTTGAAAACTCCAGAGTGCCAATGGCTTTTGGCATAGTAAGGTTTATATGCTCCCAAATGTTGGGACTCACTATTCCTGTTTCTTTTCGTCCCTCATCTCTGTGTTTCTCTGGTGCACTCTGTTTTTCTGTTTTTCTTTTTCAGGCACACTCTCACTGACCTCTCCAGGCTTACAACCACAATTAAGTGTTGCCAGAGTAATGAGATGCCCCCTTTCCCAATGGTTTATGCAGAAGTCCTGTCACTGAGGAACAGCAATAATCACACATCCTTAGGTGGCACTGTTCCAAGTGCTTTACTGAAATAAGTTCATTTAGTCTTTACTCATTATTAGCTCCATTTAATGCATGAGGAAACTGAGGCACAAAGAGGATTATGTACCTTGCCCAAGATCACACAGCCAGTAAGTAATAGAACCAGGTTTGGAATCTGAGAGTCTGACTCTTGAGTTCATGTTCCTCATCTCTAAGCTATGGTGCCTCTCTTTGGCCTATTTTGGGATCTTTGCCAATATCCCACATCAATCTCTCAAGAGACAAAGTGTTCTAAGTAGGCAGACCTGGGTCACCAACTTACCCTTGAAACCAGGGTTGAATGAGGAGCACCTTAACCCCTGGATTGAGATCACAGGTAGGATAGTTCCCCAGTGAAAAAGCAGGACAGGTAGCAAATAGATGTTGGATAAGAAAAACCCAGAGATGTTTTATTCATGGGCAAGGCACAGGACCTTGAACTGGCAAAGTGTGGCATGCCTAAGGAGGAACTTTTTTTTTTTTTTTTTTGAGACAGAGTCTCACTCTGTCATCCAGGCTGGAGTGCAGTGGTGCCATCTCAGCTCACTGCAACCTCCACCTCCCAAGCTCGAGCTATTCTCCTGCCTCACCCTCCACAGTAGCTGAGATTACAGGCACACAACACCACACCTGGCTAATTGTTGTAATTTTAGTAGAGACGGGGTTTCACCATCTTGGCCAGGCTGGTTTCGAACTCCTGACCTCAAGTGATCTGCCCACCTCGGCCTTCCAAAGTGTTGGGATTCCAGTTGTGAGCCACCACACCCAGCCAGGAGGAACTTCCATGTCAGTTTGGCTGCAGTGTAGTGCCAAGGGATGCATGGCAGTTGATGAAGGGAGAGAAGGACAGCAGAGAGAACATGCATGCTCTTTTCTCTCCTCTTTTCTCTCTTTTTTCAGCTGTTAACCACCTGGGCTAGCAGAGTCAGCAATGACTCTTGGAGCACTTTAGGGTAGTGTATTCATTCACTGCTCCAGGGTCCCCAACAGATGTTCCTGTGTGACTGCTCCAGATACTGGAATCTGGCTTGGGACTAGGCAGTACCCCTAGTCAGATACAGTGCATTCTGGAAACATGGGCCATACATCTTCAGGTGCAATCCTCAACAAATGCACACCAGGTACTTCACTGTGTAATGAACATTGTGCTAGGCTCTAGAAGTAGAAAAACCAGAAAGAGAAGAAGGAGTAGGAAAGAGTGTAGAATTAACTTGAGCAAAGTTTGTTCACCTCTTCGAGCCTCAATGTCAGAACCAGGAAGTTGGAGATTTGTGTGTTTTTCTCATACGGTGGTTATTAGGATAACATAATGTGTATAGGGTTACTAGTACAGCATATTACATGTAACTGATATTCAATGAATGAGAAGTTTTAGAAGCAGTAGGAATTGTAGAATTGTAGTACAGTTAAGGAAGCAACCATGTGATGCAGTGTGTCCGTGATTAAAAGATGTAGTTCATGGTTCAGAGCGGTATAAAGAAGGGATGTGTGCCTCCTTTCTCTGGATCACATTGTGCATTGATGGCAGGAGCATTGATGGCAGAAGGGAGGGTTGGGGCAGCAGGACACGTGGAGTAGGCTGGAGTCGGGGCCAGTCACTCGATGAATTGCATGGGGGCACTTGGCTTGAGAAGGATCCCGGCAGCAGAGTATGGGGGGAAGGCCCTTGATACCGGTCTTACATCATTTAATATTCAAGATATCTCTGTCCTGTTGGAGGTGAGCAAAACTGACTTCTTGCCCTTGCAGCTCTCTTACAAGCTTTCATTAATGAGTGCATGCGTGTTATGTGTGCATATGTGTGCACACATTGTAGGCAACCTAGAAGTGTGCTTTCCTTTTCAGTAGGGATGTTGATAGAAGGGTGGCTTCTTCAGGTAGACTCTCAAGTCCATCATGCTTCCTCTAAACTTTTCCTTTTCTCACCTATTACTCACACAAATGTTCCTTTCCCAAAGGGTGACAGAACTTCAATAGGGAACCCACTTACCTGCTTGAAACACAGAAGAGGTATTGGGCGAAGTGAATAGCATGGATACTGGAGCCAAACTGCTTAGTCTCAAATCCCAGCTCCACCACTGACTAGCTGACCTTGGGTAAGGTAAACTTTGTGAGCCTCAGTTTCCTATCTGAATGATAACTAACACTCTATCTTTGAATGTTTTTTTGAGAATGGAATGAGATAACACTTAAACTTTTAGCCCCATAGTCATCAATACTAATGACTAACATTTATTGATCACACTTGCTTGGTGTCAATGTCTTAAGTGCTCTACATGTTTTCATTTTGACTCCTCACAACAACTCAGTGATGTAGTTATTGTTATTTACAGATGAGGAAACTGAGGCACAAAGATGTTAAGTCATTCATGCAATGTCACATGGGTAGTATGTGGCCGAATCAGGATTTCAACTCAGGATGTTTTGTGAGTGCTCAGTAAATGTTGGCTGTTGTTGAAGAAGGGGCATTCTCTGTAAGATGGAGGAATAGGTTCATTGGACTTTATATCTTGGTCTTTGTTGAGCATTTGGTCTATTAAGTGTGTGTGTTCTTTATGCAAGTGGAAGGTGAAATATCAAATGGGGAAGGGGAAAGAGTGTGGGTAACTCACAGCTAGGTTCATGGAATATGGGCATTAGCATTTTCGTGGTACCTCCACATCCCTCCTTTTTTTTTTTTTTAAAGAAAATGAGGCCCGTCTGAGAAACATTACTATAAAAGGCCACCACACTTCCTCCCAGGTGGACGTACTCTATGCCCTCCACTCTTTCCAGCCCCACTACCTGTCATTCAGCCAGTGAGCCTGGAGACATATATATTTTTCCCCATTTTACCTTAGCAATCATAATAAAAGTGAAGTCTATTAGGATGAGTTTCTGCCCAGGCTCAGTAAATCTCTTCAAACATTGTTCAGCACCAAATTTCTGTAAGTCTTTGCCACTGGGGAGACTGTAGCATGCACCAACTGTCAGCTCAGATAGAGGGCTCAAGACACAGCCTCTGCTAAATGAAACTGAAATGGAGACTTTGGAATATAAATATTGAAGTGACCCAGGCTGGATAAAGGGGAACCAGTTAGCTAAGCTTCTATCTTACATGCAGGAAATGCTAAATTATTAAAACTTTAATAAATGTAATAATAAATATTTGATGTTGAATTATAGAAAGCTTTGCAGATACAGTGAAACTGAGAAATGAGTTGTTATATCTGCATTAGAAGTTAAACACTTTTAAAAGGGGACTTCTGATGTTGAGACACGTCTACAGATCTTTAGATGAAAGAGAGAGACACATGAAAGTATGATTTTGGGCATGTATACTGGGCTGGGGGTTAGTATACCTGGGTTTGAAGCCTGACCCCAAACTGGAGATAGTGATAAGCAGCATTTTGGGCAGAGGCCTCCCGCTCAGCTTCCTGTAAGTGATCTTTACAGCCATCTTCTGAAGTTGAAGCTATTTTTATCTCCCATTTCACAGATGAGGAAGCTGACATTCTAAGGCCTTAGGAAGCACAGATGGTAAAGGGATGAATTAGAATTTGAACATAGACTTCTGACCTCAAGACCCCATCCATCTACCCATTCATCATTCCATGGCTTCTCCCTCACTTCCTGCATGGAAGCCCTTTCTGCTCTGTATGAATCAGGATGGTTTGGGATTCAGGGGACAGAGGCCCAATTCAAGTTAGCTTAATGGCAACTCTATTGGAATGACATCATGGAAAGGGAAAGAGATCAGCTCAGCCACAGGAATGAGGAAAGTTGAGGGAGTTAGATAATATTAGGATTCTGTTTTTCCTCTCTGTATCATTCCATGATGGCTTCATTCTCTTCTATTGTACAACCACTTTCTTTCTGTACTCCCCATCTTGTCATGATAGGGGTTGTGATAATCATGACTCCCCAAGCTCTTTGTGACTCTTACCACCAGGGAGAAATAGTTCTCTTCCCTGAGTCTCCTTTCGAAAAATCCTAGAGAAGTCTGTCACATGTTAGGAGTCCAACCCTGGCTTATCATTAGGGGACAGGGTCACCATGTACAGATACAGCCATGGAAATAATTGAGAGGACCATGAACTGCAAATCTATTCCAACCCATGTCTTCAAAATTCTCCCTGAATGTTTAAGTTTATTCATCTAACAGGTTGGACTAAATCAAAGACGGCAGCCATTAACCGAGCCTACATGCCAACTCAGATACATGGTTAGGGGCTGCCTAAGATATTATGCTGGGAAGGTTTCTGAGACTACAAACAGACTAAGCTGGGGAAAGCATCATGATGAACTCATTTGCCCACCTTCAGTGTTGGAGGAGGAGTTGTAACAGAAGGGTCATGTGTTTGCCATCTCTGAACCTGATGGTATTTAGAAGTCCTCCCTATTTCCTATGTCATGACCTCATTGTGTTCCCCTACAAAATGAAGCGATAACTTTGGTTGCTGAGACATGAGAGAAAGGACAGTCATGTGAATGGAGATACTGAGGATGAATTTGAAATGGAACTGTCTTATCCACAAGTTTCCATCCATCTATGTTATCTCAGAGGATATATTTGGATAATCTTATCTTGTTACCAATACATTTCCTGAAATAAATTTCTGGCTTGTAGCAGAGTAAAGGCCTCCATGTAGGTACTTCCTAGATACTCTCTGGTCTGGCACTATCATTGTCACTTATATTTAAAAGCTATGAACAAACTACCCACATCATAGGGCCCTTGAATTGTGTCCTATAGTTTCAAAGGCTTGTTTAAACAATTATAAACTCACAGACTAGAAGGGATCTTCTGACGCATATTTTTTATCCTCTGCCATTGCATGGACAGTCCTGAGTGATGGAATCTACCTTCTGCTGATAGACATCTCATTGCCTCCTGCTCCGTTGCCTGCCACGGTCTCACAGTGTTGTTTCCTGGAAAGCCTCACTCTGTCTCACCTAAACAGGCCATACTTTCAATTATGCAGACAGCAGCTCAGGGACAGTGATCACCAAGATAAGCTAAGATGAGAAATCATTCTGCCTTTTAAGGCCCACTCGTTGCAGCTGAGTAGAACCATGTTTCCCTTAGCGTATCTTACTCTGCCCAATAGGCATCAACCACCCAGTAGTCAACACACACGCGCGCGCGCGCACACACACACACACACACACACACACACACACACACACACCCCAGGGCAGTCTAGTCAGAAAGATGAGTTGGATATGTCAATGAATAATTAATTGATCTGTACCTTAGGTTCAACTCCTTTGCCTCTCACCAAACAAGAAGACTAATATCAAAGAGGATCCCAGCAAGAAACAGGTGGCATGCTCAAGCTTGGGGAGATTTAAAAGGGGACTATGCACAAAATTGAGGGAAAGTTCCAGAAAAGCAACAAGAGATCTGCAGTGCCCTGTGGCTAGTGTCTGGGTCAAGGTGAGGGTGAAGTTACAAAAACATGGAGAGGGAATTCCATGGAGCTGAGGCCTTTAGTCAAGGGATACACACAGTTCATGGTGACTCTGCCGCAAAAGAGCCAGGAAAATAAATGTCCCAACTGCACCCAACCACTTCTCACCAAACCTCCTGCTGGTGCTGCCATTGGCTGAACCCAGTGAGAAGCCAACTACAAAAGCCCATCGAGTCCATCCATCAAAGTCAGCCTCCTGAGCACAAGGGAAGAGAAGAATAAGCTGAGAGTGAGCTTGGAGGAGCAAATGGAGGAAAGCCCCAAGTTCTTTCATCCTACCTTCAAAATATCCTCAAAAATGGTCATGCCTCTCTATCGTCGTGGACACTTTCTGGCTCAGGCCCTCATACGTAGTCTCACTGCTTTCAGTCCCCACCACACTCTGTGCACATCCCCAATCCAACCGCTGTACCAATTGGGCCATGGCTGTTTCCTGCTTAAAACCATTTAGAGCCCTCCCCATCCTTCAACTGCCTCAAAATAAAAATTCATACTGTTTCAGCCAGCATTCAGTAGCACTTCACAATCTGGCCATAATACCCTCTGATCTCATCTCCCACCATGTCCTCAATTGCTATTTCCTCAAAATGCTGTACACTTTCCATTTTCCTTGCCTTTGCCAGTGCTCTCCCTCTGCCTAAAATAGCCCAAAACTCACAGTCCCCAGTGTACCTAGCACACTACTCCTTATCCATCCCAGCCTTACAGAAGCATCACTTCCTCTGAGCATCCTTTTGAGAATGTGCCCTCCAGAATCATAGGCACCTCATTGCTATGTTCATGCTGCAAAAATATTTTTTCCAGATGTAAGGGTCAGGGCATTGCCTTATATTGCATTGGAGTCAATTGTAGTTTAGTATCCCTTTCTGCCCTCACCTGGTAGTCTATGTGTTCCTGGAGTTCATGGATCGAATCTTAACATCATTGTATTCCCAGTTCTAAGCACAGTAAATAGCTCAGAGAGAGGATATAGAAAATTGCAATGACATTAATTTTATGTGGCTCTGCTTGTATGTTCACGAAGATGTTTTGATATTACTACTAAATTGCTTAACAAACACCTTTACGCTATCTCAAAGTATCATTCAATCCCCTTACCTATAAACACTCTACCATCAAAACAGTCCTATCAAAATTTCTTGCATCCCAGTGCCTATTGTATTATATTATGACAACACACATTATCTCGCGGTTCCAAATAACACTAGTACTTTGGGGTTAGTAGATGCAACGAAATTAAAAAGGAGGATTCCATAATTTAAAAGGTTTGAGAAACCCTATTATAAATGAAGTTGCTACATTGATTTCCTTGCTGGCAGTTTTCCCAGGGATGTTAATATGTGAACAAATGTCATAAATCTTTAAGAAATGAAGTCTATATACTACAATCTCTCCAACACTACTCAAGTAGGAGCAAGTTCAAGACCAGCATTCCTGAAGACATCAAGTAATACCAGATGAGTCCATCATGGCTTAGAGGCTACACAAGTTAAACCAAACATCAGAAAATGAGGGATTTGGTTCCTATGGGGCATCTTTTGAAGCACACACACATATTTTGGGAGTGGGCAGAGGGAACTGGTCTCTCTCCTGTTGGCTTAGTCAAGCTGGCCAACCTCTGAGCTCCCTGTTTAATTTCCCTGACTCTGCAGAAGACATAGGGTCCTCACTGGGGAGGCAGTGTGTGGATAGGATGCCCATGCTGGGATATTCCAGAAAGAGAACAAGTCCCAGGTGAGTAGAACTATAACATTTCCTAGAATCAACAGAGGAAGAAAAGTAAGTGAGACAGAGTAGTGAAGAAGAAGCAACCCTGCCAGTTGAAACCCTTTAGCCTAATGCATCCCATCAGTGGTACAGGCTATGGTGCTAAATGCTCTGCCTCAAATCCTAGCTCTGCCATTCACTATGCGGGTAACAGTGGACAAGTTAACATATCCCACTGCCTCATTCTCCATATTTGCAATGTAGAAATAACTGTAGCTACCTTGTGCAAATGCTGTTGAGAATCAAGTGAATTGATGCATGATGCATTTAGCGTAAATAGATTGGCTACCGTTGTTGTCATTATATTACAATTATTTAGCCCAGATTTTGATCTGGTGTAGGAATCCTTCATTAGGATATTTTTAAACTCATGCCTTTTCAGAAATTATTGTGACTCTTGTTTTCTGCATACTCTACTTGCCCTTCCTAAGGTTTTGCCTCCAATAAGTGTTCATTAAGTACATGATGATTGAGTCATTGGAGTGAGACTCAAAGATGCTTCCAAAAAGAATATGAGACTGATAGCAGTGTTTTTCACAATAGCTAAACATGGAAGCAACTCAACTATCTGTCAACAGTTTATCTAATGGAATATTATTCAGCCCTAAAAAGGAAGGACATTCTGACATATGCTACAACATAGATGAATCTTGAGGACACTATGCTAAGGGAAATAAGCCAGGCACAAAAGGACAAACACTGTATGATTCCACTTATATGAGGTACTTAGAGTAGCCAAAATCATAGAAACAGAAAGTAGAATAGTGGTTGCGGAGAGTTGGGGGAGGGGAGAATGGAGAGTTATTGTTTGATGGGTATAGAATTTCATTTTGCAAGATGAGAAGACTTCTGGAGATAGATGGTGGTGATGATGGCACACCAATATGAATACACTAATACCACTAAATTATACTCTTAAAAGTGATTAAGATAGTAAATTTTATGTTGTGTGTATTTTACCAAAATAAAAAATGGTGGGGGGCTGGGTGGGGGGAAGAAATAAGAGAAAAAAGAATGGTTTTGGGGGAAGGGTGCATGGCCATCCCTGCCAGTTCTAGCAAATTATGCCACACACCTTAAAGGCACTCTAGTTGCAGAGTCCCTGGAACAGACAGTATGGCTCCACAATACACCTCTTCTCTCCTCCTCTTACAGCATCTTTCAGCCCTGCAGTCTCCTCCTAGGTGTGACCGGACTGAGTTAACTGTATTGAAATGGGGCAGCCTGGGGAGATTCATGACATGGATCTGGCTGGATTCACACACTGGACTTCACAGGTTCTGGGGGCTGAGTCAGCTGTGCAGGTGTCTGGTCCAGTCAGGTAAACATGGCATCTAGAAGGAATGATCAGCCTGGTCTTTGGGAGGAAATTTTGGTTTCCTGTGTAAGCTGAGAATAGTATAGGTCAGGAGGAAAATCTTCACTTCCTTCATCTCTAAACTGGATTTTAAAGAGGGGGATTTTGTCCCCCAGAAGACATTTGGCAATCGCTGGAAACATTTCTGGGGGGTTACAACTGGGAGGGTGCTATTGGTATCTAGTAGATAGAAGTCAGGGATATTGCTAAACACCCTACAATGCCCAGGGCTAAAATAAAGAACTATCCAACCCCCAATAGCAAAAGGCTAAAGTTGAGAAGACATGCCTTAGATGAAGGTATATTAGTCCTATTGAATGGATGAAAAAAAAAAAAATCAGGCCTAGAAGGTATGATTTCAAACCCACATTCTTTCCATTGCACCTTCTAGAAATCCAGTTGTAAAGAGGCTGGGATATAGTGCAGGTTATTAAGCCAAATTAAAGCATAAAAAGCTGGCATGCATAGTCTAAGCCTGGGGAGGCAAAACAAAGAATTGAATACAGGATACTCCTGAGGTAGTAGCCTGGCCTCAGGAATGAGCATCAACCTCAGGTTTTTGAAACCCTTTGGCTGGAGTCAGAAGGGAGTTCTGCAGAGCCTGGCTTAGATGGTCCAGCGACCCCAGCTGCAGGGCTCGGAGGAGCATCACTGGCAGAGAGTCAGGCAAGGTCTGACAACACCTCCTCTCCTCCAAAGTGAGCCAGAGACACCCTGCCCTCCCTGGCTGTGACGGATTTTGAACATTAAAAAAAAGTTTACAATCCCAGCGAGACAGGCATAAATCACAGCGGCTCTGTGCAGCACCAGCAGACATGACTTATGGCCCCATCGCCATGGCAACGGGAGCGCAGCCGGCACGCACACAAAAGCTCTGCTCGCGACTGACAGGGCTTTGCGTGGCCCTGATGGAGAGGCAAGTGTTCTGGAGAAAGGATGTATTCTCCGGAACTCGCTGCCCATTTGTCTTCATTCTGCACTGGAGCGAGACCCTTGCTTTTTCTCTCTTCTCCCCATCCCCAGCCAACAGGTTGTTTTCCTTTCTGTCTTCTGCATGGGAAGGTGTTTTCTTCATCTTTTGACCTGCTCTCCGAAGGTTTACAGAAAAGACCCCAATTAAAGCTTGCAATGGATCTGCCTGGCTGTCCTTTCTGAGCTGGGAGTTATGGTGACAACTTCCAGTGTTGAGCGTCTGCATGTGTGGACCCCCGGCAGCTATTTCTTCTATACCTTTAGCAAACAGGCTCCTTAGATGTTCTTCCTGCCTCCCTAACCCCTGCCTTTCAGGTCATCCTCCACGAGCCACTGGAGTGGATTCATCTAAACCGCAAACTTGCTTTAGACCCTTCCATTGCTCCGCTTGCTGTTGCTATGAGGATAAAGCCCACACTTCTCAGTGTGACACTCATAGCCCTTGAGGACTCAGCCCTGCTTCTCTCTCCAGTCACATCCACGTGCTCCATTCTGGAGGTTTCAGCCTTCTTGAGTGCTTTTAGGTCCTCATACCTCTTGTCCTTCTGCCTAGAACACAGGCAACACCTGCCACTTTATCTGGCTACGTTTTACTCATCCATTAGGGCTTGGCACACACCACCTCCTCCAGGAAGCCTTATCTGATCTCACACATCCATTGTAGAAGCCCTTTCTCCTTTGTCGTCATGTTCTGCCATCTCCCAGTGGTCACACTCACCCTCTCCACACAGTGCTTCTGTGTCTCAGTGCTGCTGTATATCTGCCGATCCCCATCTTCACTGCCGTAGTCGGTTGTCATTTCCTCTCTCCAGGCACTTATCACCTTCTCACCTCCTCACTGCACTTCCTGCCTTCACTCTTGCCACCCTCAAATTGAGGCCCCACATGGCAGTCAGGGAATAGTTTTTTCAGCACAAAAATTGTTATATCATTTCCTTGGTTGAACCCATTTCATAGTGTTTCCTTGCCTTTGTAATAAGTCCAAACTCACTGAATGCCCCCTGCTTGCACCTGCTGTCTGCATCCTATATCGTACTCTCTGCTGGCCAGCTAGACCCGGCTTATTTCTAGGTATCTTGTATGTTTGCATGTCTCTGGGACTATTATGATCCTAGAACATCTACTCCCAGTGCCATACCCACCAATTTCCAGTGACTAGGGCTATTCCTACTCATCCTTTTGGCCTCAGTTTAAACATCTCTTCTTCCAGGAGGCCAGATGTCGGCTCTTTTTTTTGTTTGTTTGTTTTTGAGACGGAGTCCAGCTTTGTCGCCCAGGCTGGAGTGCAGTGGTGCGGTCTCGGCTCACTGCAAGCTCCACCTCCCGGGTTCATGCCATTCTTCTGCCTCAGCTTCCTGAGTAGCTGGGACTACAGGCACCCGCCGCCACGCCCGGCTAATTTTTCTATTTTTAGTAGAGACGGGGTTTCACCTTGTTAGCCAGGATGGTCTCAATCTCCTGACCTTGTGATCTGCCCACCTCGGCCTCTCAAAGTGCTGAGATTACAGGCGTGAGCCACCACGCCCGGCCAGTGTTGGCTCTTTAGTTTAAGTGAGTGGCTCTCAAACATGGTGACATTCGTACAACCCAATGAGCTCTTAAAAATTACAGAGGCATGCTCAATTCTAGTAGAAAATTTGAAGAGTAGCAGAGTATTCACATAGCCTCAAAGTATCTCCCTAGAAGTAGCCTACTAATTACAAAGTAAAAATAATAACCTTACAGTGGAGAAACCTCGCCAATGCCACCTTAACCAAAGTTAACATCACAAATCAACATCACATGCTTCCTGATATGCACTGAGAAAGCCACAACATCATGTCTGTGGTGTTCTTGTCAAAAATACATAATCTGAATCTAGGCCAGGCGGGGTGGCTCACACCTGCAATCCCAGTATTTTGGGAGGCCAAGGCAGGTGGATCACGAGGTCAGGAGATCGAGACCATCCTGGCCAACATGGTGAAACCCCGTCTCAGTGAAAAATACAAAAATGAGCTGGATGTGGTGGCATGTGCCTGTAGTCCTAGCTACTCAGGAGGCTGAGACAGGAGAATCGCTTCAACCTGGGAGGCGGAGGTTGCAGTGAGCCGAAATCACACCACTGCACTCTAGCCTGGTGACAGAGCAACAGAGCGAGACTCCGTCTCAAAAACAAAAACAAAAACATAATCTGAATCTAATCATGAGGAAACATGAAACAGACCCAGATTGAGAGGCACCGTACAAAATAACTGACCTATATCCTTGGGAACATCAAGCTTATAAAAGCAAAGCAGGCTGAAAGCTGTCCAAATTCAAAGATCCCAAGAGACCATGACAACTGAGTGCAACACATGGGCTGGGACTTTCTCTTGCTGTAAAAACATTAGTGGAACACTTGAAGAAATGTATAGATTAGGTAATAGTACTATCTTAATAGCAACCTCCTGATGTCAGTAATTATATTAGAGTTATAAATAAAATATCTTAGTTTTGAAGCAATGTGACCCAAAGTATTTAAGAAAACAAAAAGCATTGTCTTTCTTTACCTTATTCCCAGTTCAAAAAAAGAAAAAAGTGTGTGTATGTATGTGTATGTATGCATGTGTATATAAAAACATACACACGCATATGTACATGTATTCGTAGAGAGAAAGAGAGACTGAGAAAAAGTAGCAGGGAAAAAATAGAAGAAAAATTGGGACATGCGAGTACTGCAACTTTCAAGATTATTTGACTATCTGGGTTCCTTGTATTTTCATATGAATTTTGGAATGAGCTTCTCAATTTCTGCAAAAAAAAAAAAAAAATTAACTGGGAATCTGATAGGGACTGCATTGAATCAGTACATCCTTGTGGGGATTGTTACCATGTTAACAATATTAAATCTTTCAACCCAAGAACATAGGATGTCTTTCTATTTAGATCTTAATTTCTTTCAACATTGTTTTGTAGTTCTTAATGTAGAAGTCTTACACTTATTTTGTTAAGTGTATTTCTAAATCTAAGTATTTCATTCTTTTTGGTGCTACAGTAAATGAAATTGGTTTTCCAATTTTATTTTTTGTTTGCTCATTGCTAGTGTAGAGAAATACAATCGACTTTTATACGTTGACCCCATACTGTGCAACCTTGCCGAAGTTATTTATTAATTCTAATTGTGTGTGTATGTATGTATGTATGTTCCTTGGGGTTTTGTAGATGCCAAATTATGTCATGAATGAATGGAGATCATTTTATTGCTTTTTCAATCGGAATGTCTTTTGTTTATTTTTCTTGCCTAATTTCCATGACTAAAACCTCCAGTACAATGCTGAAAGAAGTGGCAATATTTTATATTTAATTTTACAACTGTTCTGTAAGTTTGATATTATGTTAAATAAAAAGTTAATATACATATTTCATATATATTATATATAATATATATGAAAAAAGGCCTGCCCCAAGAGTTCTGAATAGTTGGCTGGGCGCAGTGTCTCATGCCTGTAATCCCAGCCCTTTGGGAGGCCGAGGCAGGTGGATCACCTGAGGTCGGGAGTTAGAGACCAGCATGACTAAAATGGAGAAACCCCATCTCTACTAAAAAAAAATACAAAATTAGCCAGACGTGGTGGCACATGCCTGTAATCCCAGCTACTTGGGAGGCTGAGGGAGGAGAATCACTTGAACCCAGGAGGCAGAGGTTGCGGTGAGCCAACATCGCGCCATTGCACTCCAGCCTGGGCAACAAGAGTGAAACTCCATCTCAAAAAAAAAAAAAAAAAAGAAAAGAAAAAGAAAAAAGAGTTCTGATTAGTTGGTCTGCAGTGGTACTAAAGGCAGTGGCATTTTTTAAAGCTCTCAGTTCGTTCTGCTGTACAGCCAATGTTGGGAAATTCTGGACAAACCTCTCCGGAAAGAGACTCCTGTCCTTCCCCATGATAGCATGTTGACTGTAGTTTCTTGTTTAGTTTTCCAGTTAAGCTGAAACTCCTGCATGCAGAGATGGCTTATTTCTCTTGCTCATTATATCCACAGAAAGTGCATGGTACACAGTACACTGAAAAAAAATAAATGACAACATTTGTAATTCTCACAACAACCCAATGAGGTTTTTAACACTGGCCCCATTTTATAGAAGAGAAAATAAAGCCCAGAAAGGTGAAACAACTTGCTACGACCACACAGTCAGATGCTAGAGCAGCAGGAGGTTCAAATCTTTGCCTACATGGATCCAAAGCTGGTAATTTTTCCACTTCTAGCAGGGCCTCAAGCACACAGTGCATCTTCTGGGCCAGAGCCCTGCTCAGAAGATACAAATCAAGGTTTACTATAATAACTGACAAGCATTCACTACAGAGTGCCCAGAAGGGTGAACAGGATCGGCTAGCTCTTAACTTAGTCCCTTTAAACAGCTAAGCCAATAGCTATGCAATATTTTTAGTCACAACATATTTGGTCTCATTTACTATTTCTGCTCTCAAATTCAAAAGCCCCCAGTTGCCTCCATTTGACAGTTCATACCAGTCCATCTGGGACTATTTAGAGGACTTCTCTTCATCATAATGAGGACAATGGTTTCCATTTCATGAGGACTTTTTATGAACCAAGGACTGAGCCAAATCCTTTGTGGGCATCAACTCATTTCATTGACTCCTCAGCCTTCATAAACACTTTATATTCTTATGTTGTTGCAAAGGAAGAAGCTGTGGTTTGTTCCCAGATCCTCAGCCACCTGGCCAAGGTCACAAAGCTAATCAGAGAAAAAGCCAATATTTCAATAGAGCTCTATCTGACACCAGACTTCGAGTCCTCATCCCTGTCATCTTGTGCCTTCTCATTCTGCCAAAAGTGGAAGGCACGAGGTCTTGCCTACATTTCAGAGATGTCAATTCTTTCTCAGTTCTTATACTTTGGCACATATAACCATTACTTGGAGGGCTTTTTAAACTACAGATTGCTGGGCTCACCTCCAGGTTTTCTGGTTCAGTAGGTCTGGGTTGGGGCCTACAGATTTGAATGTCTAACAAGTTCCTAAGGGATGCTCATGCTACTGATCAATGGACCATACTTTGAGAGCCATTGCATTAGACTATTCAGAGTGGTGGGTGTGAAAAGACAATGAGGCTGATGGAAGCTAAATGATCTGGAAACTCTCTCAGATGTTTGCCAACTATATCCCATGAGCCAATTTGGCCCATCACCTGTTTTTTTTTAATAAATAAAGTTTTATTGGAACATAGTTACATCCATTTGTTTACGTATTATCAATGACTGATACCTTGCAGTAATGGCAAAGCTAAGTAGTTGCAACAAAGTAATAGTAGTTACTTATGGCCCAGTAAGCCTGAAATATTTACCATCTGGCTCTTTGCAGAAAAAGTTTGTCAAGCTTTAACTAGATTCCAGGGCATTGCTGCTCAAAGTGTGGTCCTTGGACCAGCAGCATTGGCATCCCTTGCTTATTTGAAATGTAGATTATCAGGCCCCAATCTAGACAAACTAAATTAGAATCTGCATTTTAACAGGATCCCCAGGTGATTTAGTTGCACATTCAATATTAAGAAACATTTCTCCTGTATAACTAAGTAGCTGAGAACTTTGACTTCGAGGTCAGAGAATCCTAGCTCTGCCATTCACTAACATTGTGGCCTGGAGTAAGTTATATTCCCTTTCTAGTCTCAGTTGTTGGATATATATAATAGGGATAATGATGCTATATCATGGGATTGTTTTCAGAAATGAAATAAAATGAAACACCTGAATGCCAGCTCATAATAAGAGTTGAATAACAGGTAGCTGCTGTTATTAGAATCTCTGCTATTTTAAAAATAACACCAAGCCCTTAAAAAAAGATAAGAAAACCAAGCCCTGTGTAACCCGCCCAAGCTTACATGTCCATACATACATGGACAGGTCAAGGGTGTGAACTAGCACAAGGTTCTCTGTCTCTGAGCCCATTGTGTGACCCCTTCTACTCCACTGGACTTGATGGACAGATGACTGATGGATACAGATTGAGCTACAGCTCTGCCACTAATGAGCTAAATGACCTTGGACAAGTCTCTTATCTGCTCTAAGTTTCAGTTTTTCTATCCAAGAATGTGAGCAACTAACCTGATCACACTGTTGAGGCTTTAAACCATCAAGGATCAAGTGTTGAGCACATAGTGCAGGGCTTTGCACTCAGGAGATGCTCAATACAGGGAACCCATCTTTTTTGTTGTTGTTAAAAAAACAAAAAATCAAATATTCTTTAGGCAGCAGCTACCCTAGAGGACAATGAAACCTGTCAGCATTCTTGTTGGACAGCTGCCTGGTCTCTGTAATTCGGGTCCTAACCAGGAGCTAGAAAATTAACTTGGAAACTGAGGATGCAAAAATGAGTGTCTCATTCTGGGTTCCTCTGGGTCTCTCTGCCTTCCTCTGAGCAGATGCTGGGCTCCAGCAACACCTGGTACCTGCAGAACTCTCAGGAAATTGGCTTGGCTAGAATGTCTTAATAGCCTGCTCTCTAGCCAAAACAATTTGCAGTGGGAAAAGCAAGGGTTTAGAAGTCAAACAGATACAGATTCAATTGTAACTATAACACAACCTCTCTTTGTGGCTTTGGGCACCCCACTTAACCTTGTTAGGCCTCAGTTTCCTTATCAGTAAAATGTGATAATTACACCTTATTTTCAGTTAAGCCAAAGAATGATTCACTGCTGCCAAACAATCTCAGCTAATAAATGCTGTTATTTGCCTCAGTGGGTGGGGGAGTTAAAATCACAAACTGTCCTTTCCATAGCAGACATTTGCAGATCTATTGGGTCGGAGATGGAGAACTGGGAGTCTCCTCCACCCCTTCCTTTTATAATAGAGAAGCTAAGGAACAGAAATGACATGGCCTGGCCCAAGGTCGCACTGTGGGACAATAAGACGGGCCACCTGGATCCCTGTCAGAGGGTCTTTCACATTTTGTTAGGCTACATGTCAACAGCCCAGGTCAGCACAAATGTCCCTTGTTTTCAGAGTCACCGGTGGCTGAGCAGTAAGTAATTGGGCCCCTCCTCAAAGGCTGTAATCAAAGGCAGCCTTGAGCTTGGAGGCAGCTCCAACGGCGATTGCTCGGCTAGCTGAGGAAGAGGCTTGAGGCCAATATCAGCGGCCCTGGGCTCCTGACAGCAGGTGTGGATGATGAATGGGCAGCTTAACATGATGGAGCAAATTGATCATTTCATCACTGACCACAACTTATTCATTTCTGCAAAGACGGCAATTCATTACCCTGCATGTCACGCTGCCCATGTCATTGCCAGAGATAAAAGCCTGAGGCCTCACAGCCTGTGCCTCTCATCACATCTCACCTCTTCTTAAAGGGAGAGAAAGAATGCGGAAATTGAGAGCCAGATGCTCAAGGCTGCTCCAGGGCCCTTATTCTTGCCAGATCCTGGAGGCCATTTCTTCTTCACCAGGAAATGAACAGGAATGAACCCCAAGAGCTTCTAAGCCAATCAACAATAGCAAATGCATTGCATCTTTGAGGCCAGCCTTATACTCTCTGGAGCATAAGGCCGAGAAGGATTCTGTGGCTGCATGCGAGCCCAATAGGAATGAATGCCAGAATTGATTAGTCATGTCTATGGTAGGTCTAGAGTAAGTAGTCAGACATACCCCATGCATTACTATTCATAAAGTCGTGGTGGTGGTTGGGCTATTTTCTGCAACTCTCAAATCATGTCAAGTGCTCACTAGCATTAAGAATAAACTAAAAGGCAGTTACAAATACAGTAATGCAGTTATAATCAAGTAATGGAAAAGCTTACATATTATTGTGATTTTAGTCAATACAGTTGCTCTCAGCTATAGTGGCACAACCCACAGGCTTTGACCACATGAGTTATTGGGTAAGTCCCAAGAAATGTAACAACAAAAATAGTCACATTACTCAAGTTACTCTGATTTTTAGTATTTGAAACTATGGGGTTAGGTAAGTTGTCAGAAATGTAGTGCTAATAATAGTCTAATTACTCAAGTTTCAAAATATTTTGTCTTTTGGAGGGATTTTTTAAAATGCAATGGATATGACCTTAGAAGTAAAATAACATCTCCCACTTGTGTTTGGGGAATGTTACCTTGAGTGGAAGAGAGAAAAGTGAGATCATAGATAACTTGCTGGTGATTGCATGCTTACAGATCCCCTACTGATCTTAACCATGGTGCCTCCCATAGCTTCTGCCACCAAATACCAATACCACCCTCTCCTACTCATCTCTAGAGTGTGGCTTGCTTCCTATCTAAGGGAAATCTCTCTGCCTGACCCTGATCTCATGCACTTCAGTTTATTGAAGGACCTTGTTCTACTGATCATACCTTCCCTCTCCTTTATCTTTGTAGACTCTATTCACAGTCTATGCCAAAACCAAACCTAACTGACTTAACTATAAATGGGAACCAACTGTTCCACATGATTGGTGATGATGCTGTGTGAGAGATGGGCTCATACATGGCAGTATCTACAACCACAGATCTTTTTTTTTTTTTTTTTTTTTTTTTTTTTTGAGACAGAGTTTCACTCTTGTTGCCCAGGCTGGAGTGCAGTGGCGTGATCTTGGCTCACTGCAACCTCTGCCTCCCAGGTTCAAGCTGTTCTCCTGCCTCAGCCTCCCAAGTAGCTGGGATTACAGGCGTGCGCCACCATGCCAAGCTAATTTTGTATTTTTAGTAGAGACAGGGTTTCTCCATGTTGGTCAGGGTGGTCTCAAACTCCAGACCTCAGGTGATCCACCCACCTCAGCCTCCCAAAGTGCTGGGGCTACAGGCGTGAGCCATCACATATGGCCTAGTTCTCTCTATCTCTTTCTGTCTTATCTCAGTTCCCATCTCTGTCTTGACCACATTGTTTCTGTGTCTTCCATAGGTATGGGGCATGGGCACCAGGAGCTGTAGAGACACATTCTTACATCTTTAACATAAAGGAAACAGAAAGAATCTATCTTCCTCCATATGTTGTATAAAATTCCAAGGAAGGATTTGTTTTGTCCCAGCCAAGGACACTTACTGCAAAGGGGAATCAGGTGCTATGACTGGCCAGATCTGGCATGTACTATGGCCAGGAGGGAGGGTACTTACATATTAGTAACCTAATTTTCCCTATAGCCTTATGGAGTGAGAAAGAGGTAATTCTAGACATGAAAGGAAAAGAGAAGGGGGGCTGGAGGGTGTTTCCTGTTCCTACCAGAATAAGGTGGAAGGGAAGCTTGCCAAAGGAAAACTGTAACTTCCCATGACAAACTGTAACTTCCCGTGACAAACTTTAACTTCTCCTTCAGTATTTGCTATGTTCTTTCAGTATTTAAACATATCCAACCATATCTTTTATTAAAAATGAATAATAATTTGCAATAACAATAATCCTCTTAATCTTCTCCTCTAGTTATCCATTAATATATATCTCTCTCTCCCTCCCTCCCTCAGCAGCAAATTTATTAACTGACTACTTTCTTTTTGTCATTTCTGTTCCTTCATTTTCTACCCACTTCTCAGCTCACTGGAAAATTACTTCCTTTATCACAATGGTTCTTAACCTGGAACAATTTTTCCCACCTCCACCCCAAGGGACATTTAGCAATGTCTGGAAACAATGTTGGTTGCCTTGCCTGGGAGGGTACTACTGGCATCCAGTTGGTAGAGGCTATGGATGCTGCTAAACATCCTACAAGGCACAGAACAAACAATACAACAAAGAATTATTTTACCCAAAATACCAATGCTGGCAAGATTGAGAAAGCTTGGCCTCTTCTAGAGCTATCTCTTTCATTCCTGGCTTCCTTGCATATTCTTTGATAGACCTCTGTAAGAGAACATTCAAACTCATAACTGATACTGAAATAACAATCACCACCAAAATAAGAAAAAAAAAAAAGAAAAACTTTGCTGTTTATTGAACATTTTCCATATGCTAGACAGTGGTCTAAGTGTGTTTCATACAGTTGCCTTATTTAATCCTCACAAACGCATTATGAGATAGGTACAATTATTATATTAACACTTAAAGTCACGTAGCCTTCTCACAGGGCAAAGAAAGTTTCAAACTCAAATCCAACTGATTCCAAAGATTGTTGCTTCAACCACTGAGCAATAAAGGCTCTATAACCCCTGGAACCAGCCCTTAGTGTATTCACCAAGAAGCTACAAATGTAGGCTTCATTATTGTTTTTCCTAGGCTGGCCTACTTGGACATTAAATTCTAGAATTGGTCACAATTTGACCTTGTACCCCTAAAAGTCACAATCATAGTCTCAAGCCATTCCAACCCACAAAGATTCAATCAGGCAGAACCAGGGCCTTCACATCAACTTCACCCAGTCTCTTCCACTTACACTAGTTCTGATACAGTCTCAGCCCATCCTCTTTACTTCCGCCCCAGAAGAGAAGGAGATTTCATCATTTAACAAAGAAAAGGCAAGAGAGAGAGAGGTCAGTACTTCTCTAGTATATTTTCATACAGTGATGATAAATATATTGTGGAGAGTTCAAGTACGATTTTTTAAAAATATATCAGTTTATATCACTTAGAAGCAACAAATCATTCTAGCACTGGGACTGACATATCATAAACAGGTGCTACATACTAGAGCTCTTTGGGTGGCCACCAAGCTCAGGAGCATTTTCAAACCTCAGAGAAGTCTGGTATCTGCCAGACTTGGTTGACCTTGGATCTCTTTTATTTACAGAGTGTATATTAAGAGTTTGCCGGGATATATTTTGAGAAGTACTAGTCTTATTACTGTTTTGAAAAAGAGAAAGAAGCCAGGCATGGTGGCTCATGCCTGTAATCTCAGCACTTTGGGAGGCCGAGGTGGGCAGATCACCAGGTCCAGAGTTCGAGAGCAGCCTGACCAACATGGTGAAACCCAGTCTCTACTAAAAATAAAAAATTAGCCAATGGTGGTGGCGTGTGCATGTAATCCCAGCTACTCGGGAGGCTGAGGCAGGAGAATGGCTCAAACCAGGAGGTGGAGGTTGCAGTGAGCCCATATTGAGCCATTGCACTCCAGCCTGGGTGACAGAGTGAGACTCCTTCTCAAAAAAAAAAAAAAAAAAAAAAAAACACCAAATTATTTCTCTCCTCTCTCTCTCTCTCTGTCTCTGTTTTTCTGTCTCTTACACACACACACACACACACACACACACACACT
This sequence comes from Homo sapiens, assembly GCF_000001405.40. Classification (NCBI taxonomy): domain Eukaryota; kingdom Metazoa; phylum Chordata; class Mammalia; order Primates; family Hominidae; genus Homo; species Homo sapiens. The sequence goes on along the minus strand of NC_000009.12, from coordinate 116,948,697 downwards.
CACACATATAAGTCAAACTCTATCTACTGAAAGGGCTCAAGGACAGCAACCCTCCTTACCCCAACCCTCCATTACCCAATAGCAATGAGCATATGTAGTATCCAGATCTTGGCCTCTAAGTACCACTTCTACTAAAAACAATCAGTGCTCCTGGGAAAAATGGCTGACTCCAAAGCTACAACAAGGAAAATTAAAGTTATACCAGTAATATCTTGTTGTTCCAGAAAGCAAGTCAGAAGTATGGAAACATGTTCAAAGACCTAGGAGTTAGCTTGGGGACACTGCCACTGGTCAAATTTGGTACAAGTTGAGCATCAAAATAAATAATTATATTAATATAGTATAACCCAGTCAGTAAACAAGAAACCACCATTTGATACTGATATGCACTAATAAATGAATACATTTAATGTTTGATGAGGAAAGAGATATTTACATAATTTCAAAGTACCTCCCCACAAAGGACTTCACAATTACAAAGGAATAAAGAGTTACTTTACAGTAGGGAAGACTGGCAGACAACATCTTAATTGAATGAACAAAGTGAGTATCACCCTCATGGGCAAATCAAAATCATGGACCACTTGATAGAATGCCCTATCAAAGAATCATGACTTATGTGATATTCCATCTGAAGACGTAAGTCCTGAACCTAATTATGAAGAAACATCAGATAAACCCAAATTGAAAAGGGTTGCTGGTCAAAAGCTTCAAGATTATGAAAGACATGGAAAAACTGAGAGCACATTCTGAATTTAAAGACTAAAAGACATTACCTATTAAAACAACGCATGGTTCTGACCTGAATAGTTTTCCCTAAAGGACATTATTAGGACATTCAGCAAAACTTGAATGGAACCTGAGGATCCCACAGTAGTGATGAATCAGTGTTAATTTCCTGATTTTGATGGCTATATTGTTATTATCTATGAGACTGTTTTGTTGGTAGAAAATAGCACTAAAGTGTTTGGATTAATGGGGCATCTGGTTGGCAACTTACTCTCCAATGGTTCATGGAAAAATATTCCTTGGTCTGACCAGGACTATAAAAATACTGCCTGAATCCAAATTTTATGCTTTGAGAATGAGTCTGTGTGTCTGCTAGCTAAATTTGGACCAAAGAAATCTCCTTCTGCATATCCTCATGAGTAAGAAAAAGATGCATGTAACTTTTATTCCCCCTTGCTTTTAGGAGGGAGTATACAGATCTGGGATATGCTGAAACAGAGAATAGAAAAAGAAAGTCATTGAGATGGAAAATCAAAGTTGTTTACACATAAATTACTCAGTGAGATTGGCAATGCAATCCCTTTGGGAAGCAAAAAGCATCTTCCCAGAAGAAATAACAACCTCATCAGCCTAACTCAGATGTCTCTGTGAGACGTTCACATTCATTATCTTGAAAACAGACCACAGAGGCAGAATGAACAGAAAACGTGAATCCCATTTCACTCAGTAAGAAACTAAGTTTCTTAGAAGTTGAGTGACTTCCAAATGCCCCACGTCCAACAGGTGATGGATCAGGGAATAAAATAAGGAACTGTCAGATTCTAAAACCATTTTCAAGTCCCCACTGCCTTCCAAAATACACATCAGGTAGAATGTCCCTTGAAGAAATATCAAGGGTTAGTCTATATCTCCTGGCAACATTCCTCTCCTCTCCTTATAACCTGCTTTGGCTTAATACACATTGGAGAACTCTGTCCTGCTTTTTCCCACCTAGAAATTTAAAGACAATCTGGGTTGTTTTTTTTTTTTTTTGACAAAAATGTGTACTTGTGGCCACTCAGGCTAGTTGAATCCTCTAGTCCCAATTCCCATTATGGAGGTTGGGGGTGGCATGGGGAAAAGCCTTAAAAGATAAAGGTGGCACATTAATCCTTTGGTCTACAGAGATCCTGGAGCACTTACCACTCTCATCCTCCCCACCCTTTTCCTGCCCTGCATCCTTCCCACCTCAAGCCCCCAAGATTAGACCTTCCTCTTTTTCTTAAAGGCTCAAATTCCTGACCTTAACGAAAAACACTCCCGGAGTAGACAGGCTTGATACCCCTTCAACCCCTCACACACCAGCATGCTCATTGGATTTTTCTCCTTCCCTGTTTCTATTTTATGGTCCTCATTCTTTATCTCAGCTCTAACACTCAGTGATCATTATTAGATTTCGAGAAAGTTGTACAGCTAAGGAATTTATTAATTTTGCCCTTTGGCTACAGAAAACCAATAATCGTTATCAGAGAATTTAAAAAGACAGTGAAAGAAGGAGAGGGGAGTTTAAGTTGGGGGTGGGGGAATAAACATGCATACCCTTGTTCCAGGATGCTTTTGATGTCCACAGAATCTTCCACAGGATGTCTCTGCATTTTTTCACACTAGGCTCCATAAGAATTAGTGGGGAGCCTCAGGGACAGTAGAAACTCTGATAGAAGGGAGAGATCACTGGGGACTGGGATGTTCATAAAAGGCTTTCTAAAGGAAGAGGTGTTGATATGGTTTGGCTCTGTGTCCTCACCCAAATCTCATCTCAAATTGTAATCCCCAAGTGTCAGGGAGGGACCTGGTGGAAGGTGACTGAATCATGAGTGTGTACTTCTGTCTTACTGTTCTCATGATAGTAAGTGAGTTCTCAAGAGATCTGATTATTTGTAAGTGTGGCACTTCCTCCTTTGCACACACGTGCTCTCTCTCTCTCCTACCACCATGCGAAGGAGGACCTTGCTTCCCCTTTGCCTTTTGCAATGATTGTAAGTTTCCTAAGGCCTCCCAGTTATGCTCTCTGTTAATTCTGTGGAACAGTGAGTCAGTTAAATTTCTTTTCTTCATAAATTACCCAGTCTCATATAGTTCTTTATTGCAGTGTGAAAACAGACTAATACAGGTGGGATGGGGTAAGTTGAAGGGAAACAAAGACTCCTTGATACACAAAACACGGGACATCCAGAACTCTATGTGTGTTGTTCATAACTGTGATTCCAGCAGCACTAAGAAAAATATTGGCCAAATAATAAACCATGTGGGACTTGATAAACTTGTGTTTAATAGAAGGAAAGTGGAAGGAAGGAAGGGAGGGAGGGCAGAAGGGAGGGAGAAAGGGAGAAACATAAAGAGAATGAAAGAGGAAGGAAAGGAAGAAAAGAAGAAATGTGACTGTAGGCTAGAGTGCTAAAAGGCAATGAATGTATGAATAAAAGATTGCTTCTCAGCCTCAGTTTGGACTTGTCTTAACTTTGGTATCCTGCCCTTCCCTACCCTCTACCTTCATAGCCTTTAGGTTAAAAGGCTGAGTTTTATTCTCACTGGCTGCCTGACATTCAGTCCCCATTTCATTACTCACAGAACATGAATTTGGTGCAAATGTTTACCATTTGCATGTGTGACTCAGGGAAAGGTGAGCCCCATCCCTTTCTAAGAGCTAAACCAATATAGGGATTTTCCTTCCCAGTGATTTGTGAGAGTTGATACGTGATCCTCAGTCCTGGCCAGTGGGACAGGAGGAGGTCTTCTGGAAAAGTTCACCTTTCTCTTAAGAAGGATACACTGTTATAGTTGCTCACTGATTTTGAACTTTGCCACATCTGGCTAGGAATCTTGAAAATATTTTGCCTTCTTGAGACCTTGAACGGAGTCATTTTGAGATATAAACCACCGCTGAACATGCCAGAGTGGATAGATGGAAAGGATAGATCTTGATGACACAGTTGAGCTGATGACTTGACCGACTCTGAAATCCTTACTATCTCTGGACTTTCTGATATAAGCAACAATTCATATCTTTATGGTCTAAGCCAGTTTTGGTCATGCTTTTCTGCTTCTTTTAGGCCAAACACATCCTAACTGATACAGTACCTCAATCTGATGTAATCCAGTTCCTCATAACAGCTCAAGCCTCATATCCAACCAGCATTGCCCCCTATCCTTTGCATTTCAGCCACATTAAATTGTTTATGGCTTCCCAAACATACCCTACTATGTACATTCATATCTTTGCATCTGCTTTTTTTTTTTTTTTTTTTTTTGAGACAGAGTCTTACTCTGTCGCCCAGGCTGGAGTGCAGTGGCATGATCTCGACTCACTGCAGCATCCGTCCCCTGGGTTCAAGAAATTCTCCTGCCTCAGCCTCCCAAGTAGCTGGGATTACAGGCATGCAGCCACCATGCCCAGCCAATTTTTGTATTTTTAGTAGAGGCAGGATTTCCCCATGTTGGCCAGGCTGGTCTCAAACTTTTGACCTCAGGTAATCCACCTGCCTCGGCCTCCCAAAGTGCTGGGATTACAGGCATGAGCCACCGTGCCTGGCCTGCATCTGCTTTTAATTGATCTTCTCTCCCATGTCTGTGTGGCACATGGCTTCTCATCATCTCCTCTCTCAAAACTAGCTGAGATGTCACCTCCTTGGGAAATATTTCTACCTCTGATTTGTGTAGATCTCTCCATCACATGGAGGTTAAGAGCATGAATTCAGGAAGCAGGATCCCCAGATTTAAATTTGAGCTCTGCTACCTACTCATATTAAGACGCTGGGCATTTTGCTTAATCATTTTCTGCTTTAGTTCTCTTTTTTGTAAAATGGAGATAATAATAGTACTTCCCCATAAGGTAGTTATAAAAATGAGACGAGCTCATATTTATAAAAGCACCGAGAACAGTACCTGGCACATGGTAAGCACTACATTAATGTTGGCTATTATTGTTGTAATTGTCGGTTTCTATATCCGTCTTCACAATGAACAAGTGCACCTGTGAACTCTTGGAGGGCAGAACTTTGTTTTCTTCATCTCTATATTTTTAGTACTCATCATAGAGCTATGCATTGCTAAAGTAAGTTCTTAAAACAAACAAAGAGGCAAACAAAATCTTGTGGGATGGGATAATATGGAAAAAGATAGAATGGAAAGAAACAGAATGCGTTGCAATGGAATGGAACATGCTGGCCATGCAGGAGACCAGCACATTTAAGGCACAAGACACTGCCCAGAGTTGAGGCTTACTTCTTGCAGTGTTTTGAATGTCAGGCCAAAGATAGGGATTTTATGTTGGGGAAATTAGGGAAGCCGTGATGATTTTGATCTGCAGTACTGCACAATCCTACATGCATCCAGAACATGAATCTGCCTTATTTTAAGAGCTTTTTTTGGAGATATAATGTACATACAATAACAGTCACCCATTTTAAATGTACATTTTTAAGGAGCTTGGGTAAATTTACAGAGTTGTGTAACCATTACCAATATCTAATTTTAGAACCTCTGAATCTGGCTTTTTTAGATTACAGGTTGAATTGTAGATACTTATGTAAGCAGGCTAGTTGGGGTCCAGTCTTACAGGTTAGGGAAGAAAGAAAGGTGCTAGCAGTAGGAATGAGTATCTGTGTCTCTTTACTCTGAGCCTGAGCTGAAAGTGTGGGCACTAACCTCACATCTTTATACTCACAGGTGTGCCAGGAGTGCTGGTTTCTTCACTCATTCCCCTTCACCCCTAGAGCCCAGCATTTATACACAATTTACTACATGGTTTTTCCATTTGCCCCTTCCCTTCAGTCTATGAGCTCCTTGATGTTTAGAATCATGCCTTATTCATCTTTTTATCCCCGGTCTATAACTACTGGCAACAAGACCTGGTACATAGTAGGTGCAGATTTAATATGGTTAAGAAACTCAAACACGTAATAACTTCTAATTCTGCCATCACCCCCTCAGTGGAAATGTGCTGACATTTCTGTAGTGTACAACCATCCAGAAGAGGATGTGAAATGGGACCACAAAGAGGAGAGTTATGAATATAAAGGCTTTAAGTTATCACTGCCCATTTGGCAATTATAGGTCATGTGCATCAGCTGCACACTCTTCTGCCATTGCTGCCTCTGGGCTAAGGCTGACTGGTGTTCCCTGAAGTCCTTGCTTTTATTGGGCTGAACTTGGCCTCTTATTGTTTCAATCTTCCTCATCTGAAAGTCATCTAGAAATGTTCCCTAAATGTCACACCACTTATTTCTGGCTAGCTTCCTTATATGCAGAAAGGACACCTGCTCAGGGAAGCCCTCACGATCCGTTCCTTTCAGGTTGAGTGTGTGTGTGCACACATGCACATGAGCAGCAAATCAGTGCTCCACCTTGTGCAAGAAAGGGAGGACTTTCATTGCAGGCACATATTCCTAAAATACAAGTGGTGATATGATAAACATTTTGAAGCTGGATGCAGGGCAGGGACCATATCCTACAGAGGGCTATCTCAATCTAGCACCCAGGACTCCCCGGGCCAATGACCAAGTCATAAAAACCAGCAGAAAGAATGAGAAGCCACCAACCCTAAAGGAGGTAGGAAGGCCAGGCATCAGAGAAGAGAGATAGATCAGAGAAGAGGGCCACGTCTTGCTGGGAGATCAGAATGGTGAGTTCAGTGGAGGTTCAAGGTGGGCTGAGACGGTGGTTAGCTGCAGTTGGAGGAGGGCCTAGGCTTAGCTGAACTTATCAGCACTGAGATCTGAGGGCCTGAGTGATAATAATCTTATCCCACGTTGCCGCACTGCACTGGGTAGAGGAGAGACCTCAGAGAAGCAGGACCACATTGTGTGTGTGTGTGTGGTGTGTGTGTGTGTGTGTGTGTGTGCGTGCGTGCGTACGTGCACTTGCATGCACATACATATTTTACTTTCCCTCTTAAATTTCTATAGACTTTTAGAGCTTGAAGGGACTTTTTTTTTTTTTTTTAGCTTATCTAGGACTCAGGGCCTTTCAGTAGCAAAGCCAGGATTAGAATTCAAGTAGTCTGCTGGCCCAGTGTTCTTCCTACCTCTCTGCTCATGTCGTCTGGCTATCTTGCTTGGTTTTGGTAGTACTGATCCAATAGTCTCAACTCTGGTATCTAACACTGAGGTCATTTGGTCTGCGTAAGGCTGTTGTAATGAAAAAACAATGATCAGCCTCCAAAGAAAGTCTGTAGTTTGTTCATAGTATTGGTTCCATATTAATTGCTTAGATTTGATAAATGTACTAGAGTGTGATGGTTAATTTTATATGTCAACTATACTGGCCCATGGAGATGCTCAATTATTTTGTCAAGCATTATTCTAGGTGTTTCTGTGAAGTTGTTTTTTTTTTTTTTTCTGTAGCTTAAGTAAAGCAGATTGTCTTCCATGATGTGGGGGGTAGGGAGTCTCATCCAATCACTTGAAGGCTTGAAAAGAACAAGCAGCTCACCCTTCTCTGAGTAAGAGGGGATTCTCCTGCTGGCAGCCCTCAAACTAGGACATCTGTTCTTCCTGGATAGTTATGTAACATGTTAAGCTGAATGGAAGCTGGGTGAAAGGTGTACAGAAATTATCTGCACTATCTTTGCAACTCTTCTGTAAATCTAAAATTATTCCAGAATAAAAGACTTAAAAAAAAAAAAGTCAGGCCAGAATCACAAGTATCCCAGATTATCCCAGGATAATTCACCAGAAAATTCTAAGCACACTAGCAGAGTCAAATACCATGCTAAACAATATGCCATAACCAAGTCTTAATGGATCTCAAACTGGTATCCTCAGTTGTCTTCTGCAGACATGTGTCACTCAGCGAAAGGGATTTGTTCTGAGAAATGCATTGTCTGGCAATTTGGTCATTGTGCAAACATCAAAGAATGTACTTACACAAAAATAGATGGTAAAGGTTACTGTACATCAAGGCTACATGATGTAGCCTATTACTCCTAGGCTTCAAACCTGTAAAGCCTGTTACTGTACTGAATACTGTAGGCAACTTAACACAATGGTAAATGTTTGTGTATCTGAGCATATCTAAACATAGAACAGGGACAGTAGAAATTTTAAAATATTTTTTAAAATTATCTACCTGTATAGGGCACTTACCATGAGTAGAGCTTGCGGGACCGGAAGTTGTTCTGGGTGAGTCAGTGAGTGAGTAGTGGGTGAAAGTGAAGGCCTAGGACATTACCGGATACTACTGGGGACTTTATAAACACTGTACACTTAGGCTACACTAAATTTATTTTAAAATTTTCTTTCTTCAATAATAAACCTAGATTACTAAAACTTTATGTTTTATTTCTTTAAACTTTTTGACTTGTAGTAACACTTAGCTTAAAACACACATATGGGTGTACATGAGGGTTTACATCTTCATTCTATGAGCTTTTATAAATAGTTTTTTTCACTCTTAAACTCCTTTATTAAAAACTAAGATATGAACACACACATTAGCTTAGGACTACACAGAATCAGGATCATCAATATCACTGTCTTCTACCTCCATCTTGTCCCACTGGAAGGTCTTCAGGGACAATAACACACATGGAGCTGTCATCTCCTATGATAGCAATGCCTTTTCTGCAATACCTCCTGGAGGTATTGTCTGAGGTTGTCTTACAGTTACAAGGACTTGTCTGAGGCTGTTTTACAGTTAACTGATTTTAATAAGTAGTAGGACTACACTCTCAAATAACAATAAAAAGGCCCAGCATGGTGGCTGATAACTGTATTCCCTGTGTTTTGGGAAACTGAAGCGAGAGGCTCACTTGAGGCCAGGAGTTTGAAACCAGCCTGGGCAACATAGTGAGACCTCTGTCTCTACAAAATAATAAAAATAACAATTAAAAGTATAGTAGAATAAATACTTAAACCAGTAGCATAGTTGTTTATTATCATAATCCAGTATTATGTACTGTACATAATTGTATGTGCTATACTTTTATACAACAGAGAGTGTGGTAGGCTTGCATACACCAACATCCCCACAGACATGTGAGTAATGCATTGTGCTAGGACATTAGGAAAGCTACAATGTTACTAGGCCAGAGGAATTTTTCAGCTCTGTTGTCATGCTATGGGGTCACCATCATGTATTTTGTCCATGGTTGACGGAAACGTCATCATGCAGCCCATGACGTATTTGTTATCATTTTTCCACCTGAGTCATTGTGAAAACTGACTGCTTCCCTTCACTGTGGAGCTGTGAGCTTTATGAGACCACATTGGTATTGTATTCATTTCCCTCTCTAGCACTCAGAACAGGCCTGTACATAGTAGGTTTTTGCCACCCAAGATTTGCATGTGTGTGTGATTAGCTCAATTTGGAAAAAAAAATACAAAAGAATGACACAAATGATTTTATTTCTGTTTAGCTGTATCTGTCTAAAATACAGTCAGCTAAATCTTATTGAGAATCAAATGTGTGATGAGCCCTTTGGTAGACACGAAGGATGGGGAGTTACAAAGAAGAAAAGCATATAATGCCTGTCCTCCAGGGTGACTCTTGGAGGGTCAGAAGAGTTGGAATAATGATAATAATAATAAATTTTTTAAATAACAAAAGCAAATATTTTATTAAAGTTAAAATTATTTAAATAATAAAACAATAATTTTATTGTTATAATAAAAGTGATTATTTTATTGAGTATTTTCTGTGTGCTAGCTACCATGTATCTTACTATAGCTACTACTACTACTAATAGCTAGCTACTATTTCATTGTTAAATAAGGCCACAGTGTTGGCACTATGACTGTCTTCATTATGCCAGATGAGAAAATTGAGACTATGAGGTTAAATCACTGGCCCAAAATTGTACCAGCTAGTGACAGAACCGGGATTTGAACCCATGACTGGCCCACCAGCAAAGCCTGAGCTGATTACCACCGTGTTCTCCAGCATTTCTGAGTTAGTACTACTGTTTCACACATCTTTCTTTTTATAACAGAGTGGGTACCCTAATAGGAAGTGTCCTATTCATATTTGTCCTTGTCCTTTCAAATCTTAACACAGTGTTTGGCACATAGTAAAGAAAGTAAATGTTTGTTGAGTTAAATTGTGGAAATAAGACCTAGAGAAACAAGGAGGGCAAAGGAAATCCCTTCCTGGGAATATTCCCTTTTTTTAATAGCAAGAGTTATCTCAGAAAGATAATCAATTCTCTTTTGGAATTATGCCCCTGTGTACTTAAAGCAATGAATTGTTATCAGTCTGAAGAAAACAATATTGTGATAATATATTGAAGCCCAGATAATGTGTTGTGTTTTGGGCCAATGCATTGTCCTCAAATGGGGCAAAGGGCTGGCCATGATCTCCAGGGCCCTTTCAGCTAGCTGAGTGGGGAGCAATTGGATAAAGGCCTGAAATCAAACTTCATATAAGCACTGCTTTGGAGTGGGGGGTATTGTTGAGGACTCAGGGGGCCTGTGAAACTGCCAGCAGCCAGCTCAAGGGCAGTGCCGTTGATCCGCCCTGGGGAGGTAATGTCAGTGCTCCTTGTGGACCAAAGGAGTTACGTATTTGGAACTGGAGGTGCATGATTTCGGAGGGTGTATTTTTAGAGTAACAAGGAAAAGTCTCCACCATCAGGAAACCAGGATTCTGTTCTGATTTGCATTAACATAGGACCAAAACTTTCAGGGTCTCAGTTTTCCCATTTGTCAACCAAGGATTGTATTAGCATCCTTCTCTACCATTGCAAACAGTGCTTCATGGCACTGACATGAGGCGGCATGCATAAAAATGATTGCAAATGTGCAAAGTGGTATTCTAGTGTATTACAGTACAGGAGAGGGTGAAGTAAGGTAGTATAGTAGAAAGACCACAGGTGTTAAGAAGTTGTCATTTCATATTTCTGTCACTCCACTGCATGATTGAACAAAGGAAAGTTACCAACTTAAACCTCGCGTGCTTGTTTCCTCATCTGTAAAAATGGAATCAATGCCTATCTCACAAAGGTTGCCGAGAAAATTAGAAATTATGTATGAAAAGGCCTGGTACACAGTATGTCTTCAAACAGCTGACAGATATTTTGTGAGCTTAGTTTCAGTGTATCTGCTTCCCATGTTAGACAGTGAACTTTATGAAGGCAGAAAAGATGTCACATTTATCTCTGCAGATGAGGGCAGCATGTTGCTTGGCAATTCAGTAAAAACTAACACATATTTATCAAATTAATTATGTATAATACCAGGGTCAAATAGGAATCAGAGAACAATTACTGATTTTTTTTAATTTCAATTCCTTTTGCAATGTTTTCTTGTCCTAAACCTCAAATGCATATCTTTCTACCCACTCCCCCAAAAGTAATGTAGTTCTTGAACTTGATCCTTGGACATGCTCATTTATTTATTCATTCAACCAATAGATATTTATGGAAGGCCTACTCATTATGTGTCAGACTCTGGGCTAGGCAGTAGAGAATACAAGTCCCTGGCCTTGGTAGAGAAATAATAGATAGTGCCAGTAAATAAAGGTTTAGAGAATAGGCAGATGTGAACTGTCCCAGAGGAAAATGAAGTCCCAAATGAGATCTGAGGGAAGTGTGAGAGTCAGAAGAAGACCAAGAGGATGCAATATCTAACATGTTCAGGAGCAGGCAGATTGCCCTGGATGACTAGAGTGATGGGTGGTGACAGGGAATAAGGAAGGAGGTGGGAGAAGGAAGCTGAGGGGTGAGTGGTTGCTCAGGAGTCAACCATGAAGAGCCTCTTAGATTATGTTCAGGGGTCCTGTCTTTCTCCTGAAGGCAATCTGAAACCATGAAAGCATTTTAAGGCGGAAAAAGAATTACCAGACCTCCATTCTAGAACCATTATTCTAGCTCAGTATGAAAGATGGATAGAAGGGGAAATCAAGGTTGTTGTCCTAGCATTGGCTGAGCCCAGGATCCTCTCATAAGTTACCAGGCCTGTGTTTATAAAGTTAAACCAAATTAAAAATCCGACACATACAATTCAAACAATGAAGGGTCCTTCACACCTCTTATATTCAAGGCCCTAGAGTCCTATGTTTCCCATCAATGTGCTCTCACATCTAACAATTTGTCCAGCCCCTAAGGAGCTAGACAGGGCTCTGCCACCTACCTTTGCTCATCATTTTTTCTTTTCCAAAGACATAAACAAGGTGTGCCAAGCCTTGGGCAGAGTTTTGGTAAATGAGAACGAGGTGAAGCTGTGTGTGGGTTCATTTGTCATCTGAAGCCACCAGATTCACCCTTCAAATTAGACAAGGTGAAAAGATTGATACTGAAGTGCTCAAGGGCTGTCAGAAAACCCAAACTTTACAGCTTGAAAATTCCTGGAAGAGAGAAATGTCTCTGGAAAATGTTAGTTATGTGCCTGATGACATGTTGGGTGCTTTTTGCAGTTTCAGCAATCTAATAAAGTGTCCAAGAGCATGGGTTTGGTGACCAGAGGACCTAAGTCAAGTGCAAGTACTAGCACTTGCTGATCGAGTGACCTTGGGCAAATTGCTTAACCTACCCCATAGGATTGTTGTGAGAATGCAATGAGACCATGCATGTAAAGTGCTTGGCACCTCATCAGCACACAATAAATGTGGTTTGGCAGTACCTGGGGTTGTAGTGGTGGCTGTGATTGTAGTGGTGGGAGTGGTTATAATTCTGATTATGGTGATGGTTGGAATGTTGGTGGTGGTGATGGTGGGTGGTAGTGGTGATGGTAGTGGTGGTGGTGGTGATGGTGGTGGTGGTGGTGATGGTGGTAGTGGTGGTGGTGGTGATGGTGATGGTTGTGGTACTGGTGGTGGCGATGGTGTTGGTGGTAGTGATGGAGGTGGTGGTATTGGTGGCAGTGGTGGTGGTGGTAGTGGTGGTGGTTTTAGTGGTAGTGGTGTGGTGGTGGTAGTGGTGATGGTGGTGATGATGTTAGTTGCCCCACAGCTCGGTAATTAAGACCACTGACACCAAAGCCAGAATGCAGTGGGATCAAATCCCAGGTCTGCCATTCACTAACCATGTGACCCAGGCAAGTTACTCAACATCTCTTTCCCAATGTCTCACCTGTAAAATAGGAATAGTAATAGTACTTACTTCAAAGGTTCATATAAAGATTAAATTTAGTGGGCTGAGATGGTAAAGTGTGATAACGGTGCCTGAAACATGGTAAACATAAATCGTACTAAACAAATACATGAACTAGTTAATGCTCAAAACAAGAGGGAGCATGTAAACATACCCCCAAGTTCAGGCAGTATCACTTCCTTATCTTGCAGTTGAGGAAACTGACACAGAGAGGTGACGTAAGTTGCCTCTATTACACAGCAAGTAAAGGATGGAAATGGAATTTGAATCCTGTTCTGCCAGATGGCAAGACCAGTGCTTTAGACTGTGTGACTGGAAGTCTTTTTTTTTCTTTTTTTTGCTTTTTGCTTTTTTCTTTCTTTTCTGGCTCATGCCAAAGTCCATTTGTGACTTGCAGAGGAACATGCTTCTGGAAATACAGAAATGTCTTAAAAAGCTCACATTTACTGAGTGTCTTCTATATACTAGGTTCATAGCTTACTTTACTTAATTCTCACAACCTTCCCATAACGTAGGCAGTATTACTTTTATGTTAAAGACCATAAGGTTCAGAGAGGTTAAGTTACTTGCCCAAGGTCACACAGCTATTTTAAACAGAAGGGATAAGACTCATATTCTGGTATATAGAACTTTAAAACCCATATTCTCGTCACTGGACTCTCTCAGCCTCAAATCCTCTATGTATTGAACCATGAGATGGACTTGTTGGAATTCAGTCTGCTATCTATTTCATTTAAAATGTGAGACCTAGAAGTGTATGTTCAACCAGCACAGACATGAAGATTTGCTAAGGGAATTACCATTAATTGGCACCCTTTGTAATTACTCCTAATGCGTAACTCCTAACAACAACCTAGCAGGGCAAATAGTACTCCCCTAACCTCTTTACAGGTAAGAAAAATAAAGGTTCAGAGAGTTTAAGAACATTCCCTGAGTTTGCACATCTAGAACGGGAAAACAGCTGGGATGTACACACGTAACAACCTGACTCTAGGCAACCAAACCTGCTTCTACAACAGCCACTGTATATGGACAGGGGGGTATATAAACATCAACAGAAAATCACGGAACAACCATCATTTGTCTGTGCCATGCCTCAGACAGTGGAGCTAAATGAATTCAAAAGCCATTTTTTTAACTTTTATATTAAGTTCAAGGGTACAAGTACAGGTTTGTTACATAGGTAAACTATGTCATGGAGGGTTGTTGTACAGATTTTATTACCCAGGTATTAAGCCTAGTACCTATTAGTAATTTTTCTTGATCCTCTTCCCCCCTCCCACCTTCCACTCCCTGAAAGGCCTCAGTGTGTGTTTTTCCCCTCTATGTGTCCATGTGTTCTCATCATTTAGCTCCCACTTGTAAGTGAGAACATGCTGTATTTGGTTTTCTGTTCCTGTGTTAGTTTGCTAAGCAAAAAAGCCATTTTGCTATAGGGCCATCACTTAGGTGTATACTAGCCTCCTAGCTTCATTATGCTTCCGGGCTTACTTGGGAGTATTGTCTTCCTCATAAGGTTGTCTTAATGACACACTCGACTCTGTTAATTGCAAAGTGTTTTGTGTGCATTAGTTGCAGCTGGCATTGCTCCTGATGGGGACTCCTGGGCTCATTAGGGGGCTTGGAAGAAAATTTGCAGAACATTGGCACCTCTGTGACTGTTGAGAAAAGAAATCGGGCTTCTTTGATCCAAGGCATCGAGGCACCTCTTTGGAGCAGTAGCTTCTCATTTGTGGAAATGGAGCTGATGATATTCGGCAAATATACAACAGCACACTGTGTGGTTTTGTTAAAATATTGAATTGCATCTGGATTGGTTTTTAAATAGCTGCTGCCTGAGCCCCCAAGTGCCCTGATCACCTCCATCCCTCTGCTAGTTACTCCCCAGACCTGCCCTTGATCCAGAAAAAAAAAAAAAAAAAAAAAAAGGACTAACACTTCGCACAACTGAGGTCTCCAGGGCCCCACCATATTCAGATTGGCTGATTGGTGGTACCCTCCATTTACCAAGTATTAAATTTTTTTATTGTTATCTCTGCCTGAAGACATTATTTAGCCAGAAGACAGAGCAGTCCAGAACAGTCAGACAGGCCATCCACATCATCCTGTCAGTATTGTTTTTGTTTTTTGTTTTTGCCTGGTGTAGCATCCTGTACAGACTCATGTGGGTTCCAGCATAATTGGTATGTTCTTCCTATTCCATTTAAATGGTAGTGTTTTAGTAAATGCTGAATTTTCATTGCCTTTTTTTTTTCCTTAATAAAATTCAGGAACAATCCTTGCCAATAAGTAATAGCTTTAAAGGGGTTGCCATCTCCATTTTGTTAGATTCTGTTTTCCTCTCCATCTTTTCCCCCTCTTGTGAAATGAATGCTGTAGTTTAATTCCTTAAGTGCTCCTGTTTCCCATCCAAACTTGTCTTGGCTTGCCTTTCTCATAAACATGAGGCAGAATCTCCAGACTTCTCTGCGGGAAGGGACTGCCTCATACTCACCTTCACTCCGGCTCCCCTTCTGTCTGCTTGAAGTAGACTAGAGGGAAGACAAGAAAACAAAAAACATCAGCATCCAGAGTTCTCAGAGAAAGCCAGTCTCAACCAATTTTACAGCATTGACTGGGAGGTATGAAGAGTAGGTAATAAGAAGAATCCAGGAGGGGTGCTCGATTTGTTTTAAGGAAGCTGGAGTTAGTTCCTTTCTTTTTGAATGTCTGTAAAAAATCCCTCTCCTGCCAACACTTTATTAGTACAGCTAACTCTTAGGATTAAATTAGTCTACAATAGCATAGACCCAAAATAGAGCCTGCTTCTACATGAGATGGAGATTTGTCTTTTGGGTAAAAGTACAGAAGTAACAACCTAGGACTGAAATTGTAGCTCTTTTTTTTTTTTTTTTTTTTTTTTGAGACAGAGTCTCGCTCTGTCACCCAGGCTGGAGTGCAGTGGCTCAATCTTGGCTCCCTGAAAACTCCACCTCCTGGTTTCAAGTGATTCTCCTGCCTCAGCCTCTGGAGTAGCTGGGATTATAGGTGCGTGCCACCATGCCCAGCTAATTTTTGGATTTTTAGTAGAGACGGGGTTTCGCCATGTTGGCCAGGATGGTCTCGAACTCCTTACCTCAAGTGATCCACCCGCCGTGGCCTCTCAAAGTGCTGGAAGTACAGGTGTGAGCCACCATGCCCGGCCTGGAATTGCAGCTCTTTACTGTGTCCATGCAGAACTGAATGGCTCCTGCATGGAGTGCTCCATGCAGAACTCCAGGTTCCTGTAGCTTTCTGTTCCTGCGTCCCTGATGTCTAGCTCTCATGGGGTGTTCCAGGGCACATGCATGTAACTCTCCCATCCACATTTGAAGCAGTAGGATGGAAGCAGGGGGAAGAGCAGCAGAATGTAGAACCAGCTGCCTCTGAAGGAGGAAACCTGGAGCTGCTATCACTTACTTCCACATATATCCTGTTAGCCACAGTGTAATCTCACAGCCACACCCAGCTTCAGGGAAAGTTAGGAAATGTGGAAGCCAAAAACCCAATGAAATTGTCTATTACTATCAGAGGAAAGAGCAGCCATTAGGGTCCACTACCAGGCTGTTTGTCCTTGTATTGCATCAGATACCTGGCTGTGTGTCTGTCTCCATTGTTAGATGGCACTCTAAGAAGGTGATGTCTGTATCTACTTCATCATTGTGCATCCACCACCTGGCACCGGGCTTCACATATAAGAGGTGCTCCATAGTAATCTTCAGAAAGCACCTGCATCCAATCATGTCATGCCCCTGCTTTAAACTCACAGCAGCTTCCCATTGGCCTTGGCATCATATTCAAGTGTGTTACCATGGCCTCTAAGGTCCTATCTCTTCAAACTCACACTCTACTACCCCTTCCCCCTACCACCCCTCATTCTCACAGTTCAGCCAAACCAGCGTTATTTCTGACCCTGCAACTATCCAAGCTCATATTCTTCTCCATCCCTTTGTGATTGCTATTGCCACTGCCTGGATGCTTACTCTCTCTACCCCTACGTTCATTTACCTGGATTTCTCTTCATTAAGATCTCAGCTCAAATCTACCTCTTAATATTTTCCTGAAATTACTCAACCCCACACCACCATCACTCCCATGCCTCATAATTACACAAGAGATGTGATATTTGTATGTCTTAGTATTATCGAACATTTACTTGCTTACTCGTTGGCCCTTTGCTTCCCAAATTAGAATATATGCTCTTGATGGGCAGAGATCCTGCCTGCTTTGACACCTATGATATCTTAGCTCCTAAGACAGTGTCCAGTACCTTGCAATCTGTCAACAATCACTTGTGGCATCGATGTGCAGTTAACAAAGTGGCCAGATTATATCTTCAGAAGTTAAAATCTTTTGCTCAATGTAGTTAACTATATTCCCCCACAAAGTTGCAAAGTAAAACCTAAGAATCTGCCTTAAAACTCATAAGAATTCAATAATTTGTTGCCTGATGCCCCTCCCAAGTTAGGGGTCTGCCTTCATGTCTTCCCCCATGAGAGGGAAGTCTCCCTGTGGGGCAGTGACTCGCACCTGTGACAGGGATGTTCTAGCCTTTCCTTGCCAACCTCCCCATCCCCACCCACAACCCATGTCTCCACCATAATAAAATGAATAGGCTCGAAGGGATAGGCCGATGGCAGGAAAGCATAAAGATCAGTTTGAATGATGAGGCTTAGCGATAAAGGCTCAAGGAGAAGGAAGCCAGTGTGTGTTGATCAGAACCCTGCCAGGTACGTCACAGCAGGTTGATGCCCTGTTCTAGAGATGGTGAAACAAAAGCTCAGAGGAGAGCAGGGGAGTGTACGTGGCATGTTGGAGAGCTGCATAAGCTGGGGCGAGTAGTAGGAGATGAGGTCGAAGATGTCACTTGGCAGAGGGTGGGAGGTGTAGATTCAGCAATAATTAGATTGGGGTCAGTAACCCAGAAGTTGATGGGAAGGACTGGGCCTGGAGGAGGAAAAATTGAGAGGGAGAAGATAATGAGTTTCCGAAGCATTGGTGAAGGAGAATCCATGAGCCTCAGGAAGCAATCTAATGGAGGGGCGGGGGAAGTGGGTAGTTGTGAAGTAGACGCTGTAAAGGTCAAGGATGATTCCCAAAAAATGTCTGCCTTGGGAGTTTGCACAGACAACTTAAGTCTTTATCATGCATACAAAGTACTCAGTAAATATTTATTAGTCAAATCCAATTTTTCTCCCTTCCCTGCCCTTCTACTGAGCTTTTGCTTTGTCCCAGACTAAATATAGAGTTCCCAAGTGCCCAATCTTTGATGCCATCCCCTCTTTGTCACCCCGAGTCTTGCTGAATGAAATCGGACACCTCTCTCAATCCACACCAGCATAACCCTGCTCAGAAGTATATAGAGTTATAGCATAACCCTGCTTAAAAAGTATATAGAGTTCTTGGGTACCCAATCTTGGGTGCCATCCCCTTTTTTTCACTCCCAGTCTTGCTGAATGAGACTTGACACCTCTCTCAGTCCACACCAGCATAACCCTGGTTACATAAGGAAGAAAATTCAAAACATCTTCTGGAGCCTGGGGCTAGGTCATTCAGAGTCCAGGTCAGGGGTCTTAAGAAGTCTTCTGACTGCTCAATAGGCACCTCCTTATATCCATCACCTTCCAAGAAACTGCAGACACACAGCCCTATCAGCAATGATTAAAAATACCAGCAGTATTTACTGAACAACAACAAAGTGGTCCATCCCAATGGTGCCCACCTGGTGCTCTCCTCACCTGGCTGTCCTCACCTCTGTTCCACTGCCCATCCCCTTCCCCACTCATCACAGTTTCCCATTTGCTTTAGCAATTGGGAAGTCACTGGCCTTGCATTTACAGCCAGGGAACTGGACACCCTGGACCTCCAGCAAGCATCCTTCCCAGTACATCCCATCAGCCTCCATTAGTATCAGGGGACTGACAGCTGAGATTGACTGCCTCATTAGCAGGTGTCGTGTGGAACTCTGACAATAATTAACAACTCAACAGTCTCATTTGCTGGCCTATCAGAGAAGTATTCAATCAAAAATGTAATTTGCCCGATGCCTCCATTTAGCATGGAAAGACTATTCCTTCAAAGTTTTAAATAGTCTAATTAAGAGGGAAGAAATAGAAGGGGAAAAATTATTAACAGTATAGGTTTAATGTGAAATTGCTGGAGCGAATTAATAATGCAATAACCATTTTTAGCAGCTGTCTATCAGTTTGTGGGCCAGAGTAATTCAATTAGTCAGCAAAGGGTTGTTTAGATGAGATAGTGGGGAAGAAGTGCTATTTTGTTTCCCAAAGGCACCATGGACTGTATTTCTCCAGGTTAGGGAGAGATACGTGCAAAATATTCCAAGATGCAGCACAGAGTCAATGTTTGGGAGCAAATGTGCCTCGTGGTTGGAGCAGGTGAACTGGCTTTTTTAGGATCTCCCAAAAAAAGTCTCAGTGCCTCTCCTTAGGGTTCACTTCCTGCAGAATTGACTCTGCAGCATCAATACCCTTGATTCAAAGCAAATAATCTATACCAAAGGAATGCATTGTAGCTAGGCCTGACTTAGGATTCCAGCCATGTCAGCTTCCAGCAGCCTAAAAGTGCTGCTACACTAGTCAGTGGCATCTTCTTTTCGTCCTGCATCTGCCACACTTCCGCCTCTTCTCATGAAGACCTTTCTCTCAAGAATGCTTTTACAGTGTCTGTGTACTAAGTCCTATTAGTCCTTCCAGGTCCAGCACATCTGCACACAGCCTTCCTTGTTTCCCCTAAACAAGCATTCTAGTTCCCAAGTCCTTTCCAACACTGACATTCTGCCACTTCCTCTTTACCTGTAAATGGGGATAATATGCTGGATCCCACTGGGAGGCGTATGTGAGGAATGCCAGAAATGCAGGCCACGACAGGCCTGGATTCTTATTTTGATTCTGCCATTTAATGGCTGTGTACACTTAAGTGATTTTTTTCACCTCTCTGTGCTTCCAGTGTCTTCCTTTGTAAAATAGAGATCAGAATTCCTATTTTGTTCACTTCTTGTGAAGGGATGAAAAATGCATAAAAAACTCATAGTACATAATAGATGCTTTAAAATGGCCACTGTTGCTATGAACGCCCTTAATACAGTGTTTAACTTACAGGTCAGCTAGGTAAACATCCTTTTTTTTTTTTACCCTGTACCTGACAAATTCCTTTGTACCTCCACAAGTCTTTGCCTTTCTAAGCATTTTCTAATAATCAACTCTTTTAATACAGTTTTCTTTTATTTCTTTCTTCCCCTTCATTTCTCTGTTCTTTTGTAAACTCATGGAGTGTATGATTTATAACATATTACACTTTGCTCCAAAGCAGTGCCCAGCAATCTCCCTTGCACGTGGTAGGCTTGAGTATCTGCTGCAGAAACTGGAAGTACATACAAGGTTAGGGGAGGAACAGCTGTTACGACAAAGATTTCTGAGTAAACATGAGCTCAGGGGTGTATGACTGCCCATTAGTCTTCAAATCTATATGTGGAATTTTTTTAGAATATCTGAAAAATGTAATTGGAATTTCTATTTAAAGATATATTATACTGTAATGGTTAAATTGCTGGACTTTGGTGTCAATCACAGCTGACTGGCATTTCAGCTGTTTCTCTGAGGCTTCCAAAGTCCCTTCTCTGTGCCTCAGTTTTTTCATGTGTAAAATAGACACTGGTAGACCTACCCTGGGGGCTGTTATGAGGACCCAGAAAGGTTTTTCACATACGGCATCTGCCAGGTAGTAGGTATTGAGTAAATGGTCGTTGTTTTCACATAATTTGGAAGAGGGAGGCAGTTGGGAGATCAGGGATAGCAACAGGGAGGGAAGCTGAGTCAAGCTGTGGAGTGTCATGAGAAAGGCTGGTCTCTAGCAAGTTGAAAGCAAGGAGGAGATACTGTGGGTTGTTGCATACACATGAAAGGGTATACGGAGGGAACAGTAGCCAAAGCTAAATTGGTGTGATTTCCCAAAGGGAAGAAAAACACCACAGGGAGCTGTCGGCATTGACAACCAGTTTTATGCAGCAACAGGGCAGTACAATGGAGTTTTCAGTCACTTACTCACATATTCCAAGAACACTTATGTGAGCATGATCCTGGGGTAGGAATTACATGGCAAAGAAAGATGCATCAGAAAATTTCCCCCCACCTCCAGCCCCGAGATGCTTATGTTTAGAGAGGGAGCTGGCGCTCAGGCACATGAGAGTTTGGAGCCTAATAGAGTCCAGCCACCATTCCTTGGGAGTCCGCAAGTGTCAAAAGAAGGACCACCTAGTACAGACTTCTATTGTAACTATAATCCATTCACTGTGGCCAAGACAATTCTCATAGATAGAGCTGATCAATCCAAAGCAGTGAATTGTGTGAATACTTATGCATGTGTTGTTACATAAGGGAGTTACCAGAGCTGGTTAAAAAAGGAATCTCAACACCAGCAAAAGCCAGGAAAGCAAAACCCACCAGCTTCCTGTTAGTAATGATAAATATATGAAAACAAGACACCCCGTGATTATAAGGCTTATCATGGCTCTACATTTATTTCAGGATGGCCATGTGACTGTCTCACCTGTTAAGGACTCCACATGCACGATCTCCTTTAACAGTAGAAACCAGTCTTTTGGGAGATCAGAAGCCATGCACCCTAGGGAGAGGTTCTGATGAGGGAGGTGGTGGAGACCACCCCAATAAAAGCAGAGGTATGGATGGAAGGCAACAGAGATACCCTGCCACATACATTCCTCAGTGAAACGCTCAAGGTTTTCTGCAATCTGCAATGAAAATGGGTTTCTTTGGTACTCCTCCTTAGCCTTCTCAAGGATAGATGTCTCAGAGCTGACCTCTTTGCTATATTCCAGCTAATTAGTTTTTCTAAAACTTGTAAACCACGATTCATTGTTCTCAGACTCTGTTCAACTGTTCTTGCTTTTATCTTTGTTTTCATACATCTTATTTTGTTTCTATTTCTAAATAATCTCCTGATGGCCCTCTCCCTCATATATATTTAATTGCATGCAACTAATTAGATGCCTTTTGGTAATTTTCTGATAAAGTGATTAAGAACTTGGGTTTTGGAGTCAGCTACACATGAGTTCAAATCTCAGCCGTGTCACTCTGTGGATGACCTTGAGTTAACTTATTCAGTTATCAGTTTTCTCATCTGTAAAATAGGAATTTTAAAAGAGTTACCCACTCACGATCCTGGAAAAGACTTAAATGAAGCAAAGTATATAAGGTCCATAAGATAGTGCCTGGAGCTTAGTAATTAAATGCCATATTTAAATTATTATCAGCATGGCTAGATGTATTATTATGAGCATTGGTCAAACATCTCTTGTAACTCCAGTGAAAAACAATAGCAATGCCAAAATTATGTACATGTGTTTTATCAAGGTAAAGAGGTTGAAATGGAACTCGATAACATGAAGGCAGGGACCAAAAAGAAGGAGGAAAGAGCAGAGAAGTTTCTACAAGAGCAGATGAAGCTGGCAAGGCTATAGAAGATATAGCACCAAAGAGATCTATGCACCAAAAAGAAAGCTCTAACTTGCAGTGGCAGGGGGTGGCAACGATTAAGGGAACTGCATAAATTATTGAAATCAATATGTTTTTGAAGCAGTTTTGAAAATGATTTTAAGAGCTCTGATGAGAAAGAGGTTACAGCAGGAAGCTTGAAGACATCATTGATGGTTTCTTAGACACTGTAGTATTTGAACTTGGTCTTGGTGATCATACAGGGAACAACATTACAAACAGGGGCACCACCTGAGAAAGAGCTTTCTGGGAGGCCAGGATGGGATGGCATGCACAGTAGACCAGTTTGGATGGAGCATGATAAGGAATGGAGGAAGAAAGTTTCAGAAGAAAGGATGGAATTTAAATCATAAAGGGTCATATGTTCAGGCTACAGTGTTTCAGCTTTACCTTACAGGCAGTGAAGGAACACTGGATGTTTTTGAATGTATGAGCATCCCTATGTGCATGTGTGCATGTGTATATATGTGTGTGTGTGTGTGTGTGTGTGTGTGTTGTGTTGTGTATCTCCTTGCATATGGGGGCAGGACAGGGATAGTTCAGGGAAGGTGAGGTACATATGGTCTAAGCTGAACATCAGGAAGCTTGATCTTTCTTAATAATTTTTTAAATTATTAATCACAGCCTACAATATGTTCATCCCCCCACCCCCCACACATGGAAAAATAGGAGTAGCAGGGTTTCTATTTAGATTTGTCTGAGAAACTGGAAGAAGTACTCAGGAACTGCAGGTAATGCCTAATAAGAGAGTGGTTCCCAGAGACAGACCCAAGCTTCCTTTATCGTATCTGTGTAGCAGAGAGCCTGTATGAGTACATGTGAGTATGTGTGTACACACATACATCTGCATGTCCTTCCAGGCACTGGAAAAGGAGCCTGACTTGTCTGTTGTTCTGAGACTACAAGCCCCAGGTGATGAAATCTAGCAGGAAGAAGCTCATCTTCTGCCCCATTACACAGCTACTTGAAAAATGACTATCATGATAGGTGGGCATTCCTTCTCTAACTGGGAGACTCCTCACTCCTCCTCATAAGGTTCTCAAGAGGTATCATTCAATGTAAAACACTTAATAGAATGCCTAGCACATAGGAGACACTGAATAATTATTAATATGATGATGGTAGTGGTGGTAGTGCTGATGACTAAGCAGGGGCTGTAGCTCTGAGCAGAGTGTACTAAAATATCTGATATTTTGTTAACTGTAAGACAGGAAATGATTCTTTTATATTAAGAAAGCAAATATGGGTATATGAGACTTAGATATTAATAAAATATTGGCTCTCTGGACCTCATTTTTCCCAACTGTAAAATAAGGGATTTGATTCTGAGGGTTCTCAGCTCAGATCTCCTAAGTGGCAAGAGTGACTTGTTTGGAAGTCGTATACTAGTCAGAGTGTTAGAAGATTTGAACCACAGTGACTTCATCTTGAGTCGGGGCTGGGCAAAATGAGGCTGAGACCTATTGGGCTGCACTCCCAGAAGGTTAAGGCGTTCTTAGTCACAGGATGAGATAGGAGGTCAGCACAAGATCCAGGTCATAAAGACCTTGCTAATAAAACAGGTTGCAGTAAAGAAGCTATCCAAATCCCACCAAAACCAAGATGGCCACAAAAGTGACCTCTGGTCATCCTCACTGCTCATTATATGCTAATTATAATGAATTAGCATCCTAAGAGGCACTCCCACCAGCACCATGACTGTTTACAAATGCCATGGCAACGTCAGAAAGTTACCTTATATGGTCTAAAAAGGGGATGAACCCTCAGTTCCAGGAATTGCCTGCCCCTTTCCCGGAAAATTCATGAATAACCTACCCTTTGTTTAGCATATAATTAATAAAGAAGTAACAATAAGTATAAGAAGCTGAGCAGCCCATGCCACCGCTGCCAATGGAGTAGCCATTCTTTTTTTTTTTTTTTTTTTTTTGAGATGAAGTCTTGCTCTGTCACCCAGGCTGGAGTTCAGTGGTGCAATCTCTACTCACTGTAACCTCTGCCTCCTGGGTTCAAGCAAGTCTCCTGCCTCAGCCACCTGAGTAGCTGGGATTACAGGATCGTGCCACCACACTCAGCTAAGTTTTTTTTTTTTTTTTTTTTTTTTTATATTTTTAGTAGAGATAGGATTTCACCATGTTGGCCAGGCTGGTTCCGAACTCCTGACCCCAGGTGATCCTCCTGCCTCAGCCTCCCAAAGTGCTGGGATTATAGGCTTGAGCCACTGTGCCTAGCCTGGAGTAGCCATTTTTTATTCCTTTACTTTCCTAATAAACGTGCTTTCACTTTGCTTTACGGATTCACCTTAAATTCTTCCTTGTGCAAGATCCAAGAACCCTCTATTGGGTTCTGGATTGGGACCCCTTTCCAGTAACAAGAGGAGAAGCTTCCAGTGCCTTCACCTCAGGGCCCTGCTCCACAGCACATGGGAGATGGCTTCTGGAGAGACAGATCTAGGCACCATCAGCAAGTGCCTTCTCTTAGTAAGACCTGTTCAACACTGAAGTGGTGAGTTCCCTGGCACTGGAGCAAGGTGTGCTCTATGTGGACACTCCAGAGAGAACCCTTGCATGGGTCAGAAGTTAGATTAAATCTCCTCTGCTGAGCTTTCTTCCAAGTCTGAGATTTAAGGATTCCAAGTTGAATTCTTCATTTCCACCCTCCAGCTCTTTTTGAGATTTTCCCAGCCCTAATGCAGAACAACCACTCATCTGAGTCCCTAAAGAAATCTCCATCTCCAGGGGTAAAAGCTGAGGAAAGTTGGTGTACGTCTCTGCCAAGCCTCATCAAAGAACACCAAGTCATATCACAAAATAGTTTTGTATAGCTATCTACTCCTCACTCACCTTTTCTCATAACTTCAAATGGAACCACTCTGCCTAAGGCAGAAGTCTGGTTTTTCCAGGACAACTGTAAAGACAAGGGCATCAAGAGAAGCCGTCTAATAGCTGACTTGGCCCCTCCAAGAGTGACTATCTCATTGTAGGGTTAAGGAGCATCTGGTACCATGATCAACCCAAACCTGGGGGCGAAGAAACAGAATGCAAAGCTTCTGTCCTTCAGTGAACAAATTGGCTGGCTGTGGTGATAACCTCCAGATGTTAGAAGTGATTAGAAGAGACAGCACAGGAAGGA
This sequence comes from Homo sapiens, assembly GCF_000001405.40. Classification (NCBI taxonomy): domain Eukaryota; kingdom Metazoa; phylum Chordata; class Mammalia; order Primates; family Hominidae; genus Homo; species Homo sapiens. Next base: position 116,923,227 of record NC_000009.12, on the reverse strand, counting down.
CTTCCAGACTTCTGGCTGAGCCTGAACAGGTCTCAAAGTCCTATCTAAAAAATAAAATTTTGGTTAGAATTGTACTGTTATAACCTTGGAAAGAAGGGGACAAGGTTGAGATTTAGGCGGGCTTTGTTTGAGTCTGAACCTTAATGTCCTTGTTTGTAAAGTGGCATTGTTGAACCTTACCTGTTGGGGTTTGTTATGAGATATAGGTAAGAAATATATGCAAAGAACCTAATACTGCCTGTGGAAGGTTCTGCACCACCTCTGCCCTATAAGGCCCCTTCCAATCTTCATGTCCTGTGAGTCTATTGTTTTAAGCCACCATTTTTTAAGAAGTATTTTCAGAATAAAAAGGCAGAAATCTCTTTCAGTCTCCAAACTTCCAGCCCACCCCAAAGTACATATTTCTTAGCAGTTTGATATGCTTATCCCCAGAACTGTTGACATGAATTTACATAGGTAAATTTTAATCTGATTGGGATCACACTGAATGTTTTTGTGAAACTTGCTTTTTCTACTAATACGAAGTTTTAAAGATGTCTCCATATCAATTCATCCAGATCTACAATATTCTTTTTCACAGCTCATTAATATTCCATAACACAGATGTATCATGATTCATTTCACCACCAGCCAGTAATGGACTTTTACATTATCACATGTTTTTACTATTACAAACAATGCAACAATACACAGACTTGTGCATGCATTTTTGTGACTAGGTTTTAGTATTTTTAAGTATTTTCAAATGGAATTATATGTTAAAGTGTAAAAATATTTGACATTTTGATAGGCACACCTAAATTGCCCCCTGAGTCTATGATTCCAAGGCTTAAATGAGTCATTATTGAAAAAAATGATTAAAAACTCATTATGAATCTGGCATTGTAGCAATATATAAAATTAATCATAACCAAACACAGGGCCTTCCTTGAAAAGCTTATAATTTGTTATGGGTACACATGTTTATGAACAATAATAATTCAAGGTATAAAGTATTCAGGCATAGCTTAGGGAAAATAACAAGTGCCCTTTCTGGGGAAGATAGCTTTTGACTTAGTAATGCATAGGAGGGTTGTAGTTATGTCATTCCAAGAGGAGTCCCACCTTCAAAGGAAGTAGTAAGAAAAGACTTCCGGAAGGAAGAGGTTCTAGGGCAGAGGAACTTCTGTGAGAGAGGAAGGAGATGTGAATAGAGAAGTAGGAGATGGTGATATGGTTTGGATTTGTATTGCCACCCAAATCCCATGTTCAGTTGTAATATCCAGAGCTGGATGTGGGGCCCTGATATGGTTTGGCTGTGTCCCCACCCAAATCTCATCTTGAATTTTAATTCCCATAATCCCCATGTGTCAAGAGAGGGACCCAGTGGAAGGTTATTGGATAATGGGGGTGGTTTCCCCCATACTGTTCTCATAATGGTGAGTGAGTTCTCACAAGATCAGATAAGTGTTTAGCCAGTTCCTCCCTCCTTTCTCACTGTGTCTTTTCTGACACCTTGTGAAGAAGGTGCCTGCTTCCCCTTCCAACACGATTGTAAGTTTCCTGAGGCCTCTCCAGCCATGCAGAACTGTAAGTCAATTAAACCTCCTTTGTTTATAAATTACCCAGTCTTGGGTAGTTCTTTTTTTTTTTTTTTTTTTTAGACGGAGTCTCGCTCGGTCGCCCAGGCTGGAGTACAGTGGTCCAATCTCGGCTCACTGCAAGCTCCGCTTCCCAGGTTCACACCATTCTCCTGCCTCAGCCTCCGGAGCAGCTGGGACTACAGGCGACCTCCACCACACCTGGCTAATTTTTTGTATTTTTAGTACAGACAGAGTTTCACCGTGTTAGTCAGTATTGTCTCAATCTCCTGACCATGTGATCCGCCCGCCTCAGCCTCCCAAAGTGCTGGAATTACAGGCGTGAGCCACCACGCCCAGCCAGGTAGTTCTTTATAGCAGTGTGAGAACAGGCTCATGCAGGTCTGGTGGAAGGTGATTGGATCATGGTGGCTGTTTCTCATGGTTTAAGAGCATCCCCCTTGATACTGTCATCATGATAGTGAATTCTTGTGAGATCTTGTTGTCTAAAAGTGTGTGGTACCTCCCCCATCTCTCTCATGGTCCTGCTCCTACCATGTCAGATGTATGCTCCCACTTTGCTTCCACCATGAGTAGAAACTCCCTGAGGCCTCCCCAGAAGCAGATGTGGCCATACTTCCTATAAAGCCTGTAGAACGGTGAGCTAGTTCAACCTCTTTTCTTTATACATTACTCAGTCTCAGGTATTTCATTGTAACAGTGTGAGAATAGACTAAAACAGATGGATATTTCCTGTGAGGACATAGTCTAAAATAAAGCAGGCTTTAAGATCAGCTAGACTTGAATCCTGGCTTTGCTCCTACTAGCTACGTTGTCTTGAGCAGGTAACTTAACCTCTAGGAGCTTCAGTGTATTCATCTGTAAAATGGAGTTAGTAATCGTAGTGACCTCAGCAAGTCATCATTCATCATTTCACCAAATACTCAGTGAACACATACCGGGGTCCTGGTATTGTTCTAGAAAATGGGATGCAACTGTAAACAAATCAGACAAAATCCCCCTGCCCTCATGGAGCCAACATTGTAACTGAGGGTTAAATGATGCATGTATGGTCAAGAGCTTAGCATAGTACCTAAATCATGGTAAAGCATTTTTCTTTGTACTATTAAGGCAAGAAGGCACTGTGAGCAGGAAGAAGGGAGCTTGCAGTAGACAGGTGGGATCCTGACCCAGGATTTTTTTTGAGAGACCCTGAAAGTTGGTTGCCCCCATTCTTCATTTTATTTCTATCTTTCCATTGGCCTCTTTCATGCTGTTCCCTTTAAGTTATTCTCTGTTAATTCTGCCTCTTACAGGAGCTGGAGAACCATTCTTCTGCTTTTAAGCCACTAAAATTATTTAGGGCCTCTATGTAGAGCAAAGCCAGCTGGCCCTACTCATCTGAGCCTGGAAGCTCTACTGGGGAACCAGGGAGAGGGGCTGCTTCTGAGACAGAGCCACATGCTCAGGAAAAAGGTCCTTTATCCAGGGAAACTGCTGCTGTCCAGGAAGAAAACTTTTAGAGCTCAGACCATCTTTAGAGAGCATCTAATCCAACCCCCATTTCCATTGTACACAGAATACCAAGGAGGCAGCATTTGAAACAAGACTTGTCCATTATAAGAACTAAATTGCAAAGAGCAGGAAGTGCTGTTTCTGTCAGCCATGAACTGATGACCACCACACTCTAATTCCTAATATTAAAAAATTACTTTTTTTTTTTTTTTTGAGACAGATTCTCGCTCTGTCACCCAGGCTGGAGTGCAGTGGTGTGATCTCAGCTCACTGCAGCCTTCACCTCCTGGGCTCAAGCAATCCTCCCACTGCAGCCTCCAAAGAGGATGGGACTATAGACCACCATCAAGCTTGGCTAATTTTTGTATTTTTAGTGGAGATGGGGTTTTGCCATGTAGCCCAGGCTAGTCTCAAACTCCTGGGATCAAGCAATCCACCTGCCTCAGCCTCCTAAAGGGCTGATTACAGGTGTGAGCTACTGCTCTCAGCTAAAAAAAAAAAAAAAAAAAAAAATGATGTTTTTGTAAACAATTGACACAACCAAGAATTGTTCTGTGGTCATCAGAGGAGGAGGGACCTTGTTGTTTTTAAGAAGCAAGGATGAAAAATTCATAGGTCCATGAAACTCAGGGAGTTAAGGGACATTAGAAAGAGGCTGCAGTATTTGTCCAGTAGAATATTTAGGATTGTTAAAACGTTCACAGTGTGTTCCCAAGGAAATTGAGGTATTATCTTTTAGACATGTAAGAGGAAATTATGTTGATCTTTGAGGTTCCATTTCTCTTCTACATTTGGAGAGACAAAAGCCCAGAGATGGGAAGAATTGCCAAGGTCGCACAACAATTAGGGGCAAACATAGCCACAAAATCAGGACTTCCAAATGGATAACTCCTTGCCCTCCACCTCCATCCCTACCACATCAAACTTCTTGTTTTTGATTCAATCTATACCAATCAGGTAAGCTGGGAACTGATCCTCACATGATAATTACTGCTATGGGGTTAGGTTTTACTCTCATGCCAGGCTCTGTGCCATAGCACACTTGGTGAGTACAATCGCAAAACATCCTCTGTGGGAAGCCCAACTGTCAGCTCCCTTTTAGAGATGAGAAAACTGAGGCTCAGGGAAGTTTAAAAAAAAAAGCCCAAAATGATACAGTGAATAAATAGCAACAATTTTAAATTTGTGGTTTTTATTTATTATGTAAAAAGAAATCCCTAGTCATAAAAAGATAGAAAATAAACATCTCAAATATATATATTTTTAAACCCCAGGCACATATAAATATTGTTTGACTCACTCTGGAGTTTGCTTTTTAAAATTTTGTTAACTATATAGACTTATGTTTATAAGACTGTAATCATATGTCTATACAACTCTGCACCAGCTTCCTATTAAACCTAAGCATGTTCCATGTTTATTACACAGTCTTTGTAAACATCATTTCTGATAGCTGCATAATAGTCCGTGTAATGGAGATGCCAGAGGGACACTAGCAAGGCAAACAGTGGAAAGGAGGGAAACACAGAGAGAGAAAAGAAGGTAGAAGATTGACATTTAGAGGCAGAATGTAAATGAAAAAATATGAAAAAAAAGTTTGAAAGAAGCCTATGGAATCTGGCCCTTATCTGATTCATAAAGGGTTTTAGGCAGGTTTTTCAGAATGGCATGAGAATTCAGGGAAGAGCTGGGAGAGAAAGAATGGTGACCTGTTTACATTTCTAGTCTGGATTATTACAACAACCTGCTGACTCCATCCCCCAGCCTCAAGACTGTGACACAGGACAGGAAATTTCATTGTCTATGAGGCTGCCCCCTGTGCCCTCCACTGCTAGTCACCTGCAGAAAGCCCTCCCTGTTTCCTGCTCAATGAGCAGCCTCTCCCTCTACTCTGCTAGCTCTGGGTGCTTTGCCCATCCACACAGGTATGGGGTACTGTATCAGTCCATATATATGCTACTGATAAAGACATACACAAGGCTGGGAAGAAAAAGAGGTTTAATTGGACTTACAGTTCCACATGGCTGGGGAGGCATCAGAATCATGATGGGAGGTGAAAGGCTCTTCTTACATGGTGGCGGCAAGAGAAAATGAGGAAGAAGCAAAAGCGGAAACCCCTGATAAACCCATCAGATCTCGTGAGACTTATTCACTATCATGAGAATAGCATGGGAAAGACCAGCCCCCATGATTCAATTATCTCCCCCTGGGTCCCTCCCACAACACATAGGAATTCTAGGAGATACAATTCAAGTTCAGATTTAGGTGGTGACACAGCCAAACCATATCAGGCACTATCTTGAGGCTAGTACCATATCTCCCATGTTCATGCCAGAGTCCCAGGGCCTAACACAGTACCAGATCCATAGAAGGTGCTCAGAATAATTTTACAAACTTTTATAATTAACCAATTACATGATCAATTAATTAACACAGGCTACTTCACCTTTCCATTCCAACTTTTTCTCCTCTGCAGTATTTATAAGTCATTAATGTACATAGGAATCCTCTGGGGACCAGAACATGGCAAGTTGCAGATTCTTATGTAGAGGGTTTGGGATGAGGCCTGGGATTCTGCATTTCTAACAAGTTATGAGGAAAAAGCTATTCCTCTTTAAGACACAAGTTCAGAAATTCTATTGTCTCCAGACCCAAAAGTTTTTACGTCCTATGCTTTAACGCATTTGTTTATTCACTCAGTAAACATTGATGGGTCATCTATAGTAATCTAAGCCCTGTGCATGGAACGGGGGGCTCAATCATGATCCAAGTAGACATGGACCCTGCCCTCTTAGAGCTTATGGTCTAGTTGGGGGGTGGGGCTGACATTAACTCAAAAACTCACCAATTATTAATACTTGCAAACTGAGCTATGTGCCAGGGAGGAAAGTAGTGCAATGTTATGAGAGTTCACTGGGATCAAGGGACCTATGGAGAGGGTTGGACAGCTTTTTTGAGAAAGTCACAGTTGATCTAACATCTACAGGATGAGCAGGAGTAAAGGGAAAGGAGGTGAGAAAAAGCTCTTGGGGCAGAAGGAACAACATGCACAGACTGTGTGCAGTAAGAATGTGATGAATATGAATGGGGTCTTTGCAATCCACAGGAGTCCACAAGACTTCCCTGTCACTTAAGCAAAATAATGAGGGGAGAAAAAAAAAATCTCCATAGAGGGTTTTTCCAGCCCCAATGGCTGGAACAATAACATTTCTTAAACTCTTATAGAATCTTGGATCAATGGGAAAGATGGGGATAGAAGTGAGAAAGGGAAGACCAACTACATTCATATTGGTTTTGTTTTTGTTTTTGTTTTTGTTTTTTTGAGACTGGGTCTCACCCTGTCACCCAGGCTGGAGTTCAGTGGCACAATCTTGGCTCACTGCGACCTCTGCCTCCCAGGCTCAAGCAATCTCAGCCTCCCAAGTAGCTGGGGCCACAGGCACACACCACCACACCTAGTTAATTTTAGTAATTTTTGTAGAGACGGGTCTCACTTTGTTGCTGGTCTCAAACTCCTGAGCTCAAGCAATCTGCCCACCTTGGCCTCCCAAAGTGGTGGGATTACAGGCATGAGCCACCACACCTGGCCCACATCTTTCTACTATAGGAGGAAATGGAATGTAGGCCAAAGGGTCCAGGTGTTGGTGTCAGACGGCCAAAGACTTGAATTTAAAATTTTGCCTCTATCACTTAACACTGATCTTGGGCAAGCTGTTTACACCTTTCTGAGCTTATTTTCCTCACCTGTAAGATGGAAACAATCATATAGTAACCATCTTTCATGGCTGTGATGAGACATTTCTGAGCTAATTTGGACAAAGTTGCTACTCTGTGAATTTTCACTCTCTCTCCCAGCCTTCCTACCACAAGACTTTGGGTGTCTGAGGAGATGTGATCTTGCTTTGACGGCTCAACACTTTTCACTGATGGTGGGCCATTCATGGTCAGGGACAGACAACAACATGAAACCCCAACATGTGGAAATAAGGCTACATTCTAGAGGAAAACCTGCATCTTGACTCACCACACTTCCAACACCAAATGTAGGGATTGTTTTCCCCACACCAACCAGTTTTCTAACTCTCTGGACACCAGCTAAGTGTCCTGCAATTTAATTCAGTTCTGACAAAAACTCCATGTGGGTTTGAAATCTTAGTCCCAGAAGACTGCCCTCACTTCAGACACCTGACACAAGTATCCTCACAGTTCCCTCTGACTTGGCTACAAATTCAGGGGTACCCATAACCCCACTGCAAGCCACTTTCCACCTCACTCCCCATCCAGGTTCAATAATTTGTCAGAACAGGTCACAAAACTCAGGGAAATATTTACTTTGATTTTTACTGGTTTATTCTAAAGGATGCAGATGAACAGACAGATGAAGAAGTACATAGCGTGAGGTCCAGAAAAATCCCAAGTGCAGGAGCTTCTGTCCCCATGCAATTGGGGTGCACCACCCTCCAGGCACATGGATGCATCCACCAACTCAGATACTCTTCAGGCCCTGCAGCTTAAGGATTTTTATGGAGGCTTCATCATGTAGCCAAGATTGACGTGATTAACTCTCCAGCTCCTCTTCTCTTCCCAGATAATGGGGAGTTGAGGCTGAAAGTTCCAAGTTTCTAATCATGGCTTGCCCTTTCTGGTGACCAGCTCCCATCCTGAAGCTATCCAGGATCCCACCAAGAATCACCTCATTAAAACAAAATATGCTCTTACCAGTCAGGACATTACAAGGGTTTTGGGAGCTCTATGTCAGGAACTTGAGGCAGAGGCCAAATACATAGTTCTTATTATGTCCACACCTCCTCAGGAGTAAACAGTGAAAAGTCAACTTTGAGACCTTGTGCTGATGTGCTAGTCTGCAAAAGCCTCTTCCCAAGAAGTTTGTCCATGACCATGGCCATGAGAACTTTTTGGTCTTTTAGGGAGTCTAGAGTCACTGCTACAGACATGTTAAGATATCAGCCCAGATATTTGCTTTGTATTCAATGGCATTGACATATCTTAATGGGGACTGCTCCCCAGGGCAAGAGAGGGCAGTGTGTTCTGTCAAAATGAGGCATCCCTAAGAAAAGTTTGCAAAGAACATCTCACATTTTGGGAGAAGGGGCTGTGGAGCTGCCCACTAATCCTGGGCTCCTCCTGTGTGAATTTGAAGGCTGAAGTATCCTAAGGCAGCATCTGGAGGTTGAATACCAGGCAGACCTGAGGCCAGAGCTCAGCTTCAGCCTTTACTGGTTTTATGACTTTGAGCTGGTGATTGCTTCTCACAGAGCCTTAGTTAGCTCATCTACAAAATGGGGATCCCAGGATCCACTTTGAGGTGCAGTGGGAGGGATTAAATTAGCCAGCGAACATTAAACCTCTCCAGAGTGCTCTGCCTTAGGAGGTGCCATTACTGCTGTGGCAGCTGCCAGTGACATCTGGCATAATTCTTGGTCCTGCCACCCAGGGTTGGGTGGCATAAATTCCTATCCTCTTCCCTATCTGAGCCTCAGATGTGAAGATCTGTACAGTGGGCTTCTCAGGACCACCTCATGAAGACTGAGATTGAGATTGTAAAAAAAAATATATATAAATAATAATAATAATAATAATAATAAAACACTTTACAGTGTCTGGCACAGAGTAGGACCTCAGCAAAGGGTCACTCTATTATTTTACAAATGCTGTTATTATTATTATTACTCAGTCAACAAGGACTGGGATATGCTCAGCTTAGAATTGACTTACATGACCAAAAGACTCAGGAATTAGATGCATTCTCCTGAAGTTCAGAGCTGTTGTCCTTCAAGCCACTGAAGTTCTATTTAGACCATTTATTCTATTCCCATTTTGCAGATGAAGCACTGGGGCCCAGAAAAGAGAAGTGTCTTTCTCATGTTCACATAGCTAGTCAGTAACAGCCTGCACTGAACCTGATTGCAGCCTTTGCTCTGCCATGCCACAGCAACTCTCCTTCAGCTTCTTTCCTGGTATTCAAGAACCTCGTCCCCATAGCACGAGTTCTTCTAGCCATATCCTCTGCTGCTTCCCTAACAAGACCAGCTCAGCTTCTCTACTTACTATTACTTAAAACATTTCCTATTTCCAGGCTCCACACCTCTGCATATGCTGTTCTCTCTATCTAGAATGCCTACTCCACTCCTTACCTAAGGAAACTATCATCAATCTGTTCCTTTTCTTGTCTTTGAGGCTCTGGAGCTAGAAACATACTCACAGAGGAATACCATAAGTGAATGTGAATTTTCTGATTCTTCCAAAGTCATGTGCCACCCCATAATTTCCATGAGGACTGAACAGAAAGGAACTTGGTCCATGTGGCTCCACTCACCTTCTCACACATGCCTGAGAGTTAGGAGCAGTATAGATTACTTTAATGACAGTATTACTTCCAACTGCGTCTCTCCCATCTGTTCTTCCCCAATTACGAATGCAGAAACCCAGCATGTGTCTCCATTCTGGCAGTAGAGAATGAAATATAAGTGCTATAAAAGGGAGTATATTCTTTGAACAATACAGTTGGCACCTGTGAAGCTTGCCTTGCATTTCAGATCCTTCTGCATCTTCAAGAGGGAGCTGGAGCCTCCTTTTAGAAAAGGCTGCAGCATGCCCAAATCATCCTTCCCCTTCCCTCAAACCCAGGGGTACTAAGAAATGACAAAGCCAGCGGGGTTTCATGGGAATCAGGAAAGAGCCTGGAGTTCTTGTGGAAATGGCTCAAGCCAAGGTGATGAGAAAACAGAATTAATAAGGGAGTCTATTTGCCACATCAAATGCACTAAGTGGGGGTTGAGGCTGAGAGAGATTAGAAAAAGCAGCCTCCATGGATATAAGCAGAATTTTGAAATCCAGAGGTATGTCAGGGAAAGTAAAAGGAGTGTGTTCTCATTCTTATTTTGCATATGAGAAACCAAAGGCTCAGAAATGTTAAGTTACCTGGATAAGGCCAGGTGTGGTTGCTCATGCCTGTAGTTCCAGCAGTTTGGGAGGCTGAAGTGGGTGGATCACTTGAGGTCAGGAGTTCAAAACCAGCCTGCCCAATATGGCGAAACTCTGTTTCTACTAAAGATGCAAAAATTAGCCATGTGTCGTGGCACATGCCAGGAGTCCCAGCTACCTGGGAGGCTGAGGCAGGAGAATCACTTAAACCCAGGAGGCAGAGGTTGCCGTGAGCCGAGCCGAGATCACACCACTGCACTCCAGCCTGGGCGACAGAGTGAGACTCCATCTCAAAATAATAATAATAATTACCTGGATGAGATCTCACAGCAAGGAAGAAGGAAGTGCAGGCCTGAGTTCAAACCTAATACAGTATGAAGTTGATGTTCTTAACCGCCATGGTACCCCCACTTAGAGTGAACCCACCTCACGAGCCCCAGCCACAGATGAATTGACATCCCTGCCTGCATACCCATGCAAAGCAAAACCCAAGCTTGCATCTCTTACCTCTGCCACAGCAATAAACAGGATTAGATGCAGAAAAGAAAATAACGAAAGGGCAGCCGAGTCCCAGATTTCAGAAAACAAATCATTCTCCGGATGAAATACACTTCAGGGGGAAGAAATCCCTAAATGTTTTATTAAAGGAATTCAACAACTACAAATATTAACAGCAAGGCTATGAATTATTTAAAATTCAACTACCTAAACCAGCCTATAAATTAAACATGAGAAGTTCTTGTCAGAAAGAGAGAGGCTGGGTGAGCTCCCACTTTCTTAGCACTGAGAATGAAGAAGGCGGACCTTGTGTTTTCTGAGCACCTACTGGGTGCCAACTGCTTTGCTTTTCTCACTTGCCAGTTGGAATCTGACTCTAAGCCTAGGAAAGAGATATTATGGGTTGCATGGTACAGTTGCAAGAAGCCAAAAGTTTGAGACAGAAAGTGGTTTCTCCACACTCACAGTTAAGTAATAGGGGAACTAAGGTTCAGCCAATGTTTGCATGGATTCAAAGCAATCTCTCTCCACTGTGCCAGGCTGCCTTGCAGCTGGAGGACACATGTAGGTGTAAAAGCAGAAAGCAGAGACCTTAGACACAGTCACATTGAATAGAGGAGAATAACCTGCAGATTCCAGTGCCCTGACCCATCACAGAGAAGCAAAGCTTCCTGGAGTTAGAATGCCAGGGAGTTAGTCACACACTTGTCATTGTTGTTGTTTCTAGGCAAGTTTTTTTTAACTAATTTTAGATTTATAGAAAAATTACAGAGATAATAATACACAGAGGTTTTGTTTGTTTGTTTGTTTGTTTGTTTGAGGTGGAGTTTCCCTCTGCTGCCCAGGCTGGAGTGCAGTGGCGCAATCTTGGCTCACTGCAAGCTCCCCACTGGGTTCACGTCATTCTCCTGCCTCAGCCTCCCAGACAACAGGCGCCTGCCACCACGCCTGGCTAACTTTTTTGTATTTTTAGTAGGACGGGGTTTCACCGTGTTAGCCAGGATGTTCTCGATCTCCTGACCTCGTGATCCGCCTGCCTCGGCCTCCCAAAGTGCTGGGATTACAAGCGTGAGCCACCGCGCATAAACCACCTATTTTCTTTTAATGTTAACAACTTACTTTACCATGATACAGTTGTAAAAACTAAGAAACCAGCATTGGTGCTGTACAATTAATTAAATTCCAGACCTTATTTGAATTTCACCAGTTTTTCCACTAATATCCTCTTTCTGTTCCAGAGTCCAATCCAAGATACTATAATTACTTTTACTTATTATGTCTTCTTAGTTTTTTTCTGGCCAGAGACAGTTTTTCAGTCTTCATTTGTTTGTCATGACCTTGAGAGTTTTAAGTAAAACTGGTCAGGCATTTTGTAGAATGTTCCTCAATCTGGGTAATATAATTTTTACCAGCTGTGTGTCAATGGATAAGCGTCTTGATCTTTCTTAAACTTTCTTCCCATGCTGTGAGTATGATTAAATAAGATAAAGCATGGAAAGCTCTTATCCTGGGCATGCACTCTTAGCCATCAGGATCATTATTTCGTGGGATGGATCTTACTCGCTTGCGAATGAAGATGCTATGGAATAATTTTGTCTGATATACTGGAGGCCATCAGGTTGCTTTGCTATAAAAATCACAGAATCACAAAAGAAGAAGAAGGACTAGTAGGATCATTTGGTCTGACTTTCCATTGCTACTTGAATACCTGTTATAAGGCAGGTACCTCTGGTGATAAGGCAGATGCTGCTTTATAAAGTGCTCAAGCCGTCTTTGAGCTGCTCAGACTGGTCTCGCTCTACCCTACTTCTAGCAGGATTCGTAAGAATCCCAGTCCGCTCACTCTTACTTTGCAGAATGACTATTTCATCCCTTCTCTCCATGCAAAACTCCAACAGCCTCCCACTGTCACCCTCTTAACAGATATCCTTGCTTTTTATTGCACTGAGAAAATATAAGTAATGAGAAGAATCAAGTCTATTAACTACTGGCATCCAAACCCTTCTTTTCTGGTTTTTTTTTCTTTTATGATGGGCACTCTTCCTGTGTCTGTTTGAGTCCAGTCCCTCAACTCAGGCAAAGGTGGATTTACCAGAAGCCTCAGCTTCAGGATCCTCCACTTCCGGCCCCAGCCAGTGCTGAAGGTTACTGAGGATTGCAGAATGTTAAAGATGGGGGTTGTAATCAGGAACGTTTGTATGTAAGCGTGTCAAGTAAATAACCTAAAGCAATGGTTTTTAAGGTAGTGGTGGGCGATGTCTGGAAACATTTTTGGTTGTCATGATTTGGGAGGTGCTACTGGCACCTAGTGGGTAGATGACAGGGGTGCTGCTAAATCCTATCACGCGTGGGACAGTCCCCTACAAAGGATTATCCGACCCGAAATGCCAGTGTTGCAGAGGTTAAGAAATCCTAGCTTAAAGAGGTTTCAGAAGAAAGATACACGCATCTTTAAAGTGCTGTCGATTTGTCATGATTTCTCTTCTTGTACTAAATAAATATTCAATTCTATGCCTAATTTTTGAATGTATAACTTTGTATTCTTTTTTCTTAAAGAGGACTTCAAATTGCATTAGCTCAGGCCCCAAAAAATTTGGACTGTACTTGTATTCAGGCCCTAGACATTCCTTTCACCATGGTGGGCTTTGCTCCTGCAATTTCTCCCCTCAACTGGGTCATGCCTATTTTGGTCCAGAGACTTACCTGTTTGCACCATCTTCAATTCCTTGCCTTCTTTCTGCCTTGATTCCCCTTCCACCAGGGCTCTCATCCTTCCCCTGTCTCCCAGGAATATTATAAAATCTCGTCGTTGATGTTCCCAATGACCTCCATCTGGCCAAATCCAATGACCAATTCTCAGTTTCCATTTGCTGAATGCTTTCTCTCATATAAAATAGCTGGTCACTCCTTCCTGTTAGAAATCTTTTTGTTTGTTTGTTTTTAATTTGGCTTCGAAGACAACACTCTTTACTGGTTTTCTGCCTACCTCACAGGCAGCTCACTCTCCCTGCTATATCCTCCCTTCTTTCTGACCTCTATGTGTTAGAGGGCACCAAGGTGCAATCCTGAGACCTCTCACTCCCCAGGTGATTTCATTCAATGCTGAAGTTCTAAATGCCAATAGCTCCAGTCCCAATCTCATCGTAAATGCCTCCATTTGGACAGCTAATGGACATCTCAAACGTACCATGTCTGACACGGAACTCATTATTCCCTCAACCTGTTTCTCCCACAGTTTTCCCTACACTGGAAATTGAACCAACATGCATCCTATTACTCAGGCCAAAACACTTGGAGTTATCCTTGACTAGTTCTGTCTCTCACACCCATAGTCAAACCATCAGCATATCCTGTCAGCTCCAACTTGAAAATGCAGCAATTTTTCAAGTATGTCTCAACACACTCATTCATTCTCCTAGTCCAAGCCATCATCATCACTGACCTTGGAAGATGGTGACCTCTTGACTGGCCCATCTCTAACCCATCTCTAACACACGCCTCTGACCCATCTCTAACACAATCCATTCTCCACCTCTGCACAATATCTGGAATTATCAACTTAAAATAAAAATCAGATCATTTCACCTCCTGCCCAAATGCCTCCCTGCCATGGCTTTTTTAGCACATTTAGAATGAATCCAGTGTCCTCCCCACTGCCTATGAAGTTCTTTCTGATCTGACCCCTGCCTACTTTTACCAGTTCCTACCACCATCCCACTCCAGTCCCTCGCCTGTTTGTTGTCCTTCTAGCACTCCATGCTTAGTTTTGCTTCAGGGCCTTTGCCTTTCCCATTTCCTCATCAGGAAATGCACTTCACCCAGATGTACAAGTAGCCCCATCACTTCACCCAGGTCTCCTGAATCTACTTCATGCATGTGTATGTCATAATCTATAATGTACATATTATACACGCATACATTATAATGCCACACATGGTATAGGCACATGATATGCATCTCTGCATACACAGCTTCTCAAACAGAAAATAGTGGCTGCTCTGAACAATGAAAAGGAAGTGTCAAATGTGGGCTAATTCTCACCCTGCTCTTTCCCCACCTCTCTCTGTAGTTTGATGCCAGTTGATTTTGTCTTCCTTCTGGAGCCACACAGAACAAGGTTCTCCTTTGGCTCTGCGAGAGACTTTCAAGAAAGGAAACAACCAGAATAAAAACAGAAAGCTTTCTTGATCCAGGCTAATGATGGTGGTGGTGACCATCATGTTTTTATGGTGAGGAAGAGGTTGGAAATGATAGCCTCCATTTATTGAGTCAATTGTCTGGCAGGTTCTGTACTAAGAATTTATAAATCATTACTCCATTTAATACTCATAGTAACTCTGTGAGGTGGGTCTTTTTTCCCCATTTTACAGATGAGGAAAAGGCTGACTTAGAGAAAAACTACAACTCATTTGGGCTTACAGAGCAAACAAGTGGCAGAACTGAAACCTGCCCTTATCTGATAAACCCTAAAGTCTATTTTAGTCTTATCCAAGCTCCTTTTATCTTTCTCTCCCTTTCTGAAAATGTTGACTCAAATTTGTTAACCTAGAAGATATGTGGAAGAATTTGGACCACAACCCATCCAGATCTATAGACTGTGTCATTTCTTTTCGCCCACACGCCTCACCCTGCAAGCCTTTATGCTTCAGGTTTGAGATTCCAGAGCCAGAGATCCTGCCTCTCAAAATGTGAGGGGTGAGGCTATCCGCATTTAGCTAATAACTCAGTTCTGGCTATTCTTGAGAGCTGACCTAGTCTTACTGTTGGGTGTGGTTGCCTCCAAACGATGCCTCCTACAGCCTTCAGTAATGAGCAAGACAGAACCTCTAAGGCTGTCAGCATCTTACTAGGGGGAATTTGAGGCCCAGGAGGCTTCGGACCCACGTCCTGCAGCATAGGATTTTCCTGCAGCACCTTACCTCCCGCCTTCTGTCATCCTCCATTCCCTCCCATTTCCGCCCATCCTTCACCACCTCCACCACATTTTGTTTTCTAGCTCAAATGGTAATGATCTTGCTCTTACATAGCCCCTTTCTGCCAAATAGATCCCTGAGCACGGTACAGGTGTTGGTAACGGATATTACCCGCCATCCATCTTTCTTAATCACACTCTGCTCCTGAAATGCAGCCACTTCTAGAGTGAAATATAGCCCCCATTTAGCCTTGCTTAACACCAATGGGAGAGCCCATGAAGGCAGGTCTGCCTTTCCAGACAAAGGTGCAGCACACTCCGAAACAGAGGTCAGAAGCTTTTCCTGGATCTGGGATTTGAGCAAGCTGTCACTTCTTGGAGCCTGCCTCGGACACTTCCCTGAGGGGTTGTCTCATACTCTCTGATGTGCCTCAGGGCCAGTACTGAAAACTGAGGTGTCTTGGCTTCTGAGGAAAGCCTGAGACACAGGCTTCTAAGCTGCAGTGAGAGAAATTCACTACCCAGCTCTGCTGCTGCAGGCCAGGGAAAAGGGAACGGGTCCCCCACATTACTGACTCTACAACCTACTCTTCTTAAACAATCAGTAAACACACACTGTGGGTCCTACTCCACGTTTCACACTTTGTAGCTGAGTGATCTCGTACAATTCTCTTAAGCCCTTTGAATCCTAGTGTATCATCTACATAAAGGGAATCATAGTCCTAGCTGAAGGGGTTGTTCTGAGAGTCAGATGAGAAAATGAATGCAATGCTCGTAGTAAAGATTACATTATAGTTGCTCAATAAAGGTTAGCAATTGTTACTGTAAGATAATTAATGGACAAATACTACACAGGGAAATGAGCTAGAAAAATATTAATAGAGACATTTTAAGGGGCTATAGATTTCATGATATTTATTGATAATAATATAAAACTCTAACTTCAAGGTATTAGGTTGGCACAAAAGTAATTGCGGTATTTTGCTGGTTGAATTACCTCAAGTCTTTCCCTCCATATTCTGATTCTGGGCTGACATTTCCCCTTCAACCCATCTCAACTCACACTCCCTGAGTAGTCACCAAATACCAGACTCTGAGGTACAAAAACAAACAAACCAAAAAACAAAAACAAGGTCCAGAAGCTGTCTCCTAGAAGCTGACAGTCTATAGGTGGTGAGGGGCACATAAGAAAACCATTCTTCTTTTACTTTAAAAGATTAGACTAGACCAACAGTATTTAACATAGGGCTGCCCAGACACCTGGCATTCCATGGGCGTTGGGAAGAGTGGAATGAGAGAAGGGTCTTCTGTCCATGGAAGGGGGAAAGACAAAAGTGTCTGGGGGGGCTGGAATCTCAGTTCCCCACTCCCATCCTGCTTCTCCCGAAAAGCACAGCTTTGCTTTCTTCAGTTTCCTATGTCCAGATTCCACATAAAGTCATGTTTCCTTTGAAAGGTTCTGCCTTTTGTTTTTCCCTAACATTGAACAAAAAGGTTCCTCTGGTTCCTTTCTGGGCCACTTTCCCAGGATTTGGTCCTCAAGTGTGACTATCTTGCACACCATCCACTCTTTTTGATCCTTATCACTTATGTTATTTAGTAGCTCAGGTGAATTTGGGCTTCTTGTCTTCCCAAGAGCCTGTGAATTCTTTGGGGGCAGGGTCCTTGCAACCTTCC
Source organism: Homo sapiens (assembly GCF_000001405.40). Taxonomy (NCBI): domain Eukaryota; kingdom Metazoa; phylum Chordata; class Mammalia; order Primates; family Hominidae; genus Homo; species Homo sapiens. The sequence goes on along the minus strand of NC_000009.12, from coordinate 116,906,121 downwards.
CTGGTCATCTCGAGCCCCAAGCACTGAGCGTGAGGCACAGGAGGTCTCTCCTCTGGCTTTGGCAGAAATCTAAGGTCTGGAGGGTCAGTGGAGAACAGGAACCTGCTGCTTCTCCAAGGCTGTGAAGGGCACAAGTGCAAAGGGGAAAATGGGGAAACAAAGCTTTAGAGAGACAGAGAAAGCATTTTCCACATCTCTGAATGAGGATGTCTGACTCCTAGGCTCTTAAACGGCACACCCCCCGCACCCCCCCCCAAAAAAAAAAAAAACAGGGATCACTTACTGCTGTGCTTCCCTGTGTATCTGGGTGCCCTGAGCACCGTGAATATTGGAGGTCTACCCTTAAGCCACCCACTCTTCCAAGGAAATTCAGTAAATCTAAATTTGAGCCTCACCTTCCAGGTTGTTATGAAGGTATATTTGTCATTGTAAGAGCATAAAACACATTTAGTGTCTTGTTACTTTAATATATAGCTTTCCATTATTTAGTCTTATTGTACTAGGCAATTTGTTCTCTTGCCCTGGGCACTGTGAATGTGAGGGGCGGGCCCATCTGCTTAGGAAGACAAAGGCAAGTGACTGAGTGTAAGGCACATGAAGGAGACCGACCTGGTCTTTCCTGCCTGTGTCCAAATACTCCCTTCTATACTAACGAAAGGGTAGCATGGTTAAGAGGATAAAGACTGTGTGTTGGGGTGTAGTGGTTGGCTCTCCTGCATTCAGGACACGCTGCTTTCTTGGCGGATTCGTCAGGCCCTTCGTCTCCTTTTATATCCTGTGCATGTCTTGGTAAAGTGCTAAGTGTTTTGTGCCATTACAAATGCCGCTTTTGTATCACACCAACTCCTGCTGGTGGCTCCTGGCAGCATACAATAGGTTGTACATTTATTTCCGCTAGGACATTTCAAAAGGAGCACACGCTCTTCTGTACAGGAAAATCTGCCTCCCCACCCACCCGCGGCCCCTCCAGAAGTGAAGCCCAAGATTAGCTCCCTGGGCAGTCTTTTCAGTTTCCTCAAATAGCCAAGACTCTAAGGAAGGAGGGGGAGACAAGAGGCTCCCAAGGCTGGGAGTGGAGAGGGTTTCAGAAGGCCAGGCCTGCTCCTCATTCTCTGCCAAAAAATAGGACCACAGAGGGGCCTTTGGAGGACTTGGAGGAGAGTTGGGGGTGCGGAGGGTGGAAGGGCATTTGGCCTGGGCCTCATAGTCACAAATGGCTGCAAACATAGAGCTGTAACGTTACCACCAAATGAATTTCTAGAGTGCACAGCCACTGTACACTCCAGAAAGATTGAGAGATGTTCATCACGCAGCCTTAATCTTGAGTTTATTTTTGTAATCCTGTTTGTCGTGAATTTCTTAAGAAATGGAAATGGCCTAGGTCTTTCTGCTGCAGAAAACAGACATAGATACCATTCAACAGGTGGATTAATAATAACTGACACTTCTATAGCACTCCAACTATGCCAAGTGCCATTCTTAGTGGTTTACATGTATTAATGAACTCATTTGATCTTTGTGATTCCAACCTTCTAAGATGGGTAACCTCATTATTCCTCTTTTACAGATGAAGAAACTGAAGCCCACAGGGCTGAAGTAAATTGTCTGAGGTCCCATAGGTAGTAAGCAACATAGCTGGGATTGGAGAGCAGGCAGTCTGGCTCCCAGGACAGGACTTGAACCACAACACAGTACAGCCTCTTAAATATGAACAGCCTGACCAGACTGTGAGTGTCATTCTGCGGTCCCACCTGCCACCTCATGGTTATTCCTCAGACTGTCTGTGTCCTACCCCATCAGGCAGCCCTTTGAGACTGTCTGCCACGAGGACATAGGAGCCTTCTGCAGCCTTAACCCCTGATGCTCCTGTGTCCTGGAGAGACACACTTCCCAGAGCTGCTCAATTTCTACCGTATGTATGCCAGGCCCTGTGGTAGGCCTTAGAGCTGTACCAGAAGCAAGGGAGTCTCTACTCCTGTCCTCACCCATGTGCAGTTGAATGAGAGGGACATACAACACTCACATTCTGACATGATTCTGGCAAGGATGGTAGAAGGATGGGGACCCTGTGGCGCACAGCAGAAACTCTCAACCCTGGGAGACTAGGGGAGGCTTTCAAATGCAACTAATGATCTGAGACATGAACATTGATCAGGCATTGGAAAGCCCAAAAGCTGAGGGAGGGGTGTGTTCCTGGCAGAGACTAGAAGGCAAGTGAGAGCTGGCCCCTTCTTGCCCATCTGCTATGCCAGTCCCCTGTGAAGCACATCCCCAGGGCATCAGCCTGATGTAGAGGTAAACAGGCCTTTTTGGACCTCTTTCCTTTGGGCCTCAGGCCTCTGCATGGAAAAAAACAAATGTCAAACTATTAATACAGCCTCATGACTCTCACATGCCACACCCTGGGCTGAGCTCTTTCCCTATATCATCTCATTTAGTCCATCTCAACAAGGAACCTAAGGCCCAGAGAGAGAGTATGTCTCATATCCAGAAGAGGAGGAGGTGGGTTCAGCACCCAGGCCAGGATATGTCCAAGTTTTGCTATAGAAGTGTCAGTTATTATTAATTCACCTGTTGAGTGGTATCTATGTCTGTTTTCTACAGCAGAAAGTCCTGGGTCATTTCCATTTCTTAAGAGACCCTAACACTCAAGGTCACATTGCAAGAGGTACGTGTGAGATGGGAGATACTGTTGTGGCCAGCTTTGGAAAATCCAATTGGTCGCAAATATCCACTATGTACTAGATACTAATGCTAAGTAAACATCAGTATATAAAACAAAGATCTCTGCCAACAACGATTTTACATTCTAGGGGGAGAAGACAAAAAATAGCATGATAAACAGGTAAATTATACAGTAGATTCGAGGTAATAAGTGCCATAAAAGTACAGCAGGGTAAAATTACAGCAGGGGCTTAAGAGTGATGATGGTGGGGTGAGAGCCACAATTTTAAGTAGAAGAATCAGGGAAGCTCTCCCAAGAATACAGTATTTGGGCAAATAAAAAGGAGGAGGAGGAAGTGAAGAGGAGGAGGAATGCAGCATATGGATGTCTGGAAAATATCATTCCAAAGAGAACAACAGCAAGTGCAAAGGCCCTGAGGCAGAAAATCCCTGGTGTTTCAAGAGACAGAGTTGGGGGAAGTAATGGGAGATGTGGTCAAAGTGGTAATGGATGGTCAGATCCTACTGGGCTCTTCAAAGACATGGGAATAGCCTTAACTTTTACTTTTAAAGAAGTAAAAAGTTGTAAAGTAAAGAAGTAAAAAAACATTTACTCCTGGAAGCCAGTGGAAGGCTTTAAACAGATAAGGAACAGTATCTACCCTAAGTTTCAAAAGGAATCCTCTGGCAGCTTTGTTGAGGATAGACTTATATTAATCAGGGTTCTCTAGAAAAAGCAGAACCAAAAGGATATACAGTCATGCATCGATTAACAACAGGGATATCTTCTGAGAAATGTACCATTAGGCGATTCTGTCATTGTGACAACATCCTAGATTATACTACACAAACCCAGATAGTATAGCCTAGTGCACACCTAGTTATGTGACACAGCCTCCTGGGCTATAAACCTATACAGCAAATTGCTGTACTGAATACTGTAGGCAATTGTAACACAATGGTATTTGTGTATCTAAGCATAGAAAATGTACACCAAAATATGGTATATTTTTTACTTTATAAAATTTTCATTTTTCAAACTTTACACTTTTATGTAACACATCTTGAAACACAAACACATTGTACAGCTGTACAAAAATATTTTCTTTCTTTATATGTTTATTCTATAAACCTTTTTTCTATTTTTATTTTTTAAACTTTTCTTGTTAAAAACTAAGGCACAAATGCACGTATTAGCCTAGGTTTCCACAGGGTCAGGATCATTAATATCACTGTCTTCCACCTCCATATCTTTTCCCACTGGAAAGTCTTCTGGGGCAGTAACACATATGGAGCTGTCATCTCCTATGGTAACAGTGCCTTCTTCTGAAATACCTCCTGAAGGACATGCCTGAGGCTTTATAACAGTTAACTTTTATTTTATTTTATTTCATTTTATATTATGTTTGTTTATTTATTTATTTATTTATTTGAAACAAGAGTCTCACTCTGCTGCCCAGGCTTGAGTGCAGTGGCATGATCTTGGCTCACTGCAACCTCTGCCTCCCGGGTTCAAGTAATTCTGCCTCAGCCTCCTGAGTAGCTGGGATTATAGGCACATACCACCATGCCTGGCTAATTTTTGTATTTTCAATAGAGACAGGGTTTCACCATGTTGGCCAGGCTGGCCTGGAACTCCTGACCTCGGGTGATCTTGGCCTCCCAAAGTGCTGGGATTACAGGCGTGAGCCACCGTGCCTGGCCTATAACAGTTAACTTTTAAAAGATATAAGTAGGAATATACTCTAAAATAACAATCAATAGTATACTATAATAAATACATAAACCAGTAACATAGTCATGTATTATTATTATCAACTATTATATACTGCACATTAATTGTATGTGCTATACTCTTATATAACTGGCAGTTCAGTAAGTTTGTTTATACCAGCATGACCACAAACAGGTGATTAATGCATTGTTACAATGTTATGCAGACTGTCGCAATGTCATTAAGCAACAGGAATTTTTCAGCTCCATTATGATCTCAGCTCACTGCTGCCTCAACCTCTTAAACTCAGGCAACCCTCTACCTCAGCTGCCTGAGTACCTGGGACTACAGCCATATGCCACTATGTCTGGCTAATTATAAATTATTTTTTTTCTGTAGCAATAAGGTTTTACTATGTTACCCAGGCTGGTCTCAAACTCCTGGGCTCAAAGGATCCTCCCACCTCAGCCTCCTTATGGGTGTAAGCCACTGCACCCAGCCTTCCAAAATAATTTTAAAGGACCACTGTCATATATGCAATGCGTTATTGCCTGGGCATATGGGCATATAAGGTGAGTTAAAGTAAAAATGGCCATATGAATAATGCAGCTTTCACACACTTGCACACGCGCACACACACACACACACACACAATCAGTAGCCGGAAATAGGATTTGGAGTCGGAATTTAGGTAAAATTGCAACCACAGCCACTCATTCTATGTTTAACTTTGAACAAATTTTTCACATTTCTTTCTTCATTTTTAGGAAGTCCAGTTTAAAAAAAGAAAGAAAGAAATTCTTGGATATGGTAAAACGTTTTACCCGCTGGCAAGCCGGGAGAAGCTTATGGCAAAAATAAAATAAAGCCCGTAGAGAAGCAGTCTCCTTATTGCTTTACAAAGTAAATGTGCTGTCCCCTCCCACTTATTTCCTGTGGAGCCTGAGAACCAAACGAAGGTGGAGGGAGAAGAAAGAGGGGGGCAGGAAAGAGGGAGATGGAGAAGGGAGGGAGGAAGCAGGTGAGGTGATGGCTTAGTTCCTCTTCATCCTTCCTGCAGGATGAGCTGGAACCAATGGTAGGCTTCCTGCCTTGCCTCCATTCTGTGTGTGCTGCCTTGAAGAATCGGTCTGACTTCTTACTTTAGATCATTTCAGAGGGCTCTATTTTTTCTCTCTGACTTGTACTTTAACTTTTAAACTTTTCATTTCTGAGGGTTAAGCCTAGGAATATAGCTCTCAATAAGAAAAAATCCTCAAAATGATTTCTCTCTCTACAAATTACATATCACAGAAACCATAGACTCCAGGCAGCCATAAATGTGGTGAGGGGGGAGAAGATCAAAAAGCATCACCCCTGAAAAAAATGACAAACCCTTCTCTGTCATGTCCTTCCACACTCTCTGAATCTTGATGTCTTCTTTCATAAAATGGGAATATGGAGGCTTAGTTGTCAGGGTTGCTATGAGGATTAGATGAGGATCCAGCATGGTGTCTACAAATGGTAACTATCATCATCATGATTGTCATTGCCCAACAGGTTTTTCTTGCCCTCTGCACAGACAGAGTCAATTTACTGAAACAGCAGCATTGCAATAGAGAAATAGTTTAATAAATGCAGATTCAGTTAAGTGATAGGAGAGGAGTTTATTACTCAAATCAGCCTCACTGAAAATTTGGAGGCTAAGGTTTTTTAAAGATAGTTTGACGAGCAGGGGCCTAGGGAATGGGGAATGCAGATTTGTTGGGTTGGGGATGAAATGAATAGGGAGTTAAATCTTGTCTTCTTGTGCTGAGTCAGTTCCTAGGTGGGGGCCACAATACCAGATGAGCCACTTTTACGGGTCTGCTTGGATATCGGAATGCAGGATGTGAAAAAATACCTCAAATACCAATCTTAGGTTTTACAACAGTAGTGTTATATGCAGGAGCAGTTGGGGAGGTTAGGAATCCTGTGATCTCTGGCTGCATGACTCCTGAGCCATAACTTTTAATCCTGTGGCTAATTTGTTTGTTTTACAAAGGCAGTGTGGTCTCCAAGCAAGGATGGGTTTTGTTTCAGGAAGGAGCTGTTATTATCTTTGTTTCAAAGTTAAACTGTAAACTGAATTCCTCCTGAGGTTACCATAGCCTCCACCAGGAATAAACAAGGATAGCTTGGAGGTTAGAAGCAAGATGGAGTTGGTTATGTCAGATATCTTCCACTGTCATATTTCTCCTATGTTGGGTTTTTCTCACTGTTATAATTTTGCAAAGGATGGTTCATGATCATTATTATTTTGTGGGGAGGAAATTTATTCATGAAGGCAACATGGAGAAAATAACCTAAAGGAAAATAGGATGTGGGCATGGGAATGTTGGGAGAGAGAACAGAGTTCCAGGTGAGGAAACAGCCCATGTAAAAGCAAGAGGCCTGAACACCTTTGGACACCATTATGGAAAAGGCCAGTCTGCCCTAACAGCTTCTCCTGATTGGATTTAACTCCAGCAGTTCTAACTCAGGTGTATGGTATGTCCCTTTGACTTTGATAAGACCCCCTAGTGTTGTCATTGTGGAATGCCTCCTCATTGATAATCACTGATACCCACAAAGCCAGGTAAAATGGTATATTCATGTGTAGCTGAATGGTTGCTCAGTTCCAATATCAACTGGCACTATAGGAATTAAGAAAACATCAAAACCTTGTTAATACTGAGTCTATTTAATCAAATACCTGATTCCATGGGGGTTAGGCAGGAACCTCAACTTTCAACTCAATAAAGAAATAACACTGCATATGGTAGCTCATGCCTGAAATCCCAGCATTTTAGGAGGTCAAGGCAAGAAAGAGGATCACTTGAGCCCAAGAGTTTGAGACCAGCTAGGGCGATATAGTGAGACCCATCTCTACAAAATATATTTAAAAAAATTAGGCAAGTGTGGTGGCACATGCCTTTAGTCTCACTACTTGGGTGGCTTAAATGGGAGGATTGCTTGAGCCAGGGAGATCAACGCTGCAGTGAGATGTGAACGTGCCACTGCACTCCAACCTGTACAACATAGCGAGACCCTGTCTCAAAAAAATAAAAAACATAAAAGGAATAATTTTTAACACTTTTTTAAAATATGAAAAAACACAGATAAGAGAGCAGGGAATAAACAGGAGATGAATGCAAATTTATGATCCAGACAGAAGACACTACAGGTTGCCCTGTGGTCACTCGGCTTCATGAAGTTGGTCTGTTTTGTCAATCTTGGAACTGAAGAAGTGAAGGCTCTTAGCAGAGAAGTTATTTGCGAAGTAGGTTCACCAGGTCTTTCTGACTCTATTTTCCAAACTCTTTTTTTTTTTTTTGAGACAGGGTCTTGTTCTGTCACCCAGGCTGGAGTGCAGTGGTGTGATCATAGCTCACTGCAGCTGTTGACCTCCAAGGCTAAAGTGATCCTCCCATCTTAGCCACCCGAGTAGCTGAGACCACAAGCATACACCACCATGCTTGGCGCTATTTTTTCTATTTTTTGTAGAGATAGGGTCTCACTATGTTGCCCAGGGTGGTCTCAAACTTCTGCACTCAAGCGATCCTTCCACCTTGGCCTCCCAAAGTGCTGGGATTACAGACACGAGCCAATGCATCCAGCTTCAAACTCCTTCCACATTATCGTGTAGTCTCCTGTGATACTAGGCTACGTACTAGACATTTCTCTCTTTTTTTAAGTTCACTTAAAAATGCATGAATCAATTCTGCTTTCATAAATTAGAACAATATCACTATAACTAAAATCACTCTGACTACCCCATCCACATTTGTCATTGCTAATCTAGTCTTTGTCCCAGCTCTCCCTGCCCAAAAGTAGCCACTCATATAAATGTGATTTTTGGAAAAGTTATTTCCAAAATAACTTTAAATGAGTTTGTGTTGTCACTTCAGTCCTTTAAAAATACTTTTCCAGATATGTAACCTACCCATAGGAATGCTGTAATGTGTGCTTGTTTTTTTTAAATGGTGTCAGACTATATATAACATTCTGCATCTTGATTTTTTTTTTTACTCTCAGCAATATTTTTTGAACTCTGTTCATGGTGACACATATAGATTCAGTTCGTTCCTTTTAAGTGCAGGAGAACATTCCGGCATATGAATATGCCAGTTTTATTCAGCGATGTCCTAACTGAAGAGTATTTAGGTTGTTTTCAGTTTTTTGCTACTACAAACAATGCCTCAGTGATCACTTAGTGCATGTACATCTTTGTGTGTATGTTCAAGCACTTGAAAAGCTCACAGTTAAACGCTAACAAGTGGAATGCTCATCATGTATCATTTTTATCTGTGTGAGAAGCAGTTTCCTAAATGGCCTGTAATCCTTGATTGTGAGTTTGACCATCTGGTTTTCAGAATTACTGGCACTCAGTCTGGGAGGGAATGTGAAGATTCAAGCCTCGCTTTTTAGAGTTAGACCCTGATTGCCCAGAGAGGAGATTGACTTGACAATCGTCACAGAGCACAGAGCTTGATCTTGCAGTCCTTCGCCTGGTATTACCACTTGCCATGTGTCCTTCCCATCTACATTTGGTCCTTGACAGCTGTCACCTGCACCTTCAGTGCGCTGCACCTAAATCTGTCTGCCTGAGGTTATTTTTTTGGGAGCAGGTGGGCAGTGATGATGGCCTTAGGCACAATCCACAGCAAAAGATGAACAGGAGGTTGGTAGAAAAATATGCCACATTTCTTGCCCCTTCACAGAAAGATTCAGGGTTGTATCTTACCCAGTCTCTCAGAGAGACCATAACGAGATCGAGTTCTTGTTGCCCACCTGGTAGCCCCCTCATTAACACACTGATATGGTTTGGCTCTGTGTCCCCACGCAAATCTCATCTCGAATTGTAATCCACATGTGTCAAGGGAGGAAGGTGATTGGATCACTGGGATGGTGTCCCCATGCTGTTCTCATGATGGTAAATGAGTGAGTTCTCATGAGATCTAATGGTCTTATAAATGGCAGTTTTCCCTGCCCTCTTCTCTTACCTGCCACCATGTGAGACGTCCCTGCTTCCCCTTCTGCCATGATTGTAAGTTTCCCAAGACCTCCCCAGCCATGTGGAACTGTGAGTCAATTAAACCTCTTTTTTAATAAATTACCCAGTCTAGGAGGGGCACGGCAGCTCATGCCTGTAATCCCAGCACTTTGGGAGGCTGAGGCAGGCGGATCACCTGAGGTCAAGAGTTTGAGACCATCCTGGCCAACATGGTGAAACCCTGTCTCTACTAAAAACACATAAAATTAGCCAGGCACCTGTAATCCCAGCTACTCTGGAGGCTGAGGCAGGAGGATTGCTTGAACCTGGGAGGCGGAGTAGGCCAAGATAATGCCATTGCACTCCAGCCTGGGCAACAAGAGGGAAACTCCATCTCATAAAAAAATCAAAATAAAAATTTAAAAAATAAATTACCTAGCCTCAGGTATTTCTTTATAGTAGTATGAAAATGAACTAATACATACACCCTTGTTTGCTTTCCTCCATTCCTTGGCTCAATTCTCAGTCCCTCACTTGCTTCCTGGAATCACCTCCCAAATCAACTACTATTACCACATTCCTTAGCTCTGGGTCAGCTCTCATAGAACTCAATCCAAGATTTCATCTATATTCCAGGTTCTGTGCTTGGCAAATAGAATACACTTATGAATAATATGTGATTTTCTGCACTTAACAAGGACACTTAATGACTCAGGTCTTCTGACTATTTGTTTATTTGTTTGTCTTGCCATATCATATCCATGCATTTAAATTCAATGGCATTTATTGTTTTTTAAAAATCAATTGGTCTTCTCACAGTCTGACTAAATGAAGTTTTATTGTAATAACCTAATTCCACTCCCTTTTTTTATGTAAAGACATGACTAAAATAATAATCCTTACACACACATTTTAACTGGAAACTGAGCCACTGCCCCAGTGCTCTATTGGCATCTCCATTTTTCTGATATTTATGTTTCTCCTCCCTCTGCTCTTAGTAAATGTTGATGTTCAGTTCACCCTGATCAGTATTTAGCCCTTCTGGTCAATTTATCTTATTTATTGATCTAAGCAGAAAATCAATACAGTCTTCATTTGCTGTCCTGTTGAATATAGGAGAATTTGATTCTGCAGAAACTATGCCCAGATTACTAAGACCTTGATAGGATACTACTACCAAACTCCTTTCAGAAAGCCTTCCAGGATCCAGTTCTAACTCACATCCTTTGCCCCTGTGCCAAAACCATGACCGCTTCCACTTCCACCCTCTTATGAATAGATACAGAGCATCCCTTTGGTCTCCTAGCAAAGACTTGACCCCTGGTGCTTACTAAGTACAAGTTGAGTATCCCCTTATCTGAAATGCTTGGGACTAGAGAAGTGTTTCAGATTTCTGACTTTTTCAGATTTTGGAATATTTGCATAGACATAAAGAAATATCCTGGAGATGGGACCCAAGTCTAAACATGAAATTCATATGTTTCATATACACCTTATGCATATAGCCTGAAGGGAATTGTATACAATAGTTTTAACAATCCTGTGCATTAAATAAAGTGTGTGTACATTGAACCGGCAGAAAGAAAAGGTATGGAATTTTCCACCTGAGGTGTCATGTCGCACTCAAAAAGTTTCCAATTTTGGAGCATTTCAAATTTCAGATTATTGGATTAGGGATGCTCAATCTGTACAAATAAATGTATTAAGCTTGCTTTCAGAATGTATTGGTTTTCAGAGAATTCTACCAACTCATGGGACCACTTACATAAATGTGCAGGGAGGTAAAATGCCTTTGCAATAAATAAATAACCCAAGAACCTTTTGGAAAATCAGTTGCTTCTACATCATAGTATCTATTGTGGAGCCTTAAATTCATACTGTTTGCAGAGGTTTGGGTGTCAGGAAGACCTTGAATTCTAATCCCATCTCCTCCCCTGATTAAATGAGACATTGCGCAAATAACCTACCCTCTCTGAACTTCTTTACTGACCTACAACATGAGAATAGGCTGGGCATCGGTGGCTCTCGTCTGTAATCATAGCACTTTAGGAGGCCAAGGCAGAAGAATCACTTGAGCCCAGGATCCCAGGAGGCCAGCCCAGGCATGGTGGCACCCACCCGTAGTCCCAGCAACTTGGGAGGTTGAGGCAGGAGGATCGCTTGAGCCTGGGAGGTCAAAGTTGCAGTGAGCCATGTTTATGCAACTGTACTCCAGCCTGGGTGATAGAGTGAGACCCTGTCTCAATAACTAAATAAACAAATAAAATTAGAACAATGGTAATATTTTATCTATCATCAGGATTTTCTCAGAATTACAAATCATGCTGGTCAAACTCATAGTGGGGTACTGGCTCCTATCTTTATGTGATAACTGTCATTTGGCTATTTTTCTCCTTTTCTTTTAAATTGTAATGGAGTCATTGACTTTTTTTTAAATAGGTACTTACAAGTCTTTCAGTCACCATGAAATATCAATTACCATCCACCCTGTCCCTACCTACCACTTCCTTTGAAGAACAAGAATAATGCCCAACTAAACTCTGGGTTCAGGGGCAGAAAGGAGGCCCACATGTTTTTGATCTAGGAACTGGCAAGTAAATGTCTGGGATTTTTTTGGTAGTGGATTCTCCCTCTAACCTGTGCTTGTGCAGGGCAGGACACTAAGAAGGCTCTCAGTCAGTCCTAGAATGGAAGTAGGGAAGGCTAGTCATTGCTTTTCTGCAGATGCTCACTCAAATGAAGTGAAAAGCAAACACCCAGGCCATTGTGTGGCGAGGTAGTCAGTGTGCTAATGGGAAAAATGTGGATGCTCAAGCAGGGTTCTGACCAAGCGTGGGCCTGGGGGCAGACGTTGAGTGTTCAGAAAAGCTTCAAAGGCTGATCTCTCTTGGTATCCCTAAATCAGCAGGAGTTAACCTGGCAGTGGGCTTGGGATAGAGAAAGCAATTATGGACCTAAGAAGCAGGAAGTATGGTGGCTTGGAAATGGATAGATTTGGCCTGTTGCATAAAGGGAAATAATTACTAAGGTGAGGAGGGAAGAGAGGAGAGAGGGAGGGAGAGGTGTTGAGGTAGGGAATGATACTAATAATAACTGCATGTCTTGGTGAGTGCTCACTCCATGCAGGCACCTACCAGGAACCCTGACACATCATCGTATTGAGTTCAAACAATACCAAGTAGAGCCAGGTTCTACTAGCATCTCGGTTTACAACTGGGGGACTGAGGCTGGAAGAGTCAGTGACCTGTGCAAAGTCACCTAGCTAGTAAGAGGGTATAGCCAGAATTACTCCTAGATCTCTCCTGCTTTAGAGTGGGCAGAATCTTAGGCACCTGCAGTCCTGCTGAGCTTCCCATCAGGGCACTAATTATAATGGAGAAAAACTTCCAACAACCAAATGTTCTCTAATAGGGGATTGGATCATTTAATTGGGCAACTTCAAAATAGCCATGAAAATAATGTGTTTGAAAGAAACAAAAAAGTGTCCTGAAATGTCCTTGGAGTAAGATTAAGGAAAAAGAAGAATATGAAGGTATATGTATAGTAAGATTCTAAAGTGTGTGTGTGTGTGTGTGTGTGTGTGTGTGTGTGATACACCTTTAGTAGATTTTGGCAACACTTCAATGAGTAAAACAGATAAAAACTCATGCTCTTGTGTAATTTACATTCTAATGGGAAGAATCAGAAAATAAATAATAAGTGTGATAAATTATTTTAGGTGTTGGGAGTTTGGGAGTACCGGAGAATGGAGAAGGGGTGTAAGTGCCATCGGCCATGGGATAGAATTGCCAGATAAAATATTGAGTACCCAGTTGAATTTGAATTTCAGGCAGGCAATTAATAATTGCACTATTTGGGAAGTGTGTATACCAAAAGAAATTTGCTGTTTAAAATCCAAATTTAATTGGGTGCCTTTATTTTTATTTGCTAAATATGACAGTCCTCATATTAGGCAGTCATCCCATGACACTGAGCAGGTGACATTTGAGCCATGAGGTTATCTAGAGAAAGAGCATTCATGCTTGGATCAAAGACAGCAAAATAACGATTACAGTGCCCTCTCTGCAGTGGGATTAATGGATTTGTTTTTCTTTTTACTTTTCGATGTTGTCCAAATGCCTTCCAGCAGCAATGTATTACTTTTATAATGAAAAAAAAAATAGATTAAAAGTCAGTGCAATCTGACCGGGACCAGCTTGGCTTCATCTGCCTTCTCTCTTTTGCTCTCACCTCTTCATTCTCAGAGCTTCCAGCAACCAGCTCCCAGCCACCCCACCCACTCTCACCAGCCAGGTCAACAATTCATCAGCCCTCAAACCACAGTACTGTAAATGCTGGTATATAAGACTGGCATCTACACCTTAAAACCGTTCCTAAGCTAAGACTCTGTCAATTTGGGCATGACTTTCTCACACATGAAGGTTACTTTCTCAACTAATTTATTTTAAATAGCAACTGCTTGAGAAAGAGACGTTAGACTGAATCAAGAATTATATGTGAAGAATTGCAATAAAGTAGTTTTACTGAAACAAAAGAGTGAGCAAGAACAGTATTTCTAAATTTATTTATTATAAATAAGTGATTTTAAATATTATATAGATATCACTATTACTAAAGTAGTAAATGAAATACTATAATTAGATATGAGACTGGTTCACTTATATTTCTAAGCAAAGTTTATGTATTCAGGCATATCAGATAACTTAAAATTTTAGGAAAATGTGCAGTAGTCTGTCATATTCAGGACCTCATGCAGGGGACTTGCTATATATGCTAAACACTACAGGGTTTTCCATCTTAGCAGTTATAGTAGGTAATAGCTTATATACCTTGAATATTTCCAATGCAATCAGCTCTAAATGCTTTGTTTGTATCAATTCATTTCATCCTCACAACAATCCCATAAGGATGATGGTATTGTTATTCCTATTTTGCAGTCTAGCTCCAGAGACTGTACTTTAAAAACATATATGTAATTTTTATCATGGAACATGTCAAACATAAAAGAAAGTGGAAAGATAGTAAAATGGATGACCAAGTGCCCATCACTCAGCAGAAATCAACTCACTTCGTGGACTAGAGGCCAAATGTTAAGTTCATCAAGTGACTCTGACTCATCAAAGCCCATTGTCATAGAGCCTGCCTGCATCTGTATTCTGACCCTATACTCCCAGCGATGGGACTTTGTGCACACCCATGTGCTTCTTTAGGCCCCCATTTCCTCATCTATAAAGTGGGGGTAACGTAGTTGCTGCTTTACACAGTTGGGCTAAGATAACTAGCATATGCTAAGTGCCTAGCTCACTGCTTGACACATAGTAAACACTTGATAAACATATGATCCAATTAGTGTTCATCTTCCTCACTCTAATGAAAGCTGAAAAAGAGCAACAGTGACAGAATACCACCAAACACAAACCCAGGCAGGTATTCAGAAAATATCTGTTGAGTAAACAAAAGCGAAATATCTTCTGCTTTAGCCTGAAAGCTCCACCACATATGCCCGATTTTCTTTCAGCAGAGAATTTTTCCTGCCCAAGTTAATAGTTAGCACTACTCAAAACCTTTTAAAATATAAACAGTCTTTAAGAGAAATTGTATACTAATGCAAATATCAAGGTACATCTGGCTACTGCTAGCAAAATACACTGAACAATGAATACATTAGATACATCAGCACCAGGCATTTGGGCTCTAAGAACTTTTGCTTTGATGACTCCTGGAGGCCCTGGAATTACTTCTAGATGAACTAGAATTGCCTTGTTGATGTGAAGCCTAACAGAGAGCTTAATTCTTCCTATGCTAACCTTGAGGCCGCTGAGACCAAATGGAATTTCAGACCAAGCATAGGAGTAAAATCACCAATAAGATCAATGATACATTTTCTTTCTGTGAGCAGCTGCCTCAGGCGGTGCTGAGTTCATATACCCCCGCTCCACCCCCCTGCCACTTACCAGCCTGGAAAAGGTCACTTCTCTTCTTGGAGCTGAATGAGATAATATTAGAAGCTTCTTTCCACCCTGGGGAGCTTTAAACATGCTAACTTCTGTTACCTTGTCGACCTTATCAGCAGTGCCATGAATAC
Organism: Homo sapiens; assembly: GCF_000001405.40. NCBI lineage: Eukaryota > Metazoa > Chordata > Mammalia > Primates > Hominidae > Homo > Homo sapiens. The sequence continues at coordinate 116,890,665 of NC_000009.12, read as the reverse complement.
ATTTTCATCTTTCAAACAAGAAAACAAGCTCAGAGAGATTCAGTGACTTACTCAGAGTCACACAGCTTTGACAGGGGACTTTCGAAAGCTTAAGTGTCAAAAGATCATTTTACAGCTATGTACTTGGATGTCATTTATTTAAACGTGGTTAGGGGGCAAAGAATGAAATTCACTTGGGTTTTGTGCATGGACCTGAGATATCTACAATGGTGGGGAAATGGGTTCTCTTGATTATATCATAAAATAACCAGAAGATTTCCTTTAACTACCATGTTGAGCTATTGCTAGCAATTTGAAATTTTTATGTGAGTGCCAGGCAGCCGATCATCTGCGTGGCAGGTGCAGTTAGGAATATGGAATAAGAAAGGAGTTTATTTATAAATGGCCAGATGAATCCCCAAAATGAACTTGTCAGTCAACCCAAGGAATGTAACTATGAAGGAATAGGAAATTAATGATTGTCCCCTTTGGCATAGACAGGCTCTCCAATACCAGGCGTATGATTTGCTGACTGTCAGCACATTTCTCGCTCCCCCTGCCTGGTTGCCAGTTATTTCTGTCAATACAAACTCAGTTCAATACCTCTGAAATGTTGATCAATAAACTCAGCACTTGCTGGTTGAAATGAGCTTTAGCATTATCTGGAAAAATAAGGAGGAGAGAATTAGTTTCCTTTTCCTCCCTCCTCTCTTTCTTTCTTCCTTTCTTTCCTAAACTTTCTTATTTTTCATTTTTTTGAGACAGTCTTGCTTTGTTGCCTAGGCTGGAGAGCAGTGGCAAGATTATAGCTCACTGCAGCTGCCAAGTCCTAAGCTCAAGTGATCCTCCTACCCCAGCCTTCCAAGTATCTGGGACTACAGGCATGTGCCACCACATCTGGCTAATTTTCTTATTTGTGTGTGTGTGTGTGTGTGTGTGTGTGTGTGTGTGTGTGTGTGTGTGTGTAGAGACAAGGTCTTGCTATGTTGCCCAGGCTGGTCTTAAACTCCTTGGCTCAAGTGATCCTTCTGCCTCGGCCTCACAAAGTGCTAGGATTACAGGCATGAGCCACCACTGCACCAGGCGCTAAACATTTATTATACCAGGCACACATGAAAACCAGTTCTAATTCCTGAGGATGCACAAAAAAAAAATGAGAATCATCAACCTGGTGAGCAAACACACAGCATACTCCTATGCAGTGGGATTGGCCTCATTAGAGATGGACCCGGAAGCCAGGGAGGTGAACAGGCCAGCGGCAGCAATTTCACTGCTGTGCCTGTGTTGAAGGGAGGGCTTCTAACTTCATGGAGGAGGTGATAATTCAGCTGGGCCCTGAGACATGAATAAAAGTCCACCAAATAGGCATATGAGAGGAAGGCCACATCCACATATCCAGAGAGATAGTGGTGAGACATGGCAGTTCCCTGCTCCCTCTTGCCTTCTTTTTTCCTCTTCTTTTTTTTCTTTTGCTTCCTTCTCTTCCTCAAGAATGAGCCTCCAGCCCAAGCAGAATGGCTCACATCTGTAATCCCAGCACTTTGGGAGGCCAAGTCTGGTGGATCAGTTGAGGCCAGGAGTTCAAGACCAGCCTGGCCAAAATGGCAAAACCCTGTCTCTACTAAAAATACAAAAATTAAGGGTGTTTTAAAGGAATGAGACTAAATCCTTTTCAGGGACGTGGATGGAGCTGGAAGCCATTATCCTTAGCAAACTAACACAGGAACAGAAAACCAAACACCTCATATTCTCACATATAAGTGGGAGCTGAACAATGAGAACACATGGACACAGGGAGAGGAACAACACTGGGACCTTGAGGGGGGATTGTGGGGAGGGAGAGCATCAGGATAAATAGCTAATACAATCGGGGCTTAATACCTAGGTGATGGGTTGATAGGTGCAGCAAACCACCATGACACACATTTACCTATGTAACAAACCTACATGTCCTGCACATGTATTCCAGAACTTATTTTTTTTTTTAATTACAAAAATTAGCTGGGTGTGGTGGCGCGTGCCTGTAATTCTAGCTACTCAGAAGGCTGAGGCATGAGACTTGCTTGAACCTGGGAGGTGGAGGTTGCAGTGAGCCGAGATTGCACCACTGCATTCCAGCCTGGGTGACAGAGCAAGACTCTGTCTCAAAAACAAACAAACAAACAAAAGAAAGAACCTCTGGAGAAGGCTTACTATCACTTTTAGAGCAAGAGTGATAAAAATATGAATAATATCATAATATATAGTTTCATATCAAATGAGAATATTTATTGAGCATCTACACTGTTTCAATAAAACCATCAGAAGATCCACCAGAAAACAATATGTTGTCACTGCCTGTATGTACACTGCTGTATCTGGCATGCCTACACAAAGTAGTCATGAATGAATACATTTGATTTTTGGTTTTTTTTCTTGAGACAAGGTCTCATTGTGTCACTCAGGCTGGAGTGCAGTGGTATGAGCAATGGGTCACTGCAGCCTTGACCCTCCCAGGATCAAGCGATCCTCCCACCTCAGCCTCCCAATCTGTTGAGATTGTAGCCATGAGCCACCCACCATGCCAGGTCTAATGAATACATTTATTTTAGATTGAGGGTCAGACACTTTATATAAGTTACTGCTGATCTTATGATATATGAAAAATATATATTATCAATACGAAATTTTACCTGAATGAATCGATCAGATTTATCCTTTAAGATGTAAATCACATTGGGGCTGGGCACAGTGGCTCACGCCTGTTATCCCAGCATTTTGAGAAACCGAGGTAGGTGGATCCCTTGAGCTCAGGAGTTCGAGACCAGCCTGGGCAACATGGTGAAACCTCATCTCTAAAAAAAATATAAAACTTAGCTGGATGTGGTGGTACGGGCCTGTAGTCCCAGCTTCTTGGGAGGCTGAGGTGGGAGGATCACCTGAGCCCAGGAGATAGAAGCTGCAGTGAGCCAAGATCATGCCATTGCACTCCACCCTGGGTGGCAGAGTGAGACCCTGTCTCAAAAAAATCGAAACAACAACAATACAAAGTAAATTACATCATTGCAGTCTTTGCTCAAAACTCCTTAACACTTGTGCATTGTGTATCTCTTGGCCTATAGTAAAACTCAAAATTCTTACTGTCACCTCTGAGACTATCTGTGACCTGGCCCCTGCTGGTTCTTGAAGGGCCACCCCCATCCCTGCCCCTGGGCCTTTGCACCTGCTGCTCTCTCTGCTTGTAACACGTTTTTTTCCTAGGCTGGTTGTTTCCAGAATTCCCTTTCTCCCTCTGTCCAAAAGCCTCTCCTCGGGGGATCCTGCACCCCTCCCATCCTAAACAGCTTGTCCCTTCTCCCCAGGCATCTCCATCTCAGTCCCTGAGTCCCTGACTTCTTTTCTTTCACTTACCCTGCTCTGACTTTATACGATGTGCTTGCATGTATTTCTATGTGTGTTTATGTCTGTCTCCCCTGGCTGTCTCACCTAGCTAGTACTCAGCCATTGTTGAATTTGCCATGTAAGTTTATTTATATGCTTTTCCAAATTTAATCTATCCAACAACCTTATGAAATAGGCATAATGTCCCTATATTCAAATAAGGAACTTAGCACATTATTCACAATAACATCGACAGCAGAAATTTATTGAGCACTTGTTTCACATCAGACACTGTGCTAATCACTGCATTCGTATTCCCATTTGATTATGTCCATGAGCCTACACCATGATGATCTTATCAAGAAGGCCATCCCTGACCTCCTTACTAAATCAGCATGCCCCACCACAGCTCCCCCAAGCTCCCATCATGTTAATATTTAACTCTTAAACCACATAAGTCTTTAATCCTTGTTCATTGGTTTGTTATCTGTCTCCCCTGCATGAGAGGGAAAGGACTCTCTTTAATACTCTGCTGCCTTTGCTGCACCTAGAGCAGTACCTATCATGTAATAGATGCTCAATAAAAAAAATATTCTTTTATTTCTGAAATGCCAAGTTCTATCCCCACTAAAAAACAAAACAAAACAACAACAAAAAGCAAGTCGGGCATAGTAGGTCACACCTGTAATCTCAGCACTTAGGGAAGGCTGAGTGGGAGGATCACTTGAAGCCAGGACTTCAAGACCAGCCTGGACAACATAGTAAAACCCATCTCAACAACAACAACATTAGCCAGGTGTAGTGGCACATGCCTGTAGTCCCAGCTATTCCAGAGGCCGAGGTAGGAGGATTGCTTGAAACTAAGAAATAGAGCCTTCAGTGTGTGATCGCACCACTGCAGTGAAACCTGGGCAACGGAGCAAGACCCTGTTTCAAGAAAAAGAAAAGAAAGAAAGAAAAAAGAAACAATTGCAGGAGGAATCAGTCTTCCCACATTGCTTGGGCAGTCTGCCTTTGAGGTACTTAACAGACCAGCACTGTCTCTACCAATTCCTTCCCCACACTATTTCTTTTCCCACTGGCAAGGCAGGCAGGCCAATTAGTGGCCTTGTCTAAAATGAAACTGACAGAGCAAACCAGACCTGTGGACAGATAATAGCATGTTTCCTGGGACTGTAGATCTGTCTGACAGTGGGTCTATGGCCAGCACTAGGCTTTTTTGCTGCCTGATGTTGTAGGTCCTCACAGACTCTTAAGAAGTAGAGGCAAGAGGATCAGTCCTGAGGTCTTCTCCCCAACCTTCTCTAAATAGTAGCACAGAAAGCCCACCTGCCCCTTTGACATAAAGAAAAGACTATTTTTTTCATATTTTCCTGCATAAACCTAAACCTGGTGATAACACCTGGCATTCAATAGGTATTTGCTAAATGATTGAATGAATGAATGAGTGAGTAAATGAATGGATGGACATGCTTTGAAATGAATGAGCAAACAGCCTTATTGAACATACAGAAATTGAGGCTCTGAAAAGAGAAGTAATATGGGCTGAACTGTGTCACCTCACAATTTGTGTGTTAAGTCCTAACCCCTAGTACCTCAGAAAGTGACTATTTAGAGATAAGAGGTTTTTTTTTGTTTGTTTGTTTTGTTTTGTTTTGTTTGAGATGGAGTTTTGCTCTGTCACCCAGGCTGGAGTGCAGTGGCATGATCTTGGCCCACTGCAACCTCTGCGTCTGGGGTTCAAGAGATTCCCCTGCCTCAGCCTCCCAAGTAGCTGGGATTACAGGTGCATGCCACCTCGCCTGGCTAATTTTTGTATTTTTAGTAGAGACGAGGTTTTGCCATGTTGGCCAGGCTGGCCTCCAACTCTTGACCTCAGGTGATCCACCCACCTCAGCTTCCCAAAGTGCTGGGATTATAGGCATGAGCCACTGTGCTCCGTGCTCCGTTGAGATAAGGTCTTTTTTTATTGATACATAGTATTTATACTTATTCATGGGGTACCTTTAATATTTTGTTACATGTAAAGGATGTGGAATGATCAAGTCAGGGTATTTATTATATCCATCACCTTGAGTAATTTTCATTTGTATGTGTTGGGACATTTCCAGTCTTCTCTTCTAGCTAATTGAACATGAGACTTTATTCCTTCTATATATTTATACCCATTAACTAACCTCTCTTCACCCATGACCATACACACACCCTTTCCAGCCTCTGGTGGAAATAAGGTCATTAAAGAGGCAATTAAGGTTAAATGTGGTGGTCTCTAATCCCATATGACTGTTGTCCTTATAAAAAGGGGAAATTTGTGAAACCCTGTCTCTACTAAAAATACAAAAAATTAGCCGGGCACAGTGGCGGGCGCCTGTAATCCCAGCTACTCAGGAGGCTGAGGCAGGAGAATGGCATGAACCCAGGAGGCGGAGCTTGCAGTGAGCCAAGATAGCGCCACTGCAGTCTGGCCTGGGTGAAAGAGTGCGACTCCGTCTCAAAAAAAAAAAAAAGTGGGTGGGGGGGGGGCGGATATTTGGAGATTGACATGCACACAGGGAGAATGTCATACAGACATCAAGGCAGAGATCAGAGTGATGTGTCTACAAGCCAAAAACGCCAAAGATGGCTAGCAAACTACCAGAAGAGGAGGTTTTGTTTGAGATGGAGTTTTGCTCTGTCACCCAGGCTGGAGTGCAGTGGCACGATCTTGGCCCACTGCAACCTCTGCGTCTGGGGTTCAAGAGATTCCCCAGAGGAATCAAGAGATTCCTCTGGTATTCAAAGAGGAATACCATGGGCTGGTATTCCTAAAAGAAGAGATTAACACATAGGCACAGAGGAAAGACCATGTGAAGACAAAGGGAAAAGAAAAATCTACAGGCCAAGGAGTGAGACCTCAGATTACAGCCAACTCTACTGATGTCTTAATTTTGGACTTCTAGCCTCCACCCAGCCTATGGTATTCTGCTAAGGCAGCCCTAACAAACTATCACAGGAAGTGACTATCCAAGTCCTCTCACACTAGCAGCAGAGAAGGACTTGAATCCCCTTCTCTTGGAATCCAGGTCCCATGGCTTTCTCCTGTGTTCCATGGCCTGCTAGGCAGCATAAGTCCCCAAGTTTAGATCTGGAAGAGACATGGGCTTCTAGACTGTCTAGAAGCCTGCCTGTCTGGCTGTGGGATGGAATTCACCAAGCATCTCTATTAACGATGAACTCTAGGCACACTCCGCTTGATCTTCATCTTTACCTTCTACTTGCCTCATGCTCTCCTGGGTGGAGACAAGGCAAGGTGGAAGCCCCTCTTCTGCTGCCTTTTGTCTTCTACTGTCTCCTTCAGATGCCACAAGACTAGCATCCCTTCTGGTCTGGCTACATGAAACTCAGCATCTTCACTCAACACTGTTCTCAAAAGCCTGAAGCTTTGTCTGTTCTACTGACAAAACTCAGGACATGCTGTCCCAAATCCAGAAGCTCTGAATGAAAGTGTTGCATAATGGCTTGTAGATGGTAGTTCTATTTATGCCATTGCTCTGTCTAGAAATCTCCTGTGCCTGGCCTGCATCAGTCTGCAAATCCAAGTAGGCCTACCTTCATGGGCTACCTGGAAGAACTTTCAAGAGTTAGAAGAGCGTGGATAGTTTATGAACAATTGATTTCTGCATCTGCAACCTCCATGCCACTTAGGAAGGCCGAGGGGGTAGTTTCAGATTCCCAAGAGTAAATACCTATTTGGCTTAATTGTCAGTTCACCTGCTCAGCAGTAAGTCAGAGGAAAACAAGACACCTTAACTCAAAAATCTACAAGAATGTATCCAGTGTGTGTGTGTGAGGAAAGAGGGATGTGAATTTCCGCAAACCCAAAATGGAGGTGCTGTTATCAGAAGAAAGGGACATGGATATTATATAAACAAATATAAGGGCTGTCCACCATGTAGTCTCACTGCTGTCTCCACACATCCAACCCAGTTAAATGCTACCTCTTCCTTAAAATATCTGTTTTTGGATTATATGGGCATGTGCATTCATGTGTTTATATCGATATAATTTTTCTTGCCTTTTAAAAATTAATATTATAACAAACTTTTTCCATATCATCAGTTATACATAGAAATCATGATTTTAAACTTTCACAGGACATCCTACTGTGGGAATGAACCATATGTTGATGATCATTTCCTCACTGTTAGATATGTAGAACATTTTCATTTTGCCCCATTATAAACAATGCTGTGACGAACATCATTGTGCATATGTCATCATCTGCATTGCTCATTTTTCCTCTAGAACTGATTACTGTGATCACTTGGTCAACGTGTACGAACACTTCGAGTTTTGATACATTTTGCCAGATTGCTTTCCATAAATGTTGGCAAGTTATACTCCCACAGTGGAATACGAAAATAGCATTTCACTACACCCCCTTCGGCACTGAGAATTATCATTTGGCAAGAATATTTGCCAACTTGATTGATGAAAATGAATACTTTTTTTTTTTTTTAAGAGTCAAGGTCTCTGTCTGTCACCCAGGCTTCAGTGCAGTGGCGCAATCATAGCTCACTGTAGCCTTGAACTCCTGGGCTTAAGCAATCCTCCTGCCTTGGCCTCCCAGAGTGCTGGGATCATAGGAGTGAGCCACTATGGTCTGCCAATATCTTCTTGTCAAATAAATACAAATGAAGACATTGGCAAGCTTTTGGAGAATAGTTTACACTCAAGATTTTCATTTCCACCACCTCACTTTGATTGCAGTCTCCCAGTTTTTTGTTTTCTGCCTCCGTACTCATGACACTAGCTCAAACATAATGACTGTTCTCAGTCCATGACCCTCTACCTCTCCTCCTCCTCCTTTTCTGCCTCCACTGTTGTCACCTTTTCCTTCTTTCTCAGTGTCATCACTGATCTTTGAAACAATAACATATTTATTTATGTTTTAACAAGTATACTTAATCACATGGTTCAAAATTTCAGATACAAAAAGACTGAAGTCTTTTGAAATCCATACAGTAACTTTCACTCACTCTCTTGAACTCAAACTGGAAGTAACCTCTTCCCTTTCTGAGCTCCTACAGACCTCTCTAATAGTCTTTCTGCCATGTCTTTTCTACTTTGCAAGACTGCTGTTGGCCTTGTTGGGTACAGAAGCTATGGCTTACTCGTATCTGACAGCTAAGAGTGCAGGGCCAGAAAGAGCAGGTACTTAATAAATATATTTGTAATAATAAATGGAGTGATGAATGGATGGGTGGATGGATGGATGGATGGATAGATGGATAATTCTTTTATTGTTCCAAAAGAAATTAGGAATCATCACTTGAGGCACTGAGTGCTTAACAATTTTACAATTATTGATGATCACTGGGTAATTACCTTGTGATTTTCACCACATAAAAACTCCATTCATTAAGTTGTGCTACAAATATTCTTGATGCTTCGAAACATCAAATAGTTCTTATCCAGCAAATGAAATTACTACTATTTAATTTCCATAACTCACTGTCTACTACTAAAATTTTTGCAAGTAGCTGACAGATTGAACACGGCCTGTTGCTGCCTATGATTTCCATTACGGAAACCAACTCTTTGTAGGCAATTGAGGTGCCTTGTGTTTTACATAAGCTGGGATCTTTTGGGAAATTGCACTTTCCACTAGCCTGTCAAAACCATGCAAAGGCAGTGGCCACTCCAGGTGCAAATGGAGAAGTGCAGTAAAAGGGAATTTACACTGGTTGGATTTTTGCTTTATGCCCAGCAATGCATGTGGTGCTTTAAGTGGCTTATCATTTTTGTTTTAATATCAGTCCTGAGAGGTAGGTGCTATAGTCTCCATTTGACAAATAAGGAAGCTGAAGTCAGAGAGACTAGTGACCTTCAAGAGGTCACACAGTGAGATACAAAGCAAAACTGGGATTCCAACTCAAATTCAACAAGTGGCATTCTGGGAGAAGAATATGGACTTCAGAGTCAGAGGCAGTTGCATTCCTACTAGGGCTCCACTAGGAAATTATAGGACTTTTAAATGACTCAGTTTCTTTATCTGCAAAATGAGGTAATGAGATCCACCTTGTGAACTAGAAAATGTCTATAAAACACACGTGACTGGGCCTGGTGAGCTCCCTTTTCTCCCACCCATCCCACACTTTAATAATGGGCTCATTGGGTATGGGTATTTATGCAACACACCTTCCTCCTCCTCCTCTTCCACATTCTGTGACTCTGTTTGTGCTGTCGTCTAGCAGCCATCCTGTCTTTCTATTTTCTTCCTTTTCTCCTCCTCATGTTCTCATCTTTCTTCAAGATCCATGTGTGGCTACCTCTTCTAGAAAGCCTTCTCTAGCCAGCCCAGGAAAAGTCATCGCTTCATTTTGAGGACCTCATGACGTCTTTATGTGTCTATAATATGTGTCTACTCAGCTTCACCATGTAAATTTTTACTTGCTATCTCTGCCCCAGCTTGTGCCCTTCTTGAAGGCGGGGGTCATGTCTCAGCACCTGTGAGTGCCAAGTATCTAGCATGGAGTTAGAACCTAGTAAGTCCTTAAGAAATTCAGAAATTCATCCCCATCATGGCACCTATGGCAGCCATGGATGGCTGCAATAAACTTCTTTTGCCCTAGAAGGAACAGGAAGGGAGACACAGAAGAGCCAGTATTTGCATATTTGCACAAGGGACATTATCTTATGTATTTTACCCCATTCTCCAGCCACCCTTGGAGGAAACATTACCACAACTTGTTCACAGATGAGGAAACTGAAGTTCTGAGGTGGGAGGTCATTTGCGCAAGGGCAAACCCCTGAAAGCTTTTGTTTATTTACTTATTTATTTATTTATTTTCTGAAGCCCAAGTCTGTTAATTCACCACATCACATATGCCCCTTCAGGAAAGAATTATTTTGGTGTGATGATAGTTGAGTTTTAATTTCCTGTCTTCCTATCAGGACCCAAGCTTCTGATTATATTCACAGTGACAGCTATACAGAGAAAAGCTTTTTCCAATAAAGTGTCATTGTTGGCAGCAGCTCTTAATCTGGGGTCTATGCTGGAGTTTCATGAAATTTCATGGGAAAATCATACATCTTTACTTTTGCCAGCCACTCATTGAAATTTAACATTTCTTTCTATTACAAACATAGGCAACAAACATAGGTGTGTTAGCAGTACCTGTGACTTTGTCACCAGTGGAAATTACTTATAGTTTTATATCATATTGCATTTGTTGTAAATGTCTTAAAATATATTTTTGGCTCATTATTGCTTTGAATTTATGGTTATTATTATATCTGCTACTAGATATTTTTACTTAATATGTCAATAAAGGAACATGTAGATTATGTTACAATTGATTTTTAAATACATTTTGATAAATGGTTTATTTTAGAATGCCTTTTCATTTGATTTTATCCACATAAAAACATAACTCTAAGTTGTGGTCCATAGGCTTCATAGGCTTCATCAGATTGGAAAACAAGTCTTGACACCAAGTTAAGAATCCCTGTTCTCAGGGCTTGAGTAACTTTTAGGATTGGTGAAAAGCAGGCTATTGTTAGTAACAATTACTGTAACAATACAAGCAAGTGTATTGATCTTCGTTATGGGCTCAGTGCTTTGCAGAGTGTTTCACGTGTGTTTTTATTCATTCATTTGTCCGAAACAAATTGGGTTGCCTGCACAGTGTTCCAGACCCTCTGTTTAAGGCACTAGACTTCAGTGAGCATGGCAGAACCCATGCCTTCATGGAAGTTTTATTATCTAATGTAATTCTCATGAAAACTAAGAATTCGGTATTATAATCTATGATTTATGTATGAGGAAACTGAGACTCAAGAGAGGTTGAATAAGTTGTTGGTTTTCTCAGCAAATGAGCAGCAGAGTTTGAGCCCAGAGCTGCTTCCTCATAATAACACAGTCCCTTGATTTCCTCAGGTTCAAAACAATGAATTCTCTGTCTGTCTGTCTGTCTGTCTGTCTGTCTGTCTGTCTGTCTCTGTCTCTCTCCAGTCTTGCATTTTCACCTTATTTCTGAAAGTGAAACTGACAACTGGAAGCAGTTGTCAGTCTTTTTGGGAAGCCACATTATGTTATTAGAAATTGGAGCTGGAAGAGCCCTTAGAGATCACCCCATCATTGTAGAAATGTAGAATCTGAGGCCCATAGAGGGTGGAGGGTCACCCAGGTACACACAGCAGAGGGAGGCTGAGCTGGACTCTGATACCATACCTGAGCCTCCAGGCCAGTGCTCTTCCTTCTAGAGGTCACAGCCCCATTTACTGTCTAATGCTGGGCTCTCCTGGCTCACGGCAACCCCCTCTGCCATCCAGATCACCAGAGTCTCTCAGGCTCCTGAGCAGCAGGGCACACCCTGAACCAGGGGAAGGTGCTGGCTTTCTGAGCAATCACACCTGAGACCCCAGGACTTCCCATCTTAATGAGCCTCTTCTGTTTGAGATGAGAGCTTGGAGGAGCTCTCAGTGACTCCATGTGGGTACTTTATGAATAAATAATCCTCAAGCTTCAGCATTTGCCACTGAAACTTTTTTTTCTTTTTCAAAATAAGGATGAGATTTGCAAAGGGTAGGAGAAAGAGGGGTGGGTGAAGAGGAGAATTTCTTTTTTTAAAAAAATAAGTTTAAGTTCTGGAATACATGTACAGGACATGCAGGTTTGTTGCATAGGTAAATGTGTGCCATAGTGTTTTGCTGCACCTATCAACCCATCACCTAGGTATTAAGCCCCACATGTATTAGCTATTTATGCTAATGCTGTCTCTCCCCCAGCCCCCTGATAGGCCCCAGTGTGTGTTGTTCCCCTCCCTGTGTCCATGTGTTCTCGTTGTTCAGCTCCCATTTATAAGTGAGAACATGCAGTGTTTGGTTTTCTGTTCCTGCATTAGTTTGCTGAGGATAATGGCTTCCACCTCCAACTGTGCCCCTGCAAAGGACATGACCTTCCTTTTTATGGCTGCATAGTATTCCATGGTGTATATGTACCACATTTTCTTTATCCAGTCTGTCATGACGGGCATTTGGGTTGATTTCATGTTTTTGCTATTGTGAATAGTGCTGCAATGAACATACACATGCCATGTATCTTTATAATGGAAAGGCTGATATTCCTTTGGGTATATACCCAGTAACAGGGGGTCAAATGATGTTTCTAGTTCTAGAATCCTTGAGGAATTGCCATACTGTCTTACACAATGGATGAACTAATTTACATTCCCTCCAACAGTGTAAAAGTGTTCCTATTTGTCCACAGCTTCACCAGCATCTGTTGTTTCTTGACTTTTTAAAAACTGCCATTCAGACTGGCGTGAGATGGTATCCCATTGTGGTTTTGATTTGCATTTCTATAACAATCAGTGATGTTGAGCTTTTTTTCATATGTTTGTTGGCCACATGAATGTCTTCTTTTAAGAAGTGTCTGTTCATGTCATTTGCCTACTTTTTAATGGGATTGTTTGTTCTTTTCTTGTAAATGTGTTTAAGTGAAGAGGAGAATTTCTATGACTAAATGGTCAGAACAAGTACAGGAGGAGAAGATGGCTTTTTTTGCCAGAGGAATGATGGACTCCATGATCACTGTGCATGGTGGGGGTGGGAATGGAGGATACACATCATCCCAGCTCTCCTGGGGACAGCCTGGGTGTGATGAAACCTCACCATACCACAGGCTGGTTTGGTTTCAGGGTCTCATACTCTCCAGGGAAATCTGCCTCACTCCACACTCCCATCCCCAAATCCCTAGATTAGATTGGCCCCTCTGCCATATGATCTTACTGTATTCAGTATTTTTAAAGCATCTATCACAGTTTGTAATTATAAATTTAGGTATAGATAGGGGCATAGGCATAGATGTATAGCTATAGATATATACACATAGATACAGATATAACATAGACATAGCTATAGCCATAGATATAGACACACATATTGATATTAAGGCAGTTATTTGTTGAGTGACTGTTCCAATAACTACCTGTGTTGGAAACAAGTGCTCAGCATAGCCAAAAAAAAACCCACACTTAGATAGAAAATTTCTCAGCAAGGCACATTTACTTCTGCAGAAGGGTGCTGCTTGCACTGGTTACAATAGCAAGAGCACACCTAACAAAGGAGGGAAGGGGTTTTTAACCCTAATGCAGTTCCTGTTTCTGTGTCCTTCCCCTATTGGCTGGGGTTAGACCGCACAATCTAAGCAGATCCCGTTGGCTAAGACTTAAACTTTTCCAAATAGGGTAAATGTGCGATTTGTGAAAAAAGGAGGGGATAGGTTTGGTTTACAATTTATGACCAGAAATTTGAGTCTTTGAAGAGGAACTTACTTGTCCCAACAACTGTAAGCCCCAGAGGGACAAAGCACATGTTTGTTTTGCTCTTTTCTGTATACAGGCACACCTCAGAGATATTGTGTGTTAGGTACCAGAACACCGTAATAAAGCAAATATCACAATAAAGTGAATTGCACAAATACTTTTGTTTCCTAGTGCATATAAAAGTTATTTTTTACTCTATAGTTTATTAAGTGTACAATTGCATCATGTTTAAAAAATAATGTACATACCTTAATTAAGAAATATTTTATTGCTTAAAAAAAAGCTAATGGTCATCTGAATCTTCAGTGAGCCATAATCATTTTGCTGGTGCAGGGTATTGCTTCAGTGTTGACAGCTGCTCACTGATCAGGGTGGTAGTTACTGAAGGCTGAAGTGGCTGTGGCAATTTCTTAAAATAAGACAACAGTGAAGTTTGTTGTAACAACTGATTCTTCCTTTCACAAAAGATTTTGCTGTAGGATGTGATGTAGTCTGATAGCATTTTACCCACAGAACTTTTTGAAAGTGAATTTTTTCAATTTACTCCAACCCTGCCACTGCTTTATCAAGCAAGTTTATGTAATATTTTAAATCTTTTGTTCTTATTTCAACAGTATTCACAGCATCTTCACCACGAGTAGTTTACAACTCAAGAAACCACTTTTCTTTGCTCCTCCACAAGAAGCAACTTCTCATTAGTTTTATCATGAGATTGCAGCAATTCAGTCACATCTTCAACCTCCACCTCTAAATCTAGTTCTCTTGCAATTTTCACATCTGTAATTATTACCTCCACTGAAGCCTTGAACCCCTCAAAGTCATTCATGAGGGTTGGAATCAACTTCTTCCAAACTCGTGCTAATATTGATATTTTGACCTCCTCTCATAAATCAGAAATTTTTCTCATGGCATCTAAGATGGAGAATCCTTTCTGGAAAGTTTTTAATTTATTTTACCCAGATCCATCAGAAAAATCACTATCTATGAAAACTATAACCTTACAAAATGTATTTCTTAAATAATAAGACTTGAAATTACTTCTTCATGCATGGGCTGCAAAAAAGGATGCTGTGTTAGAATGCATGAAAACAACATTAACCTCTTATGCATCTCCATCACAGCTCATTTTTCTGAGCAGGAGTTCTCAACAGTGGGCTTAAAATATTCAGTAAACCATGCTGTAAACAGATGTGCTGTCATTCAGGCTTTGCTGTTCTATTTATAGAGCACAGGCAGAGTAGATTTAGCATAATTCTTAAAGGCCCTAGGGCTTTTATAATGGTAAACTAGTATTGGCTTCAACAGCTGCATTAACCCCTAATGAGAGAGACAGCCTGTCCTTTGAATTTTTGAAGCCAGGCTTCTCCTCTCTAGCAATGAAAGACCTAGATGGCATCTTCTTCCAATACAAGGCTGTTTCATCTACATTGAAAATCGGTTGTTGGACATAGTCACCTTCATTAATTATGTTAACTAGATGTTTTTGATAACTTGCTGCAGCTTCTATTAATATATCAGCACTTGCTGCTTCTCCTTGCACTTTTATGATACAGAGATGGCTCCTTTTCTTAAAACTTATGAATCAATCTCTGCTTAAACTTTCCTTCCACAGCTTCCTCACCTCTCTCAGCCTTCATAGAATTGAAGAGAATTAGGACCTTGTCCTAGTTTGGGTTTAAGGGAATATTGTAGCTGGTTTAATTTATCCACACCTCTAAAACATTCTCCATAACAGAAATAAAGCTGTTTCACTTTCTTATCATTTGTGTGTTCACAGAAGTAGCACTTCTAATTTCCTTTAAGAACTTTTTCTTTGCATTCACATCTTGCCTAACTGGTGCAAGAGGCCCAGCTTTTCATCAGTCTTGGCTTTCCACATACCTTCCTCACTAAACTTAATCATTTCTAGCTTATGATTTAAAGTGAGAGATGTGTGACATTTCCTTGCATTTGAACACTTAGAGGAAATTGTAGGGTTATTAATAGGCCTGATTTCAATATTGTGGTGTCTCAGCAAACAGGGAGGCCTTATATTTACCAAGTAAGTTGGCCGCTTTATATGAGCGCAATGAGGGCTCCCCAAACCATAAACGATATAATAATAACACAATTTTGAAATATTGTGAGAACTACCAAAATCTGATGCATAGACATGAAGTGAGCACATTCTGTTGGAAAAATGGCACTGATAGACTCTCTTGACACAGGGTAGCCACCGACCTTCAATCTTTAAGAAATAATATCTGCAATGAGCAATAAAGTGAGGTACAATAAAACGAGGCTGTGTCTATACCCAACCTCCAACTCCAGGGGTGAGTGCTGGGTCAATATCTGTGAAATGCACAAACTCATTTCCAAAACACAACAGCTCTTTATTGAGGATCTTTATTTGTTTGAGCCTGGTGATAAGAGACTTTCATATCTTTTAACTCTTTGAATTCTGACCCACAATTCTGTGAGTTGAATATTATTGCCTCCATCACACAGATGGACAACAGACATTACAATCATTTTCTCTTTGTTCTAAAGACTGCACAGCTGATGGGCCTTATTGTGCCCTTCTTCTCTTCCTTCAACACCTGCCCTTATTCAGCGAACAGCTGCAGCATGCCCAGTGCACTAAGGGATGTGACCGAGGAGGACTCTAGGCATGCAGGAAGCTAACAAGCTACTCAGAAGCACAAGACACTCCCAGGAAGTTATGAGACCACTCTGAACAGCAATATATATATATATCAACCTAAATTAGTGCAAACCATAATTGCTAGAGGAAGGAGAATGTTAAGTGTCAGCTAAAACACCAGTCCCAGAATCTCTGGGTGGAAAGACTTCTTAAAGAGAAAGGCAGGACACTAAAGAGTCCGAAGTCAGATACACCCAGGGTGGAACCCAGCTCTGTCACTAGGACTCACTGCCAGTCCTCTCACCTCTGTAAATGCCAAGTCCTGCATCTGAGTGTGTACATTTCTTTTCAAATTGAAAAAACAGAGGCATTCGTTTGTTTCTGCATTGCTATAAAGAACTACCTGAGACTGGGTAATTTATAAAGATAAGAGGTTTCATTGGGTCAGTGTTCCACAGTCTGTACAGGAAGCATAGCTGGGGAGGCCTCAGGAAACTTACAACATGATAGAAGGGGAAGGGGGAGCAGACATGTCCTACATGGCTGGAACAGCAGGAAGACAGTGAAGGAGCAAGTGCTACACACTTTTACACAACCAGATCTCGTGAGAATTCACTCACTATCACGAGAACAGTAATGGGGAAGTCCACTGCCTCCCCACTCTGCCATGATCCAATCACCTCCCACCTGGCTCCTCCTCCAACATTGAGGATTACAATTCAACATGACATTTGGGTGGGGACACACAGCCAAACCATATCAACAGGGATAATAGCACAATCCCATAGGCAATTATTAAATGAGATAATCTATGTTAAGCCAAAGTTCTCATGTCATAAATTCTCAGTAGATAATTAGCCCATGTGAATGTTGTTATCACCATGATATTGTACACCCTCTGCACTGGAGGCCTGACTCCCGCCACAACTATCCCAGGAAAATGGCCATGCCTCCTCAGTATGCATTCCTGAAGGCTGGAGCAGTAACTTGGAAGACAGTGTTCCCTTGCTGAATGTCTCTGGCTTTGGAAAAGCTCAAATCTACCTACCTGTGGCTTGTGCCACCTCACCCTATCCCTCCCCTGGAAGCTGTTTTTCAAGAAATCCTTATAAAGCAGTCACCATGTGCCAGGCACTGTCCTAATGCTTTACCTACATTATCCTTAACAGGTCTCAAAACAGCCTCAAAATGGTGCCTGAGTTTCTTTCTCCTATGAAATGGGGATGTATCATTTACATCATTGTGTTTTGGGGGAGGATTAAGTGAGTTGATACATGTAGTGCTTAAACCATTTATTGGCATATTATGAATGCACAATCAGCATTAACTATTATTGCCATAAGGATTTGTGTAAACTATTCATCTATGATATTACTCTAAATAAAAGCAGGATCTGCTTTTTAACCTTTGGGTGGCAGTCCATAGCTTCCAGGGTAAAGTCCAGAATCACCATGGCCTGGCACACAGGAATCTTCTCTAGCCTGGCTCCTGGCACTCCTTCTGCTTCAGCCTTTGCCATATCTCACCTCCTCCTTGACAGTCCAGCTTTTCTGCATCTCTTGAAGCCCCTCAATCAGGGTATTCTATCTCCTACCTCTAGGCCTTAGCATATTCTTTCCTTCTCCCTAGAATTTCTTTAACCCACTCTATTTATCCCCCTTTACCTAATTTCCACCCATCCTTTATGTCTCAGGCTCAACATTACCTCCTCCAAAAAGCCTTCTCTGAGCTCCTACTTCCAAGGTCTGGCAAGAGAGAGAGAGTCATCTTTGTGGTCCTGTGGCCTCACTTATCTTGCTAGCTTAGTGTTTTTCCTCCTGCCTAGCACAAGCTCTGTTACATCCATTCCTGTGTCTCCCAGGAACCCAGCCGAGTACCCAGAACAAGCCTAGCACCAAAGAAACATTTTTAACTGAGTAAATGGACCATGTGGGGTCTCAGATCTTTCATCCCTTCTCCTACATTGAGCTTCTCAACATTCTCAAGGCATGGTTCTTGCAACTTTGAGGGACTTTCAGATGATACCACTTATTACCAGCTGTTAGGCACTTACTGTGTGCCTGGCATTTGACACATTTGCTCCCTAATCTATCACTCATGCTACCTCTGCTAGTTAGGTATTAATATCCCCATTTTACAGATGAGAAAATTGAGGCTCAGGGTTTAAGAGACTTGCCCAAGGTCTCTGGATTACCTGAGGTCAGAAGTTCAAAACCAGCCTAGCCAACATGGTGAAACCCAATCTCTACTAAAAATACAAAAATTAGTCTGGCATGGTAGCACATTCCTGTAGTCCCAGCTACTTGGAATGATGAGGCAGGAGAATTGCTTGAACTGGGAGGCGGAGGTTGCAGTGAGCCAAGATCGCGCCACTGCACTCCAGCCTGGGTGAGAGAGTGAGACTCTGTCTCAAAAAGAAGAGGCTTGCCCAAGGTCTCATACTGAGTGAAGCTGGGATTCCTCCTCAGGGCAGTCTGACTCCAGACAAACTTGCCCTCTTATCTACTGTTCTACACTGTGGCTCATGCTATTAGGGGCTGAGAAGGCTCCCTAAATCCCAGGGCAGGGGGAGCCACAAAATATATGAAAACATGTATCTACATAAAAACCTGTGTATGAATGTTCATAGCAGCATTAGTCATAGTAACTGAAAAGTGGAAACAACCAAAATGTCCACCAACTAATGATAGAGGAATAAAATGTGGAATATCTATATAATGGAATATCATTTGGCAATACAAAAGGAATGAAGTAGTGATACATGCTGAAACATGGATGAACCTTGAAAAC
The DNA here is from genome assembly GCF_000001405.40 of Homo sapiens. Taxonomy (NCBI): domain Eukaryota; kingdom Metazoa; phylum Chordata; class Mammalia; order Primates; family Hominidae; genus Homo; species Homo sapiens. The sequence continues at coordinate 116,871,603 of NC_000009.12, read as the reverse complement.
ACTATGCTAACTGAAAGTAGCCAGTCACAAAAGGCTACATAATGTATAACTTAATTTACATGAAGTGTTCAGAGTTAGTAAATCTATAAAGACAGAAGATTAGTGGTTTCCCAACACAAGGGTCATTGGGAGGAAGTAGGCAGGGACTTATGATAGAGGCAGGGTTTCTCTTTGGGTTGATGAAAATATTTAAATATTGATCACTTAAACTGTACCCTGCTTAAACTGTACACTTTAAATAGGTAAATCATATGGTATGTGAATTATATCTCAACAAAGCGTTCTTTCTTTAAAATAAAAAAACTGAGCTGGATTTTTTATTTTATTTTATTTATTTATTTATTTTGAGACGGAGTCTCGCTTTGTTGCCCAGGCTGCAGTGCCGTGGCACGATCTCGGCTCACTGCAACCTCTGCCTCCCTGATTCAAGCGATTCTCCTGCCTCAGCTTCCTGAGTAGCTGGGACTACAGGTGCCCACCACCACACCCAGCTAATTTTTTGTATTTTTAGTAGAGACAGGGTTTAACCATGTTAGCCAGGATGGTCTCGATCTCCTGGCCTCAAGATCTGTCTGTCTCGGCCTCCCAATGTGCTGGGATTACAGGCGTGAGGCACCGTGCCTGCCCTGAGCTTGATTTTTATCAGTACATTGTCTTAGGTTCCTCCTTCCCAGGTAGCTCAGGAAACAAGGTTGTCGGCTATTACCAGAGAATGATTAATCTGCATCAGTGAGGGACTTGTCACTGTCTTGGCTTGGCATCATCCATTCACATCTCTCTATGAGTGACACAGACCTTTCCTGGTATTTATTAACAGCAGGCCATGTCAGCATCTGTTCCCAGCCACCCTGCCTAATGCTCACCCTGCATCAGGCTTGGGCTGACTCAGCCAAATGGAATCCAGGTGACGCATTTGTACTTTACCGGTCAGGTAATTAGGGGATGGCTGTCTCACCCAGTCTGGTGGGGTCTGGCTATCTCTGTTTTGGAGCCAGTATTAACAGAAAAAAATAATAATAATTTGTATGTCAGAGATAGAGAGATGTTTGGAACCTTTTGCACAATGTCTGGGTTATATAGGAACAGAAACAGCTGCTGGGAGGCCAAAGAAAAGCCATAATAATAATCAGCTCAGTATGTGGCATGCAGCAGGTACTCAGATATTTATTGAATGAATAAACAATGAATAAGTTTGCATTAGGTTTTAGAGTTTGGAAAACACATTTCTATATCATGTTATTATATCCTCATAGTCATCTACAGAGCTGAGAATTAGACAGATATTGTTCCCATTTTACAGATGAGAAGGCTGAGTTTCAGAAGATTCATGTAGGAGAAAGAATGTGGAGTTGGACCTACCTGGGTTCAACTCCTAACTCCAACACTGACTTCAGGGTTTTCACACCTAAAACAGAAAATAATTTATCTGGCTGTGTCTTTCTGTAAATACAGTATTTTTTATTTTTTATTTTTTTTGAGACAGGGTCTCACTGTGTCACATGGGTTGGAGTGCAGTAGCATGCTCACAGCTTACTGAAATCCTTGACCCCCACCTCCCCAAACTTGCCAGGCTCAAGCAATCCTCCTACCTCAGCTTCCTGAGTAACTGGTACTACAGGCACACACCACTACACCTGGCTAATTAAAAAAAAAAAAAAAAATTATAGAAATGGGATCCCACTCTGTTGTCCAGGCTGGTCTTGAACTCCTGGGCTCAAGCGATCCTCCCACCTCAGTCTCTCAAAGAGCTGAGATTACAGGCATGAGCCACTACACCCATCTTTAATACAGGTTTATTGAAACATAGCTACATTCATTCTTTTGCATATTGTCTATGATTGTTTGTGTATTACAAAAGCAGAGTTGAGTGATTGGGACAGAGACTGTATGGCCTGCAAAGCCTAAGATCTTTACTATCTAGCCCTGTACAGAAAAGTTTGCCAAGCTCTGTTCTGTAGAGTGGTTGAAAACCCTCTACACGGTTGCTGGAGTGTGGTAGGTATTTAATTAAAGTTGGTCTTTTCTCCTCCCAAATAAAGGCACAGATAATATGGAGAGTGACTTCATCATGATCCTTTCCCTAAGATTTTTCAAACCTTGTAAGGACCACAATGAAACATGAAGTGTCTAGAGTGAGAAGAGCCAGTGCAGTATTAGGAACACTTTGATAAGAATCAAGGACTGAGGTGTTTTATTTAGTCCTGGCTCTGTCCTACCATGCGAATGTGAGCACATTCCCCTGTGCCCTGTGGAATTGCATGAATTTTGTCCCCCAAAATTTGTGTTCACCAGAAATTCAGAACGTGGCCTTATTTAGAAACAAGGCCTTTGCAGATATAACTAAGAAAAGGTTATAACAGATTAAGGTGGACCCTAAACCCAACTAATGCTGTCATTTTTTTTTCTTTCTTTCTTTTTGAGACAGGAGTCTTGCTCTGTTGCCCAGGCTGGAGTGCAATGCTGTGATCTCGGCTCACTACAACCTCTGCCTCCCAGGTTCAAGCAATTCTCCTGCTTCAGCCTCCCGAGTAGCTGGGATTACAGGCACCCACCACCACACCCTGCTAATTATTGTATTTTTAGTAGAGACAGGGTTTCACCATGTTGGTCAGGCTGGTCTCGAACTCCTGACCTCAGGTGATCCACCTGCCTCAGCTTCCCAGGGATTACAGATGTAAGCCACTGCACCCAGCCCAAATGGTGTCATTTTAAAAAAAGGAGAGGACACACAGACACACAGGCAAGAAGGCCATATGATGATGGGGACAGAGGCAGGAGTCCTGAAACTGCCAGCCAAGGAAAGCTAAGCATGGCTGGGAGCCATGGGAGGCTCTGAAGAGGCAAGGAAGGATTCTCTCCTTGAGCCTACTGAGGGACCAGGGCTCTACCAAACCCTGATTTTGGACTTCTGGCCTTCAGAATGGCGAGAGAATAAATTTCTGTTGTTTTAAGTCACCTGATTCATGGTACTTGTTATGGCCCTTCTAGTAAACTTAAACACTATGCTTTCCCCTTCTATTCCTGCATGGATTGAGGCTATTGTGGACCACATGCATGGCCCAGGAATCAGGCTGTGGGAGGTACACAAAGAACTCTCAGGCTCTGCCCATTCTGTCCTCCTCTGCTAAGACAGAGAGATTGAACACACATTCTTACGGGCCTTACTGTTAGGAGGGCTCTGACTTGCCCAAGACACAGGGTAAGTTGTTAAAGTTTAACTCAGGACTTGAGGTCAGGCAGATTCGAGTGCACAGCCTGGCCTCACTGCATCACGCCATTGAGAACTGGAGCAAGTGACATAACTTCCCTAAGCCCCTGTTTCTCCAGCTGCACATTGGGTATAAAACTGTCATTTCTAGGGCTCTTGTGAAAATCACAGGGAATATTACAGGAAGGGAACCTTGCACCATGCTTAACACATAGCAGGTGCCCAGGAAATCCTAAATAATGAAGAGGATGTTGGTAGTTTTGGTGATTGCTGGCAAAGCTGGGATTCTCACACTGGTATCCTGATACCCCAGGGCAGTGTCTCAGTCCAGCCTGCCTCCGCCCCCAGTGCTCTTCCATTCATCTCTTTGCTGCCTCCCACTCCCCGCCCCAAGATTGGGGCAGCTCTAAGATCCCACAGACCCTAAACCCTGGGCTCCGCAAGTGAGATGAAGGATTGAGCCCCCGAGTTAAGAAAACGCCAGTGTCTGCTTTGAGTTAAGAAAACGCCAGTGTCTGCTTTAAGCTTTTTTTTCCTGTCTTGCGCTCAGATTCTTCATTCCCTAGCCTGACACAATCACTTCTCTTGACTTAGTAACGGCCCCTGTGTCAGGTCTTTGTGTTTTAAGTAATGTTCCCCTCATGTAACTGATGTTTATGCAGAATCAATCCTTTTAAAAGTGGACAGCTTTTGTATTTTTATAGCTTGAACTGTCTCTAGCTTCCAGAGAAAGGTGACATGTTTTTGCTTGTTTTTCACTTCCCTTTCCTTGTTTCTTTGTTGTTGTCTGTCTCTGCTCTCCATGGCTCTGTGTTTTCTTTCCTTTTTTTTTTTTTTTTTTTTTTTGAGACAGAGTCTCGCTCTGTCGCCCAGGCTGGAGTGCAGTGGCGCGATCTTGGCTCACTGCAAGCTCCGCCTCCCGGGTTCACGCCATTATCCTGCCTCAGCCTCCCAAGTAGCTGGGACTACAGGCACCCGCCACCACGCCCAGCTAATTTTTTGTATTTTTAGTAGAGATGGGTGTGTTTTCTTTCTTACTCAGTGTCTTTCTCTTCCCTTTCATTCTGTCTTTCTGCATTTGTCTCCTCCTGCTCTCTTTTCTCACTCTCCCTCCCACCTTCTCTCCCTCTCCTCGGCACACTTACACATTTGTTCTGTTTACCTTGAGTATGCCTCCTCTTTTCATCTGTTTCTTATGCCTCTGTTTCTCTCTTTGCTTTCTTTTTCCAATTCTATCTTTTCATTTTTATCTTTTCACATCCTTTCTCTCCTCTATTTGCCTTTCTTTTCCTGTCTGTCTCTATGACCTGTGTCCCTCTATAACTCTCTGTCTCTCTGTCTGTCCATCTATACCTTTTAGATCCCTTTATCTGTTTCCAGGTGGCTATATGTGTTTCTGCCTCTCTGTGTCTCTTCTTTCCTTCTCAGCAGTTTCTCTACCTGTTTATCTCTTGTTCTCTCACTTTCTCAGGTCCCTCTGTCTTTTTTTTTTTTTTTTTTTTTGAGACGGAGTCTCGCTGTGTCACCTAGGCTAGAGTGCCGTGGCACGATCTCGGCTCACTGCAACCTCTGCCTCCTGGGTTCAAGCAATTCTCCTGCCTCAGCCTCCCGAGTAACTGGGATTACAGGAGCATGCCCCACACCTGGCTACTATATTGTTAGTAGAGACGAGGTTTCACCATGTTAGCCAGGATAGTCCTCATCTCCTGACCTAGCCCATCTAGGCCTCCCAAAGTGCTGGGATTACAGGTGTGAGCCACCACGCCCAGCCTGGTCCCTCTGCCTTATCTCCTCCTCTTACTTTCTGTTTCTTCTTCTCCCTTCTAGGGTATTAATATTTTAATAGGCTTAATGTCTTCCCAGGATCCTCAACTCTCTTCATGATTCAAAAGTGGCAAGTCTCCCCAGAGCTTCATTTCAGGAACTATTAATTCTTTCCTCCCATAAACCTGTCACCTCACTCCCTACAAAGTTAGGAAGCAAGGGATAATCCTGTAGCACCTCACCCTTCTCCTTTGTCCCTGTGCTGCATCCCTGAACACAAAGGATTTGGAATGGGGACCCAGAGTTGGGGAGACAGAGAGGAGTGCCCTGCTGAGGAGGTTCTTAGTAAAAGTACTCATTGGTGAAGACTGCGTCTAAGCCTTTGGGTGTTTTCTGTGTTTCATTTGAAAATGTTTACCTAGCACACTTTCCTTCCAGACTGTGCTGGGGACTAAAGAGAAATGAATAAATCTTGAGCCTTTTCCTTTAAAAGCTTATAGTCTCTCTGGGAGACTGTGAAGCTGATAATTAAGATCAATAAGTTAAAAGATTTAGCCACTATGCTCACAGGGAAAAGGAATTAATTCTAGTAGGGGGAATTAACAGAGAAGGTTTCACAAAGGCGGTAACATAAAGCTACTGTGGAGATTGGGAGTCAGGATCTTGCCTGATGTCACTGCTGTATCCCCAGCACCTAGCATTGTGCCTGGTATATGGTAAACACTCAGTAAGCTTGTACAATGAATAAATGAATGAATGAATGAATATGAAGAGTTTTCAAAGATTCTTAGGATTTCTTCACGTAAGCATTTGGAAATGGGCATCCCAGGCAGAAGGAAGAGCATGATTTGGGATTGAGAGAGGTGCCTGCAGGTACCACACACAGATCCCCTCTTCAGGGCCAGCCCACCCACCCACCAGCTGTGGCTGTCAGTGACTAGGCATTGCCTTCAGCCTCAGGGAACTGGTTTATCCTAGTATATCCCATTCCAGACAGCAGCCCCACCAATGACTGGCTACTGTGGGGATGCAAAGGCCTGGATTCCTTGCTTTAATTCAGGACATCCATAAAGGGCCTTCTCAGCTCCAGAGCTCCCTGCAGGAACAACTGATACTTTAGACCCGCACTGTAGATCAGTCTCTCTCTTTACCAAATCCTGCCTTCTTCGCTTGCCTTTTTTTTTTTTTTTTTTTTTTTTTTTTTTTTTGAGACAGTGTTTTGATCATGGCTCACTGTAGCTCAAGAGATCCTCTCACCTCAGCCTCCCGAGTAGCTGGGACCACAGGCAGGCTCCTCTAAACCCTGGTAATTTAAAAAATGTTTGTAGAGACAGGGTTTTGCCTCATTTTCTAAGCTGGTCTTGAACTCCTGGGCTCAATCAAGCCTCCTTCCTAGGCCTCCCAAAGTGCTGAGATTACAAGCATGAGCCACTATGCCCAGCCCTTCCTCACCATCTTTAGATGCATCTCCCAAGAGGGCTTGGCAATAAACCTCCTGCATGTAACTTTCCAGTTTAGAACCTGTTTTCAGAGATTCTGTGTTCAGGGAATGAGACGAGGCCTGTGCCTAGTGGATAGAGATGTGAGGAGAGGGTAAATGTGGCTGGACAGGTAACTGGGGGCAAGATTATGAAGTCCGAATGCCAGAGAAGCTAATTTATATTTCTTCTCTAAGTACTGGGAAGCTATTGATCAGAGGAGTATCTAATTAGAGCTGGGATTTACCAAGTTCACTGACAGTCAGTATGAAAGATGGGACAGAAGGGATAAGACTGGAGGCAGGAAATGAATTAGGAGTTTCAAACCTGGTCCAAGCCTGAGGTGGAGAAGAATGGGAGAAGGTATGCAAGATGGTGCAGAGACACCCCCTCTAGTGTTTGCTAGCCTCTTCCTGCTTCATGTGTGGCTGCAGGCATTTCCCTTGCTTCACAGCTCTGGGCCTCATGAGGCACAGACCAGGGAAGGATATGTGCCGCTTCTCACTGCCCATGGTGCTTCTTTAAAATCTCCTGTAAGTATGGGAATCATATACCCCAGAGCAAATGTATCTCTTATTTCGGGCCCTTTCTGCAGAAGACAGCATCAGAGGCTCCCATCTGTATCCTCCATTGTAGAGAATTCCATCTCATAAAATGTTGGCAGATCCATGGATTATGGTATCAAGTCTAGTCTTATCTTTTGAGAACCTCATTTGGGAGGAATCACGTATTTCCCTGGAATCCCATGACCTTTCCAACAACTGTTGCTGATAGTCTTGATGGAGTGACTTATACACAATAGTCTGAAAAATAAGGATCTAGGGCCCTGGAGGGTCAGACTCCTGCGTTTGTGTCTTGGCTCTGCTATTTATAGACTGTGGGATTTGGAGTCAGTCCCACAATCTTTCATGGTTTCAATTTTATATTCACAAAGTTGGAATAATAGGGATGTGCCCAATTGCAGAGTTGCTATAGGGAGCTCTGAAATCTGTAGAAACAGGTAGGATGCAAGCTAAGAGTTAGGCAGTGAGAAGAGCCTTCTCTTTGGACTCAGCTGGAAGTTAATACAAACTTCACTTCGGTCACATTGTAAGCTGCTGGCCTTCAGCAAGATACTTCACCTTGCTAAGCCTAGTTCCCTTACGGTAAAGTGCACATCTCATGACTACCTCCAAGAATCATAAGTATTAATAAAATAAAGAGTATAGAGTTCTAGGTCCATTTCTCTGTATCACAACTTGACAAGCACCGTGTCATATGATGGTATACCTGTTGTTGTTTCCTTTTTATAATATTGATTATTATTGTTTTCCTGATTATAAGTAAGTTATGGTTTCAAATGTAATGAATTCACATTATTATTTTTTTAATCTAAGGATCCAAATGTCTCTGGGGTTTAACCATCCCCTTTCTCTCCAAGGGAAGAAGCGATGCTGTCCACATACTTTGAAACCATCAATGACCTGCTGTCTTCCTTCGGGCCAGTTCGTGACTGCTCTCGGAACAATGGGGGCTGCACTCGCAACTTCAAGTGTGTGTCTGACCGGCAGGTGGATTCCTCGGGATGTGTGGTAAGTGCCCATTGGCCCGGGAACATGGCAGTGGCCCAGGGGCTAAGGCCACCTGCTAGAAGCCCTGCCCTGCGAGGGAACGCTGGTAAGGAGGATCATATCCACACTACCCTTATCTGCCTCTGCGGCCTTCAGTATGCCAGCCTACCTTGGTTTCCTCACCTGTAAAGTGAGATCATTAAACCTACCTCTTGGAATTGTTGGAAGAATGAAACAAGATATTATAACTTAAGTGCCCACCACACAATAGGTCTTAGAGAACTTCTGACCTTCAGAAGCTTACAGTCCATTTGAGAGTAAGACAGGGCATGCCTTACCTCTGTGAATACAATAGTAGGCGGGATGTCAATGAGGTGTAACTAGTATGGACAGGTGCTTTGGTGTGGTCCGGAAGAGAAAGTTTCAGCTGGGACCTCAGTTTCGTAGAAGGCTTCCTTGGGACGTTGGCTTTTGGCTTTGGCTTTGGCTTCAAAAGATGAGTCAACTTACATTAGGGAAAGAGCGGAGACAGCCAAGCAAAGACATGAAGGAAGGGAGAGGCAGCCTTGTTTGCTTGGAATTTTAGTATCTAGCGTGGGACAAGGTCACACAAGAAGATGCGGGAGGGTTCCTGTTGCTTTAGAAGGGTGTGCCAAAACTGATGGTTTTATAAGAATGACCTAAGATACAGGGTTCTACCTCTAGAAGCTTTTATTCTAGAGAGGAGATTAGGTCCCGGGAGCCTGACTTTTTAACGTGTATGTGTGTGTGTGTGTGTGTGTGTGTGTGTGTGTGTATTTGTGTGTGTTGGGGTATCTTGAAAATACACTTGGGAAACATTGCCACATAGGCTAAACTCAGCCTGGCATTCAATGCTCTTCTTTCTGTGGTCCCTTTTCAGTTTCTCCAGCCACATCTCTTATCGCTTCATTTCAATCTACACTACAGCCTAATGGAGCTGATTAGATGGAGTTCTATGAACTTGCCTGCATGTTTCATGCCTCAGAACCTTTTCTTGTACCTTCTCTCTGCCTAGAAAGAATTGCTTTCGAAGTCTATGAAGCAAACAAGTGAACATCTTTCCAGAGACATCTCCTTTATGAAGCCTTTTCCCTCCCCGCAGGTGACCCTCTTTTCCATACAGTATCTTTACTGTATGCTGTACTTAGCTTTATTAAGTCACCTGTGACACGTTATAGCACAGACTGGTTTTTCAGTTTATGTTTCTTAAAAAACTGAGGGAGAACCCAGGGAATCTGTTGATTCGGCTCAACACCCCAGAAGTACCCATCTCAGTAAATAAAGAAAAAAGAAAGAAGAAGGGAAGGATAGAACCAGGGATAGGAATCCTGCTCTGGACTAGGCTCTCTGAACAAGACCCAAGGGAGACAGAACACACACTTGGCCCTTAGTGCAGCTACACACCAGCTGAGAAACAGACAAAGGTCAGGAGATCAATACGAAGAAGCTTCTAGAATGAAATAATGCAATGAAACTATATCTGAGACTCAAAGATTAATAGCTCTTCAGATGTGAATGGGCAATTAGAAATTTTAGTGATTAGAATTCTCAGGATTACAAGTGATAGAAACTAAACTCAAACTAGTATAGGCAAAAAAAAAAAAAAAAAGAAGAAGGAAATGCATTGGCTTAAGTGGAAGTCTGGAGAAAATTGGATTGAAGGACTCAAGCAATGTCATTGGAATCCCCCTCCTTATCTTAGCTCTGCTTTCCTTAGCACTGTGCCATTCTTGGGCCAGCTGCAGGCTGGATGCAAGTCCTACAGGACAAAAACACTTCTTTCCTAGTACCTCCAACTACTGTCACCAGATTCCTTCTCATTGTGCCAACTTGGTTCTCATGCCCATTTATCCCTGCACCAATTGCTGGTCAGGGGGATTAACTGGGCTCATCCCAGAGACAGCCATGCTTGGAGCTTGCACCAGGAGGCAGCTACACCTGAAATGCATGGCCCTGAGATGGGGGAAGGCATAGACTCTCAAGAAAAACTGGGGTGCTGGCAACAGGAGTTGTAGATGCTAGATTGATATACATCAACAGCTGTCTGCCTCAGACCATTGAAACCTAACCCTTCATATAGCACATTGGAAAAGTGCTAGTTGGGGAGAGGAGGATTTGCTGAAGTCTGAAACCCAGCCAGTGGACAAACAGCTCAAAAGGATGTTCTGTGTTGTGTCCAGAATGTAAGGCTGACCTTTTTCAAAGGATTAAGTTGTCTGCCTCTTTCCTCTTTTCCATTAGTTCTCTTTTCTCAAATTAATTAAGCTCCTTCTCTTTTAGGATAGATATCCCATAGGAATGAAACCTCAAATACAGAGGAGTGTGTGTGTGTGTGTGTGTGTGTGTGTGTGTGTGTGTGTGTGTGTGTAGCTTGGGCTTGTCTCTCTTTGTCTTTTATTCATATAAACTGGAAAAATTAAAAGAGAGAGAAAGAGAAAGAACATTCATTCCCTAGGGGATAAGAGAAGATTCAACGGTCTGATGAAGTTGTCAAAGACCCTCCTCTCTAGATTGAGGATGTAATTTTAAAACCACTACTTCAAGGTTCAATGGATGTAAGGCAAGCTCCTCTCTGTGCTTCAGAATAGACAGGGAAATACCACGTTTATGCTGAGATTTTAAATCCCTTTCATTTCTCTGTAGACTCTCCATCATGTCTGTAAAGAGAAACTTCTTCTCATAGCTCACCTTCTAAGACATTCCTTCAGGTATTACATGATAATTCCTTATATTTTTAGAATACTTTAGCATTCTCAAAGCATGTCTACAAGCTAAGAGCTCATCCTCACAACAAACCTGGGCAGTAGATTCCCTCAGGAATGTGGAAACAGGCTCAGGAAGCAGAGTGACTTTCCAAGGTCTTACCACCAGGTGGCAGGGTGGAGGACCAAGACCATGTCTCACTATCAGTCCTTCTGCCAGGGCCACTTTGGCTTGCTTTCCCACACTGGGAGCTGAGATGAGTTCTCGTTGAAGAATCATGGAAAGGAGGCTGGGCTGAGTGAATTGGGCTAAAGCCTGGATTTAGGCATTAGAATGACCATAGCTTTGGAGTCTATGTTGACTTCATTAGCATCAGTTTCTTAATCTTTCAAAAGGAAGCAACAGTACTTACAGATTTTTCTAAAAACAAAAACAAAAAACTGAAAGAGCTCAAAGAATATAACTGGCAATGATTTGGGATTTACAAAGTACCATTTATGAGTGAGATAAGGAGACCACATTACTGATATTTGTATGTAGTGGATATATTTGGGGCCACACAAATTTAGGAGCACAGCGTATCTAATGTTCTATTACGTTTCTGTAACTGAATTTCATTTCATTTCTGTTCCATTGTTAGTGGAAACTTAACTCTAGTCAATTTCAGTTTTTTTTCTGCCTCCCACCTCTTAACTGAACATTTTAGCTCAAAGGGCCAATGTACCTGTAAGGCCTAGGAGCTAAGGGCATGTTTGATGCTGGGCCATCACTTTTTAATCTGGTACCTGCTGCATCACTTGGCCCTTGTCCATCACTCTCCTTCCTCTCCATTCCCACCTGACTCACAGGTGTGTAGTACAGCTGCTGCCTCATCCACTTTATTCCACCACAAGGTCATTTAAGGCCAGCTGGCTCTGTGCGTCAGCTAGTTTTTCCAGCCTCCAGAGGGCCTGAGAAATGTCCAACAGTTCCACCTGGAGGATCTGAGGAAAGCTGTCTAGAGCTCTTTTGATCTAGACATGCCAGGAAAGGATCTGTAGTTGGCTGTTTTCACAGTGGGGAGGATCACTCACCATGCTTGCTGTCAACCTGTGCTATATAGCAAGTGACGCCCAGAACCCCTTTGCCTTCATAGCCCTCAAACCCACCTGATATTCTGCACCCCCTCATCCCCTTCATACACTCATGGGCGTAGCCTGGTAAGGATAGAGGATGGGACCCCTTTTAGAACACTCATTAGCATTTTCTAGATTACTTTGTTTGACTTCCAACATTCCTGTCTTCCACCAGCTCAGATGACCTTTACTTCTTTGTGGATACAAGGGAAGGTAATTCTCTAACAGATCACAGATGCTTCTATTGCTTTATTATTGTCATTATAATGATGATTATTATTTTACCTTCTAAAATAGCTCTACCTTCTAGACCTCAACTTTTGAAACACAAGATTTAAAAAATCTGACATATTTTTGCTCAGCTTTCTGGTTCTGCTGTGGTAACCTTCCCTTTGGATAATATGTTTCTCATATAGGTAATTGGCCAATTGGAGGATGGCCATAAGATGTGTAGTAGGCAAAATAATGGCCCCTGCAAAGATGTCCACATCCTAATTCCCAGAACCTGTGACTGGTATGTTACCTTTCATGACAGAACCAGGATTTAAATTTGCGTAAGGAATTAAGATGACTAATTAGCTGACCTTAAAAGAGCGAGAATATCTTGAATTATCAGAGTGTGCTCAGGAAAGCAGAGGAGTGGGGTAGAGAGAGGCAGCGTTGCCAGCTGTGAAGTTGGAGGAAGAGAGTTACATGCTAAGGAAGAGAAGTGGTGTTTAGAAGCTGGAAAAGCAAAGAGAAAGACTTACCTCTGGAACCTCCAGAAAGGAATGCAACCCTGCCAACACCTAAATTTTAGCCCATTGAGACCCAAGTTAGACTTTTAAATTGTAGAACTGTGAGATAATAAATTTGCGTTACTTTAAACCACCAATTGCATAGTAATTTGCTACAATAGCAATAAAATACTGATAACAGGTAAAAGATCATATGAGGAGGGTGATACAGTAAATAATATATAAATAATTATGCTATTATTTTTGTTTTCAGTTATTTCCAAGGAGACCATATCCCTTGACCAGTGATAGAGGAAGTAACAGTGAATGAAACATCAGAAAAGAGAGGGAGCCTGTGTTCCCCTTCAGTGTTCCAAGAGTGAAAAATTGTTGTATATTAGAAATGTTATAAATCTGACAAACATAATGATGTCAGCAAGGCACAGTTTGAAATGTAAGCTATGGGTCCATTTATTCTGTGTGGCAGTATAAACACTGCAAAATTTTAATCAAGATAGAGAATAAAAACAAAGAAAACTGTAAGCACTTAATCACAGCATCGTATGGAGGACACTTCCACCACCATCTCTAAGTAACTGCTGCCCCCTGACGCACTTCACTAATGCCATTCTTTTATGTTTTTCTGGTTTTCCCAGCACAGGAAGCCTTTTGATTAACCCAACACCAGACAATCTGGTAAACACAATGCGTCCTCCTTAACCCTTTTTGAAGTATCAGTTCATAGCTCACTTTCCTGGTTCCAGCTTTCTATTGTTTTATAACAAACTACCCCAAAACTCAGTAGCTTCACACACTCTTGTTTTGTCTATAGATTTGTGAATCAGGACTATGTGGAGGGTGCAGCTGGTTTGTCTCTGATCAAAGACAGATGGGGCATCTGGGACTGGGGAGTCATTTGCAGAAGGGTTCCTTTATTACCTGTCTGGGGCTAGGACTGGCACCATTGGTGGTTGACACTGGCTATGCTGGACCTGAGCTGGGGCTGTCAACTGGATAGAGGATTTTTTCTTGGGCTCCCCATTTGGCTTGGGCTTCTCACATCATGGAACCTGGGCTTACCAAGGGACCATCCCAAGATCCAGCGTTCTAAGTGCCTAGGCAGAAGCTGCAAGGCTTCTTAGTCCCCAGCCTCAGAAGTCTCAGAACATCATTTCTACCACATTCTATTGGTCAAGCAGGTCAATAAGGTCAGCCCAGATTCAAGGGGGAAAGAGCTAGATTTCACCTGTCAATGCGAAGAGTAGCAAAGAATGTGTGATCATCTTTAATCTACCCATTTACCCATTGCATGGAGACAGACAAGGGCTACCAGAGCCAGAAAGGACCCTCTCCCATTATACAAACAGAAAAACAAAGGCCTAGAAAGATACGGAAATTGCTCAAGTTCATGTAGGGAGGTAGTAATACAACCTAGATTTAATTCCAAGACTCCCTTCCAGTTTCACATTCCAACACCTAATGGCCCCATAGCATCAGCTTTGTCACTATATAGTATAATTATTTATTTCGCAACATTCCTGTATCCAGCACTGTGAATGGACCAGGAGCAAAACACCACAAGAGTTAAGCCTTGTTTTATAAGCCCCTTCAGAAGACAAGACAGACTTCAGCAGGATTGCAGCATAATCTTGAACAAACCACTTTGTTTCTCTGTGTGAAAATTCTCTAAGAGGATTGGTGTGAATATTGCAGAGAAAAGAGTGGTCATACGAGAGAACTGGCACTCACTGGGCACCTACTATGTGTTATTTTGCCTATGTTCATGGCAATTAATGCCTATAATTATCACCTACCCGGAACTATCATGTCCATTTTACAAAAAAGAAAAGCTAGTAATATAAAAGCAACTATCCATACAAAGACTGTTCCAAGCACGGTTCTAAGTGCTTTGCTTCTTTTAACCAACCTTATGCTCACAGTAATAATATGAGCCAGATATTATTATTACCTTCACTTCACACATGAGAAAAATGAAACTATCTGGTAGGAAACTGGGATATGTGGAGAAAAATAATGGGAAAGGATAGAAAGGAGGGGCAACATCGAATAGTCAAGGCCTTCATAGAAAGGACTAAGGGAAGTGGAAGGATTTGCATACTCGCTGGGTCTTAGAGTGATGGTGTCTTTCAGGAGGAGCCTCTGTGGTCAGTTCTTAGCCCTGGCTCTGAATTCTAGAACAATCTCAAACCAATCCCACACTCCTCAACCCTACAAATCACCCAGTCACATTTCTGCCGCCTCTGCCCCATCTTTTTCTTTTTTCATTTTGATCTAAAAAACCATCTGGCCTGCCAGATATTAGGAAAGATCATAGGATCCCTGATTGCACAGGTGCTGAGAGACAACAACAAGAGCTGCCTTTCTAAAAGTCAAGATGAATAAACATATGGATTTCCATTTAGTATAGGCCAGGAACCTTATAGCACTGCTCAGAGGGAGGCAAAAGCTGGAATCTGGTTCAGTAGGGGAGAGAGACCGGCTTTTCTCCATTCCTCATCCTTTCCCCCTCTTAATGACTCAATTGCAGTGTAATTAAAGGAACAAAACTCAAGAGGGGTGGGGAAGACTAGCAAGAAGAGTCAGCAGAGTGAGAAATCACCTTGGAGCACAGCCCAGGCACTGCTGACCAGGGAAAGCCCAGCCCTGCCTGCCTGGGCATGTAACCCTCCTACACGGTGCAGCTGGGCTGAGCCTCCATGGGATCTAGCCCTTGGAGACTTGTTTTTCCTTTCCAGAAATGGACTTTCAAAGCTAAATTTATCCCTGTAGATCAGCCACATGGGGTATGATAGATTCAGAAGACAACTGAGACAGATTTTGCCAAAATCCAAAATGAGAGGACTGATGGTTGCCCTATTTTTCTTTTTAAAAATTATTAGAAAGATGCAAAGGCAGCAGGCAGGTGTCTTTATGGGAATAACTTCAGGCTCTTGGGTTGCAAAACAGGATTTACAGGATGACATATCGCCCCCATGGTGTCTTCATCAAAGTATCCTCTAGTCAAATAGGTTCACAGACAGAGAATTCTCTATATGTATTGAATACCTTGATCAGTAATACTAGGCCTAATATTATTAAAGCTACTAAAAAATAAATGAATAAATGCTATAAATAATATCAGGCCTAGTATTACTGATACGGATATATAGAGAGAACATTTCAGTACTAATTATGTGCCTGGCCCTGGAAATCCTCACAGCTACCTTATAAGGAAAGCATTATTATTACTCCCATTTTATCCATGAGGAAATAGAGTCAGAAAGTATGAGAAACTTGCCCAAATCCAACCAGCCAGGTAAAGGCAGAGGAAACTCCAAACTCTGTCAAACTCCAAAGCTCATTCTCTTAATTCATCAGAAGACACCCTCCCAAGGCTGAGAATAGTTCCCTAGGGATAAGGCGAATGTCCCCAATGTCAGGAAGCATGAAGAGAGGGGCACTTTCTTCTCTTTACCCTCTATCAATGTCCAGTATTTATTTCTCCTCCACTGCATCCAAGAGATCCAGAGGAAGCTAAAGAGGCTAAGTATTGGAAAAGGACATAGGAATAGTCAGTAAAGAAGGAAATTGGAACTGTATTGGAAAAGGACATAAGAATAGCCAGTAAAGAAGGGAATTGGAACTGTACTGTGTCCACTGATTCAATGCCTGCACACAGGACTCAAAGTTTGGGAAATGAAAAGGAGGGAGTAGCTCCTCAATCAGGAGCATTTGCATCTTTCCAATCAGTGCATTTGCATCTTTCCTTTATGAATTTGGAGCAGGCTGGGTGGGTAGGTGGGGTAATAGGGTTTCCAAGATTATTGTGTGTGGCATTCTCATAAAGCCTATGCACCCTTTTATGACATTAAATATTTTTTTCTTCTCATGACATTTGAAGCCTTCTCTATTTTTCCCCTTATTTTATTTCGTTGGGACTTGGATTTGCTGGGTCTGATGGTATTTCTGGTAAGCTGGTTTTATTGTGTGGAAGTCATTATCTGTTAAAGTCAGGAAGCAGCCCCCCTTTTTCCAAAGTGATGGGTTTTACCCTTTGATTCCTGAAATAATGGTGGGGGGGGAATAATGAGAAGGGAGGCCGGGCGCGGTGGCTCAAACCTGTAATCCTAGCACTTTGGGAGGCCGAGGTAGGCGGATCACAAGGTCAGGAGTTCGAGACCATCCTGGCCAACATGGTGAAACCCTGTCTCTACTAAAAATACAAAAAAATTAGCAGAGCGTGGTGGCAGGCTCCTATAGTCCCAGCTACTCAGGAGGCTGAGGCAGGAGAATGGCGTGAACCCGGGAGGCGGAGCTTGCAGTGAGCCAAGATGGTGCCACTGCACTCCAGCCTGGGGGACAGAGGGAGACTTGTCTCAAAAAAAAAAAAAAAAAAAGAGAGAAGGAAGCCCCAAATTGGAGGCAGGAAATGGAAGCTGCACTCCTAGTTTTCCCAACTGTTGTCTGCAAGCCCTGCATAAATCACTGCTCCCACTACCATCTCCCACTACCATCCCCTACTTTTGGGAAGACACTATAGTGCTTAAGTACACAGTTTTTAGCATCAGAGAAACCTGGGCCAAAATCTTACCTTGTCATTCACTAGCCATGTGACTTTGGGAAAAGTTACTTAAAGCCTCTTAGCCTTGGGTTCCTGTTGAGTAAAATGGGGATAATACTACTTATGCCTGCCAAAGCTGCTGTTAGGACTAACTGAGAATGCATACGCAATGGGCTAGAACATGGCCCTAAGCAGGCACAAAACATGGTTGCTATTATTATTATCTGATATCTCATGCAGGGTTGAGTATGGTGGTGGTGGCAATGATGAGAGCTAAAATTGTTTGAATGCTTGCTATGATTCAAGGCTTCTGAGGTGGATCTCATTATTATCCCTTTTCTTACAGATGGGAAAACTGAGCCAGAGAAAACTTAGGTAATTTGCTCAGGACCACAAAGCTACTCAGTTCTAGAGCAGGGAATTCGGGCCAAATTGGGCCAAAGCAGGTTGATAACAAAACCCTTAACCAGGACAAATTCATATATATCACTAATATTGCCTAATATTTCATGAAGGGGAACATCCCAGCATTTGCTTTGTCTTCTGGTTGGACATGTTGATTGCTTCCAGATTTAGTCTATTATAAACCGTGCTGCTCTGAGCACCTTTGGGCAGAAGCCACCTTCTGTGTTTTGAGCTGTTTCTTTAGAAGAGATTCCCAGAAGTCTGTAAGGACAGTTTTCAAATTGTATTAGTGTTTCATGATTTGGGTGAAGGTGTGGGATGGATTTTTTCAAAAGGAGCAATAGAGCATCTGGTGCTCCACACTGTTTTAGGTGCTGCTTTTCTTTCAGAGTGCAGCCCAAGGGCGGGCTAGGGTATTTGGCCTAAAGGGTCTCTGATCAGGAGAGTGATAAAATAAATGTAGTACATGTGGGAGTGGAGTCCAGTGAGGTGTGCACTGTGTCTGTGAGAGAGGGTCCAGATACAAGAGGCAATGCAGAGGAGAGTAAATGAGGCCGTGGGTCTGCTGTCTCCTTGAGGGTTTGAGGAGGTCAGAAGCCATGACTACAGAACTTTTAGTGGTTGTGCCAAGCACCAGTGAGTGTCTCCTGAGGCATCAGAATGCTGATCATCAGACACCTTCTCCTTAGCTCTGAAACGAAAAGCTGGAATAATTGTGTTCATCTTAATTATAATAATAGAATTTTTGCATTCATAAGGTATTTTCTCCATCTGATCATCAATCTTCCTTTAAAAATTTTTTTTGGTTTTCTAAAAGTAGCTCATTCTCATTATAAAATAAAATAAATTTGTACAGTGTTGAAATGTATAAAGAAAAAAACTCAAGGCCCCCTTTCTTAACTACTCACCCACTTTAGATAAATGTGCCACGGTTTGGTGTATATATAGATAGATACATATCCTTCCATACACTTCTTCCCTATGCATATGCAAATATAAATAAGAATTTATATATGTAATTTTAAAAATGGAAGCATAAAAAGCATACAGTTGTGTTTCTTCGGGACAATTTTCTAAGTCAGAACTACACATTCTGCTTTTCCTAGAGCTTTTCCAATTTTTTTTTCTTTTTAGGACAACTGACTTCCTAGCTTGATCTTAACCGTGTGTGTGTGTGTGTGTGTGTGTGTGTGTGTGTGTGTGTATTTTCCCCTTGGGTAATAAATAAAGATGATCAAATTGAGGCTAAAGAGCACAAGAGCTATGCTTGGATAGAACCCAGGTGTCTGAAATTCCAGTGTAGGACTCTCTTCCACCCAGGATAACATGCTTTTATTTTTATCATCATTCTTTTGTCTTTTATCATAGGTCTTGAGGATAAATGGATGACAAATGACATTATTATTATTGTTATTAAATTTTACAAATAATAAAGGTATCCTTTTGCCTGTATTCTCCAGCTTCTCTCTGATCCCTGCTTTAAGAAGTCTTGACCCACTAGCCCAGGTATTTTGAAATCCCTTTCCCTTGAGGGAGCAAACAGTGAGAAGGTTTCATCAAACACTCAATAGCCTTTCTCCTCATTGAGAAAATTCTACCCGAACTGAGTGACAGACGTTCCTAGAGAGAGATGGGCTAGTTAATCAGAATTCCAGTCCAGTAAAAAGAATAGACTTGTCCATAATTCAGAGTTGGATTCAAATCCCATCCCTGTAACTGGGAAGCTGTGTGACTTTGGACAAATTGCTGAATGTATCTGAGCCCCTCTAATCTGATCCATAAAATGGGAATGATCCCTGCACCTTACAATATTGTTGGCCGGACCCAGTGAAAGTAGCCAGGCATGAGCAAAACCCAGGGCCATGGCCTCCCTTCCTAAGATCAGGTCCTATTGTGTAGAGAGGAGCTTGTTGAGCTAGGAAACTTAGTAGCCTTTTCTGGCTTTCCTTGGTTTTCAGAAATTTTCTTCATCATCACTGAAAGGGAAAGGTGATTTTTCAGGCCCATGATCATGGGGATAATACAGTCCGAGGTGATGAAGGGACCCTGTTTCTCAACATGACTCTGTTTACTGTGAATCCTCAGCTATGCTCCTGTCCTTCCTACAAATTCAGAGTTAAACTTGATTCTCTCTGGGGCATCTCCCTTTCCCGCCACAGTACCTAAGTCAAAGATGTACTTGGTTCCAGAGGGGGAAGACACTGCAGATAGGCCTATATAAGAGCCAGTGGGATTTGGCACCCCTCAACTTACTCTGCAGAGCTGTTCTTTCATGCACATTGAACCTTAGGGAGAAGATGAGGTTCTCCATTGGAGGAATTTCAGGCAGAAGTGGTGGAACTGACCTTCACGTTTTTGTTGTTGCCTTATTTAGGTAATGAAGCAATTCAACTAAAACGTGTTTTTTTTTAATTATGAAATTATTATATGCACATACAAGAATATTTAGGACATATAGAGAAAAAATAAAGAACAATATCACCCATAGTCATGTCACCTCCAAATAGCTACTACTAACATTTTGACATGTCCTTTTAGTAGATTTACTATAAGATAGATAGATAACTAGATAGATAGATAGATAGATAGATAGATAGATAGATAGATAGATGTTTAGCAATTTTACTGTGCAATATAATATATAGAAAAATATGTAAAACATTATTTACAGTTTTGATACGAATTAAGCAATTCTCACCTAAACCATCACCCATGTCAAGAAATAGAATATTGCCTGCATTCCATAAGCCCTCCCCCAACACACCCACCATGCCTCCATTTCCAATTGTAACCCTGTCCTCCCTTCTGGAAGTGGCCAAGACCCTGTCTTTTATGCTAATCATGTTTTTTTTACAGTTTTCCCACTTAGGTATGCATAGAGCAGCTCTTTTATGTGATTCTTGACTGTTGGTAATGGATTCTCCAGCATCTAGCACATCTTATCAAACTAGATCAAACTTGCCTTTGGTTGAAGCAAAAACTGGTTATTAGACAACCCACAGTTGAATTTTAGCTGCATTCAGAGCTCAACAACTAAGTACTGCTGTGTAAGACCCTCTTCTGGGCCCTAACATTAGAAAGATACTGTGTCCTAACTAGCAAAGAGTCCATAGTCTATTTACAGAGCTAGAAAATGATGCTTTGGATCCTACTCCCTAGAGTCACACATGGATCCTTCCTTTCTGCACAATGATAGGATGAACTTTCTCCTTCCATAATGATTCCCTCTGGTGTAGACTCTGGTTTGGGCTGCTGCTTCTCTCTTTTGAATCTTTGGCACCCACATGAGCGTATTTATTTTTCTCCAGCTGGTACCAACCCTTGCAGGTTTTTTCCTAAGGCTCATTTTAAAATGTTACATCTTGAGTTCATCCTGGGTAAGAGGAGAACCTTTTAGGCAGGGGGTGGGGTAGAAAAAAAGAACAAATGTCTCAAATGACTTTTAAGTGTAACTTTGGATCTCTGAATCTTGATAACACCCTAGCAAAATGGTATCTCAGTCTCCATCCTGTGAGTGTGGAAGCCAACTCAGAAAGGGAAGTGACATGTTCATTGTCACTCAGATAGGAATTGGTAGCATGGATATCAGGACTCCAAAATAAGGACTCCAGTAACCACTAGATGACATTGGTGGGGATTTGAGAGCACTGGTTCTGGGGTCTGGCTTCCCAGCACACAGATTCCTGCTGTTCTAGTTGATGACATTGGGCAATGTAGTATCTGTGTTCTCATATGTACAACAGCATCTCAACATGGAGTTGTGGGGAAAGTTAAGGGGGATGATGTGCACTTCACCCATCACTCAATATTTAGTACTCAGTAAATAGCATGTAGAGAACAGTCAGACAGGCTACTGGGGAGGCCTTGGGAATAAAACCTTGAAGGGCCCTGCCCTGGACTGGGTGGTTAGTGCCTTGCTGGCCTTGCTGTGGGTGTTGCAGTTGATCCTGGATTCCCATCACTTGTGAGTTTCCTTCCACCCACGTCCGTCCCCAGAACACTGGACTTGGGAACCTCATCCTTTTCAATCCCCTGAGGGTCCAACATATATGGCATCTGTCTCCATTCAGAGAAGGATTTTTTTTCTTCTTTTAAATTGCTCTCTGCAACAAAAAATAAAATATGCATACCATCCAAAATTATACTCAACATAAGCTGAATAAATATATACCCACAGAAGCATATGCTCAATGGTTGCTGCTCTATGCTTTGCAAAGCCAACCAGCTTTAAAATCTTTCTCACTCACAGTCTGAGTGATCAATGAGAAGGTGTGATGTGAGGACACAGCCTCAAGCTGCTAATTGAGTTTTTAGTGACAAGAGATGGGGAAGCGATACCAGCCTGTTAAACCTAGCAGCATGGAAAAGTCCGTATGTCCAGCCTGCCCTAATGAAGGCCTGGCCCTGACCCCTGAATAAGTAACTCACTGCTAGGCACAAGTTATTTGGTATCAAGCTGTACAGGTTCAAATCCTGTCTCGATCCCTTCCTCTGTAATGAGACAAGTTGCTTTAAACCTCTTTAAGTCTTAATCTCCCAGTATTCAAAAAAAGGGTGAAATAATAGTACCTGCAAATTAATATATATTGGTGTTTATCCCTGTTTCTGGGCATATAACTTCTAAAATTCTTGTTATCATTAAAGTGATAAGTGTCTTTTGTATACTAATGAGTTGACTGATGGCTATCCACCCTTAGGTAGCTTCAGGGTGAGGGCTGGTCACAGGAAAGGCCAAGACAAGATTAGAGGGTTGGGACTTTTAGCCCCACCCCCAACCTCTGAACTGGGGAGAAGGGCTTAAAGGTTAAGTTGATCACCAGTGGCCAATGATTTAATCAATGCTGTCTAAGTATTGAAGTGTGCATAAAAATCCAAAAGGACTAGGTTCAAGAGTTTCCAGAGAGTAGAACACATGGGGGTTCCTGGAGGACGATGTGCTCAGACAGGGCATGGAAACTCCGTGCCTCTTCCCACATTATTTGCCCTGTGCAACTTTTCCATCTGGTGATAATTGGTATATCCTTTATAATAAACCAGGGAACATAAGTATTTCCCTGAGTTCTGTGAGCTGCTGTAGCAAGTTCATGAAACCCAAGGAAGGGATTGTGGGAACCCTGATTTATAGCTGGTCATCAGAAGCACAGGTTTAATAACCTGGGGCTTGGAATTGGCAGTGGAAATTGGAGGCAGTCTTATGGGACTGAGTACTCAACCTGTGGGATCTGACACCATCTCCAGTTAGATAGTGTCAAAATTGAACTGAATTAGAGGACACCCAGCTGGTGTCTGCTGAAAGATCTCCCAGAGAACTGGTTGCTGCCAGAGAGAAATTGCCACACACTTCTTGGTGACCAGAGGTCACAGAAGTGTTCTGTGTTGATTGTGTGGTGAGAGGGTATCACAGGAGAAACTGAGTTTGTTTTTCCTATGTCACACTACCTTACATGGTTGTTGTATGAGGAAGTATTGCGGAAGGGCTAAGAAAAGAGACTCAGGTGCCAGGCTTCCTGGCTCCACCACTTACTGGCCGTGTGACCTTCATCAAGTTAATACACCTCTTCGTGCTGCGCTTCAGATTCTCCATCTGTTAAGTGGGCATGATATTGGTGTTTGGTGTTTGCCACATAGGTTTGCTTTGAGGAGGGAATGAGTTAATGCACATTCAATGCTCTTAGGAGGAGACCTGGTTTCATAGTCAAGTGCTCAGGCAATGTCACAATAAGCTATTTTCCCCAAATACCTCCCTGCACTTGATCTGTAGCAAAATTCCCTCGGCTCTGTGCTACTCAGAGAAGTAATAGGACATGAGGCTTCTGAAAACAGAAAGACATCCAAGCATCTATGGTGAGGACCTGAAGCAAGTCATCTTCCCTCTCCAAGCCTGTTTTCCATCTGTGAGTGGTGAAAATAATGGTGCATTCTTTTCTGGGTTGTTGGGAAGATTTCATAAATTAGCATAGCCTAGCAGTGTGTCTGGTGTATGGGGGGTACACAACAGATGTTCATTTTCCTCCCAGCGCCTTGAACCCAGGTGAAGACAGTTAGAGCCTCTGCCTTGGGAACAGAGAGAGCTCCTTCACTGAGCCATGCCATCAGCCCAGAGGGTACAGCTTTGTAGCAGTGCAGACCTGAGTGGAGCCTCTGTCCCGCCCCACATCTAATCACTGTATGATCTTGGGAAGTTCTCTTACATCTCTGCACCTCAGGATATTATTCTTCCAAATGGCGTCAGCACCTCTCTCCATGAGGCTAGAAAAATATAACAGATGAGGAAGTAACTTAGAAAGCTTAACACATTGTAAAAGGCAGCGTAGTGTGGCTTCAGATCCTGGCTGTGCCACTCACTTGCCTTGTTTCCTTGGGACAAGTTCCTAAAGCTGTCTGTGCCATAGTTTCCCTCTCTGTAAAATGAGTAGACTAGTAGTTCCTATACCATCAGGCTGTGCACATAATGAGTTAATATTCAAAACACATCGAAACAGTGCCTGGCACATGATAAGTGCCATTAAGTGTTAGCTATTATTATTATTAATGAGCTACACAAAGGCTATTTATTATCATCACCAGATAGGTATTGAATAGACATTCCTCAGGAGTCTTGGCAGATTTTCCTAGGAAAGTGTTCCCTGGCCTCCCTTGCCTCAGCCCTTGGTGCTTATAAAAATCCTCAGCTGGGCACGGTGGCTCATGCCTGTAATCCCAGCACTTTGGGAGGCAAAGGCGGGTAGATCACAAGGTCAAGAGATTGAGACCATCCTGGCCAACATAGTGAAACGCCGTCTCTACTAAAAATACAAAAATTAGCTGGGCATGGTGGTGTGTGCCTGTAGTCCCAGCTACTTGGGAGGCTGAGGCAGGAGAATCACTTGAACCAGGGAGGCAGAGGTTGCAGTGAGCCGAGATTGTGCCACTGCACTCCAGTCTGGTGACAGAGCAAGACTCCATCTCAAAAAACAAAACAAAACAAAACCTTGAGAACTATAAGAATGTGCTTACTTACTTTTCTCCCCCCATTAGAATATATGTTTTTTTTTGTTTTTTGTTTTTTGTTTTTTGTTTTTTTTTTTTTTTTTTTGAGAATGAAGCTAAGGCTTTATAATTCCTGGAAGACAGCAGGTTCTGAATAGGCATTTGTTGAACTGAACCCTTGCTGTGTGCAGAAGGCTTCGCGACTGCCACCAAAAGGTTGACCAGCCATTTTAAGAGGCTGTAGGGGAAAGCTTCAAGCATGTTCCCAAGCCACTTGCACTAGAGCAGGTGCTGCCTACTGCGAGAACCTACCTCCCTTGGAATTCCTATTGACCACTGGCAGAGAACCATAGAATGTCCAAGATGGGAGACCCCTTACGGACCAGCTACCACTTTTCTCACTGGACAGTTAGGAAGATTGACGGCCAGAGAAGGGCAGGGATGTGCCCAAAGCAAGGATGGTAACCTGTGTCCCCTAATTACGTGGGACTCCTCTAATGGGAAAAGTAGCCAGCATATATTCAGATAATTAGCTGTGATCAGTGTGTGTGAGCAAACCCAGCCACGCAGTAGCATGCTGTCATTGCAGCACTGCTCTTGATCAGAAACCATCCTGAAACATGGCTTATCTCTCTCTTGGGGTTGATCCGGTCCCTCCAGTTGGTCTAGATTTTCTTTGAAGTTAGGAACCATTATGCCTTTCACTCTCTGCTTCCCTTTTATTAAAATACATTTTTAAAATTGTTTTAATTGTGATAAGATATGCATAACATAAAATTTATCTCCTTAAGCATTTGAAGTGAACAGTTTGGTAGCGTGATGCAAATTCACATTGTTGTACACCCAATCTACAGCACTTATCTCTCAAAACTGAAACTCTATACCCATTAAATAATTCCTCATTCTCCCTTCCCCCAGCCCCTGGCAACCACCATTCTGCTTTCCATCTCTGTGAATTTGACTGCTATAAGCACCTCATATAAATAGAGTCATATAGTATTTGTCTTTTTGTGACTGGCTTATTTCACTTAGCATAATGTCCTCAGGGTTCATCCATGCTGCAGCGTGTGTCAGAATTGCCTTCCTTTCTAAGGCTGAATAATATTCCATTGTGTGTGTATATGTATCTGTCAATGAACATTGGTTGTTCCTACCTTTTAGGCTATTATGAATGACAATGCTATGAATAAGGGTGTATAAATATCTCTTTAGGATTTTATTTTCAGGGCTTTTGGATATATATCCAGAAGTGCAATTGCTAGATCATATGGTAGTTCTATTTTTAATTTCTTGAGGAACCTCCATACTGTTTTTCATAGCAGCTGCACCATTTTACAATCCTATCAAGAGTGTGCAAGGGCTCCAATTTCTCCACATCTTCACCAACACTCATTATTTTCTGAATTTTTGGTAACAGCCATCCTAATGAGGGTGAGGTAGTTTCGATTTGCATTTCGCTAATGATTCACTAATCATTTTGGTCATCTTTTCATGTGCCAATTGGCTGTTTGTATATCATTTTTAGAGAAATGTCTATTCAAGTCTTTTGCCCATGTTTTAATCAGGTTGTTTTTTGTTGTTTGGCACATTTTTTATCATAAGCCATTTTGAACTATGACTTTTCTCCCTCTGGGAATTTACCTGATCTCTACCATTGGTCTAGATTCTTCCTGAAGTCGGGAACTCTCACATTTTCTACTTCTTGGTGCCTCCACAAGAAAGGAATGGTACGTTTGGGAGGCCGAGGCGGGCGGATCACGAGGTCAGGAGACCGAGACCATCCTGGTTAACACGGTGAAACCCCGTCTCTACTAAAAATAAGAGAAACAAAATTAGCCAGGCATGGTGGCAGGCGCCTGTAGTCCCAGCTACTCGGGAGGCTGAGGCGGGAGAATGGCGTGAACCCGGGAGGTGGAGCTTGCATTGAGCCGAGATCGCACCACCACACTCCAGCCTGGGCAACACAGTGAGACTCCGTCTCAAAAAAAAGAAAGAATGGTATGGTACAGTGGAGAGAGCAGGGGCCTGGAGTCAAACGCCCCCATGTTTGCACCCTGGTTCTGCTAGAACTACAAGGAAAGACATATCCAGCCACAAAGCCTCAGTTTTCTCTTCTGCAGACATCAAGCTAATAACAGCAATAACAGCAATCTCATAGAAGTGTGGGCCTTCAGCAAAGCAGTATAAGGAAAACACTTCCTATAGTGCCTGGCCCACAGTGTGTCCTGAAAGCATTTGAATTTCCTTTCTGGTGTCTTCAGTAAGTGTGTGTTGAAGGCTGCACAGATGGCTGGCATGTGGGGATAATGGCCTGTTGGTATTTCATTGGAACTCAAGCCAAAACTAAGCAATACAACCAGACATTTTATTACATTCCAAAAATATTTACTGAGCACTGAATATTAAGAGTGATAATAATCATAATAGCAACTTTTATAACAATCAGGATCTTACCATTGTGCTAGATACTATGTTAGGGACATTAAATGTCTAACTTTTTGTTTTTTTTTTTTTCCTCCGTAGCAATTCTGAGTAGGTGTAATTAGGCTCATTTTACTTTGAGGAAGTTGAGGTTCAAATGTTAACGAAGTGACTGGCTAACATTACATGGTTAGTAAGTGGCAAAGACAGGTGGGATTCAAGCCCAAGCTTGCTTGACCCCAAAGGCCACATTTGCCTTGCATACTGGCTTGTCTCCCTCCCACGTGCTGGACTGAGAAAAGGAAGCTGTGTGTATTACAGTCCCTGTCCCCAAATAGCTGTGGACTCGTAGGGAAACAGACTGTGACCCAGAAACCGTCCCACCTGGCAGAATAAAGCTTGTGCTAGGAGAAGAATAATGAACATGGGAGAAAAAGAAAACTGATTCTTTCTGATGTGGGACATCAAAAGGAAGAAGGAACTTCCACACAAGGATTTTTCATTCGTGACAGCACTCAATGTTCCCAGCAATCCCAGGAGGCGGTTATTTATTATTGAGTCTATTTTAGAACAGGAAAAACAGGACCAGAAAAGTGCAGTGACTTGCCTGAAGTCACACAGCTAGGAAATGACAGTATCTGGATTAATCTTATTTTTATTTTTTTGTCTCCTCAGCATTCTTCTGCTTTTTGAACTCAGGAACATAACCACAGAGACTGCTGAGAAATAATTTACAGAGTTTTTTAAAATTTGATTAAAAAATAATTTCAACATTTATTTTAGCTTCAGAGGGTACATGTGCAGGTTTGTTACCTGGATATATTGTGTGATTCTGAGGTTTGCAGTACAATTGATCCCATCACTCAGGTACTAAGCGTAGTGCCCAATAAGTAGTTTTTTAATCCTTGCACCTGTTTCTTCCCTTTCACCTCCCTGCCTCCTTCCCCCATCTGGTAGTCCCCAGTGTCTATTATTGCCATTTTAATGTCCATAAGTACCCAATATATAGCTCCCACTTTTTTTTTTTTTTTTTGAGACAGAGTTTTGCTCATGTTGCCCAGGCTGGAATGCAATGGTACGATCTTGGCTCACTGCAACATCTGCCTCCCGAGTTCAAGCAATTCTCCCCCATCACCCTCCCGAGTACCTGAGATTACAGGTGCCCGCCACCACCCCTGGCTAATTTGTTGTATTTTTAGTAGAGATGGGGTTTCACCATGTTGGCCAGGCTGATCTCAAACTCCTGACCTGAGGTGATCTATCCACCTTGGCCTCCCAAAGCACTGGGATTACAGGCATGAGCCACCACGCCCGTCCTAGCTCCCACTTATAAGTGAGAACATGCGGTATTTAGTTTTCTCTTCCTGTGTTAATTAGCTTAGGATAATGGCCTCCAGCTGCATCCATATTGCTGCAAAGGACATGATTTTTTTATGGCTGCATAGTATTTCAAGTGTATACACACCACATTTTTTTAAATCCAATCCACCAGTTGATGGGCACAGGTTGAGTCCATGTCTTTGCTATTGTGAATAGGGCAACAATGAACACACGGTTGCGTGTGTCTTTTTGGTAGAACGATTTATTTTCTTTTGGATGTATACCCAGTAATGGGATTGCTGGCTCTGAAGGATACATAAGATTCTTCAGGAAGAGGAGGCCAGGCCTGGCTGAGGGCAAAATGTGGAGAGAGATACTGAGGGTTGGACCCTGCAGAGAACAGGTGCTGCCTGGTAGTGCCTAAGTGGTTTCCAGATCCAGGTGTAGGCAGAGGTGAAGCAGGGGCGTGGTTTTCATTCTCTGCCAGGGAGCTCTCCTGGGGGATGGGGGCAGGCTCTGTCTCCTCCACTCTGAAGTCTCAGGCCCCCTGGTGGTGCCTGCAGCTGCTGTCCTTCATTACCAAGGACTATTGATCCCTGTAATCCTTTTTGCATGCCCTCCCCCCGCCCCACCCCACCCTCGCCGCTTCCCTCCTTGTGAGCACCGAAGTCCAGCACAAATTGAGCGGCAGCTGAATTGGCATGAGTTGATTAAAACTCCCAGTAATTATGGGATCTTGATTGATCCAAATCAATGTCAGCATTAATAGACGGGCTAGCTGGCCTGGTTGACAGATTGAGGCTGAGTGGCAAGAGGGGTGGGGGACTGGGGACTGGCAGAGCCTTTCCCACTCACTTATATGCCAGGAAGCACACCAGAGCTCTCCTGGGATGAGAAGAACCAGGCCCACTCAGTTTCTTATCAAAGGGATGGTTCATATTGAAGAATTCAGCAGCCCTTCTTCAGCCTGTGTGATCTTCAATAACCTTGCCTGTAAAATGAGTATATTGTATCTTAGAGGTCCTCTGAGTTTTGTGGGGATTAAAAAAGATAGCATATTGGGAAACATCCAGCTTATGGTAGGTGCATAATAAATATGCATTTCATTTCCTTCCTTGCATCTTTCCCTATCTCTTCTTCCCAAGATGCTGTACCTAATCTGTACATCCAAGACTATGCCACAAGCAACCTCTCTGTCCCTAAAGCACCAAAGTCCTCCGATAACTCATTACAGGGCCCTTCCCACAAGGTTCTCAGAATCTCTGTGTTACACTAGCCAGTCTGAACCACTTGTAACACCACAGACAAGCCACCTCCATGTGGTTCAGGGAAAAGAGAACCTCATTTGGCCCCATAGTCAGGGGGCCTTCAGTGGTGGGCTCAGTCAGACTCTTGCTTGCTGTATGACCCAAGGCAGCTCACCTGACCTCTGAGTTTTAGTTTCCTCATTGGAAAAGTAGGCATGGAAGAAATGCCTAACCATTTCCCTGTATATGGTTCCCTTACATTTCTCCCTGAATGTGTCCTATTTGGAGAAAGTAACAAGGTAACTACAATAGCAGTTAGCATTTAGTGAGCACCTGTCAGGCATCAGGCACATATCAGGTAAATGACCTCCTGGGATCCTCTCACAAGCCTAGTGAGGAAGGAGTTATTTTCTCCAATGTATAAATTGTGGAAACTGAGACTCAGAACAGCCAGGGCACACATTGAGGAAGTGGCTCAGTCAGACTTCATTCACAGTTGTGTCTATTCTTTGTGACTGACAGTGTATTCTGGCTTTCATTATGTGTTTAGTCTCGTTATTTTCACCTCTCATTTCATCTTTACTACTGCTGGGCATGGTGGCTCATACCTGTAATTCCAGGGCTTTGGGAGGCTGAGATGGAGGATCACTGGAGGTCAGGAGTTCAAGACCAGCCTGGTCAGCATAAGACTCCATATCTACAAAAAATAAAAATAAAATTAGAGTCAGTCTCCTCTCCCTCTCCCTCTCCCTCTCTTTCCACGGTCTCCCTCTCATGCCGAGCCGAAGCTGGACGGTACTGCTGCCATCTCGGCTCACTGCAACCTCCCTGCCTGATTCTCCTGCCTCAGCTTGCCGAGTGCCTGCGATTGCAGGTGCACGCCGCCACGCCTGACTGGTTTTCGTATTTTCTTGGTGGAGACTGGGATTCGCTGTGTTGGCCGGGCTGGTCTCCAGCTCCTAACCGCGAGTGATCCGACAGCCTCGGCCTCCCGAGGTGCCGGGATTGCAGACGGAGTCTCGTTCATTCAGTGCTCAATGGTGCCCAGGCTGGAGTGCAGTGGCGTGATCTTGGCTCGTGCAACCTCCACCTCCCAGCAGCCTGCCTTGGCCTCCCAAAGTGCCGAGATTGCAGCCTCTGCCCGGCCGCCACCCCGTCTGGGAAGTGAGGAGCTTCTCCGCCTGGCCGCCTATCGTCTGGGATGTGAGGAGCCCCTCTGCCTGGCTGCCCAGTCTGGAAAGTGAGGAGCGTCTCTACCCGGCCGCCATCCCATCTAGGAAGTGAGGAGCGCCTCTTCCCGGCCACCATCACATCTGGGAAGTGAGGAGCGTCTCTGCCCTGCCGCCCATCGTCTGAGATGTGGGGAGCACCTCTGCCCTGCCGCCCCGTCCGGGATGTGAGGAGCGTCTCTGCCCGGACGCCCCGTCTGAGAAGTGAGGAGACCCTCTGCCTGGCAACCGCCCCGTCTGAGAAGTGAGGAGCCCCTCCGCCCGGCAGCCGCCCCGTCTGAGAAGTGAGGAGCGTCTCCGCCCGGCAGCCACCTCGTCCGGGAGGGAGGTGGGGGGGTCAGCCCCCCACCCGGCCAGCCGCCCCGTCCAGGAGGGAGGTGGGGGGGGTCAGCCCCCCGTCCGGCCAGCCGCCCCGTCCGGGAGGTGAGGGGCGCCTCTGCCCGGCCGCGCCTACTGGGAAGTGAGGAGCCCCTCTGCCTGGCCACCACCCCGTCTGGGAGGTGTACCCAACAGCTCATTGAGAACAGGCCAGGATGACAATCGCGGCTTTGTGGAATAGAAAGGGGGGAAAGGTGAGGAAAAGATTGAGAAATCGGATGGTTGCCGTGTCTGTGTAGAAAGAGGTAGACATGGGAGACTTTTCATTTTGTTCTGTACTAAGAAAAATTGTTCTGCCTTGGGATCCTGTTGATCGGTGACCTTACCCCCAACCCTGTGCTCTCTGAAACATGTGCTGTATCCACTCAGGGTTGAATGGATTAAGGGCGGTGCAAGATGTGCTTTGTTAAACAGATGCTTGAAGGCAGCATGCTCCTTAAGAGTCATCACCACTCCCTAATCTCAAGTACCCAGGGACACAAACACTGTGGAAGGCTGCAGGGTCCTCTGCCTAGGAAAACCAGAGACCTTTGTTCACTTGTTTATCTGCTGACCTTCCCTCCACTATTGTCCTGTGACCCTGCCAAATCCCCCTCTGCGAGAAACACCCAAGAATGATCAATTAAAAAAAAAAAAATAATAATAATAATAATAATAATGAAATAAAATAAAATAAAAAAATCAGCTGGGTGTGGTGGCGGGCACCTGTGGTCCCGGCTACTCAGGAGGCTGAGGAAGGAGAATTGCTTGATCCCAGGAGGTGGAGGTTGCAGTATGCCGAGATCACGCCACTGCAGTCCAGCTTGGGCGACAGAGCGAGACTCCCTCTCAGGAAAAAAATATATATATACAAAAATTAGACCGGTGTGGCACACACGGGGCTGTAATTCCAGCAACTGTAATTCCAGCAACTCGGGAGGCCAACGCATAAGAATCGCTTAAACCTGGGAGGCAGAGGTTGCAGTGAGCCAAGATCGTGCCACTGCACTCCATCCTGGGTGACAGAGCGAGACTCTGTCTCAAAAGGAGTACATGAACGATCTTTGGGGATGATGGAAACTTAAATATTGGATCACGGTGCTGGTTGCACAATTCTGCAAATTTAAAATAACTGAATCATATACTTAAATGAGTAAATTTTATGATATGTAGATTATACTTCAATAAAGCTGTTGTTTTAAAAAAAATAAAAATAAAAATAAAATTAGCCGAGCATGATGGCACATGCCTGTAGTCCCAGCTATTCGAGAGGCTGAGGCAAGAGGATCCCTTGAGCCCAGGATTTCAAGACTGCAGTGAGCTATGATTGCACCACTGCCTGCACTCCAGCCTGGGTGACAGAGTAAGACCTTGTCTGTAAAAAATAATAACAATAAATAAAAAATATTTACCATAATTTTTGAGGCATACTATTGTTGAGAGGAGTACTATTAGTAGGAGGTGATACTGTTATTATGCTTTCTCTGGCCATGAGACTTAAAGAAATCAAATACTTACCTAGTCCTTGGAGGAGAACAAGTCATTGTTCATAGTCAAGCAGGTTTGGAGGCATCCTTGTGATGTCTTAAAACATGTTCAATCAATTCCAAGAAAATTCCCCATTTTCCTCTTAAATACTTCAGAGCTAATTTTCCCCTTTCTACAATTCACAGTTGCTTTGATAAAAACTGAGCAGTTAGCACTGAAAGTCTTCTCTGACTTCCTGCTGTCCAGTGCCTCCATTGAAGGAGACTGAGGCTCAGAGTGTTCTCATCTGAAGGCTCTCAGCCAGTTAAAGACCACAGCCCAGGCAGGGCGCAGTGGCTCACGCCTGTAATCATAATCCTATCACTTTGGGAGGCTGAGGCGGGTGGATCACCTGAGGTCAGGAGTTCGAGATCAGCCTGGCCTGGTGAAACTCCATCTCTACTGAAAAAAAAAAAAAAAAAATTGCTGGGCATGGTAGCACACGCCTGTAATTCCAGCTACTTGGGAGGCTGAGACAGGAGAATTGCTTGAACCCAGGAGGCAGAGGTTGCAGTGAGTCGAGATCGTGCCATTGCACTCCAGTCTGGGCAACAAGAGTGAAACTCTATCTCAAAAAGAAAAGAAAGCAACTGGAAATTTTTGGCTGGGTGCGGTGCCTCACAGCTGTAATCCCAGTACTTTGGGAGTGCTGAGGCGGGCGGATCACCTGAGGTCAGGAATTCGAGACCAGCCTGACCAACATGGAGAAACCCCCGCCTCTACTAAAAATACAGAATTAGCCAGGCGTGTTGGTGCATGCCTGTAATCCCAGCTACTCAGGAGGCTTGGGCAGGAGAATCGCGTGAACCTGGGAGGCAGAGCTTGTAGTGAGCCGAGATTGCACCACTGCACTCCAGCCTGGGTGACAGAGCGTGACTCTGTCTCAAAAAACAAAACAAAACAAAAAAAAACACAGCCAGGCAGAACTGGAATCCAGCAATCTGGAGAGCCATTCACATGCATTTATCCAGGGCCTGCTAGTGTTTGCCTGCCACCCCTACTTTGAGGATAATTTCATCATAATCCTTACCTTCCAGAAGGACAAACTGAGGCTCAGACAAGCCAAGGGACTAGCTCAAGGTGTCATAGCCAGTAAAAGGCTGGTTCTAAGACTAGTGCTGTTCCTTTACCCCACCTGCCTTTCAGGCCCAAGTTTGTAGCAAAGAATGAAATTGCCACACTGATGTCACCCAGGACCCAGGTGGGGCAGGGCCCCACCTCCAGCATCAGCAGGAAGTCCCCCAGGCTTATTTACCATATGATTCACTCAGGCCCTAGGACAAATTGTTCTGTTTTGTAAGTTGGTTGTTTTTCCTTCTGCTCAGAACAGCTGGCCCACCTTCTAGACCTGGGGGTGGGGTGGTAAAACAGCTCATTACAAATTTTGTACTCAGAGCAATTTGCATTCCATAATTAATGAACATTAAAATGCATAATTACAAACAGAAACAAATGGCTTGGTGATGATGAAAAGTCGAGCTAGGAAGCAGCAAAGAGCAGGTTCACAGTATGGAGGAAGAAGCTCGGGGGAGCCCAGCAGGGCTAGCCTGTGGGAGGAACCTATGGGAATCCTCCAGGCATCTTCCTCTCCCTCCCCGCTAGGTCTTCAAAATCTCAAGGCTCAGAGACTTGGGCTCAGAGTCTTCCTATGAGTCCTCCCCTGAAATAGAGCAGAATGAGGGATATGAGTCTCTGGAGCTGCACTGACCTGGGTTAGACTCCCCGCTTTCTCACCTACTTACTATAAAACCTCAGCAAAGAGGCACGCCTCCACATGCTAGAGTCCTTATTAGGCTGACTCACTCCCTTTCTCAAGCCCCTGCCCAGATGCACAGAGCCTGCTTCCCCAGACTCCTTTTGTGGACTCTAGGAAATTGCTTAGAGATAACTGGATTCACTAACTTCAGTAATCTCTTCAAAGTAGCAAACAAAATCACTTTATTCCTCTGCCAACAACCCTCCTATGCCTTCCAGTTGCACTTAGAATAAACTCCAGGTGCCTTAACATGGCTGAAGTCACGGGTCTTCAACTTTTTTGTATGAAGGATTATATAGTAAATATTTTAGGCTTTCCAGGTCACATGTGGTCTTTTTTTGTCTCATGTTCTTTTAAAAAAAAAATGTAAAAGCCATTCTTAGCTCTAGGGCTGTGCAAAAACAGGCTTTGGAGGAGTAGACACATTTTCTCTATTTTTCTGGCTAAATACAACCAAAAACCCTGGATGTCCTATATAAAACAAGCATAAGACTGAAAGGTGGAGCATTGCAGACCAGCTGAAGCCTTTGGGACCCAAGGAAAGACATGGTGGTCAGTTCCCTGGATTCTCTCTTTGCCTCATGTGTCCTATTCTTGGAGCTAAAGGAGCCTGCAGCTCAGAAATGCCAGTAGGTACATGTGAAGGAAAACAAAACAAAACAAAACAAAACAAAACAAAACAAAACTGCTCTCCCTAGCCAAAATACCGGGAAAAGGACAACCTAGCAAGACAGAAAAATGCTAGACAATAAGTGCTCTACTCCAGCCAAACACCACAGAAAATGAAAAAAATTAAAATGAACACACCCCTCCCCATGGGAGCAACGGTTGAATGGCGTGGGGAGCCAGGACTTTAATCTCAATGATAGATAGTGAGCACCCCCATCCCCTGGCCTATTCAGCATCAGTGAAGAGCATGGCCTTCCACCCCTAATCCATGACATTGAAGCACCTTCCCCCTTCCTGCTGGGTTGTTGTCAGGGAAGAACTAGTAGAAAGCCAGGACATTCACCACGGACCAGCATTCATGGGGCCACCTTCCACTCAGTGTGGTGTTAGTGGAGATTAAGGGGGGAACAGTGACTAGACATACCTACCACTCCCATCCAGGAAGAGATCCGTGAAGTCCTAGTGGGGAGGTGAATTCCTACCTCATCCAGCTGAAAAGAGGGGCCTTTGGGGTATCAGAGAAGGCCACATGGGGAACTGGGACTTCTTCATTCCCTTGTCAGTAACAAGGCCACTACCTTCCCCTGCTGGATGAGTGTCAGTAGAAGCCAGAGAAAATAGAAGGTTTGAAGGTCTATCTGGGTGCAGTGGCTCACACCTGTAATCCCAGCTATTCAGGAGGCTGAGGCTAGAGGATTGCTTAAGCCCAGGAGTTTGAGGCTATAGTGAGCTATGATTGTGCCACTGTACTCCAACCTGGGTGACGGAGAGAGAACCTCTCTCTAAAATAAATAAATACATGTCAATGAGAAGAGCCAAACTCTGTAAAATATTTGAAAAGATTTATTCTGAGCCAAATATGAGTGACCACGGCCTGTGACACAGCCCTCAGAAGGTCCTGAAAACATGTACCCAAGGTGGTCAGGGAGCAGCTTTGTTTTATACATTTTACAAATGCTTTTGGGGGCAGCGGGTTGTTGGTTCCAGACTATAGGGATATAGGGATGTTCTGGTTAAGATAAAGATTGTGGAGACCAAAGTTCCTTTGACGTCTTTTAGTGGCTGCCCTTAGAGACTATAGACAACAAATGTTTCCTATTCAGATTTTAGTTAATCTCTTTAGGATTGGGAGGGTCTGAAAGAAAAAGATGTAGCTATGTTAATAGACATTCTTTACAGATGCAAAATTTTCCCTACAAAGAACAGCTTTGCAGGGCCATTTCAAAATATGTCAAGAAACGTGTTTTGGGATAAAGTATTTTGCCTTTTCTTCCTTGTCTCATGTTATGCCAGAGCCAGATTGGAAAGTAAGTCACAATGTATAGGATTAAATAAACCCATCTGATGAGAATTTATGATTTGTAGGGCATGACTCCCCAGACCCCTCAGATAGTAATTTGGGCAAGAAAAAAATCAGAATTGGTCTTCATTAATATAATTAAGACCTGGAGTTGAAACATAATAATATAATGTAATGCCAGAAATGTTCAGGTCACATTAAATGTAAATAATTTCTGTTTTAGAAATTTTTTCTTATTTTTTGTGAAACAGCATTTTGCTCTGTCGTCTGGAGTATAGTAGCACAACCACAGCTCACTGCAGCCTCGACTTCTTAGGCTCAAGCGACCTTCCCACCTCAACATCCCAAGTAGCTGGGACTACAGGCACTTACCACAATACTTGGATAATTTTTACAATTTTTTGAAAAGATAGGATCTCACTATGTTGCCCAGGCCAGTCTCAAACTCCTGGCCTTAAGTGACCATCCTGCCTCAGCCTCCCAATGTGCTGGGATTACGGGCATAAGCCACTGTGCCCAGTCGCAAATAGTTTAAATACCAAAATTAAAAGGCATAAATTAGTGGAGTGGGTTTAAAAGCATGACCTAATTATATACTGTCTGCAAGAAATTCACATTGCTTATAATGATATAGACAGATTGAAAGTAAATGGATGGAAAAAGACACATGCAAATCAAACAAAAGTGAGAGTAGCTATATTAATAACAGATAAAGTAGGCCTTCCAAATAATTACCACAGAGGGACACCAAATAATTATAAAATATCATTTACCATGAAGACATAGAAATCCTAAATGTTTATGCATCAAACAACAGAACTGCAAAATGTGTGAGGTAAAATCTAACAGAACTGAAAGAAAAAATAGACAATTCTACAATGATGGTTGGATACTTCAATACCCCTTTCCAAAACCGATAGAAGAACTAGACAGGAGTTTAGCAACAATATAGAAGGACTCAATAACACCATCAACAAAAAAGATCTAGTTAACATTTATAGAACATTATGCCCAACAAAAATAGAACATATATTATTTTCAAGTGCCTACAGGACACATATCAAGACAAGACTATATCCTGGACCATAAAAAAAGCCTCAGCAAATTTTAAGATTCAAATTGTATGGAGTGTGTTCTCTGACCACGATAGAATCAAACAAGAAAGCAATAACAGAGCAATAACAGCTGCCTTCAGCAGCTGTGGACTGCTGTAGCAAAATAACATAAATTGGGTGCTTTGAACAACAGACTTATTTCTAACAGTTCTGGAGGCTGAAGTCTAAGATTGAGGTGCTGGCTAATTCGTTTTTTGGTGAAATTCCCTTTTCCTTGCTTGCCTTCTTTCTGTGTCCTCATGTGTTGGAGAGGGAGGGAACTCTGGTCTCCCATCCTCTTCTTGTGAGGTACTAATCACATTTATAAGGGCTTAACTCTTGTGACCTAATCACGTCCCCAAGGCTTCAACTGCGAATATCATCACTTTGCAGGTGGGTTAGGATTTCAACATACAAATCTTTGTGGGGACATAAATCTTCAGCCCATAATAGATATAACAGAAAAATCTTCAAATACTTAGAAAGTAAACAACATATTTCTGAATAATCAATGGGTCAAAGAAGAAGTCTCAAGGGAAATTAAAAAATGGACTGAACTAGATGAAATAAAAATACAATGTATCAAGTTGTGTGGGGGACACAGCTGAAGTCATGATTCATCCTTTTCTTTTAACATATCTGTGTCTTTATATTCAATGAGAAGGATGTGTATAGCCCTAAATGCATACATTAGAAAAGAGGAAGTTACAAATCAATAATCTAGGCTCCCACCTCAAGAACCTAGAAAAAAAAAAAAAGAGCAAAATAAATCCAAAGGAAGCCGAAGGAAGGAAATCAATGTGGTAGAAAACAGAAAAACAACGAAGTTAATGAAACAAAAAATTGATTATTTGAAAATGACAATAAAACTAAACAAACACAAGCAAGACTGAAAAGGAAGAGAGGAGAGAAAAAATAAATTACCACTATCTGAAACAGGTGATATCACCACAGACCTTGTGTAAATCAAAAGGATAATAAGGGAATGCTACAAATAATTTTACACACATAAACTTGATGAATTAGATGAAATGGACCAATTTCTTAAAAACACAAACTACCACAATTCGCCAATATGAAATAGATAATTTTGAAAGCCCTATAACTATTAAGGAAATTTATTTTGTCACTTTAGACTCCTCCTCCCCTCAGCTCCAAATCCCTGTCCTGGATAGTTTCACTGGAGAAATATACCAAATGTTTAAAGAAGAATAAACGTCAATTCCCAAAAAATAAATAAATAAATAAATAAAACAAAACAAAAAAAATCTTCCAGAAAATTAAAGAAGAGAGAATACTTCCCAAATCATTTTAAGACATTAGCATTATCTTGATACTAAAAGCAGACAAAGATAGTTCAAAAACAGAAAACTACAAAGTAAGACCAATAGCCCTCATGCATATACCACAGTTGTAAAAATCCTTAACAAAATATTAACAAATAGGATTCAACAATACATAAAAGATAACTATACACATAACTAAGTGGGGTTTATTACAGTGATGCAAGAATGGTTCCCTATTTGAAAATCTATCAGTATATTATAATAACAGGCAGAAGAAGAAAAATCACATCATCATATCAATGGATACAAGAAAAACATTTGACAAAATTCCATACCGAAAATGATTTTTAAAACTTTCAAAAAAAAAATAAGAATAGAAGAGAACTTACTCAACTTGACGAAGAACATCAATAAAAGAGCTACAGCTGACATATTTATGGTGAAAGACTGAATACTTTCTCCAAAAGGTCAGAGACAAGAAAAGCAGATTCACTCTGCCCACTGTTATTCAACATCGTGTGGGAAGTCCTAGCCAGTGCAATAACAGGGAAAAAAAAAATCAAAAAAGGAAGAAGGCATTCAGATAAGAAAGGAAGAAATAAGACTATAAGACTTACCCATTGGCAGATCACATGATTTTTTTACATAGAAAATCTCAGGGAATCTACAAAATAAATTTCTAGAAGCAATTAGTAAGTTTGGCAAGGTCTCAGAATACAAGAAAAATATACAACATCAATTGTATTCCTATATACTAGCAATGAACATGTGAACATTTGAAATAAAAAATACAATCCCATTTGCAATTTCTGAAAAATAATGAAATATTCAGATGTGAATCTGACAAAATATATAAAAAATACAGTATCATTTGCAATCCCTAAAAAGTAATGAAATACTCAGATGCAAATCTGACAAAATATGCATGGGCCACGTTTAGCTTTAGTAAAACTTTAAAATACTCGTGAAAGAAATCAAAGAAGATCTAATCACAAGGAAAGATATACGTATTCACGAATTGGATAGCACAAGATAATAAAGATGTCCACATGCCTCGAATTGATATAAAGGTTTAATATAATTCCTATCAAAACCTCGGCATGATTTTTATAAGTATAGACAAGATTTTTCTGGAATTTAAACGAACGGCAAAGGAACTATAATGGCCAAAACTTCTTTTGAAAAAGAAGGCTAAAGTGGAAGAAGTCTGTCTACCCTATTTTTAAGCTAAATTTATGCTGCTTTCACCCCATCCTCGTTAACTTTTTATCATATTATACTTTTATCTTTATTCATTTTTTTACTCTACAAAATAATCATTTTGTTTGTTTACTTGTTAATTATTTGTCTCTTCTCTAGAATGTAAATTCTATGAGAGAAAGGTCTTGTCTGTCTTGTTTACTACTACATTTTCAGCTCCTAAAACATTTGCTTAGCACTGAGTAGGTAGGTGTTTGGTGAATATTTGTTAAATGTTCTAAAGAAGGACTTAGACATATGGAAAAGAAAAAATCAGCTAATAGTTTCAGTTACCTTTATTTATATTTTTATTTTTATATATTTAGGGGGTATAAGCAGGTCTCTTTCATGCATACATTGTGTAGTAGTGAAGTTTGAGCTTTTATTATACCCATCACCTGAATA
This sequence comes from Homo sapiens, assembly GCF_000001405.40. NCBI lineage: Eukaryota > Metazoa > Chordata > Mammalia > Primates > Hominidae > Homo > Homo sapiens. Next base: position 116,831,263 of record NC_000009.12, on the reverse strand, counting down.
GTGAACGTTGTACCCAATCAGTAGTACTTTGTCAACCCTCATACTCTTCCCACCCTTCCATTCTCCCACCTTTTGTAGTCTCCAGTGTTTGTCATTGCACTCTGTACGTGCAGGTGTACCGATTGTTTAGCTCCCACTTACAAGTGAGAACATGTCATATTTGACTTTCCGTTTCTGAGTTATTTAACTTATGATAAAGGCCTCCAGTTCTATCCATGTTGCTGCAAAAGACATGATTTCATTCTTTTTTATGCCCTAGTAGTATTCCATGGTGTGTCTGTGGGTGGGTGGGGAGAAGGGAGGGGTAGGAGTGTATACCACATTTTCTTTATTCAATCAACTCTTGATAGACATTCAGGTTAATTCCGTATTTTTGCTATTATGAAATAGCACTCGTATGTTATTATTGTTGCAGTAAACATATGAGGGCTGGTATCTTTCTTTTTTTCTTCTTCTTCTTTTTTTTTTTTTTGACATAGGGTCTCACTCTGTTGCCCAGGCTGGAGTGCAGTGGCGCGATCTTGGCTCACTGTGACCTCCGCCTCCTGGGTTCAAGTGATTCTCCCACCTCAACCTCCTGAGTAGCTGGGAGTATAGGCATTTGCCACCATGCCTGGCTAATTTTTGTACTTTTAGTAGAGACAGGGTTTCACCATGTTGGCCAGGCTGGTCTCAAACTCCTGGCCTCTAGTGATCCACCTGCCTAGACCTCCCAAAGTGCTGGGATTACAGGCTTGAGCCACCGTGACCGACCTAATGTAATTAATGATTTTTTCTCTTTGGGTTTATACCCAATAGTGGGATTGCTGGATTGAATGGTAGTTCTGTTTTTAGTTCTTTAAAAAAAAACCTTCATACTGTCTTCCTTAAAGGTTGTGCTCATTTACATTCCATAAGTGTTCCTTTTTCTCCACAGCCTCACCAGCATCTGTTGTTTTTTGACTTTTTAATAGTAGCCATTCTGACTGGTGTGAGATGGTATCTCACTGTGGTTTTGATTTGCATCTCTCTGCTGAATAGTAATGTTGAACATTTTTTCATATGTTTGTGGGTCACTCTTATGTCTTCTTTTAAGAAGTGTCTGTTTATGTCTTTTGCCCAATTTTTAATGGGGTTATTTGTTTTTGCTTGTTGCATTATTTAAGTTCCTTATGGTCTCTGGATATTTGACCTTTGTCGAGTGCACAATCTGTGAATATTTTCTCCCATTCTGTAGGTTGTCTGTTTACTCTGTTGATAGTTTCTTTTGCTGTGTAGCTCTTTAGTTTAATTGGATCTGAGGACTTAGTCACAAATTCTTTCCCAAGGCCAAGGTCCAAAATGGTGTTTTCTAGGTTTTCTTTTAGGATTTTTATAGTTTCAGGTCTTAATCCATTTTGAGGTTTTTAAAAAATATGTGGCGAGAAATATGAGTCCAGTTTCATTCTTCTGTGTATGGCTATCCAATTTTTCAGTACCATTTATTGACCAGTGATATGATTTGGATTTGTGTTCCCACCCAAATTTCATGTTGAATTGTAATCCCCAGTATTGGAGGAGGGGCTTGGTAGGAGGTGATTGTATCATGGGGGCAGATTTTCCCCTTGCTGTTCTTGCAATAGTGAGTTCTCATGAGATCTGGTTGTTTGAAAGTGTGTAACACTTCTCATTTTGCTCTCTTTCTCCTGCTCCCAGCAATGTGAAGACGTGCCTCTTTCCTCTTCATGATTATAAGTTTCCTGACACCTCCCCAGCCATGCCTCCTGTACAGCCTCTGAAACCATAAGCCAATTAAACCTCTTTTATTTATAAATTACCCAGTCTCAGGTATTTCTTTATAGTAGTGTGATAACGGACTAATACAACTGGAGTATCATTTTACCAGTGTGTACTTTTGTTGACTTTGTCAAAGATCATTTGGTTGTAGGTATGTGGCTTTATTTCTGGGTTCTCCATTCTATTCCATTGATCTAGTTGCCTATTTTTATACCAATACCATGGTTTTGTGGTTACTATGCCTTGTACTATAATTTGAAGTCAGATAATGTGATTTTCTAGCTTCGTTCATTTTGCTTGAGATTGCTTTGGTTATTTGGGGTCTGTTCTAGTTACAGATGAATTTTAGGATTTTTTTTCTAATGCTTTGAAAAATGATGTTGGTAATTGGATAGGGATTGGATTGAATCTGCAGATTGCTTTGGGCAATATAATCCTTTTAAACATATTGATTATCCAATTCATGAGCATGGGATGTTTCTCTGTGTATTTATGTCATCTACAATTTATTTCATCAGTGTTTTGTTATTATTTTTATAGAGATCTTTCACCTCCTTGTTAAATATATTCCTAGATATTTTATTTTTGTGGCTATTGTAAATGGATTGCTTTCTTAATTTGGTTCTCAGCTAGATTGGTGTATAGAAATGCTACTGATTTCTGCATCTTATTTTTTATCTTGAAACTTGATAGAGTCTTTAGGGATTTTTAGATATAAGACAATACTATCAGCAAACAGGGATAATTTGACTTCTTCTTTTCCAGCTTGGATAACTTTTAATTTTTCTGTGTCCTGACTTCTTTGGTGAGAACTTCCAGTGCTATGTTGAATAAGAGTGTTGAAAGGGGATGTCTTTGTCTTGTTCTAGTTCTTAGAGGAAATGCTTTTTTTTCCCCAGTAAGATAATGGCTGTGGGTCATGGCCTTTACTATGTTGAGGTGTGTATTTTCAATGATTACTCTGTTGAGGATTTTTTTTATCATCAAAGGATGTTGAATTTTATTGAATGCTTTTTTTTCTGTATCTATGGAGATTATTGTATGGCTTTTTTCCTGAATTCTGTTTATGTGATGTATCACGTTTATTGATTTGCATAGTTGAATCCTCATTACATCACAGGGATAAATTCCACCTGATGATGTCATGGTGTACTATCTTTCTGATGTGCTGTTGGATTCGACTTGCTAGTATTTTTTTTTTTTTTTTTGAGACGGAGTCTCGCTCTGTTGCCCAGGCTAGAGTGCATGCAGTGGCATGATCTTGGCTCACTGCAACCTCCACCTCCCGGGTTCAAGCAATTCTCCTGCCTCAGCCTCCCGAATAGCTGGGATTATAGGCGTGTGCCACCATGCCCAGCTAATTTTTTTGTATTTTTAGTAGAGACAGGGTTTCACCATGCTGGCCAGGCTGGTCTCAAACTCCTGACCTAGTGATCTGCCTGCCTCAGCCTCCCAAAGTGCTGGGCTTACAGGCGTGAGCCACTGTGCCCGGCCTTTTGCTAGTATTTTGTTAAGCAAAATACTAACATCTATATTCATCAGGGATATTAGTGTATAGTTTTCTTTTTCGTTGTTGTTATTTCCTTGTATGGTTTTGGTATCAGGGTGATACTGGCCTGATAGAATGAGTTAGAAAGAATTTCCTCTTCCTCATTTTTTTGGGATTGTTTCAGGAAAATTGGTGTTAGTTTTCTTTGGATGTTTGGTAGAAGTCAGCTGTGAATTCATCCAGTCCTTGGCTTTTTCTGTTGTTATTGAGAGATATTTTTTATTATTGATTCAATCTCAGTAGTCATTATTGTTCGGTTCAGGAGTTCTGTTTCTTCCTGGTTCAATCTCCATAGGTTTTGTGTAGTCAGGAATATATTCATTTTTTTCTAAGTTCTCTGGTTTGTGAACATAATAGTCTTCATAATAGTCTCTGATGATCTTTTGTATTTCCGTGGCATCAGTTGTAGTGTCTGTTTTTATATTTCTGGTTGTATTTATTTGAGTCTTCTCTCTTTTCTTGCTAGTGGCTTACTAATTTTGTTTAGCATTTCAAAAAATTATTTTTTCATTTCATTGATCCTTTGCATTGCTTTTTGGGTCTATTTCATTTATTTCTGCTCTGATCTTTGTTATTTCTTTTCTCCTGCTTACTTTGGGTGTGGTTTGTTCTTGTATTTCTAGTTCTTTTTTTTTTTTTTTTTTTTGGGGGGGATGGAGTTTTGCTCTTGTTGCCCAGGCTGGAGTGCAGTGGCGCAATCCTGGCTCATTGCAACCTCCGCCTCCTGGGTTCAAGAGATTCTCTTGCCTCAGCCTCCCAAGTAGCTGAGATTACAGGCATGCACCACCGCACCCGGCTAATTTTGTATTTTTAATAGAGACGGGTTTTCTCCATGTTGCTCAGGCTGGTCTCGAACTCCCGACCTTAGGTGATCCGCCCACCTCAGCCTCCCAAAGTGCTGGGATTACAAGCATGAGCCACCACTCCCAGCCATATTTCTAGTTCTTTCAGGTGTGATATTAGGTTGTTAATTTGTGATAATTTTTTGATGTAGGCATTTAATGCTATAAACTTTCCTCTTAGCACTGATTTTGCTGTATAATACACATGTTGAGATACTGTGTTTTCATTATCACACAGTTGTTAGTTGAGATTGTGGTGAAGTTAAGCTGGGACCTTGAATACAAAGTGAGCCAGTCTTCACACCTGATAGTGGCAGCAGTGGGGTGAGTGTGCCTGGTTTTAGGCCCCGAAGTAGCTTACACTGGCTTCAGTGTTAGTAGGTTTTTGAGGGCTGATTCTTGGGCCATTAGTTGGCTTGCTTAGAAGCTAGTAGTGGGAGCAGTGGGCCTGATGTATGGGTAGATTTTGGGGCCCCTGGGAAGCTAGTGTAGTGTGGCTGATGGCAGTAATGATGGTGGTAGAGCAACCCACTGGGACTCAAGCAACCCGTGTTGGTCTTGCTGGGAGCTGTGATGGGTTGGGCGGGCTAGTCCCCAGTCTCGCAGCCACCCATAGCAGGGTGGTGGGTATTGTCCTGAGTGTGCTTAGGAGAGTGTGGTGTACTCTGTCCCTCTCCCAGCAGGGTGGTGGCTGCAGCCATGTTACCTCAAACTCGGCCCCAAGCCTGGGACATAGTCCAGCATTAAATGCTCAGCATGGTGCCAGCTGTGGGCTGTGACCAGAAAGGATGGGGTCCTTCTCAGGTGAGCCACATTGGCAAGAAGCTGTGGTGAGTGTGGCCCACTTGAGTCTTGGTCTCACAGCAGCCCCTTGCAGGGCAGTGGGTATTGTCCTAGATATGCATAGGATAGCCTGGTCTCCCTGTCCCTCCTTGACTGGGTGGCAGCTGCAGCCACATCAACCCAAACTCATGCCAATGGTAGGGTGCAGCTCAGCATTAAACTGTCAAAAACGGTGCTTTGGGCCTGATACCAGAGAAGGCAGAGTCCATCTCAGGCAAGAAAGGTGAGCAAGAAGCTGTGGGAAGTACAGTCTATCCATGTCTCAGTCTCAATAGCAGCCTGCAGCAGGGCAGTAAGGAGCTTCCTGGGGATGTGTGGGAGCACCCAGTCTTCCCTCTCCCTCTTTAGAACAGGGCAGCAGCAGCCATATCTGTAGATCCCCAGTATTTTGGCTCTCAAAATAGTGCCCAGCTGTGTCTACTCCAGGTTCAGATGCCTGTGGGATTTTATTTGGGTTCTCATTCTGTGGCAATGGTTTTATGCAAACTTTAGGCACTTCGTATGTCAGGCCAAAGGCCCCAGTAGGTTGAGAGTTTCTCTCACAGCCAAGGTGTAAAACCCCATTTTGGAACCCTGGGGGTTTCTCTCTTACTGTTTCCCCACATCTGGGAGCCCCTTCCAGCTCTCAGTTGGTTTCTGACTGGAAAAGCTGCCTCAAAGTCTCTGCTTACTTACTTCTGGTGCTTCTCATTTCTCCCCTGTTGAATCCTAGCATTCTCTTCTAGACAATCTGTTTGGAATGTGTGTATCTACTTATTATTCTGGTTCCTCTCCATGGAGGAGGGACATACTACCTGCATCTAGTCAGACATCGTGATTCCTCCCAACTAGGCTAGTTTTTCTTTTGGGGTTTTGGTTAATTTATTACTTGTTTATATATCCCTATTCAATTATTCTTCATTTATTAGGTGTCTATTATGTACCAGGTCTAAAGCCAGATACTTTAGAAGTGTTTTCTCATACAGTCTTCAGAAGTGCCTCCAAGAGAGACATTATTTGCATTCTACAGATGAGGAACCTGAGGCTGTCTCTGAGGTGAAGCATCCTGCCTATATGCTCAGTGTCACAAATCTTTCCTTGGAATTCAGGCCTGACTTTAGTCCTCATATTCTTGTCTCCAAACTGGCTCCTCTATTTATAGAAAGAAAACAGTCCCAAATAGTTTCAAGGACTTGTCCAAGGTCACGAGGCAAGCAAGTGACAGTGCCTGGTAATGAATTCTAGTCTTCCTCTTCTAGTACATTAGATGTCTCTTTTCTCTTCCTGTAGGAACTTCCTTCCTACAGGATTCCCTTCCTAGAGGAGGAGAAAAGACTAAAACCTCCCTGTTTCAATATTGCCTAGTTTGCAGAGTTTTTATTTTCCCAAACAAATTTTACCATACTTTTTTATGTTTGTTCTATAACTAACGTTCTCTGATAGATGTGTATATTTATCTCTCAAACCAGATTCTAAGCTCTTTACAAATACCTATAACAGCAGAACTATTTGTTGATCACTGTGCTAAGTACTGCATACATTTATTTCACTATATTAGTTAGCTATTGCTGTGTAACAAATTATCTCAAAAATCAAGTCACTTAAAACAAAAAGTATTTATTATCCCACACAATTTTTAAGGGTCAGAAATTCAAAAGCAGCTTCTATGTGTGGTTCTGGCCTACCTCTACAAAGTCTCAGTCAAAATGTCACCTGGGGTTGCCAATATCTGAACAGGCTTGATTGGGGCTGGATAGTGTATTTGCAGGCTCACTCATGTTTTGCTGGCAGGCCCCAGCCTTACTGGCTGTTGGCCAGAGGTGTTACTTCCTTGCCACATAAGACTCTCCATAGGGCTGCTGAAAACATGGCAGCTTGCTTTCACTAGAGCAAGTGATGAGAGAGAGAGAGACAGACAGAGGGAGAGAAAGATCTCTCTTATGATCTACCTTTAGAAGCCACATACCTCCTCTTCTGCCACATACTATTGGTCACATAGACCAATTCTGGTGCAGTGTAGGAGGGGACTACATGAGTCTTAATACCAGAAGGCAGGAATCACTGGGGACCATCTTTGAAGCTGGCTACCGTACTATTTACCCATCACAGTAATCACGTGAAGATAGGAGACTTTATGTCACTGCCTGAAGGTTATACAACTTATAAGAAGTAGTGTGGATTCAGATCCAAAGTTAATACACAGATACACTAAATGTCATTTCTAGCACTCCACCAATTCGTTCAGCAAATAACAAGTACCAACTGTGTGCCAGATGGCTTAGGACAAGCCACATGGTCCATACTATTATAACATTTACATTTTGGTGGAGGAGACAGACAGTAAGCAACAAACTAATTGAAATACTAATAATATACAAGTAATTTCAAACGATGGCTAGATCTCATCTGCCCCTACTCATCCTCAAAGGCACAGTACCTGAAGTCCATGATAGAGGAAGGAATGATGGTAACTGGTAAACCCACTTCATGTACTTAGGAAGCCTTTCCCACAGGCGTGGATCAAATCTTGCCTTTAATTTGCTGTGTGATGTTGGTCAAGTACCCTCACCTTTCTGATCCTCAGTTTCCCATCAGCAAATCATCTTGGGGAGAGAGACTATAGGATATGTAAGTTTGCAAAATGCTTTAACCTGAAGGGAAGTGAGTGTAGTGGACAGAGAACACCAAGCTGGGGCAAGGGAAGCCTGGCTTCACGTTCTTCGCTCATGTGCTGAGGAATATGGGGTGATGTCCTTTAACTTTCTGGGCGTCACTTCTAAAGTAAGGAGGTTAGATCAGCTCTAAGCCCTGCCTTATTCTAACTTCCTAAAACTAGATGTCAGTCAGCCAGTAAATAACAGGACTTCCTACAACTAGATGTCAGTCAGTCAGTAAATGACAGGACTTCTTAAAACTAGAGATCAGTCAGTCAGTAAATGACAGGGTGGTGAAGTGGCTTGCCCATTAGGCAGCTAATAGCAACAAAGTTGGGAAGCCTGAGAAGCTCTGCCTCTGTCACCACCAAACTGTGTGACCCTCTCCTCCGCTTCCTCCTCTGCAAAGTGGGAATCCTGACGGTACCTACCTTGTCTGCTGCAAGAAATTGCTGCACACTCAGTGGCTTAAGATAATTATTAAGAAATTTATTCTCTCCTAGTGCTGGAGGCCAGAAATCCAAAATCAAGGTGCTGGCATTTGATTTCTGGTGGTGCTCCTTCTGGAGGCTCTAGAGGAGAATCTGTGCCTGACCTCTTTCAGGTTGTGGTGGCCTCAGCATCGATCGGTTTGTGGCCACATCACACCAATCTCTGTTCCACCCCCACATCGCCTTCTCCTCTGTGTGTGTAATTTCTTTCTGCCTCTCTGTCATGAGAACATTTGTGATGGCATTTACGCCAATCTGGAAAACCCAGGAGGGTGTCCTCAAGAGTTTTGACACAATCACATCTGCATAACCTTTACCATAGAAAGTCACATTCACAGATTCCAAGTTCCAGGGCTTAGGACAGAGACATGTCTTTGGGATCCATTATCAGCCTACCACTCTACCTCATATATTTGCTATAGGGATTAAATAAGTTAAAACGGGTAAAGCGCTTAGATAAAACCTGGAGCTTAGTGAACACGTTTAAAAAAACAAGTGTGGTAGAGAATCATTGGGGGATGGGAAGGACTGAGACCATACCCTGCCCAGGTGTCTCCTGTTACCTGGTCAGAAAATCAGTCATTCTTTTCAACATGCTCCGCGAGTCTGCAAACAGACTGAAGCCAGGCCCCAGTACTCACAAACGGCTCCAAATGACCCTGTGACCAGGTGCCCTCTTGTCTGACAGTGAATGTTCAGAGACAAGCAGGGGCTTCCTCTGAGCTTGTATTAATATGTACAGCACTTCACTCACATGGAAAATTGATTTTTTAAGCACAAAATGCAGCAGTTTTATAACCTTTCTGCAGCTTGACAAAGGCCATTTATAACCTACTTTCTCCGTCACTCTTCCTGGCGCCAGTCTCAAATGTCTTGAAGAACTCTCTCATGCATTTGTAATTACAAATTCTTCTCAGGCAAAATTTAATTTCCAAGAGGGCTGACCTTTTTTTTTTTGTTATTGTGGTTTTTGTAAATTAATTTTTGTGAGTATGTTTTATTATTGATGTTGTTTAGGACGATGGCATGGGAAGGGGAGCGGGGAGTTGGCCGGTGGGGTCTCATGGTGGGAAGGCATTTTAATCAGTGATGTCCGGTGATGGATGAGGAAGGCTGGGCTCTGGGTGTTAATCTTTGTGGACAAGAAATGCCAGCGGGAGGACTGAAATAAAAACCCAGTACCTCATTTTCTCTTCTGAAAGCAGGAGTATTGGAACTACTTCTCCATCAGCTGGGATGGAGAAGATGAGCTCAGCCTCATCAAATGATGGAAAACTAAATTTAATCAATAGCCATCTGTCTCCACAGTATATGATTTTCCACTGAAGGAGCACATAGCAGGTGCCAGACCCACTGACAAGAGCGTTCTAGCTGAGGCCATTGAAGGTTGAACTCCTTGGAGTTTACTTAGGGACCAGAGGGCTATGGGGAGGGCTGTGCATATGGCCAAGCAGAGGACTAGGTTGTCTATAAAGGGAGGACCTTGATTATCAGTTTATAGCAGCTTCACATGTTTTAAGATTCATTTACTTATTTAAGCTGGGGAGTGATGCTATTTAGAAATAGCACTCTGTTGGCCATTTGGAGGATGGTTTTGAGAAGGCCTGACTGGAGTCCAGCAGACTGGCTAGGAGCCCTTTTCATGGTGATGTGAGTATGCAGGAATCTTACTTAGGGCTCCAGGGATAATGGTGGAGAAGAAGAGACTAATTCAAGACAGGAAGGAAGGTAATTCACATTTTATGAGTACCAAATTATGTGCCAAATTCCGAAGTAAGGTATGCACCCCCATGATCCAACTTAAGCTTCACAACAAATCTGTAGTTGCAGGTATTGTGCCCATTTATTAGATGAGAACATTGAGGCTCAGAGACGGCAAGTAACTTCTCGGGTCACACAGTGAGAAGAGGAAAAGCTGGAAATTACACTCATACTGGTAGAGGCTTTTAAATATATATCTGGCAGCCTCCCTATGTGACCCTTCTAGCAGTAGACCCTATAGGGCAATAACAGTAGAAACAATAATGAATATGATCCCAGCAATATCAATATTAGCAGCAGCTGACATTTGCTGTGCTGTTGCCGTGTGAGCCAGTGTTCTCAACACTTTGCTGACATTATCACCCTTCATTCTCACAACACTATAAGCAGATAGTCACAAAAGTCCCATTTTACAGGTGGGCACACTGAGGTTCAGAGAAGTAAAGGGACTTGTGGAACTTGTCACAAAGTTATTAACTGACAAAAGGAGACTGAATACCTTTCTGTCAGGCCCTGACACATGTCTCTTCCAGGAGGGAGGAGAGGGTGTGATGGGGCCTACAACCTCCCAAGCCATAACTACCCTGTTGCCCTCTCTCTGAGCAGTGCCCTGAGGAGCTGAAACCCATGAAGGATGGCTCTGGCTGCTACGACCACTCCAAAGGCATTGACTGCTCTGATGGCTTTAATGGCGGCTGTGAGCAGCTGTGCCTGCAGCAGACGCTGCCCCTGCCCTACGATGCCACTTCGAGCACCATCTTCATGTTCTGCGGGTGAGTCTCTGTCCCCAAGGCCCAGGTGCCCCATTTACAGAAGTGAGGGATGCATGGGAAAATGATCAGACACTACAGCTCAGCAAGGCTGAACCTTGACCTTCAATAAAATGGCCTTTCTGCCTTTCCTGTTTTAGTCCAAGAGCCAAAAGCCAAAAGTATAACCTTCTGTTGGGTGGGTTAAAAAAGAAAAAAATGAGAAAAATAAAGATTGGGTTAATAAATGTAATAAATATAACCCATGCCCAGGCCTCATCCTAGAGCCAGGAGCTTTTTCCTGCTGAAGCCTCCTGCCCTTCTGAATCTACCTGTATGGGCCTAGTCAGTGCAGTTTGGAGACAAAAGCAGACGTCTTGAAGGTTCACAAAGGCTTCAGGTATGGTGCATAAAAGCACAGGCTAAGTCCAGCCTTCAAGCTTGGTTTCAGCAGGAATGTAGCAATGTGAGGGCACTGTTCAGCCTTTCTGTGTCCTAATGTCCGTATCTGTAAGGACAATTAACTGGAGGAGGGGAGGGCTAAAGGAAACAACACAGGTGAAGCTTGTAGGACAGCTCTGGCTCTTGAAGGACTCAAACTGACTTTTGAAATAAGTATGAGGCTAAAAGGGGAACACGTTGGGACCAACTTGCTGAGTGACTTCTGACAAGTCATGTTCTCTCCCTGGGCCACAGTTTGACCATCTGTGAAAAGAGATCTTTGGGGAAGGATGGCTGACATTTCTTCCAACTTACATTGCTTTCCATTTAAAGACTGCAATGGCCATTACTTCTGCCTTTGACAGCACCTTGCATATAGCATTTGGTCCTTAGTAATCACTTACAAGAACAGACTTTTTTCTTCTCTTCATTCCCTTTCTGATTATGTCTTAGTATTAGAATATTTGCTTATCTTTTGACATTCTGTGACTCAGAAAAATAATCTTGTACTCATGGAAGAAGTACATTTAATGCTGTCTTTACTAAGATAGAAAAGCAGAACAGGACATGTAACAACATTTTCAGTCCTGTGTTTCACAAATAGGGGGTGAGTGTGGGCATGGGTTTAATTCCAGTTTACCAGAAAAATGAATTAAACTTGTATGATTCTAGTGTGTAGAGTCCAGTTTTTCTTCCAGGGCTTATTTCAAGGTCTCCTTTCCTGCCCTAGTTGCACTTAGGGCTGCAGGTGCCTTTGTGCAGGTGTAGAAGCAGCTCACTGGAGGCCCTAGATATGTATCAGCAAAATAAATAAGAAATAAATTAGGGTATGCAGACCTGAATTTATAGCGATCTCTCCTCAGCTTAAGTGACTGCAGGGCAGTGTTGAGTAAATTATGCATGGCTTTAGATCTGCAGGCTGCATCCAGAATCAGCCATGTTCTTGTCATTGTTATTTTTCTCTCTGTGTGTTTGGGGTGGGGTGGGGGCTGTTCTTCTGTGGTAAATAATAACAGTAACAGCAGCAGGAGCAGCAATAATGGATTTTGACATCAGAAACTATTACCACCTTCCATCCACAGCACATTACAGGGAACCGTGGATTCAAAAGACACGAATTGTAATCCTAGCTCTGCCACTCTCCCTTAGCCATAAGGCAAGCCTTTCAGGACCCCTGACCTTCCATTTTCTCACCAGTAAAATTTTAATACCTACCTTAATATAATGATAATTCTGAAGAGAGGAAAGTATTTCATATTTGTTACCCTCTGAAGGCTAAGAAACATGCCCAAGGTCATATGACTAGTGATGTGGCTCAACATCTCCTTGCTGTGTAACCTTCAGCAAGTTAATTTATGTCTCTGTGCCTCAGTTTTCTCATCTGTAAAACAGGGATAATAGTAATATCTGTCTATAGAGATGTTATAAGGACTAAATATATTACCATTTACATTAATATTTGTGAAATGCTTTGGAACAATGTCCTGCACAGAATTAGCACTGTATGTGTTTGTTAAATAAATTAACTTAAGTGATTCTAATAACATTTGCTAGTGACCTGATGCACTAGACAGGACTAATCTGTTAATATATTGTGAAAGGACTGTGAGCGTCTTAAAGAAGATTGAATGGGTGAGAGTGTGTGGTGAGCTGTTAAAACCCATCCAAATGGTAATAAATAGGACAAAAACAAAAAAAACAAAAAACAAAACCCAGGCATCCTAAAACCAACTGCAGTTTCAACAGGATTTGGAAACTGTCTATTAGGAATGCAAATGAGAAGTTACCACACTTGTTAGAAGCACTGTAAACAATGAAAGCTATTAGCAGATACTTGTGAGAGAGATGGTCCAGAGAGAAGTGGGATGCTATTGAATTAAGCAGGGAAAACAAAATAAACTCATTATCAAGGGGACCTTCCCAACTTGCTCAAAGCTCTATGACCTTCCTAAGAGTGTTCTGGGTAGGAGAAGGTTTAATAAATCTGTTTGCAACCAGGTTAATAATAGCAGCTAACATTTACTAATGACTTTCTACGTACCATGACTGTTCTAAGTGCTTTGGGTACATTAGCTCATTCAATTCTCATAACAATTCTACAAGCGATGTTACTATTATGATTCCCATTTTATGTTTTTTTTTTTTAAAAAAAGCACAGAGTGGCTCAGTAACTGTCCAAGGTCACATATCTGGTAAGTGAGGTTGTTGAGATTGAAACTTAGGTATTGTGGTTCCAGGCTCAGTCAAGACAGATCTGATGTCATTGCTGACCTCTGGCCACATCTAGTCATGTGATCTTTGGCAAGCCACTCAATTTCTCTGAGCCTATGCTCTTTCATGTAGAATTAGAAGTGATTGTAGCACCATTGTGAAGATTAAATGAAATTATACATGCACAGGAGCTGTCATAGTTAAGCACTCAGTAAACCATAATTATAATTAGTCTAATAAGTATAAAACCATCTCATTTAATTATGTAATTACTGGATTTTATCTCTTGTTTACTACTTTGTCTCCAGGAGCTAAAACAGTGACTGGCACATAGTAGGTTTTCAATTAATAGTTGTTAAGCAAAGTTCCTCCATTAACATGGCTAAAGAAGTTTCCAGTCTGACTTTTCCAGTTTCATTTCCAGCTAGGTTCCTCTTCCTAAGTTAAGCCTCCTGGTTTCAGTTTCTGGAGTTTTCACAACACTGTTCCCTCTGTCTCCTGTCTCTTTCTCCTTTGTACCCCCACTGACTCCCATTTGTCCCTGGCCCTTTAGCTTTCGCCTCCAAGTTTCAATTCAGGCATCACTTTTTCAGCAAGCCTTCTCTGAGCCCTAAGAGGCATCAGGTGTGAGTTATGCAGTTACCTTGGAACAAGATAATTAATACCCATTCTTTCTTTCTTCTTTTTTTTTTTTTGAGATGGAGTCTCGCTCTGTCACCCAGGCTGGAGTGTAGCGGTGAGATCTCAGCTCACTGCAACCTCCGCCTCCTGGGTTCAAGCGATTATCCTGCCTCAGCCTCCCTAGTACCCGGGACTATAGGTGCGTGCCACCACACCCAGCTAATTTTTTGTATTTTTAGTAGAGATGGGGTTTCAGCGTGTTAGCTAGAATGGTCTCGATCTCCTGACCTCATGATCTGCCCACCTCATCCTCCCAAAGTGCTGGGATTACAGGCGTGAGCTACCGTGCCTGGCCAATATTCATCCTTTCAAATGGATACTATTTAAATATTGGCTGAATGTTGCATGGGGTTAGGGCCTATATAGAAATGACATTTTCCCTCGTCTATTTATTTATTTATTTATTTATTTTCATTTCTACCTACAAGGGAAAGGAATATTTACATTTTGTCTCAAATTCTTATTTATCCCAGTGAAATCTTGACATCTCTTGGAGACTGGACCTCTGGCTGGCTGCCCTCTCATCAGTTTACGTTCTCCAAAACAGAGTAAATCATCCTTTCTCTGGGGCTGCACAGGCCCCATGGCTCTCCCTGTGATAGCCTCATAGCTTGGTTGATTTACCTGCATTCCTGTCTGTTTCTGTCATACTGTGAACTCCTCATGAGCAGGGACTACATCCTAGGCATCTGCATGTCTTCATTGCCATTCCCACTGCTTGGCCCAAAGACTTATTTAGAACCATAATGATTGAATTAAAGAATTCATCCGCCTAAGATTTGTTGTGACTACTCTGTGCCTGGTCTTTTATTAGGTGCAAATAATCATTGAGTAGAGTTCTTCTCCAGCAGGGGCAAAGAGGTGCCTAAGCCTCACTGGGTCCTGATTGATATTGACAGAGCACAAGTACCAGAATGGTAGACAGAAGCAGGTGAATTCAAGATAGATTGAGAAGGTCATTGGACACTAAGCTAAAGCCTGTAGAATAAATCCTTAGAACCAGTCTTATAGGTGAGAGGGCATCACCTCCTGTGAAGACCTTGGCAAGTTACCTAGCAACAAAGTTTGTCTGTTTTGTGTGTGTGTATGTGTTTACAGAGTCTACCATGCACACTTCCAAGAGAACTTATTTTACTCACATAAAGACAATATATTTTTAAAAGGCTATTCATATAAAGATAGGAATCATCAGAGCCATTTTAAGGAGGGGAGAGAAAATGGTTTCAGAAGCTCAAAATGAAAGAGTCACTCAACATGAGATAAATTTGGCTGTGTGCTTCTTGGCAACCAAAGTAAACAGAGAAAGAGAAAAAATACCCATAGTGGATTATATAGTTGTCCTTGTATGAGAAAAGGAAAGTTGTAGTTTTTTTGTTTTGTTTTGTTTTCAGGAGTTATACACCTTTTTCTGCCGTTATTTGCTAAGAGAGTTATTTCTCATATATTCCTATGTAAGAGATAGTGAGCCATTTCATCAACTTTTTTTTTTTTTTTTTTTTTTTTGAGACGGAGTCTCGCTCTGTTGCCCAGGCTGGAGTGCAGTGGGGCGATCTCCACTCACTACAAGCTCCGCCTCCCAGGTTCAGGCCATTCTCCTGCCTCAGCCTGCCAAGTAGTTGGGACTACAGGTGCCCACCACCGCGCCCGACTAATTTTTTATATTTTTAGTAGAGATGGGGTTTCACCGTGTTTGCCAGGATGGTCTCGATCTCCTGACCTCGTGATCCACCCGCCTCAGCCTCCCAAAGTGCTGGGATTACAGGTGTGAGCCACCGCGCCCGGCCTCATTAACATTTTTTAAGTTTCAGTATTTTTCAGATCATTTAGAGGAGGAAACTGAGGCCCTCAAGGTGGGGGCACTCACGGCCAGTTAGGAGGTAAAATTGGGATAGAAGCTTGAGATATCCCAACCTTCTTGCTTCCAATTTAAATGAAAGTGCCCTAAAAACACATTAGCTCAAATAACACATCCAGCCTCAAATAGTCCTTAATAGCCTCTCTGTCTAATATTCTCTTTATGTAATTTTAAGAGGGAAAGGAGATAAACATGTTTAATATGCATAGTAACTGGAAGCCACGTATTTTCATTGTCAAAGCTGAAGTCTAGTCTAACAGTAGAAAACACTGAACGACAGAACAGAGACAATGGCCTTCATTTTGATTATCAGTAACAAGTGGAAGAGTTGGTGGGAGATGGGGGAATTCATTCAGGCACTTGTTTTATTGTGGTTTCCACCTTTTAGGTTAAAGCCTGAGCCCTTACCCCTTTCATTTCTGGTTGGAGAACGTGAATTTTACTTCTAATCGTTAACATAGAATACTTTCATGCCAGGTTCTTGTCAAACATTATAACCTTGTTTTCTCTTCTTTTTAAACATTTGTAAAAGCTCAGGTGTAAAAAATGCTCACCGACAATTGATGGAAACACGTAATATCCATCCATTTGTTTGGATAGCTATTTTCCAGTGTGGATTGTATGGAACATTAGTTCCATGAGACATTCAAATATTAAACAACAACAACAAACTAAATGTTCAGAGTTTCCCATGTGGAAAAATCTGCACTCCTAACTGCCTCTTACAGGTTCCCAGTGTGCCTGGGGATAGTCAAGGCTCTCCCAAATCATGCAGTGGAGAAACATATTTCATTGATTCTAAAGTGCCCATATTTTCCACATTTTAACATTTCTGAAGTGGGAAGGTATCTTAGTTTTAATGATTTGACAGAGTTTATTTGGCAGTCTTTTTTTTTTCCTTGTTTCTTTCTTAGTGTTATGTAAACTGAGAGTGTTTCTTACCATTATTAGGGGTCTTAGACTAGATAAAATCTGCTATATAATTAATCCAGAGTTTCCCATGGAATTCCATTTTCTATTCACTTCTTTCTTTTCTTTTTCTAGAAACTCTAAATTTTCCCTTGAATAAAACCTGCAACCCAAGACCGCTCAGAGAACACCTCCTCTGATCTTCGTTTGGTTAATGTTGGGACAATCCTGAGGGTGTTGGTGAAAAAGATTCCCATGATATCAGTTAGAAGGGTTAATGCAGTTGAGTTCCTTAGGTGCTGGTTCTAGCCCTGATGATCCCAGGGTGGGGTTTTCACAGGTTTCTGCACTAGGAAAGCTGGGAAGGAACCTGTTCCTTTCTTGCCTTAGTAATAGGATACTTAGATTTATTCCTAACGTTGGTCCAAGTCTACCTGTTGTGCAGCTCCTTGAGCTATTCTTACCCTTAACTACTTTTCTCTCTCTCTCTTTTTTTTTTTTTTTTCTTGAGACAGAGTCTTGCTCTGTCACCCAGGCTGGAGCGCAATGGCACAATCTCAGTTCACCGCAACCACCTCCTCCCGGGTTCAAACAATTCTCCTGCCTCAGCCTTGCAGGTAGCTGGGATTACAGGCGCTCACCACCACACCCAGCTAATTTATTGTATTTTTAGTAGAGATGGGGTTTCGCCATGTTGACCAGGCTGGTCTTGAACTCCTGACCTCAGGTGATCCGCCAGTCTCAGCCCCCCAAAGTGCTGGGATTATAGGCATGAGCCATCGCACTTGGCCTATTCTTAATATTTTTAAGGATTTGATTCCTTCCTTATTTTCAAAAAGTTTCTAGGATATGTATTTTGATAATTCTGTTGATTCCACAAACCATTGAAGAATAAATTAATAAATAAGGAAAAAATACATGAGAAAAAGAAATACTTTGCTTTGAGAGTTTGTACACAATACCATTTGTCTGTCAGTCTCAATTTTCTCCTTCAAACAACAAACAGATAGGAAGAGGTCATTTGTAATTAACTGGAAGGAGCACAGGATTTGGAGTAAGAAGACCCAAGTCAAGGTTCTGGCTTTTCCAAAATGCTCATGTGACCTTGATTAGTGAGCTTAGATGTCCCAAGCCTCAGGATCCTCTGTGACAATGTTGGAATGAAAGTACCCATCTCACAATGTTGCTATGAGGATTAAATAAAACATGCTCTGAGCTAAACACATAGAAGGTTTTATGGTGCACTCTCTAAAATCCCATCTAGTTTTGGTATTCTCTATAATGTGATGGGTGTGTTAAGGGTAACACATCCATTGCCTTCAGCTAAAATGCCCGGTATGTATCTCTGCACTTATTTTATATTTTTCATTTTGGCACATGTATAAATAGAGTTTCATGTAGATCTTGGCTGGTTTCCTGTGAGCCTACACTCTTTAGAATTTCTGTAGGAAAATCTCCCAGATGACAGAATGTTCTAAAGAAGCTATATAATTATGTGTCATAGTACAAAAATAAAATTTAAAAAAAACCCAACAACTAAATAGACCTTAGCATAAACCTTCCTATGCCCTTAGGTGGCTCGGCGGGGGAGAACTGCTCCTGTTTCAAAACTCAGGGGATCATTTTCCTTTACAAGGATGGGAATTTTTTTCCCCCTGAATCTCTCCTGCAAGCCACAATCTTTTCCCACCCACAGGGAAAAGAAAAATCACTGTAAATCCACAGTTGTGATATGCTTAAAGTCGTACACACACACTCACATTCACACACACGTCTTGAGCTCCTAAGTTTTGATTCCCAGCACCACTATTGACTAGACATACCTCCATGGGCAAGTCACTCAACTTCTGTAAACCTCAATTTTCTCATCTGAAAGTGGAGACAATACCTCCCTGTGAGTGTCTCACATTTCCTATTGCTTCTGTAATGAATCACCACAAACTTAGTGTCCTAAAATAACACACTTTATTTTACAGTTCTCAAGGTCAATATTCTTAAAATCAAGACAGTGGCAGGGCTGCATTCCTTCTGGAGGCCTTAGGGGAAGATCTATTTCCTTGCCTTTTCCAACTGCTAGGGAGCATCTGCATTCATTGACTCATGGTCCGTTACTCTGCTCCCCTCTTATTCTCCTCTGCTTCTAAGTTGCATTTCCTCCTCTGACTAACACGCTTATCTCCCTCTTATGGGAAACATGTGATGACATTGAGATCACCCAAGTAATCCAGGATAATCTTTCCAGCTCAAAATTCTTTACTTAATCCCATCTTCAAAGTCTCCTTTGCCATGTCAGATAACCTCAGGTGTTCGGGATTAGGATGTGGGCATTTTGAGGAGGCCATTATTCTACCTATTACAGGTTATAAGGAGCAAACCAGGTCATATATACAAAAGCATTCCACTAAACTTTGGGATCCTGAATGTGGGACTGAGCTTTGCAAATACGTGTGTATGTACACACACACACTCAGAGACACACACACAAATAATGCATATATTTAACTTCTATATGATAATTCCACATGTAAAAATATATACAAATTATATGTATACCTTATTTCCAATGAATGCAACATAAGAAGTTCTCAAACATACACTGTGAAGCAGCAGAAAAACAAAAAAGGAATCAAAGAATGGCAACTATGTCAACTTTCAGAAATCTGGATCTAGATAGAGGCCAGCAACTAGGATATGAGAACCAATAGAAATAAATTTATACTTCCTGGGATATGTAAATGGGTTAATGGACTAAGTAACAACAACAATAACAATAATAAGCATAATAGCTGATGCATTACTTGAATACTATATGAGAGATACAGTTTCATCTTTTGTATAAGTTATCTCTAATTTTCACATCCCCATGATAAGGATTGTCATTTTCCTTAATAGATTATGACACCAAAGCCTGCGGAAATTAGCAGACTTGATCAAGGTCATGTAACTGGTAGATGGCACAACCTGTATTTGAACTCAAGTTTAGTTAGCTCTAAAATCTCAACTTGTGACTACCTTAGAATCTCAAAAATTTACCAACATAGAAATTATACAAACTACACTGTTAGTCTAAAAATGCAGTAATATTAGAAAAAGAGGAACAAACAAATTATCTATTTTGGAATTATATTTTTAAATATCTTCTAAGTGACACTTGGATATGGAAAAAATCAAACTCAAATTTTCACCTCATTAGAAATGAGCAGGAGCATGAGGGCTGCACGTCAGACTTATGGGGTGTGGGCAAAGCCACAGTCAGAAGCTTCAAGACATTTATTAAGAAGCAAGAAAGATTGAAAATAAACAAATGAGGCATTTGACTTAAGCAGCCATAAAAAGAATTATAAAACAAAGTCAGATAAAACAGCAGGAAGGAATTAAATAAAAGCTGAAATAAATTAAATAGAAAAGAAAAAAGGGAGCTCACCAATAAAATACAAAATACAAAAAGCCTATTCAAAGGAGAGAGCAAAGAAAGAACACGAACACATTACGAATGAGCTAGTGCCTTAACTATAGAAACATAAAAGATAAAAGAAATTTAATGAGAACACTGCATAGAACTTTACACCAATACATGTGAAAGTCTTGATAAAATACATTATAATGTTAGAAAATATAAATTACGAAGTTTGAGTCATGAGGATATAGAAAATCTAAATAGGCAGATAATAAGGAAATAAATGATAAGAGCTAAATATCTACAACTGAAAAGAAGCCATCGAGCCCAGGGGATTTTATAGGCAAGACTTATCAAATTATCAAGTAATGGATAACATCTATCTTATATAAACTGATCCAGAGAAAGAAACAAAAAAGGATAGTTTTTTAACTTATTCCATAATCCTAATACCCAAACTGAGCAAATATATGCTCTCCATTTAGAAAAATTTAGTAGACATGTTAGAATGTTTAAGTTCTTTATGTTCGTAGGATGCAACATCAACTTCGAAAAATCAGTAACAGCTTTTCTCAAGTCAGTAATAACTATGTAGAAAACATAAAAGAAAGCATAAATGAAAAACTGATCCTATTTCTGAAGTTTAAAAGATTGCAACAGTAGAATTTTCACTCTAAAAGGCACACATGATCTTCTTTATAGATAAGCAAAGGCGGTACAGAGAGGTTAAGTAGTTTGTCCGAGGTCACACAACTGGTAAGTGGCAGACTCAGCATTTGGACTCTGTTAGTCTGGATCCAAAACATACTTCGATAAACCTCTACAGCATAGTGCCTTTCATAAATGCCCATGAATAACCTCCAAAAGACACGTGCAAAACCTTTATAACAAAAAGTCAAAAACTTCACCAAATGTTTTAAAAGAACAGTTGATAAATAGAGATACAAACTGTTTCTCAGTTAGAGAACTCCAAATTATAAAGATGCTGTATTAGGATAAGATAAGCTTTCTTCCTGTAGCAAATGAGCCCCCTCCCCCAACCAGAAGCTTGTGCACAAAAGCTAGTTTCTTATTTGTGCACGGTCTATTGTAATTGTGGCAGTCTTCCTCCATCCTGTAGAATGCATCGGGAACGCATGGTCTCCAAGCTTGCCATAACAAGGGAAGAGGCAGCTTGAAAAATCACAGGATGTTTTGAAAAGACTAATTCTGGCAGTGACTTGAATCATGTCAGCATAGATTCCATTATTCAGAATCCAGTTACATGGCCCCTTCAGCCCAACTGCAAGACAGGCTTAGACATGTAAGTCCAGGAAGAGGACCCAATGCAATGCAAGTCCAGGAAGAGGACACAGTGTGGTTAATGCAAGATGTCTTTGTCACACTTATCAGAAGCGCCCAGCACAGAGTTAACTCGCAAAACGTATATATTAAATAAAAGAAAATGAAATAAAATTAATATTAAAATCTTCCCCCAATTTAGTTTACAAATTCAAAGCAATGCCACCCAAAATTCCACTAGGGATTTGCATATAATTTGATAAGCCCATTCTGAAATTCATTTGAAAGGAAAAATATGGAAGAGCAGTCAGGAAATTTGGAAATAGAAAACTAGTGTTGATGAAGGGGAGGAGTATTACTTTATTACTATATCCAAAACAGGCTATAAAGCTATAGTAATTAAAACAGCTTGGAATTACTGCAGGAATATACAGATAATTAAACAGGAAAAACACCAACCATGTATATATGGCATATGTAGGGATTGCACGTGTAAAAAAAAAATAACATTTCAAATTTGTTGTTGAAAGGTCAGACACTTCAGACAATTGGCTACCCATTTTAAAAAATAGTTAAGTTAAAATAAACACTCACACTACATTCAAAACTAAATGCCATGCATATTAAATAACCAAAGATTTTTTTAAACATATACAATACTACAATAATATACAGAAATATATTTTATCGTCTTGTGGGTTTCTAAACATTGCACAAATTTCAGACACAAAGACCAGAAGAAAGAGGTAATAAGATATCAAAAGCAAGATTAAAATACAAGCACAGACTGGAAAAAAATTTTAATATATATGGAAGGTGAAGGATAACTACCCAGAAAATATTGAGCATATATAAACCAACACAAAGAAAAAGGCAAATATCACAATAGAAAAATGGTCAATGCATATTAATGGATAATCTATAGAAGGAGAAATGCAAGTGACCGTAACATGAAAAGATGCTGAACCTAATCAGTAACAAGGGAAATGCAAATCCAAACAAAAATGAGTTATTTTTCCTATCCTAGATTGGCAGTAATGAACATGAAAGATGTAGAAAAATAGGATCTCCCATTCATCAATTATAGGATTGTAAACGGGTAGAGATTCTACAGGCAACTATTTAGTAGATCTATCAAAATTTTAAAATTCATAAAACATTAACCAAGCAATTTCTTTTCTGAGTATCTGTTTTATAGAAACACATAGTTGGGCACAATGATATATGTGCAAAGATCTTCATTATGGCATTGTTTGTAATAACAAATAGCTATAAACAGCTAAAGTGCCCATCAATAAAAATTAGTTAAAAGCATTATGGTACATTTATACTGTGCAATGCCAAATAACCATTAAGAAAGATAGATCTATATATATAGTGTTTTGAAAAGATCTCCAAGAAATTGCATCAGGTGCAAATGCATGTCTCACAACAATATATAGTGTAATTCTGCTTATGAGTTTATTATGAGATGTGTGTGTGCATATGTGTGTTTATATAAATCCCCCCAATTTAGTCGACAGATTCAAAGAAATGTTTCTGTATACACAAACACAAACACACACACACACACACACACACACACACAATATGTATTTAAATGCATTGAAAAACTCCTGGAAGAGCACATAAAAATTAACAATGGTGACCTCTGGGACAGAAAGTGAGGAGTGGGAAATGAAGAAGTTCCATATTTTACTCTATAGACTTTGATAATGGTTTTTTTGTCTTGTTTTGTTTTGTTTTGTTTTTGAGACGAAGTCTCACACTGTTGCCTGGGCTGGAGTGCAGTGGCATGATCTCGGCTAACTACAACCCCCACTTCCCAGGTTCAAGTGATTCTCCTGCCTCCGCCTCCTGAGTAGCTGGGATTACAGGTGGCTGCCACCACACCTGGCTAATTTTTTTTTTTTTTTTTAGTAGAGACAGGATTTCACTATGTTGGCTGGGCTGGTCTTGAACGCCTGACCTCATGATCCACCCACCTCATCCTCCTAAAGTGTTGGGATTACAGGCGTGAGCCACTGCGCCCTGCCAGACTTTGATAATGTTTACTCATCTTCAACAATAATATATTTATTCACAGTCACACAGGGATGTGGGTATGTGTGGAGGGTGAGAGAAATAAAGAGAGAGAGAGAACTCTAGCCAGTGTACCCAGTAAACCATTTCTCCATATTTTCTCAATAAATGGATGGAACTAGACTTTATGAAACACTCACCATGTACGATTCACTTCCATATACACTCATTTCATCTGCACTGCAACTGTATTAAAAGGGACTTAGTAATATTTAACAGATGCAAAAAGAAGGGGATATACTTTACCAAGGCTCTGAGACAGGGCCCTTTTCCAAGAGATTTCCCCACTGTACTATGGAAAGGAACATTTGAACGTTAGAAAGACCATCAGTGCATCAGTGCAGTACGCCAGGGATTAGGGGAAAGCAAGGAAACAGTGACAGTTTGCTTCATGCATGAGACTTCCTGGCTTTTCACTAGAGTGATCTTGGGTCAGGTTTCCAGCTATGCTTGTCTTCTTTCTGCCTCCAGTTCAGCTCTATATCTGTAGCATCAGCTACTGGTTCCCACAACCTGTGTACATTTTCTTTCCAAACCACCATACAGAGCCTCTTCCTTCTCCCATCTGAGTTCCTGAGTCCCTTTGCGGTTAGCTTCAATGAATCTTTGCTACACCCTTTGAAAAAAGGCAAATAAGAGATTGCCTGCTGTTTACTTTCTCAAACTGACATACCAACCAGGGTCATTTTGTGCACATAGAAAGCACTAGATTTGGAGGAGACAAAAATAGACAAACATCCCTTTTTCTAACAGAACTGAATTTGAATATCAACTTTGCTACTTACTCACAGTACTATATGCTTTATTTCTTGGCTCCTTATTTTGCTTATGTGTAAAGCAGAAATTATGATATTACTCTTTCTTTCTTCATGGTTAGATAATAAATACATAAAGTGTTCAGTGAATAGTACATGCTCAATAAATAGAAATAACACCATTACTACCACTATTATGATTATTGTGTTAAGTATATTGCAATTCCTGTTTTTTTTGTGGCCAATGTATCATGTGACCTTATAGCATCCTACTGAATTAAGGTAGAAGTGTCTACTCTATTTTACACATGAGGAAACTGGGGATCATAGAAGTTAAATGACTCACTCATGTTCATATAGGTCACAAGGAGAAAAATGGCATTTGTACAGGTCTGTCCAATCTCACAGACCATTCTCTTGTCTGTCTTATTTATGTGCACCATACTCCTAGTGCTTAGCGCTGAACTTTGAAAAGGTAGACACTCATAGAATTCCAGTTTCTGGAATGATTTTTCAGGGGCTGAGATCTCTGATTTCTTGCCCCAACCATCCCCATCCCCTCCAGCCCATGCCTCTCTGAGATTTGTCACTGCAAATCTTTTCAAATTGCAAATATTGTTTCCACACCTTATTCAGATGCCTGTTTTGTCCATAGATGAGGCCACCCCTGTCTCAAAGGCTTGTCAAGGGCTTTTCTGGCTGTTAGACCAACGGAGGCTGCTAAAATCCCTAAGTGAACAGAAGCCTTGTGCTGTCCATGGTCCTGGAAGGTTTCACCTCTGAGCTACCAGGATGATAAAAACCTTGTATTTGCTACAGTCTTCAACCTTGGTTGACAGATGTACTGGGAATAGATTCTGGTTTGAGACACTAGTTGATGATTCCCTGTGAATTGGTATGTCATGCTTTTTAAAGTCTGTATGTTCATGGGAAACAGTCTTTAAATTTGCTTTGTGTGTGAACGTGCACGCTGGTGTCCCCTTGACTCCTCCAAAATGTCACAAATGACTTTCCTTGAATTTACCAATTTGCAGTATTAATGTGCTTCTCTCTAGACATCTGTGCCCTAGATAGATTCCAGGTAGAATAGCTGTCTCCTTCCTAAACTCTGACCTGTTTTGCAGGGAAAGGAGGCCTTGGTTTTAGGTCACCCCCAATGGGGGCATTCAGGATGTGAAGCTAATTCTGAGCTCTGTTTTATCATACAGTTGCGTGGAGGAGTACAAACTGGCTCCTGATGGAAAATCCTGCTTAATGCTCTCAGATGTCTGCGAGGGCCCCAAGTGCCTCAAACCTGACTCCAAATTCAATGATACCCTCTTTGGAGAGATGCTACATGGTTACAACAACCGGACCCAGCATGTGAACCAAGGCCAAGTCTTCCAGATGACCTTTAGGTATGCTGTAGATACTTGCACATTGCTTGTCTGAGTCACTGACAAACAACCTGGGCACAGGGAGGAAGCCATGGGCACAATGGGGTAGAGACCTGTTATTCTGGCCAGCATCACTTTAAGCTCACAGGTACCCTCTTAAGGAGTGTGGAAAGTCATCAAACTTTATTCCATAAGGTTTCTTTTTCATGGTCCTAGCATATATTTGTCCCACTTTGCCATTTTCCTAGTTCTAGCCCCACATTTTAAATTCAATCTTAAATTATCATATAAGTACAGTTAATGGCATTTTGAAAAACATTAATTAATCTTTCAGTCTACTGAAAAATAAGTATTTTATGCATGCTGTTCAGGCAGTTCAAAAATAAGGACATTTAATGTAGTAGAAAATAAAAATCGCATCACCCAGAAATACCTAGAATTAACATTTTCCTGAATGCTCTTAAAATTTCTACTTCTCTCTTTCTCTCTCTGTTTTTTCCTGTCTGCCTACACACACACACACACACACACACACACACACACTCCCCAAATCCCAGTAAAGCTGTTTAGAAATTGCTTTTTTCACTCAATAGTGAGTGACGGCTAGGTTGGCCAGATTATGTGAGGATTAAAGATGCAAGATATTGGTAAAGGGTTTTTGGACAGTTGAAACTGTTCTGCCTAAAGAAGAGAAACTTTAAGTGGTGACTTACTTATGCCTCAAAGCTTGAAGAACCATAAGCTAGTAGAGTGAGATTTGTTGTATGTATGGAGAAGGATTATCTAAACACACACTCACACACACACACACGTACACACACACATTATACTTTTAACCATGTTTGCATAAAAAAAAAGATATTATCACAAAGCAAGGCTCTCCTAATCATTTGAGGTCATATCAATAAAAGTCAGAACTAGTAATAAGTCACCATTATAATAATCATTGTTTCCATTCCATCATCTTACTAATAGTAGTGATAATTGTATTATGAGTGGTAATAAATGGTTACCATTTATTAATAATTATTCTGTGTCAAGTTCTTTACTACTAACTACTAACAATAATAATGTCCACTAACATTAATTCAGCATACACGAAAGGGTTTTCTAAGTATTTTTTGTCTATTAACTTATGTAATCCTCACAATGATCCTGTGAGGCAGGAGTCATTATCATCCTTTTTATACAGAAGAGAAAGAGAAATCTAGAGTAGCTTTCCAAAGACTCCCTTCTAGGAAGTAGGAGAGCCAAGATAATTTCATTTTAGCTTCATTATTAGAATCACTGGAGGCACTATGACCTCCATTTTACAATTGAGAAATTAATCCAGAGAGGTTGAGTGACTTTCTCAAGATCATCATCTAGTAAGAGGTAGAGTCAGGAATCAGATGTAACTCCAGCTGACTCTAAAACCTTGCTCTTGTATTTCAATTCAGCATACCCTCTTACTCCCATTTTACAGAATGAGAATGGAGATGTGAATTCACTAAAACCGTTCATCCTTGTAATCATCATATACTCTTTGAGAATCTCCTCTTTCTCATATACCATGCTGGTTATTGGGCATAAGATGGAAAAGGAGATAGAAATGGCCCCTCTGACACTTTAGGTATCGTTGGCAGGTGGATCCATGACTCAGTTGCTCAAGCAGAGACTGAATGCTACTTTACTGGAAAAGCTCCGAGCCAGGCATGGTGGCTCACACCTGTAATTCCAACACTTGTGGGAGGCCTAGGTGGGAGGATCACTTGAGCCCAGGAGTTTGAGAACAGCCTAGGTAACTTTGCAAGACTCCATCTCTGCTAACTTTTTTTTTTTTTAAACTGGGCTGGGTGTGGTGGCTCACACCTGTAATCCCAGCACTTTGGGAGGCTGAGGCAGGCGGATCATGAGGTAAGGAGATTGAGACCATCCTGGCTAACACAATGAAACCCCATCGCTACTAAAAATACAAAAAAATAGCCAGGCGTAGTGGCAGGCGCCTGTAGTCCCAGCTACTCAGGAGGCTGAGGCAGGAGAATAGCATGAACCCAGGAGGCGGAGCTTGCAGTGAGCTGAGATTACGCCACTGCACTCCAGCCTGGATGACAGAGTGAGACTCCGTCTAAAAAAAAAAAAAAAAAAAAATATATATATATATATATATATATATATATATATATATATATTATTCGAACTTGGTGGTACATGTCTGTAGTCCCAGCTACTTGGGAGGCTGAAGCAGGACCATCACTTGAGCCTGGCCATTCAAGGTTACAGTGAGCTATGATCATGCCACTGCAATCCAGTCTGGGCAACAGAGTGAACACTTGTCTCTATTTAAAAAAAAAAAAAGAACAAAAATCAGGAAAAGCTCTGGGAAAAATTTAAGGATAGTCTGGATGAATTGCAGTTCAATGCTGAGATTCTACAATACTAGTTTTCTATAATTTTAATGGTCTATGAAAGTGTGTCTTGAGCAACATCATGGATAGAATAATGTTGCTTGGAATACAAAATAAAAAAATAAAGGAATTATTCCTTCTCTTTGAGGAAGAAATTTAAAAGCTTGCAAGATGACACACACAAGTTTTAAAAAAATAGAAAAATTTAATTTGCAAAGCAGTGTTCCAAGGAAAGACGATGGTTTCCAAAGAGTTCCCATGGAAGCCTGTTGAAAGGAATTAGAAGGAAAGATAAAGGGCTTCTCAAAGGACAAAGTTTGTGAACTGAGGTTTGAAGTGATAGCAAAGAATAGTGCCTCTTGGGACAGATAAGAGTTAAAGGGCATTTTCCTGTCCAGGAAGGAGCCTGCAAAGGCCCAGACATATGGATAAGCAAGGGTGGGAGTCAAGAAAACAGACTGCCAATGAACATGCCTTCAAATCCCAGCCCCACCCATGAGAAGCATAATTCTACTGCTTCATCTTTAAAATGGGGTGCTTTTAACAGAAGCCAGCCATTTCCATAGGTACATTGTATGTTTTATGGAGTTTCATTTCTCACAGCAGCTCTCAGAGTGGCTGGCATTTGATAATTGAGCCAATGTACCATTCTGTTGTGTGAAGGATAGCTTGGTCCAAAAGAAGGATCCACATGGGTAGTAAGAGGCTAGATCCTGAACAAACTTCATTAAATCCTGGGATCTCATTTTACATGCAGGGAAAGGACTTGGTCACAAAGCAAGTCATTGTGGGACCAGCCCACGTTCTCAGTTCTCCTGACTGCTTGGAGTGCTTATCTTCCCACGGCCAACAGACTCGTCAGTGAGAAAGAGCATGGCACCGCTGGTTGTGGTGGCTCATGCCTGTCATCCCAGCACTTTGGGAGGCTGAGGCGGGCAGATCATGAGGTCAGGAGATTGAGACCATCCTGGCTAACATGATGAAATGCTGTCTCTACTAAAAATACAAAAAATTAGCCGGGCGTGGTGGCGGCTGCCTGTTGTCCCAGCTACTTAGGAGGCTGAGGCAGGAGAAGGGCGTAAACCCGGGAGGCGGAGCTTGCAGTGAGCCTATAGTGGTACTGCACTCCAGCCTGGGAGACAGAGCAAGACTCCATGTCAAAAAAAAAAAAAAAAAAAAAAAGAAAGAAAGAAAGAACATGGCCCCTTAAAGGCTGGCCTAGGACTGACTGTCCAGTCCCAGACACAATTTTAGGTCCATTAGAAGTCATTGTTCTGCCTCAAATACTCTGCTAATTGTTTCCAACTTCTCAACCCTGGATTGCCTCTGAACAGCCAGAGCCTAAGTGCCCTGATTTGCCCATGGAGGGGAGTACAGTGAACAGACCAGGATTTTCTCTTTTGATGACCCTCAAGATTTAGAAAACTCCCAAGACTACCACCATTATATTAGAGCAATCTATTCCATTTAAGCTCTGTCGTCCTTGGCTTCAGCTAAACTTTCTTTGCAATTATTTCCATCTCCAGACCATGTATCCTCTTGGAACCATGCTAAGTCAGTTGCCTCCCCACTGTGGAAAGGCAAGCCACTTCTGATGGGTCTAAATTTATCTTTTCCTTTTTTTCTTTTCTTTCTTTCTTTTTCTTTCTTTCTTTTTTTTTTTTTTTTTTTTTTTTTTTTGAGACAGAGCCTCACACTGTTGCCTGGGCTGGAATGTGGAGTGCAGTGACATGATCTTGGCTCACTGTAACCTCCACCTCCCAGGTTCACGCGATTCTCCTGCCTCAGCCTCCCAAGTAGCTGGGATTACAGGCACACACCACACCTGGCTAATTTTTTGTATTTTTAGTAGAGACGGGGTTTCGCTGTGTTAGCCAGACTGGTCTCAAACTCCTGACCTCGCGATCCACCCCCCTTGGCCTCCCAAAGTGCTGGGATTACAGGCGTGAGCCACCCCGCCCAGCCGTAAATTTATCTTTTTCAAGTCTCCCTTCCTGAGCTCCAGACAGCAGGGAGGATGGAGCTCCTTTGTCCTTCACATTCCTGAAAGCCTGCAAATATTTCAGCATCAAATGCAGTTGTCATTTCTCTCCTCCTACTACTTCCTTTCCTCCCTCCTCTAAGTAATCTCTGGTCCAGCCCTAGAGAGTAGCCAGCAAGTACTGCCACCAGCCGTCTCACCATATGCCTCATTTCCTGACAATTGGCTGGCCTAGGATATCAAACTCTCTACCAGCTAGTGTCTCCTGTGTGACAGCTGCAGTTCTGCTTTGTACTCCTCCCTGCCCCTGCCTAGATCACCCCACCTAGCAACTGCTGATATAAGAGAGGTCTGTGTTTTCATTTCCTCTCTTGAATCTCTGAAAGAGCAACCCAGATTTCTGCTTTACAAAGCGCTTAAAAATGTAATGTCTCTGAACTAGACAAGAACTTAAAGATTAACTATTTCAGACCTTACTTGTACAGATGGAGAAACGGAAGCTCAGGAAATAATATAACTGGCTCAATATTCACAGTGATTGGAACTCCTCTCATGCTGAAAGTTAGCTTCTGACTCCCAAACCAGTGCTCCCTGGTTTCTTGTTCTGCAATAAAGGATGTATGCAACTACTTTATATCCCATATCAGCATGTGATGAGGAGAGCCATGTGTTCTATCCCTGTTCTCAGTGTAGAGTGAGGACCCAGGTGCCACAGGGGGAGACCAAATTTATAACTAAGGAGGGATCTTAGGCAAAGACCACTCCATGGGGAGCTACCTCTTCAGGTCACTGCATGTAGGCTACAGCCTGTTCTGGGGGGCGAGCATGTGGTGATATTTCCTGAACAGTCCAAGGGTTTGCACTGTGTGCAAAAATTAAGCATGGTGCACATTAAGAGATTCACATGGAAAGATAAAGACAGGGCAAGAGTGACAAGGAGACTCAGTCAGACCGAGCAGAGGCAGGGAGAAAGAGACAAAAACAGAGGAGACACTAAAGAACAGTCTATGTCACAGCAGGAGGGAACAGCAAGCAAAGAAAGAATTAAGAAGAGATGTAGAGCAGTGAACAGAGTTAAGGAGGTACAGAGACAGACAGCAGAAGGCGGGGAAGGGGGAAATGTGTGCAAGACGGAAGGACTGAAGGAGACATGAAAAGATCAAGAAAGAAGGACACAGTTCATACAAAAATCAAAATACAGTTTATTCCTCGGAAGGGAATGGGGCTTGTTTTGAGAGACTGGATGGTGCTGAGAGAGACCACTGGATTAGGAATTATGTTGAAATTGACATGAATGAAGCCTTTGGTAAAATGTCAAGTTCTGTGGAAATGTGAAGAGCCAATGATTTCACTTCCAAATTGCCCCCAAATCCATTAAGTGATGTCAAGCTTTGTTGTTTCTTATCCCTTCCGGTGCTAAGTGTTGGTCTCAGTGATCCATGTAGGGTCACTGTCAGAATCCCCTTTCCTTTGCTCTTGATCAGTGTGGGAATTGACAGACTATTCAAGTGAGATAAACTCACCAAAGATTGGTGGTATTTGATGTTTATTTGTTTGTTTTTTATTCTCCCCCCCCCCACTCTCTTACCCACATTCATTCTACTTCATTCCTATAAGGAAGAAAGGTAAACTTTGGTTATAGATTGCAGAGATTTAGATAAACATCAGTCAAGAGCTATTATTGAACCTGGTGTCTCAGAAATGACAGGAAGGAAAAGCTGCTTGGGAATGGGGACTGAGCAAATTACAGTGGTAGATTTTGCAAAAGCCTCATCATAAATAAGATGGGTCTGCTGGCAGTAGGCATTTGCCAATAGGCCCTCAAGAATGACCTGCAAAGAGCTGGAGGAGCTCATGAGAGATTTATTAGAAAGGGACTTTTCAATCTTGTCTGCTTATCAGATGTGCATATTGTATAGCATAAGAGGACAGTTTGGGGTAAGATGTGGGATTTGGGGATTCAGCACCCACAACCCACGCTTGGCAAGACTGAAGGGCTTTCTATAAGGATTCAAGGAAAGCTGGTGTTTGTTAGTAGCACTCACTCATTCCCCCACTGAGGATACTGAGTCAGTTCTTATTAAGTGGTCTCCAAAGCTGTTGTGGCCTATGATTTTTCTAGTGCCTTCCTAAGAGGTGATTAATTAAACATGCTGCTTCTGAAACCTTCTTTCCCCTCCCTTCCACCTCTTTCCCTCCCCCCGCCCCTTTAATGGTGTGTACATTTTTTATGTGTCTGGACCTATGCTGAATACTTTATGTGTTTTTTCATTTGATATTTTCACACCTATTGCAAAGGAGCCATTAACAACTTGGCTTTATGAATAAAAGGAAATGAATGTATCAGTCAGAATGCATTCGTTTGTGTCTTGGGAACAAACAATTTCAAACTTCAGTGGCCTGACTGTGAAAGTTTTTATGTGTTGGTCATACCACCTGCCTCTCCCTGAATGGCAGGGGCCCTGGCCATTCTGGTGTTCGGAAATCTGGACTGACAGAAGAATCACCTTTCTGTGCTTCCATTAATGCTTTCATAGTGAGAAACAAACTTGGCTATCATAACTTTCTCCTAGCAGTGAAATTCTGCTTCTATTTCTGGTCAAATTAAGTCCCATTGCTATCTCAAAGGATTGGACAGAGACATGCTATCTTATGATGCATCTTACGATAAGACATGCTGTCTTATCTCAGCACATTGTAAGACACTGAGAAGCAAAGGCACAGACATATTTGTGGGACACTGAAGCACAGACAGATTAGGCTAACTAGCCTAGCAGTCAAACAGCTAAAGTGGTAGCATCTGGGTTTAACACCAAAGTTCACTTAACAGTCATGCCTTCAAGGCTCCCAGCACTCTCCTGTTTCATATTGCAGCCTCTGAGAACTATACTACATCATTCTATTCTCTTGTCAATTTCTTTCTTTCAGTTACTGAAGAACCACAAAATTTATAGCTGGAAAAGCCTTGCAGAACAATTTGAACAAACTCTCCTCTTTTGTTTGTTTGTCTGTCTGGGACAGAACCTTGCTCTGTCGCCCAGGCTGGCGTGCAGTGGCATGATCTTGGCTCACTGCAACCTATGCCTCCTGGGCTGACCTGATTCTCCTGCCTCAGCCTCCAGAGTAGCTGGGATTACAGGCGTGCGCCACCATGCCCAGCTAGTTTTTGTATCTTTAGTAGAGACAAGGTTTCACCATGTTGGCCAGGCTGGTCTTGAACTCCTGGCCTCAAGTGATCCTTCCACCTCAGCCTCCCAAAGTGCTGTAGTTACAGATGTGAGTCACTGCACCTGGCTAAACTCTCCCCTTTTGTAGATGGGATACCTGAGGCTCACAGTGGTTAAGTAAATTGCCTAAAATTGTATCACTAATAAATGAATAAGCCAGTCCTTCAATGCTCAGTCTGTTTGTCTGCACTATATTCTGTCTGAAGCCTTGGAGACATGGCATCCAACCCTGACACTGTACAGGAGCACCAATGCCAAGGTCCCATAGAGAATTAGTGGCAGAACCAGGCCTGGAAAGTTGTGTTTGTGCACTCTCAGGTCTGTGTGCTTTATAATAGACGATGATCTCATTGAAATAAGAAAAAGCAAAAGAGGCTGTTAGTAGAGACAGCATTAATTAAAAGGAGGCATTAGCTTCTGATTTTCAAGGCTATTCCCAAGCCTCTCTATGGAGCAATATTCTGCAGTATTCAAGCTCTTAGCAAAATCCTCAACTTGTCACTTGGAAACATAGCACTTTGCTGCCTTCTTTGAGGGACCATTGGCAAGATCTTAGAAGTGCACTGAGGACAGCAGTTGGAGGCTGGATTAGAGGAGTCAAGGGGTGAATTTTCCTGGCATTCTGACTCCTGAACTGGTTGCAGAAAAAAAAACCTCTTTTCTTTTGTGTGGCTCCATGTTTCCAAGGTTTTCTGACATCTTCTGCAGGAATCAAGACCAGTGTTGGGTGTAGCATAGGGGCTGGAATCAGAAAGCTAACTTTCTTTTTTCAAACCACTTTATTAAAGTATAATTGACATATAAAAAGCTGTTCTTATCTAATGTGCACAACTTGATTAGTTTGGAGATAAGTATATACTAGTGAATCCATCACCACCGTCAAGGCCATAGATAGATCCATTACCTTCCATAGTTTTCTCCCACCCTCTTTGTTTATTTAGATTTTTATGCTAAGAACATTTAACACCCAGCATTTTGGGAGGCCAAGATGGGAAGATTGCTTGAGGCCAGGAGTTCAAGACTAGTCTGAGGATTATAGTGATATCACATATCTACAAAAAAAAAAAAGAAAAATTAAGTTAGCTGAACATGGTGTTGTGCAGCAGTAGTCACAGCTACTTGAGAGGCTGAGGTGGGAGGATCACTAGAGCCCAGGAATTTAAGGCTGCCGTGAGCCATGATGGCACCACTGCATTCCAGCCTGGGTGACACTGTGAGATCCTGTCTCAAAAAACAAAACAAAACATTTAACATATCTTAGTGAAATTTGAGTCTACAATACAGTATTGTTAGCTATGGGGACTATACTATGTAATAGATCTCCAGAACTTATTTATCTTGCATAATAAAACTGTTCCCAAAACTTTGTGCCCTTTAGTCCTTGCCTCCCCATTTTTCCCTTCACCCAGTTCCTGACAACTGCAATTCTACTCTCTGCTCCTATGAGTTTCTGATACTGCTCTGCCATTTCCTGCTGTATCACCCTTGGCCATTCTTCTCCCTGGTTTCTGTGGCCTCTTCTGTAAATTAAGGCTAATGCAAATATCAGATAGAGGCTGAGAGCATCTGACACAAAACATAGCATTTTTGCTACTCAACTCCTATGGCCAGGAGCTTAGGGAAGCTTTTCCTATTCACCTGATCATAAGAATCACGTGGGGCTGCACCAAGACCCACCATTTTTCCCAGAAAAGGGATTCGGGAAAGCGAATTTTTACCAGTATTTCCAAGTGGTTCACATGATCCAACAATTTTGGGATACAATGACTTTGTATTTAAGAGGCCAGCTCTGGACTCAGAGTCCCAGCTTGGCCAACTGTGTGACTATAGACACATTATTTCATTAAGCCTCAATTTCCCCCATCCCTAAATTAAGAATAATAGTAACAATGCCCACTTCCTGGTGTTGAGATAATTAAATGGAATTGGAACCTGTTTCATATCTGTCCTTGGCAGACAGAAGTCCCACGTGCCATAGAGGGCTGCCAGGTTCATCACTAAGGAGGAGCTGTAAGCAAAGCTCACTTGCATGTGCAGGATTATGCAGGGACTAGATCCTCTTCCTGGCTGGTGTGCTGCTGTTAAAAACTAACAGGGTCCAAATCCCGTGTCTGCCCTTTCCAAGCTGTGTGGCTTTGGATAAATTTCTTAACTTCAGTAATCTCAAGATCTTCAACTATAAAGTGGTGTTTTACCTTAAAATAACCCTGAAGAGCTTTGGCAAGGATTTAACAGGCAAATAAGCAAAGCTCCCAGCACACAGTAGGATCCCAATAACCATTCCTTTCTCTGCCTTAAATTGCATTCCTTTCCCCCCAGTTCCAGGAGCCATACAGCAGATGAAGATGGGTTTTTTTTCATTCCCTGCAAAACTTATTTCTGGACTGGAGCCAGGGTTATCCTCTCAACTTCTTCTAAGCAGCTCATGTTTTGGTAAACATGGTGCTTTCATCAAATGCCCAGGATAGGGGCAGAAGCTCAGCCCTTCATGCTCTGGGGGTGAGGGTCATGGGAAGTGGACAGCTCAGCTAGCAGTGTGGAATCACAGCCTCGGGAAAACATAATCTCTCCAGTGTGTTCTGTCACCTGTCCCTTATAGGGACATCCTTTTTTTTCTGTCTGAACATTCTGTAATGAAACACATCTTATTAGGAATGTGGGATTTAAGTGTTCATATTTACTATGTGGAATTTGATAAAGGGCCTGGGCCCAGATCCAAAAGTTGCAGTGGTGTGCTAATCTCCCACCTCTAGGGTGATATTAAAAATATTTACTGATAAGGCCGGGTGCAGTGGCTCACGCCTGTAATCCCAGCACTTTGGGAAGCCGAGGCGGGTGGATCACGAGGTCAGGAGTTCGAGACCAGCCTGGCCAACATGGTGAAACCACGTCTCTATTAAAAATACAAAAAAAATGAGCTGGGTGTGGTGACAGGTGCCTGTAATCCCAGCTACATGGGAGGCTGAGGCCAGAGAATCACTTGAACCCAGGAGGCGGAGATTGCAGTAAGCCGAGATTGCACCATTGCACTCTAGCCTGGGCAACAAGAGTGAAACTCCATCTGAAAAAACCAAGCAAACAAAAAAACAAAAACAAAAACATTTAACGATAAGCATAGAAGTGCCACTTGCCCAATAGGAAAGGAGGCCCTTTCAAACAGCATAAAGCTTAACCAGCAAGCCTTGCTGGACTGCACATCAGTCTCGCTCACCTACTACCTGTCCTAATTTTCTTCCCCTATTATCACCACATCACATCCTCTGTTCATTTCCCAATACCCTTAAAGCATAACCCATCTTGTAAAACTGTTTTCTATCCCTTTCAAAGCCTGTGTTTGAGGGGCATAGGCAGATATTTCTCCCATGACACATGTTGACAAAGCAGATTGATGCTCATACGCTTTACATGAGAAAATTGAAGCCCAGAGAGAGGAAGCATGGCATTCAAGGCCACACAGCGTGTAAATAATGGAGCCAGGATTGAAGGGCTGCTCTTCTAAACACTCCATGGCCTCTAGATAACATGTGTGCTCAGGCACATGCACATGGTCTAAACCAAGCTCATCCAACCCACAGCCTGCAAGCCATATGTGGCTCAGGATGGCTTTGAATGTGGCCTAATGCAAATTTGTAGACTTTCTTCAAATATTATGAGGTTTTTGGCCCGGCTCGGTGGCTCACGCCTGTAATCCCAGCACTTTGGGAGGCCGAAGTGGGTGGATCACCTGAGGTCAGGAGTTCGAGACCAGCCTGACCAACATGGAGAAATCCCATCTCTACTAAAAATACAAAATTAGCCGGGCTTGGTGGCGCCTGCCTGTAATCCCAGCTACTCGGGAAGGCTGAGGCAGGAGAATCACTTGAACCTGGGAGGTGGAGGTTTTGGTGAACCGAGATTGCACCATTGCACTCCAGCTTGGGCAACAAGAGTGAAACCCCATCTCAAAAAAAAAAAAAAAAAAGGTGTTTATTTTTGTTTTGTTTTGTTTTGTTTTGCATATCAGCTATTATTGATGTTAGTGTATTTGATGTGTGGCTCAAAACCATTCTTTCTTCTTCCAACATGGCCCAGGGAAGCCAAAAAATTGGACACTCCTGGTCCAAACCATATGATCCTCTAAGAGCTGGGAAGCAAATAATAGCTCATCATTATTATGCATGAAAACCCTATCTAAAGGTGGGAATTTTCCATATATCTGCTTAAAGTCAGAACTCAATACACATGAATTATGCCAGTGCTTCTCAAACTCTAAGGTACAAACCAATTGCCTGCTAAAATATAGATTATGCATCAGTAGGCCACAGGTAATAAATTCTGAGGCTCTGTATTTCAAATTAGCTGCTGGGTCCAAGGACCAGCTTTTTTGTTTGTTTTTCAAACATATTTAAGATTCTGTTTTTTCTGGACCTCAATCCCATTTCCCAAAGGACCGTTAAGTTCCTTTTGTATTCACCAGAATTTTAAACAAATTAAAATATGTGTTTCCAAGTGGGATCATATGATCTAAATATCTAGCTAGCTAGATAGCCAGCCATACTGTTCTGCACCTTGAGTTTTTCACTTACTCATAGCTCTTGGAGAGCTATCAATGTTTATAGATCTTCCTCCTACGTTTCAGGCATACCATATTTTTCCACTGTAGGGATAACATATGCTCCATGAGGGCAGGGATTTCTGTCTGTGTTGTTCATTGCTGTGTCCCCCGTTCCTGCTGAATATGTGTTGAATGATTGAATCATATAATTATTAACCACTCCTTTATTCATGCACATCTAGGTTGCTTCCAGTTTTTGGCTTTTCCAAAACGTATTTCAGTGAACAATTTTATGTATATATGTCTGAGCATACTAATATATCCGTAGGACAAATTCCTAGGAATAGAATGATTGGGTTAATTGTTATGTGTGTTTTATTTTATTATTTTTTGTTTGTTTCTCTTTTTAAATTTTTTTTTCAACTTTGAGATTCAGGGGGTACATGTGCAGGTTTTTTACCTGGGTATATTGCATGATCCTGAGGTTTGGGCAATGAATGATCCCTTTACTCATGTGCTGAGCATAGTACCCAATATTCAGTTTTTAACCCTTGTCCCCTTTCTCCTTCCCCCCTCAGTAGTCCCCAGTTTCTGCTATTCCCATCTTTATGTCCATGAGTACAGAGGAACAGCTTTGAATAGCAAAGTGTTAAACTGAACTTAAATGCTAGATGGAAACACGAGCTGCCTAGGTTATGCCTGAGAATGAAGAATTGTTGTTCCTCCATTTGCCAGTTTGAAAGCAGGAACCAAGTCCCAAGGCCAATGGCACTAGAGATCCATGGAATCTTAAAGAAGTCTTCTGCGTATAATCCTCTCTAGAGTGACCAAGTGCAGAGAATATGTTTCAGTTTTGCAGCAGCCAGGGGAGACAGACCTCTCCTGCAATCCAATAGGCCCCCGGTGCATAATGTAGCAAAGGTTATTTTGTGTTCATCCGCTCTGCTATCTGATGGGCACAGGGATGCTTAGAGATCAGTGCCAACAGAGAAGGCACTTATTGAAGGCAGGCTGCTAAGTCCCAGGTGCTGAAGCCACGGTTGGGTGCCTGGATTAGAGCCTCCTCTATGTGCCCACGCTGCAATTTCAGCCATAATTGGATGCAGCAGAAAGCTACTTACCAGCAGAGTGCTGGGCTGCATTCTGCTTCAGGTCAAAGGTTGAAGACAAACTCCTGGAAGAGTAGCGAGAAATCCATTTAGGAGAAGACATTGGCCTGGGTGAAGCTTTATTATTCTTAAGCGCTGAAACAAAAATCTCATAGCATCAACACCCATTAGTTTGACTGGGGATAGAAAGTAAGTAGTAAAATTAAGATCTAGTGAAAGATGTTCTTTATTATTATTATTTTTTTAATGGGGAGCAGGGAATTGGGATCCATTTTTAAACAAGCCCTCTGTAATCTTTCCCCGTATTTATGGTAAGAGAGGAAAGAAAAATAGCCACTTTAATTTTTTAAAATTTTCTCAATGTTAACATCTCTAAATATACCAAACCTGGTCATTTTATGAAGAAAACAAATTATACAGAGTATATTTCAAATGTTCTCCAACTAACCTAAAAATGTGTCTCTAGACTGCAAGAGGTGCTAAAACAACAAAATCAACAAGATCCATTTTGCTTGTCTTCACAGCTCGCTTTCCCCCCTTTTTTGGTTTTGTTTTAAATTTCTGGCTTCAAAATCCCTGACTGTGTTCTTTTTCTAGAAGGGGAAAGCCTATCTGAATCACTGAGACATCTGAAGCAGAGACAATTTTTAAAGAAGCGCAATTTCATTACACTCAAATGCAGGCCGTAACTCAGGCTGGTCTAAACGCTCAGAAAGAAAAGTCCTTAGGGAACCTATGAACAGATAAGGTTAGATTGTAATTAGCACAGTAATTGTAATTAGCAGAGCAATTGTAATTAGCACAGTGATTGTTTGTTCATAATGGCTGCTTCCAAAGTGACTCCAGGCAGTTTGTTCTCTTAAGTGTCTTCTGCCATTTCCCCCATGATCTTGTTTACACTGCTAATGCACTAATGTGCTTAGCAATCTCTTTTATAAATAAACACTTCTAAGGTATGAGCCAGCCCAGCTGCTGGTCAAGGCATTATGCATTCTTAATGGAGTCCACAGTACTGAAATTTTACTGTATTACATTATGGTCAATCCACATTGGTATCTCACTCAAGAAAGAAATCACACCTCAGAAGTCATTTGTTACTGTTATTGTTTTATTAATTATAAGAGGGAATAAGATGATGACAGAAATGAACTTGAGGTCAGAAGTTCTAGCCCTGGCTTTACCACTAGTTCTCATTTGTGAGTTAACGAGTTTTTATTGAACATCTGTTATATATCAGGTCTTATAAATCTCTGGAGATAGGGCTGGGTGCGGTGGCTCACGCCTGTAATCCCAGCACTTTGGGAGGCCTAGGCAGGTGGATCACTAGAGGCCAGGAGTTTGAGACCTTTCCTTCTTTCTTTCTTTTCTTTTCTTTCTTTCTTTCTTTCTTTCTTTCTTTCTTTCTTTCTTTCTTTCTTTCTTTCTTTCTTTCTTTCTTTCTTTCTTTCCTTCTTTCTTTTCTTTCTTTCTTTCTTTCTTTCTTTCATTCCTTCCTTTCTTTCTCTTTCTTTCTTTCCTCTTTTTCCTTTCTTTTCAATATGGTGAAACCCCGTCTCTAGTAAAAATACAAGAATTAGCCCAGCGTGGTGGCGCATGCCTGTAATCCCAGCTACTCGGGAGGCTGAGGCAGGAGAATCGCTTGAACCTGGGAGGCAGAGGTGCAGTGAGCCGAGATCACACCACTGCACTCCAGCCTGGGTGACAGAGTGAGACTCCATCTCAAAAAAAAAAAAAAAATCTCTGGAGATAAAGAGAAGAAGACAGTTGACGTCCCTATTCTTGTGCAGAAGGACTACTCATCAAGTGCATTTTGCTCAGTGAGAGGCAGCGAAGACTCCCTGGAAGAAGTGCTTCCTGAGACCTGGAGGCTAGAGTAACAGTTAGCATGTGAGGGAGTGTTCCAGGCAAATGAGAACAAAGAGGGTCTGCAGACGTGAAAGTCAAGGTGGGTCATGAAGGGGTGGAGGGATGGGATTGCAGAGGTAAGGAAGCCAGGGCGGAGGATGGACATTCCAACAGGAAAGGCTATGTAAGCACCAAAGGGGGCCATTACTAGCTGTAAGACCTTGCACCTTCTAATTGCCTTTCTAAGCCTCAGTTTTCTCACCATGAAGTCAGGGAACATAACAGTGCCTGCCTCACAGGAGAATTATGAAGAGG
The DNA here is from genome assembly GCF_000001405.40 of Homo sapiens. Taxonomy (NCBI): domain Eukaryota; kingdom Metazoa; phylum Chordata; class Mammalia; order Primates; family Hominidae; genus Homo; species Homo sapiens. Next base: position 116,790,254 of record NC_000009.12, on the reverse strand, counting down.
AGAAAGAGGTGATGAGAAAAGTAAGGGTAGGCCGGGTGTGGGGGCTCACGCCTGCAATCCCAGCACTTTGGGAGGCCGAGGCAGGCAGATCATCTGAGGTCAGGAGTTCAAGACCAGCCTGGCCAACATGGTGAAACCCAGTCTTTACTAAAAACACAAAAATTAGCTGGGTGTGGTTGTGAGTGCCTGTAATCCAAACTACTCGGGAGGCTGAGGCAGGAGAATCGCTTGAACCAGGGAGGCAGATGTTGCAGTGAGCCAAGACCACGCCACTGCACTCTAGCCTGGGTGACAGAGTAAGACTCTATCTCAAAAAAAAAAAAAAAAAAAAAAAGAGAAAGAGAAAAGTCAGGTTAAGATGCCTTGTAAAGATGTGGGAGTATTAGTGACATTTTCCTCAACATGAATCCAGGGATCTGTGAGATACCACTTACTCCAAAATTGTGTTGTAGTGTGCGTCCTGTCACACTTGAAATCATGTGAGATGCAAATTTGCCAGCATTACTTTCTTTGTATTCCTTCCAGATAAATGAAACAGTAAGTCTATTCTAAGGTCACATTAATAAGCCCACACATGTGTATCAAGAAAATTAACTTTTAAGGAAATAGTTTTATTTCAAAGAGATGCCCTGAATTGAAATGTATGTAGTAACAGTTCTAATGAAAGATATGATCACAGTTTATTGGATGTGAATTTATACAGAAAGCTCCAAGGGCAGTGGCTGGGGTTTTATGTAACATCACTACTGAATAATTACTATTAATGATAATCTAGTGGAACACCTCAAAGGTGGCTTTTAAGAGTCCAAAATGAGCATTTATTTTTTTATGTTGCCTGAGATCCTCAGAGGAGCCCATTAAGTGGACAGTTAATTAGCAGGCACAAGCCAGGAGTCAAAGCTACAGGCATTTGAGTAGCCCAGGGCTGGTTAATTCATTGTATGCCTGAGGACTTTGAAAGAACCTTAAACCCTGAGTCAGCCTCTTCATTCTTTACTGAGTTCCCAGTGACCTTGAGGCTGCTTCCCTTTCTTTTTGATGCTTTCTAGTGTAGGAGGAAAGAAAGACGATGAAGTGATTGTTCTTACTTGTCATGCCGTGGTTCAGAGAACTAAAGTTGCTCTAAAGGATATCCCTGTAAGTTTCGATTAATTCCCTACTTCTTAGGAGTTAGTGAGGACCCAGCCACTGGGAATAAACAAGCCCAGAGACCATATAGGCATTTTGCAGCTGTATTTGCAAAGAAGGTGGAAACACAGCTTGAGAATTAAGCTAAATTGCAATTAAATTTGCTTCAGCTTTGTGCTCCAGCCAATCAGTACACATCAAGAGCTTATTATGTGACAGGTTCTGGGGATTCAGGCTGAACAAAACTCGGTCTAATGTTGGTGTAAAGGGAAAGTAATATACTTTTTTATTTTTTGTATTATCTAAGGCTGTGTTCAAACTTGTTTTTTACTGTCACCCCTTGTCATAGAAAAAAAATAGGATTGAATTCTTCTTAATGAGAGAAATTAAATACTAAGGGTCACAGTTTTATTGGGTAGAGTTAGACATTGGAGGACCACAAGCCATTGTATTGTCTAAGACAATTTCTGCGACTACTGAGAATGCATGATGTTAGTGGATTTGCAAGTGTCATTTTATAAATGAGGTAACTGGGTCTCAAAGAGATCTGATGACTTGACTGTCATCACATAGCTGGTGTCAGAGCCTTACTTACTGGATCTTTCTGACACTTGGATGTTCTTTTCCGTATTCCACTCAGATAGGGTTATTTTTAATATATATTTTAATGTACAAATACTACTTCTATATATTTATGAGATAGAATGTGATGTTTTGACATATGTGCTCACTGTGGAATGATTAAATCAAGCTAATAAACATGTTCATCATCTCACATACTTTTTGTGATGAGAATATTAAAAAACTTTTCAAAGCAAATTTTTGAAATATATAATCCATTATTAACGATGGTCACCACACTGAGCAATGGACTAAAACTTGCTCCTCCTGTCTAATCGAAACATTGTACCCTTTGACCAATCTCTCCCTATTCTTCATCTCCCCGCAATTCCTCATCTTCTTCCCACCCCCTGCCTCTGATAACCACCATTCTACTCTCTAATACGAGTTTGACTTTTTAGATTCCACATACAAGTGAGAACATGCAGTATTTGTCTTTCTGTGTTTGGCTTATTTCACTTAGCATGATGTCCTCCAGGTTCAGATAGGATTTTAAAAATATATTTTTTTATTTTAAACAGTTTTAGATTTATAGATAAACCACAAAGATAGTACAGAGAGTTTCCATATACCCTGCAATCAGTTTCCCATAGCATCCTCTTATATTTTTATGGTACATTTGTTATAATTAATAAATCAATATTGATACATTATTATTACCTAAAGTTCATACTTTATTCAGATTTCCTTAGTTTTTATCTGATGTCCTTTTTCTGATACAGGAGCCCATTCAGCATACAGACATCAAAGCAAAATGACACTGGATGATGTTAAACAGGCAAGAAAGACTTTATTCAAGGCTATTGCAATAGAGGAAGGAGAGAGGTCTGAACTCAATTTCACTGAAACTGAAAAGGACAGGAGGGTTTTTAATTGCTGGAGTAAGTGGAAAAGTACTGGAGGACATTAGGAGATTGAACAATAGGATATGTCCAGCACATTGAGTTATTCTTGACTTTGCAAATGTATTTCTCTGTGATTAGGCCATCTGTGTTTGCTAATTGGTGTCCATGGAAGTTGGGCTTCCACCCTTCCACAAAGACTAAGAGATAGGGGTACTGTCTTCCTTGATGATTACATTTCAAAGAAATAGCTCCCACGTCCTTGAGAAAGACAGTCCTAGATTGTAAAACTGGCAAGAAACTTTATAAAAGATTTATGTCTTAAAGGGGCAGAGAAAGAATTTACAATTGCAAGTTTCTAAAGTAAATGCTTTAAGAAAAGGCAGGTCAGGGATCTAGAGACTGGAGAAGCCTGCCTGGTGTTTAGTCAAGCTGATGGGAAGCTTAAGAGCATCTTGGTCACCATCTCACACTGAGTTGTCCATCTCCTTAGCTCCGCTTGGCTGCGACAGTTTGGTAGGCATATGTATTAGTTCATTCTCATGCTACTGTAAGGACATACCCAAGACTGGGTATTTTGTAAAGGAAAGAGGTTTAATGGACTCACAGTTCCCCATGGCTGGGGAGGCCTTAAGAAACTTACAGTCATGGCGGAAGCTACGTCTTCACAGGGCAGCAGGAAAGAGAATGAGTGTCCAGTGAAAGGGGAAGCCCCTTTTAAAACCACCAGCTCTCTTTAGAACTGACTGACTATTATGAGAACAGGATGGGGGAAATGGCCCCCATGACTCAATTATCTTCACCTGGTCTCTCCCAGGACCCATGACTCAATTATCTTCACCTGGTCTCTCCCAGGACCCATGGAGATAATGGGAACCACAATTCAAGATGAGATTTCAGTGGGGACACAGCCAAACCATATCAGCATATTTTTAAACTGATTTCTTTACAGGCATTAAAGTTACAAAGTTTAAAAACACAAACAGTATAAAAGACATTCAATGAGGAATGTCACTCCTTTCTCAGTTTTTTTTCTATCCTTTTCCCCTATCCCCCATTTTTATTAGTTTCTTGGGTATCTCTCCAGTATTTAGGTAGTAGTGATTGTAGTAACAAGAGTAACAAGTAACAGTAGTGATTGTAGTAATAAGAGTAACCAGATAACAATGACACACTGCACCAGACACTATTGTATCTTCACTCTATCAAAAATATTTTTTGAGCACTTATTCTATGACACTGACTGTTCTAGGAAACCAGGAAGACAATAGTGAACAAAATATATAAAAACCCCTGCTCTGAAGGTTTATATTCTAGTGTAGGGGACAATCAACAAATAAATATACACCCTGTCAGGTACATACACTGTGGAGAAAAGCAGGTTGAGTTAAGGGTACTAGAGGGTTTTAGGCAGGGGATTCTATGTTTTACAGGCTGGAAGACTTACTTGACAAGGTGACGTTTGTATAAAGATCTGAAACAAGGCAGTGAACTATGCACATATCTGGGGAACAGCTTCCAGGTAGAAGGCACACCGAGTTCAAAGACCCTTGGCATTTTCTGTGGACCAAAAGGAGCCTCGGTGGATAGAACAGAGGGGAAGGAGGCGGGGCAAGTAGTAGGAAAAAAGGTTACAAATAAAGAGGCAATGGGTACCAACTGGGGAAGTATGGGCCATTTTGTATAGGGTCCTGTGGGACTCCTAAATGCAGTAGCTTGAATTTTACTCTGAGTGAGAAGGAAACCAAGCTAGTGCATTATTTGAGCAGAAAAGGTCTATAATCTGACTGGGGTGTGAAGAATAGACGTTAGTGGGCAGGGTGAAATCAGGGAAAGCAGTTCCCAGGCTACTTCTGTGGTCCAGATGTCAGACGACTGTGGATTGGAGCATGTTCAGACAAGTCAGCATGGAGAGAGGTGGGCAGATTCTGTATGTATTCTGAAGGTGGGACAACTAGATTTACTGATGAGGGAGAGAAAGGAGGGAGGCAAGGTTAGTGCCCTGAATTTTGCCTGAGCAGTTGGACAGACGGATGTGCCATTGATGGAGACAGGAAAGCCCACAGGAGGAGCAGGCACAAGGGAGGGGAATAGAAAGAGAAATTTGTTTTTGATAATGTTAAAAGATGAACTTGATTGTGAAACATTGCAATCATTTATACAAGTAGACCATAGTGTGATGGAACCCCAGGCACTCATCATCCGGCGTCAATAGCCATCATCTGGCCATGTCTAATATATATTCTTATGGTGATGTCAGGAAGCCAGTAGGATATACCAGTTCAGAAGAGAAACATGACTTGAAATGTACATTTCAGATTATTTAGCATGTAGATGACAGAAAAGAAATGAGAGGACACAAACTCACTAGGGAGTAGATAGAGAAGAGAGGAGCCTGAGCCCTGAGTCCTGCAGTTTAACATCGGAGAGGTGAAGAGCCACCAGCAAAGGAGACTGAGGATGAGCTCCCAGTGACACAAGAAGAGACCCAGGCAGCAGCTTCACTGTCCAAACGCATTCAGTTCTACAGACACCTAGAGGAGCTGTCAACCTTTTCCCCTCCCTTATTTTTTAACAGATGATGACACTGAATTGTTAAGAGACTGAATAATTTTCTCATTGTCATTTGGCTGGTAAAGGATGGAGACAGGATTGGAATCCAGACAGTCTGGCTCCAAATCCATATTCAAATATCCATTTCTTGCTCCTCTTATTTTTTTTTTTTTTTTTTTTTGAGGCGGAGTTTCACTCTTGTTGCCCAGGCTGGAGTGCAATGGTGCAATCTCAGCTCACCGCAACCTCCACCTCCCTGGTTCAAGTGATTCTCCTGCTTCAGCCTCCCGAGTAACTGGGATCACAGGCATGCGGCACCACGCCTGTCTACTTTTGTATTTTCAGTAGAGACAGGGTTTCTCCATGTTGGTCAGGCTGGTCTCGAACTCCCAACTTCAGGTGATTCACCCACCTCAACTTCCCAAAGTGCTGGGATTACAGGCATGAGCCCCCCAACACAGCCTCTCTCCTCTTTTAACACTTGGTTGGTCACACATTCTGCTCCATTCATATCACAGTGCTAGGCTGAGGGACTCAAAGGTGGGGACAATAGGGGAATGGGAGAATGCCATGAAAACATGCCCATGTTAAAGTTAACTAACAACACAGGACATTGCGTGTGTGATGGAGCACCACATGACCTTAGTCAATAATTCAATACTGTCTAATAATATTAATGATGACAATATTTGCTATTTACTGAACATGTCTGTGGACCAGGCACTCTGCAAGGTGCTTCAAGTGCTGTCTTTTCTTTAATTGCCACAACAAGCTTACAGAGAAGAGCCAGTGTTATATCTGTTCTGCATGTAAAAACTTTGAGGTTTAAAGAGCATGAAAAGTAGTGGTGAAGGATTTGCTCTGTTTCATTAGGGGTGTTATGATTGAATTGTTCAGGAGAAAAGTGGGGAAGTAAACACAATACAGACTTCGGAGCTAAGTAGATGTGGGTTCAAATCCTAGCTCTGTAGAGTGCAGTCTTGATCCATTTATCCATTCAAGCTTCATTTTTCTTATCTGTGAAAATAGTGATTAAAAAATACTGTGTCTCATACTATATGGTCCTCATACTATTTTTTTCTCTGAAATACCTGTGAAAAATAAAATTAATATTTGTATTATTATTTGATATTTACCTCCCCTGCTTAACTTGACTCTTGACTCTTCATTATTATAAATTTCCAAGACCTAGCAAAGTATCTATACAACTAAGTTCTCAACAAATGGTAGCTGTAAGTTAGAGATGGATTTTTCTTATGTCCATCGATAAAGAGCATAAGATTTTGTGGGTTAGAGAAGCTTCTGTGCTCATGTATTAGGAACCTCCTCAGCCCATAGCTCTTTACACCCTGTACTGCCCTATATTTCGCCTTCCTTCTACACAGTTTAGGCAGTAGCTTAGTTTAGAGATGAGACCACAGCTTTGTACTCTGGCAGACCTGAAATTGAATTCAACCTCTGCTGCTATTAGCTGTGTGACCTTGGCCAAGTCACCTGACCTGTCTCTATGCTTCATTGTCTAGGTGAACATATTAACTACCTCACTGAATAGTTGGATATATATTAATAATATACAATGTTTAAAGCAACAGATGCATAGTAGATGCTCACTACATGCTAATTGTTTCTCCTTCTCACTCCCAAGACAGAGCCATGTTTATTTGTATGCCCAGTAATTAGAGTGAACAGGGCTTGGTGCGTGGTAGGTCGTTAACAAGATAGAAGGTTGAAAGGAGGGAAGAATGACAAGGAGAGAGAGAGGGAGGGAGGGAGGGAAAGAGAGATAGAGGGAGAGAGGGAGGGAGGGAGGGAGGAAGGAAGGAAGGAAGGAAGGAAGGAAGGAAGGAAAGATTTTATGAGTTTGCCTGTGAGACTTGTTTAAAAAAAAAAGGAACTGTTTTATACATTCATTCATTCAAAAAATATGCTACACTGACTAAAATTTTAACCACTGTTCGAGGTGATAGAGACGCAGAAAGCCTGACAGTTGCGATATATGCCCATCTGTGGAGGGTGCTCATATATCCTAGTTTTACTAGGACAGTCTAGTTTGACTGTTGTCCAAAGTCCTCTCCAGTTTAGCGTATATCCTAGACAAAAGTCCCCTGGATCACATGATAAATTATGTAGTCACTCTACCTACTGAACTCATACACTAACAAAAGAAAGATACTTAGTGAGTGAAATTCGATAAACTGACCCGTGCAGTGTTAGGTATGAAAGTCAGAGTGCTACCAGGGCAAGCCCACATGGGGTGTAGGACTCCAGGTAGATGAAATTAATGTCTAAGCTGAGATGTGAAGGGTAAGTAAGAGATTGTTAGGTGAAGAAAAAGAGGGAATCAGACTGCAGTTAGCTTATAAAAGCTGGTACAGAGAGCACATTGCCCTAAATGTGAATTTTGGTTGGGTTAGCCATCACGGATCTTCATTCCAAATATAAAGACCAAAGGGAACCCAAGTCAGTGTTCAGAAAGTGGCAAGTATGCAGATCTCTTTCCCAGCCTTCATTCATTCAGTACGTCCCTAAGTGGAAGAAGTACTGCTCTACTTGACTTAAGCATCCAGAGTGGGTGGCAGTCCCCAGGGAGGTGAAAGGATAATAGAAGTTTATAAAACATGCACTCTTAGGTTGGGCCAGGGGGACCTGTCACAGAGGTGCCAAAAAAGGCAGAAAGAAGAATGGCTGTCTCCTCAAAATTAGCTTCACTTGAAAAGACAGAGTTCGAGAAGCTTTTGTTCCAACAAAGTTATGTTAATATTGTCAAGTTGGTGCACTGGGTCGCTGAACTGGTACTTGGGGACTGTCATAATATTGATGGGGAGTTTGGCAAGTTAATTTTAAATCTGTCGCTTCATTCTTCTACAACTCTTGCTTTTTAATAAAACTCCACAGTGATTGTGGGCTCCACTGACAGCTAGAGAGTGATCTTTGAGTCTGAAACTGGCATGGTATGATTTTTTCCTCTCTCCCTTTGCTACCCTGCCCACACTTTCTCTCCCTTCCCCAAACTGTAGTTGCCAAACTGAAGTGAGAAATCTTTTCTCTTACAAAAGAAGTCTCACTGTCGGAGGCAGCATGGGGCTCTGGAAAGAGTATGGGTTTTGGAGTTAGACCAACTGGGGTTTGAATGCTGATGCTGCCACTAACTAGCTGTGTAAATTTGTGAAAGCTGCTCGAGGTATCTGAACATCCAGTTCCTCTGCTTGTTGTGATATAAAATAACACATGTCAAAGAACCTGCTACAGTTCACCAGCTTTCAGATTCCTTTCTTCTTTTCAACAATATGTGGGGCAAGAACTGCAGGTATCTGGCCCTGGACTGAAATGACAAGTTAACCGGAAGTCATTCTTCCCTACACACCTTTAATAGATCCAATGCTCAGACTGCATCAAGAAACCCATGGAGGAATCAGAAGAAATGTAATTATAAAAAAATGTCCAACACTTTTGAGAGCCCCAGTGAGTTTCTAATGAGCTTTTTGCACAACAGACTAATAACAGTTCTAATTAAACCCACCCCACTGAAGCTAAAACCTTCATTTTCTCCACACCCGTAAGACTTTTCTCTGCTGGGCTTGTGGACCGACACAAATTGCCAGGAAATTGTGCAAACATCCAAATGATATAGGCATGTGACATTTGCCCCCCAGGTCTGAGTTTTCTAGGGCCAATTTCCTGTCTGCTTTAAGAACATCCTATATGCCTACTTGTGTCCTCAACTTTGGTCCTGTCCACCACTAGCGCTTGAATTCAGTTTTTCCCTGTTTCTGAATTTACATTTTCCTTGTCAATGTTGATTTAGTTTATTTTTTGGTTATCATAGTCACTCTGTCTGCATCACCATCTTTCCAAGACAAGGCCTGTTCCATGGGCTGTTTTGTAGAAAGCTCCAGTCAGCTGACCTACTTCTCCCTCCTTTCTGCAAAATAGAACTCTAGGCAATGTGTGAATCCATTTTAAAGAATTTGACATGGCCAGGCAGGGTGGCTCATGTAATCCCAACACTTTGGGAGGCCGAGGTGGGCGGATCACCTGAGGTCAGGAGTTCGAGACCAGCCTGACCAACATGGAGAAACCCCGTCTCTACTAAAAATACAAAAATTAGCCAGGCGGGGTGGCACATGCCTGTAATCCCAGCTACTTGGGAGGCTGAGGCAGGAGAATCACTTGAACCCAGGAGGCGGAAGTTGCAGTGAGCCAAGATCGCGCCATTGCACTCCAGCCTGGGTAACAAGAGCAAAACACCATCTCAAAAAAAAAAAAAGAATTTGACATTCATTCATTCATTCACTCATTCATGTATATTAATTTATCAACTATGCTATGACAGGCCCTATTCTAAGTCCTAGTATATACAAAAGTAAATAAAATAGCTCTTGGTTGTGTAGGGGGAAATGGAAATGAAGAGAACTAACGGAAAAGAATGAGGAAAGCTACTATGATAGATACGCTTGCCCAGGGTCATGAGGTTCTTCTGCTGTCTGGTGCTCAATCCTAAGCCCCCTTCAGTTACAGCCTTCTCTCTTCTCCCCTGGAAGGACAAACTGCGTGATAGAAACTTACTGTCTTCACTTCCTCACTTTCCAATTGCTTCTCACACCTTTCAAATTTGATTGCTCCCACACTGTTCCCCAGAAATGCTAATCCTAAACCAAGGTCGCTGATTATATTACGGTGAATACAGCAGAGTGGTTAAGAGCATGGGGAGCAGAATGAGAACGCCTAGACTTAGATTTCAGCTAAGTCCATTCAGTGAGCAAATTTGGTTTCATTACCTATTAAAGAGAAAGGTGCATTTAAATCAGATAATGCATATGAAGCAGTGAGCACACAGTAGGTGTGCAGTTATTATTACTTATTTTTCTTTTCAACCTCCTGTTCTCTTCTGCTCCACCCTGGCCACACAGAATTTGGTATTCTACCGTTTGCTTCTTTGTCCTCTTGGCTGGTTTGTGAATTTCTCAAGAGCAGAGATTATATCTTCTAGAATCAGTACTCAAGTTAGATTCTGACAGAGTGAGCACCCAGTGACTGTTGTAGTTGTTCAATGAATGAATGAGTGGGTGAGTGAATGAATGTGTGATGAGAGAATTGATGTGTGAATGAAAATCAAATAAACTACTCAGCAGATTGATACATAAACATGAATATATAATTAATATGTAGATAATAAGTGTGTAAATGATTGATTCTATGAATGGATTAGTGAAGTGATTAATGAGTGGTGAAATAGTTGAAGGAAAGGCTGAGACCAGGGGGGAATTTAAAAAATGAATGAAAATGGAGATGAATGAATAAATTAATTATTGACCCAGGTGGACATGGAAGGAGCCTTGACCTGATATTGGCCATGGAGAGCCATACACAACACATGGCTTTGGGGAAATTTATGTTACTCTGAGAAAATGAACAGAAAAAGAAGGGAAATTAGCAATACTAGAGAAGACTTTCCTGGAGTTTGAGGAACCTTAAGAAATAAGTCAATGTTTAGAATTTTCTTTGTGGTAGATAGGCCCTGTCGGGGGAACTCAAAGGTGAAAGGTCAGGGAATGCTCCAGGAAACAGGTGATGTAGGGAGGTGTCTGTGTTGCTATAAAAAAAAAAAATATCTGAGACTGGGTAATTTATAAAGAATAGATATTTATTTTTTCATGCTCCTGGAGGCTGGGAAGTCCAAAATAAAAGCACAGGTAGGTTCAGTGTCTGGTGAGGGGCTTGGTCTCTTTTCTGAGATGGTGCCTTGTTGCTGTGTTCTCTGGAAGAAAGGGATGCTGTGTCCTCACCTGGCAAAAGGGACAGAAGGGGAAAAAAGGGACCAAACCCCCTCTGTTAAGCTCTCTTATAAAGGCTTGAATTTATTAATGAGAGTGGAGCCTTTATGACCCAAACACCTACCAAAAGACCCCACCCTGCAACACTGTTGCAATGGGGATTAAATTTGCAACACATGAGTTTTGGGGACAGACCATAACAGGAGGGCACACAGAGATATGGGGAGAGTGGTAGGAATTGATTGAGTTTGGAAAATTACATGGGGTAGAGTTGTATTTGTTACAGGTTTCTTAAACATCAAGTTTAAAGTGTAATTGCTTTTTACTGTATAATAATCACAATCATAATAGTAATTAGCCATTACATTCTGACTGTACCTAACAGTATGCGATAGTTCCTCTTTGATTTCTCCCTCTTGAGTTTCACAGATGTCTCAAGAGGAGCCTACACTCCTTCCATTGGCATTCACTTAATCAATCATTTAGATTCGGGCCCCCTCTGTTCTCCTAAAGGACTTCAGACAGGTGGCGATAAATTGCATATATATAGTGAGGTATTTAATGCAGAGGGGTATACTTTATTTTTAGAACAAGTTTTATTCTAGAATTCTGAGTTAATAAAGCAGCTATAAATGGTGCTGAGTCGAGTAAAATTTTGACAAGGATGGGTGCACTGGGTTCCTTGTGCAAGTGGAAGGAGCTATAGCTAGTCATCAGGGGAAGGAGAGACTAATTAGCACTGCATCCTGAGAACAGTTTTATTCATGGCTTTCCTCACAAGAAATGTTGAGCAATACCATGGAGGGTATCTTCAGCAATCATTTTGAGAAGCCCCCAAGTATTTTCCCTATGGTCTTTTTAATTTTTTTTAGTAATTGATCCTCAAATAATAAGCACACTGATACCTAAAGAAGTAAAAATAATAGTAATAAAATAAATAAAAATCCCCTAATTGTAAAGCTAGTAAAGACATGACCAAATTTTGAACTCAGATCTTCCAAATTATGTCCTTCCTGCAGCTCATTTTTTTTGGTATAATGTCTGTTTTCTCTACTTTTGGATTCCAGAGTCAGTTCTTGAACTGTAGTGCTATCTTTCTAGATTTCTCATTTCCCAACATCATGGCATAAGTGTTTGCTTCTTGGGTGTGGTAACATCCCACAGCATAGACGTCACTTGGGAGCTTATTAGAAATGCAATTTACAGGCCAGGCATGGTACTCCCAGCACTTTGGGAGGCCAAGGTGGGTAGATCACGAGGTCAGAAGTTCAAGACCAGCCTGGCCAATATGGTGAAACCCCGTCTCTACTAAAAATAAAAATAAAAATTAGCTGGGTGTGGTGGCACACACCTATAGTCCCAGCTGCTCGGGAGGCTGAGGCGGGAGAATTGCTTGAACCCGGGAGGTGGAGGTTGCAGTGAGCCGAGACTGCACCACTGTACTCCAGCCTGACAACAGACTCCATGTCAAAAACAAAACAAAACAAAAAACAAAAAAAAGAGAAAGTAATGCAATTTGCTTCATTTCCCAGGAACTTCACTAAATTAGAATCTGCATTTTAAAAAGATTTTCAGGTGAGTTATTTGCACATTAATATCTGAGCGGAACTGGAATAGAGTGTTTCTGGAGGTGTGGTCTTAGATTGGAACATCAGCATCACCTGGGAGTTTGGTGAAATGCAAATTCTCAGTCACCACTCCAGACCCTCGGAGTCAGAAACCCTAGGGGTGGGTCCCAGTAATCAGTGATTTAACAACTGTCTCCCACCCCGCCTCACATGCCACGTCTACTCTCTGTGATTTTGATGTAAACTGATGCTTGAGAACCACTGGTCAGAGAAGAGAGTATACCAATTCTTGGAATCAGACACACCTGGGTTACAACCTAGGTGCCGCAACTCATTATCTGTGTGATAAGCCACTCCCACTCTGACCTTCAGTTCCTTATAAGCAAAATTACGAGGACCGTGAATAATGGAGCAGAGGGTGAGATGATGACACCTGCCCCATAGGAAGGATATGATTATCAAATTATCTAAAAAATGTACCTTCCCCCTGGTGCCCCAGGGTCTTTCCCTGCTGTATGGATGTCTGCATTTCTTGTCTGGGTCTCAGTAGCCCTTCTGTCACATTCTTTTCCAGACCAGAGAGAGGGGTGAGAGTCTCTGGCCCTTACCCTTGGAGCAGTACCATGCATCAGCACCTATTGGCTCCATTGTCCAACCAGATTTGGTAACAACACAAATTCACACAGCACAGCTTGAATCAGGGGCAGTTTGAATTAACTTGGCAAGATAGGCATCCCAAGAAATGCTATTCAATTTTTTGTTAGAGCTCAAAATCCAGAACCTTTACGATGTCTCCTTCATCCACTAATTTTGTAATTTTGTCAGGAAAAGCTATCAAGTTGTCTAGAATGATTTGTTCTGCATGAACCTCTGGTGTCCCTTATCGCTCACTATTCCATTATTTTTCCAATGCTTACAGATTATCTCTGGGCACATTCGTCCAATTATTTTACTCAATATTGACACCAGGCTTACTGGACAGTGATTTTCAGGATTACTTACTCATTAGCTTCCTAGAAGGACCAGTTCTGTTTTTGGTCAGTCTCATTGCCAGCACTCTCCAAGCTCCTGCCTCCCCTACACAAACCCATTAACTCTTGTCAGGTTGTTCTCTGTTGCTTGACTTGGTAGCAACATATTCCTCTGCCCTCCACCCTTATCCCAAACCCCCAAAACCTCAATAACCAAGGCCATTTTACATATAGAATCACAGAAAACAAGGAGCGGAAACAGCCTTAGAGAGGAGGCATATAGTCAGGGAAGAGTATAGGTTTCAAGCGCGGACACTTGGATTGCAATTCTGGCTTCTCTGCTCAGGTGTTTTGTGACCTGCAGGCAGGTAACCCATCACAACTCTCTGAGCCTTGCTTTTTTACATCTGTAAAATGGGACTAATTAACCTAAAAAGGGATTATTGAAAAGATTAAGACAAATGCTTTATACTCAGCACTATGCTTGGTGGGAATTCCATACTCTATTAATGATAGTCCCCTCACCCTGTACCTTACCTAAAACCCTTCCTTTACAAAAGAGGGAATATATCTAGAAAGCAGACACATAAAAGATCACATAGAATACAAACCCCACAGAATGCAGATCTCTGATTGCCTGTTTAGTGAGAAGAGCTAGCTCTACCTTTGGATCCTTCCTGCTTATTATACATGTATAGATGCAAGCCATGCAAGGATTAGTGCTTGTCCATTTAGACCATGGACTGGACCTCAATACCCAGTCTCCCTTCAGTGGGGCACCCTTATGCAGGGCACAAGCTGCACAATCATACGTAGAGATGCTGCCTTTTCCTTTATGCCATGAAAAATGAGATTTGAATGTCTCTTCCAACCTTGGATTCCCTGATTTGTCCTCCTTTGAGATGTCAGAAACAAATATGTCTGAAGGCTTGGCTTGCCTGCCTGCCTGCCTGCCTGCCTGCCTTCCTTCCTTTCTTCCTTCCTTTCTTCCTTCCCTCCTCCTTCCCTCCTCCTTCCCTCCTTCCCCCTTTCCTCCTCCCTCCCTCCTTCCTTCCTCCCTTCCCCTTCCTTCCTTCCTTCCTTCTTTCCTTCCTTCTTTCCCTCCTTTCTCCCTCCCTCCCTCCCTCTCACCCTCCTTCCCTTCCCTTCCTGTCCTTTTTCCTTCCTTCCTTCCTTCCTTCCTTCCTTCTTTCCCTCCCTCCCTCCCTCCCTTACTTCCTCCTCCCTTCCCTCCCTTCCATCCCCTCCCCTCCCCTCCCCTGCCCCCTTTCTTTTCCTTCCTTCCTTCCTCTTTTCCTCCCTTCTTCCCTCCCTTCTTCCCCATCTGCCTCCCTCTCTCCTCTCCTCTCTTCTCCTCTCCTCCCTCCCTCTCTCCCTCTCTCCTTTCTTCCTTCCTTCCTTTCTTGTGGATAAAGTCACTGTGTGAGAAAAGATGGGCTGGTCTATAGAGGTATCTCATACAACTACTCTAGCAAAGCAAACATAAAGAATGGGTCCACATTAAATTAATTTCATTGATTTTTTTTCTTCCTTTCCTTTGAAATCTCAGAGTGTGGAGGTTGTAATTGGGCCTTTTATTATCCTCTGCTGAGGGACTCAGTGGAATCGCCATCCTGGGGGCCTGGAGCTCCTTGTTTACATATCCACCCTTCAGGACTGGATAACAGATAGTCTTTTCCGACCTGAATCCCATTCCATTCCCTTTTATTATGTGTCCCTGAAATTCTATTACCTGCTCATGGTCTCAGTGACTCAGCCACAGTGGCTGCAGTAATGATGGCTTTCAGAGCTCAGCTAATGACGCAGGCACTGAGGTGTCTCCAGACCAAACAGCTAGCTGAATCTCAATTTAGCAGGATTTAAGATGGTGGTCCCATGCATTATGCATGAGCATGTGCCCATGTGTGTAGATGGGTGCATGTGAGTTTGCTGGAGGCTGGGTAGAGGGTGTACATTTATACCGAAGGCCCTGCATATTAGCAGTCATGGTGAGGAAAATGAGATGTCTGATGGTGCAGAGCATTTGCTGGGAGATTAGCAGGAGGACAGGGAAGGATATGTTGGTAAATATGAACAAGCTTCTAGCCTTCACTGGATTATTATTCCTGTTCCTAGGAAGACAGTAGAGCAGACTAAGAGCCAGGCTCTCGAGCAAGATGGCCAGGGATCAAATCCACCAAAGCTATTTACCAACTGGGTCACCTAGTGCTGAAGAATTAAGGCTTAGCTTCCTTATCTGCATAATGGGATCCTAATCTGATAAGAGGATTAAATGGA
The DNA here is from genome assembly GCF_000001405.40 of Homo sapiens. Lineage (NCBI taxonomy): Eukaryota > Metazoa > Chordata > Mammalia > Primates > Hominidae > Homo > Homo sapiens. Next base: position 116,774,520 of record NC_000009.12, on the reverse strand, counting down.
ATAATGCAAAAAAAGCTCCTAGCATTGTACCTAGCACCACAGAAGGTATATAATAAATGTTGGGTGCTATTATTATTATTTTCCACCAGAAGAAAGCTTCTATCTTCAACCCACTCCCAAATAGCTTACTTTCATGGATCCAGGATACCTTTTCCTTTACCCTGATGAATATTTCTTGGCCACTGTGTAGAATAGAAAGCACGAGATACAGATTCTTGTCCTTGTTCTTCCATTGAGTAACCTTGGGCAAGCCCTTCTTGACCCTGATCTCCAGAGTCCTCATGTACAAATGAGAAAATGAGGGTGAGAGTACATCAGACTGTGTTTCTTGGAGGGGCAGTGGTCTTTAGAAGAGCCTGAAGAGTCCCTTCCAGAGAGATACAGATGAATACTGAGGAGTCTGCTGCATGCAATGTCAGTTTCATGTATAGGAATTCCAAACATGAATTCTGCTACAAATAAATGTACAAACCACTGTTCCAACAGACCACTCATGTACTTACAGTTTTTATATCCTATGATTCTACAACTTCCTGATGGACAGAGCCAGACAATAAGAGAAGACAGTAACCTCTCTCTTAAACTATGAAAGATAGGTATCATGGGGATGTAGGGCTAATTTGGGAACAATGTATGCCTTAGAAGTGCATGGGTGGTCCAATCTAGGCTAAATATCTGTATCTGTAGGAGGGAAAAAAAAGTCTTTACAATCAGACAAAGCAGATTCAATCCTGGGTTTTCTATCCCTCACTTGCTTGATGATATTGAACAAGATTCTTAACCTCTCTGAGCCAGAGTTTCCTCATCTGTGAAAATGAGGATAATGGCTCTTACTGCAAGGGAAGATGGGAACATGAAATGAGATAATATGTGTATTAATAATTTCGTGTTGCTCAGTATGTGGTATATTCAGAGCATGTTTTCTTTTTCTCTCTTTCTCACCTTAATTCTGAGTTCTGTGTTTATTGCAACTTTTTAAAGCCCATCTTTGTGTGAGGTTCTCCCTTATGAAGGAGGCATGGTTCCATCTGCCTTTCCTGTTATTAAGCTACCACCATTTCTGTGACCCCATCTTTCTCATGACCTCCCCACCTGACTACAGCATTTCCTTCTTAGAATCCACAGACCTCTCGGTCAAGACCTTGGCAGGAATATAAACTTTATGAAAAGAGACTTTCAGAGAGGAAAAAGCTTTATGATATCAGGTTGGGAAGGTTCATACAGACCCCCTTGGGCAGGGCAGGTAAATGTTAGCTCAGAGTTGGGATCCAGGACTTTGCAGTGAGAATCAAGCATGTGCTAAAGGCTAATGGCCCCAGAAAAGGGGCAAAAATTTAGAGTTAGAGTTCTATGTCCTAAAAGAAAAATATCAAGGATAAAAGAACATGGCTCACTGGGCAGACTATCAAGACAGGTATTCAAAAAAAAAAAAAAATAGGATGGAGGTCCAGTGTCCAAAACTGGTTTCTAGAAAGAGAGGAAAAGCAGGAGCCAGCTCAGTTTCTTCGCTTTCCATTCCTTTATTTCTTTTTCTCTTCCATCTTTTATTCTACTGCTTCTAGGAAAGCCTCAGGCTAGCAGGAAAGACACACCCCTAAAGAAATAATGACTATGCCATTTGGTGTATTTTCAACAGACATGAGAATCAAGTGCTAGCCTAAAGCTAAGCCCCCTGAGCTCTGACCCGGAGGTTCATATATTTCCTTTGACTGGAATCAGGTCCTGATGACTGCAGCCAAGATGAGACTGCTGGCCCAAATTACATGGCTCTGGTGTAAGGAGAAGAGAGCTAGGGAGATGGGAGTTGAGGAGGAGGGAAGTCCTGGGAATGGGGCTCAGTGATCATTGTAACCCATAGTGAACCTCTGGCTGACAGAGTCTTTTAAGGAATAGTTCACATGGCAGTGCTCAGATTTCTAAGTCACTGACTCAACTACATGGTTGGCATTTACCTGACCTGAAGTCCACCTCCTTGATCTTAGCTTCTGACCACCAGTATTACTCTGTTCTCATGCTGCTATTAAATACATACTTGAGGCTGGGTAATTTATACAGAAAAAGAGGTTTAATGAACTCACAATTCCACATGGCTGGGGAGGCCTCACAATCATGGTGGAAGGCAAAGGAGAAGCAAAGGCACGTCTTACATGGTGGCAGGCAAGAGAGCGTGTGCAGGGGAACTGCCCATTATAAAACCATCAGATCTCGTGAGACTTACTCACTATCACAAGAACAGCATGGGAAACACCCACCCCCATAATTCAATTACCTCCCACCACGTCCCTCCCGTGACATGTGGGGATTATGGGAGCTAAAATTCAAGATGAGATTTGGGTGGGGACACAGCCAAACCATATCACAACCTGAAATCTAGTCTTTGCATTTGCAGTTCTCTAATTGGGTTCCTTATCAACTTTTTCAGTCCTGCTGGGAACCTAGGATTCTGATGTTTAAAAGAGAGAATATTTAATATATTTTGTAAATATAATGGCATGGCTGCCAGGCAATCAGGATGGATCCTGGAGCTATCAGATTGACCACCAGTCATAAACAGCAAGAAAGGTTGTTTGCATGAGTAGTAGTGGAATGTTGGCACTGATGTAGAGTCCTCATCCCTCCATGTACCCTAGATGTTCTCTTGCCTGCCTACACTCCTGGCTGCCTGGCCTCTTGGCCTTGACAATTTCTAAATGAAAGAGACCATATTCCAGTTGGGCATGGCCAACTGTCCATGGACTGCTGAGAGCCTGGCACTTGATCCATAAATCTCCATGTCATCAGGCTATTCTTGGAGAGGCCTCTTGCCCTTTAATTGAAAAAGATATATCTTACCCTTCATCTTCACTCTAAATATAATGGAAATTAAGTAGGTAATTTCAGATAATGTGATCCCAAAGACAGTACACACTGAGATGAATTAGATTCATTCATTCATTCATTCATTCATGAGCTCCTACTATGTGCCAGATTCTGAGTGAGGTGCTGGGAGTAGAACCATAAATTGGATGCTGTTCCTACCCTCTTGGTACTTATGGGATGGTGGGAGAAAGATAAGCATAAATGTAGTACTATTTGATACATGTTATAAGAATAACTACCATTGATTATGTGCCATGTGCTTTATGTGGATCACCTTATTTCTTCTTCACAACAAACCTATGAGATAGACATTCACTATCCTCCACTGACAGCTGAAAAATGGGAACATGGAGGGGTAAAGTGACACAATCATTAAGTGCCCTGTAGCAGGTCTTGTCTAGTCTGACTGGTGAGTCCATTAGCTTCCTCTCTTAATCACTGTGCCCTACAAGTCCTGTGTGATGATAGAGGAAGCATGAAGTGCAAGGAGTACCTGATGTAGCCAGACTACCTGAGAAGGTTTCTAAGAGATGATGTCTGAGTTGAATCTTGAAGGGTAAATGGTTGTTAGGCAAGGACAAAGGAATGGATATTTTAGGCAGAGAGATCAGCAGATGAATAAAGCAGAAAACATGACAGAAAATACATAAGACAGTAAATGGTTTGGTCTTTCTGGAGCACAGGATCAATTTTTGCAAGGGGAGCCAGAGAGGTGGTGAAGCTCCATATAATGGCAGGTTCTACTTTCTTGGCTCCTCAGAGAGCATCTTAATTAGCACATTGGTTTAGGTAGGAGACTAGATTAAAACATGTGAAGGTGCCCTTGGGGAAAACCCTCAAGAGAGTCCTTCTCAAGAACTTTTTATTGAGGAGTCTTGGCTTTTCCGTAGGGTACTCATCACCTTGAAAAAAACATATGTAAATACATGTGTGTTCAAGAACAGGAAACTAACAATTTGGGAAGGAAAACAGGAGAGTACTGGAAAGAAGCTTCCATAAGAAGGTGTTCAAAGCCTGGAACTGTTTATCTTGGAGAAGCAAATGCTCAGAAAGGAAATGACAGCTGATGTCAAGCCTCAAAGGTTGTGACAAGGTATAGAGAAAGAGCCAGGGATCTGGAGTCAGACAGGCTCATGAAACCTTGGATCAACTATGTCACCTTTCTGGGACCTGGGTTTCTCAGGATGAAGGGGAAATAGTTTTTCAGCACTATTCTAAGAATTAAAAATATTGTATATAAGGCACCTGGCACATAACCCGCACTCAGCAACTGGTAGCTGCTGTTGCTATAATCATTGTCCTGTAGAAGATGTAGGTGAGGAAAGGACTGGTCTGGTATAGACCCCTAGATCTGAATAAAAAAAATCAACTATCTTTCCTACAACCTTGGGAATAGCCATCTGCAGTTGGCATAATCCACACCTAGTGCAAATGGGCACCAACCCCCATCTATGTTCTCCAATATCGGCTGGGTCTTTGACACTAGTTGGAAGTTCTCTTGTTGATCTCCTCCTTTTCTCTATCCTTGCGGTAGCTTTTTAGTTTTTTTTTTTTTTTTAACTCTCAGAGCCCTTGTTTATGCCCCCAATTTAACCTCAGTATTCTTATGTCATTCACTATTTATTAATTAATTAATTTAGACAAGGTCTTGCTGTGTTTCCCAGGTTGGAGTGCAGTGGCACAATTATTACTCACCAAACTCAAACTCCTTCTTCAGCCTCCCAAGTAGCTGAAATTAAAGGCACCCCACCACCATGCCCATATATATATATTTAATTTTGTACAGATGGGGTCTTGCTATGTTGCCCAGCATGGTCTTGAACTCCTGACCTGAAGTGATTCTCCTGCCTCGACCTTGCAACGTGTTGGGATTATAGGCATGAGCCACTGTGCCCAGCTTCATCCACTATTTTAAAGACAAAATACAAGTGAGATCATCAGGCAAGAAAGAGCATAACTTTCAGACTTTCTTCTTTTGTGCCACATACACATATATTCTTGCATCTCTTCCTGCCTTAGGGGAACAGGTGTTTCTTCTCCTGCCTAATACTTACCCCATCCTCTCCAATCTTTTAAGGAATACAATGTCATTAATAACTTCTTCTTTTGACTTAAGTATCTTCCTCTCTCCTGTTCTTTTCCTTCAGCCCATAAGTGTTTGTCTCTCCAAACTCATCCCCTCCTCATTTGCCTTTAGCTACCACCTTATGTCTTCCATTCACAGCCAGCCTTCTAGAAAGAGAAATCTATGCAAATGGTCTCCACTTCCTCACTTCCCACTTACTCTCCCGCCCACCACAGTCTGCCTTCTACACTCATCACTCACAGTCACTGCTTCTCCCAAGGCCAAAAGTGCACCAATTTATGGTTATATCCAATAGATGTGATTCAGTTTTCAGTTCATCCCAACTCTTTTATTTAGCACCATTGTTTACTCATTTGAAAACTCATTCCCTGACTTCTCTGTATAGTACACTTCTGGTTTTCTTTTGCCTCTTTAGATACTTCCCAGCCTTCTTGGGGCTTTAGGCTTAGTATTTTTGTCTTCTCTCCCCACACACTTTCTCTGGGCTACAGACTTTCAGAGCATCCCATGTATGTTGTTTTTGAAATCTGTATCTCCAGCCTGGGTCTTTCTTTATAGTAAAGTAAGGTATATCCAACTGGTCATAATAATTTCATTTGATGGGCAAATACACCTCACAGTTGAGTCCCAAACTTACCCATTTAGTAGTCACCAGAGCATAGATGATTTTAAAATATTTTAGATGAGATTGTCTTCTTAATTCATTTGTGCTCCCATACAAAATATCATAAACTGGATAATCTATAAACAACATAAATTTATTTCTTATAGTCCTGGAGGGTGGGAAGTCCAAAATCAAGGCAGATTTGCTGTCTGTTGAGAGCCCACTTTCTAGCTCACAGACAGTGCCTTCTTGCTGTATCCTCAAATGGTGGAAGAGGCAAGCGGGTCTCTCAGGGCACTAAACCCATTTAGGAGGGTTCCACCCTCATGATTTAATCACTTCCCAAAGGCCTCACCTTCTAATACCATGATCTTGGCCATTAGAATTTCAACAGATTAATTCATCAGGGACAGAAATATTCAGACCATAGCAATTGTCTAGGGGAAATGTAGGTAGAAAAAGAGCTCAGAAAGATTATTTGGAAATGGAGACAAGAAAACAAAAAGTCAGCCAGTGATGGAGGACGGGTCAGGGAGGCAGAGAAACACCAGATGCTGGGAAGTCACAGGATCTCCAGGAGAACATGCTTCTTAAGGAGAGTTTGGTCCTCTGTGTCATAGGCTACTCAGAGGTCACCTAAGAGTAAGAGAAAGATGGAGACCAGCAGTTTTGGCAAATTGGAGGTCATCAATAACCACGGTAAGGTGGGATATGTGGAATAAATATGGCAAAAAGCAGATAGGAATGGGTTGAGTGAGGATGAGTGGTGAGAAATTGGAATCAGTGACATAACTCTTTTTCAAAGAAGAATTTAACAAGAAAGTGGAGAGAGAGCATTGGATTTGGGAGTTTACAATATATTCTAATTGTCTTTTTTACTTGTATGACTTCCCTACTAGACTGCTAAGTGCTTGAAGACAAGGTCTTTTTTATTTTTCTGATTTGTTTTGTTTTGTTTTCATCTTCAATGCATAGAGTTTGGCACAAAGTAGGTGTTTAGTAACATTTGTCTTGAAAAGATAACTAGATCTATGAATAGTTGCATGGGTTGCTTATGGAAGTAATTAGTACTTTTTTACCATAGATATGCCATTAGGAAATGGAGGACTTTCTTCCTTCTCTCCCTCCCTGTTTTCCTTCCTTCTGGAGATATTTACCACATTGCTCCATTCCTCTGTTCCCCATCATTGTTAAGAGGGCTCTCAGCAAGGATGGATCTGCTAGTTCTGGCTGCAGGGACCCCTGCTCACGAGGGTTCTGAGCATAGTACACCAAGAGGTTATATCCCTGTTCTGTGATGTGTGGAGGACAGAAGTCACCAAAAGCAAGGTCCATGCATGGCCAACATGCCTTTGAAGAAGGCCTGTAGTCTCCGTCTGTCTCTGGAGCTGCTCAGCTCACAGCCACACGCTTTATTAGTGTCTCCTTGTTACTGTGCTATTAGGAGCTGTCAGCTCCCTCCGTTCCTAATGTTCTCCTCTGCTTTGAAATGTTTTGTCAGGCCTGCATACGCCTAGAGAACAGAGGTTCTGAGTTCAGCGGAATGTGTCTTACAGTGCATCCGCCAAGCCTGTCTCTGGGTGGCATGCTTAATTAAACCTGAACAATCACCCTCGTCTCTCCCAAGCCACCCCTCCCTCCTCTCATAGGGAGATAAGCTCTGGGAGCCAGCAAAAAGCAGCTGGAGCCTGTGTGGAGGGTACCTAGGGTGTGAGTAGGTTGGCAGGCAGGGAAGGGGCGGGTTCCCATTGAGTCAATTCTTCAGGCCTCATTCTCTCCATCTTCTAAACATGCACACCTGTGTGTGTGTGTGTGTGTATATGTAGGATTGTGTGTTCTTATATGTGTATTTCTGGGTATGCATAACTGTATGTGAGCATGAATGTATGTGTTTATGTGTGTGTGATGCAACTGTTTTAAGTATGTGAGTATGATTGTGTGTGTTTATGTGTGAGTGTGAATGTGTGTGTTTGTGTGACTATCAATCTGTGTGCTTCTGTGTGTGATGTTACTGTGTTTAGGTGTATAAGTATGAATGTGTGTGTTTATGTGTAAGTATGAATGTGTGTGTTTAAGTGTATGTGAGTGTGAATGTGTGTGTTTATGTGTGAGTATGAAGATATGTGTTTGTGTGTGAGGTGACTGTGTGTTCAAGCATATGTGTATGAATGTGTGTGTGTTTAGATGTATATGAATATGAATGTATGTGCGTTTATGTGTATGTGACTGAATGTGTGAGCTTGTGTGTGTGATATGACTGTTTAAGTGTATGACTATGAATGTGTGAGTGTGAATGTGTGTATTTGTGTATGTGAGTGCGAATGTGGGTGCATTTACGGGTATCTGACTGTAAATATGTATGCTTGTGTGTGATGTGACTGTTTAGGTGTATGAGTATGAATGCATGTGATTAGTATGAATGCATGTGTTTGTGTATGTGAGTGTGTGTGCATTTATGTGTATGTTACTGTGAATGTGTGTGCTTGTGTGTGTGATGTGACTGAGTTTGTGTGAGTATGAATGTGTGTGTTTATGTGTGAGTGTGAATGTATGTGTTTGTGTGTATGAGTGTGAATTGTGTGAGGGCATGTATGTGAATGTATGCCTGTATATGTGTGCATGAGTGTGAATGTGTGTGATGTGACCATGTGTGGTTAAGTGTATGTGAGTGTAACTGGTGTTTTGTGAATGTGAGATGAGTGTGTGTGTCAGTGCACGTGTGTATTTGTGCGTGTATACCCATGGGGGTAAGAGGGCTCAAGTTTGGCCCAGTGGGGGTTGTCGTCTCTTTGTCATAGTTTTAGGCCATTTGTATAGGATGTCTGCCCTATCCCGGGATCTTTATAATAACTATTACCAGTGACCATAAATGGAGGCTTGCCATGTTTTAGGCTCTCTTTTAAACACCTTAGATACATTTTCTTTTAATACTTAATAGTTATATTGACAGGTAATAGTAGCCCCCTTTTCACTCAGTATTGAAAGAGAAAATTATTTGCCCAAGGCCACACAACGCTTATTCCCTCCCCCAATAAAATTAGCATATGTTTCTGTAGAAAATCCAAGCAATATTTCTAAAAATTAACAGGTTAAAAAACTCTGAAGTTCCATATGCTGGTGACCACCTTCATATTTTAGTGGACTTCCTTCCAAGTGTCACTCTGTGCTTTCAGTCACATGTTATATACAGAAACATGTAAGGATGGTACAGTGTACACTTGTCTTTTTTTTTACTTAATAATACCCCCTAGAGATTTTTCCCTTCTATTTTTTAAAGATCAGCCGTATTTTTTAATGCCTGTACAGTATTCTATTACCTAGACTTATAATTCATTTAATCAATCACCTATTGATAGATATTTAGATTGTTTCCAGCTTTTGACTATCGTAAACTATGTTGCAGTAAGCATCCTTGTAAATACAGCTGTGCACACTTGTCTGCTTGTCTTCTTAGGATAAATCCCAGAAGCAAAACCTCTTGGGCAAGAGATATGCATATTTAAATGTTGATACCCAATATCACATACCCTTAAGAAAGGTCAAACTAGTTTACACTTCAAGTCCCTAATGCGGTGGCTTAAGGAAAGTACTGAGCTAGCTAGATTGGAGGTAGATGGTATTGCTGTGGGGAAGGGGTTTTGAATAGCCTGGAGACCTTGCCTAGCCCGACTCTGGGGCCAGGAACTGTCTGTGCACTCAGCTGCAGGGTGTCTGGTTGATGAATGCAGAGAGAGAAGGAGAACAGGGCTTTCTCTGCAAGGAAAGGTTCATTAGGCTGCTCTGCCATATCGGATGATGCTCTCAGGTAGAATTTGGCCTCTGCTCAGAAGGAACCCTCTTGGGCTGAATTACCCTAATTCAGCCCATGCTGTTTCAGTCCTCAAATTTGTCATTAGCACGTATTTTGTAGAGGTATCAGCATTTCACACAGCGTCTCTCAAAGATAAAGAGGATTGACACAGAATTAAATGAGGAGGAAAATGGAGACAAAAGCAGAAGTGGTGGGGTTGAGTATGCAGGCACATGCAGATACAAAGGTACGGTGGGGGCATCTCAGAAGAACTGAGGATTAGACTGATGTCTGCATTAGACCATTATTATTTTTTAAAATTTATACTGCTCTCAACTTCCAATTAAAATAACAAGAACAGTTAAAGTTCTCAAATGTCAGCACTCACATAAATGTAGGACGACAATTATATCAGAAACAACTAATGTAAGCTTATTGTACTCTAAACTCCTTGAAGGCAGGGATTAAGAAAGGGATCACACTTCTTGGAAGATTCAGGAAATATTTGAATAAGTAAATGAATGAATGACTTTATCTATTAATAGTAATGAAGTTATCCACAGAAAGAGGTTAAATGGAGAAATAAATAGATGTGGTTCAATTGTTAGTTTCATCACTGAGTAACTGTCATTGCAAACTGGGTTTGCTAAGAAAACAGAATCTGAGTTCAACAAGCAGAATGTTTTTTAAGGAGTGGCTTTGGTATTGACACCTTGGAAGGGACAGGGCAGAAGGAGGACCAGGGAGAAGAAGTTCAGCTGCCCTACAGGCTCAATGACAACTTCAGCCAACCCCATAGGGAGCTCAGGACTAAAGAGGCCCTTCAGCATTGGCTCAAACTGGGCTAAGACATTTAGATCTTGATACTCCTGCAATAACCAGTCATGGTTGTGGGTCATACCGAGCAGGGGCAGGACCTTAGGTGAGGCCGAGGCAGTCCCCATAAGGGCTGACAGCTAAAGACTGCATGCTAGCGACACAGGCAGCATCTGGGACCAGTCCCCGCTTGAAGGGAACCTGGCCGGAGCATCACAGCCTCTGCCACACTAGCTGTATGACCTTGGCCCAGACATGTGATTTCTCTGGTCAGCTCTCTTATCCATGAGGTGAAAAAAATGCACCTTATATCATAGGAGTGTTGGAAAGACTCAGAGGTTCTGTGAGTGATGTGTTCAGAATATTTGGCCCCCAAGGGATGCTCAGTGAAAGCTACATCCTGTTTCTCTTTCTCTGGGCTTCCTCTGCAGCACTCTTACCCTGCTGGTACTGGAGTTATCTGGTTGTTTCTCTCCCTCACCCTCTCGCAGAGACCCACCTGCAATGGCCTAGCTCAGTGCTTTGCATGTTGCAGAAAAAAGAAACCATAGGAGAGCTTACTGGGTATCTACTATTAACCCAATGCTGGAATGCAAATTCTCCACCTATCATCCTATTCAGTCCTCTCTGTAACCCTGACAGCTGGGGTTTAGCATCCCCACTTTACCCACAAAGAAACAAACTCAGAGAGGTAAAAGACCTTACCCTATGTCACACAGCCAATCATTGTGGGAGTTAGGATGAACATCCAGGTCTAGCTGACTCTACATCCTTAAACAAACCGAGGCTGTGTTTTCTCCCAGCATATCACCCTCCATAGAATACCCTCCATAGGTATTCTCTTGCCTCTTTGCAGGAAGTCTGAGTGATGGGTTTGGCCTGGAGAAGAAGTTTTGGGTATTTGAAGATGGTTTTCGGGGGCGCTGAGTGGTTGTGTGAACAGAAGGTGTGCTAATGTCTCCAAATTGCTGCATTCAGGGGGCAGAGTGATACTCACTTCCAAAAAGGAAAGGAGAAAATGAGTATACCTTATAAATTTAAGACTGATGCTCATAAATGCTGGGGGAAACTGTGATAGAATGAAGTGGCTACCCCTAGCACATGTGTCCAAAACAGCGAGAATTACTATTCAGCACCTACTGCATGCCAAACGACATGCTAAACATTGCATAGACAGTGACAAACAAGATTGTCTCAATCTCTACCCTCACACAGTTTGTAGTCTGGAGGAGGACAGCCACTGAAGCCATGATTATTGGGGGTCCTCAGAAAGGAGGAAAATTTGCCTCTTATGAGAGCATCATGGTGCAGTAAAAAGAGAACAGACATTGGAATAAAGTAGTCATGGAATTGAAGTAGTTTTTATTCTGTATCTCTTTGGGAAAATGAGCCAATTTCTCTGAGCCTCAGTTTCATCATCTGTGAAACGGAGAGAAATAACAAATCCCAATGTCATAGGGTTGCAACAATCAAATAAGTCAATATGTCTGAAGTAGGGGTGAACAAACTTTCTGAAAAGGCCTCAATAGTAAATATTTTGAGCTTTCCAGCTACCTGATCTTTGTTGCAAGTAATCAGCTTTGCTGTTGCACTGGCAAAACAGCCATAGACAACTCTTGCATGGAAGCCAATCCATCCCTCCACCCATTTACTCAGTGTGTTGTGAGTGCATTCCAATAAAACTTCATTTATGGACACTGAATTTTGAAGATTATAGAATTTTCACATGTCACACAAAATATTATTACCTTTTAATTTTTTTCCAGGCAATAAAAAATGTAAAAACCATTCTTAATTCATGGAATATACAAAACAGGCAGAAGTCTGGATTTGGCCTGCAGTTAATAGTTTGCCAACACCTAATCTACAAAAGTGGGGATCATGACAGGTACTCAATAGATAAGAGTCCACATCCACCTACTTCAAGTTGCTAAGCATTTATGTTTTTCAAAGCACTTCAGTGTCAATTATCCAAATTAGTTCTCCTTGGAGGCCCTGCAAGATAGACAAAGAGAAAAATATCATCCCCATTTCAGAGATGTGGAAACTGAAGCACAGAGATGCAGGGGATTTTCCAAGCTCACAGACAACAAGTGGCAAAACCAGGACCTTGAGGCTCCAATTTTTTACCATTTTTCATTTCTGAATATCAGCTATAAGAATGAAAGAGTAAAGTAATGATTAGAGCCAATATTACAGCTATAATTAAATAACTGATAACTAATATTTCAACAGTGCCTCAGACCTTGTAGGTCACTTTGACACAAATTATCTCATTAGTTCTTCACTGAAAACTCCACAAAGGAGGAATTATTAGTAGGCCCTGACTCTCAGGGAGCTATGCAAAGCCACAGACCAGACCTGATTAAATGGCAAAGCTGCATGTCCACATCTAAGAATCTTCGCCAGCACCCACAGAGTGTTCTCTCCAATTCTTTCTGAATATTGCATAAGGGACAGGAATCCTCAACAGCTCCCTTGCTCTTCTTCATCCTGAATTCACTCCAATTCATTCTCCATATAGCAGCCAGAATGATCGTCTAACATGCAGGTCTCATTAGATCACTCCCCTGCTCAGAGCTCATCAGGGCCTCCTCATTGTGCCCAGGATAAAGTCTAACCTCTTTATCTTGGTGGACACAGTTCCAGATACCTGGACTCAAGCCCATCTCTCAAGTGTCTCCCGTCACTGTTCCCACCCCTTGTCTTACCTGCTATCACCCATTTCTACAGAGCTGCTTGTAGTTCCCTGAGTTCCCTGGGATTCCTCATGCCTACTTGACTTTGTACATGCTGTTCCCTCTACCTGGAATGCTCTTCTAGTTTCTCTGCCTAAAATACTCTGATTCATTCTTGATTGACATCAGGAGTCCGCCAACTCCTCCAGGAGTCTTCTTTGAACACCTCTTTCCGTGAAAGGCTGAGTGATCCTTCCTACTCTGCGCTCTTCTCTTGCAGAGAGCACCTTCAAGAGTAGGCCAGTTCCCATGTCTATTTCAACAGGATTGTGAGTACCTACCACACAGCAGGTACTTCATTAATAAGAATTTAATCATTAAGTGAATGAATGAGCTACTTTAAGACAACAGGACAAGGGATGTCTCATTTATCTGTGTTCTCTGAGAGCCTAGGTTCATGCCTGGGACACAATAGCAATCAGCAAATGTTTAGTGACTTGATGAGTGGAAGGGCAGAGGGATCGATGCAGGTGCAGGTGAATAAATTGAAGGTTGCTGGACAAAGTGACAACATGCACAACCACGAATGAACAGCAGATATGAGGGGTGGAGGACAGTTAGCTATTCCCCGTTGTACCATGCATGGGAGGCGCCAGCCAGAGCTGCCCATTTCCAGCTCCCAGCCATCCTTCCAGCATCTCAGCACATTTCCTCTTCCCTAAATCTGCAGAGAAGCTGCGTTTCCCCACCTCCGCGTCCTCCCCTCCTCCCCCAACCCTTGAGAGTAGGTTTGGTGTTCCTACAGATGTTTGTATTCTCTGCAGCTGATGAAAATATTCATTATCTTGTTAGCTGCGGCGGGGAAGGAAGTGCAGATTTGCATTTTCCCAGTTAATCAGGGTGGCACAAGTGGTGCCTGTCACCCAAGTCTGTTCCCTGCCACCCCCACTCCCTTCTGCAAGTGGTAGAGTCAAAGTGGGATTTCCCACACTGCAGATTCTACCTCTCTCCCCTCCCCCTTCCCCAGGCACAATCTAGAAGGAAAAAAAGGAACCAACAGCAGAGGCCCAGCCTGCACACACTACCAGGTTTGCTTCCCAAAGATATGCCTTAATGTGTCTGTTCCTCGCTCGGAATCCTCCCATTGTTCCCAAGTCACAGTCAGGTCTGAATTGCTCAGCCTGGCTTTCACGTCTAAGGTTAGGGTCTTACATCAGTGTTAAGCTTTGTATGTCAGAAAGTGTTTGTAAAATGATCAGTTCATTTGATTCTAGCAAGTGCCCTCAAAGATGGGTGTTATCATTACTTTGGTTTTGTGCAAGTGACTCACCCAATATTATGTGGCCACCAAGTGTTGGTGCCACAAATGCTGCCCCATACTTCTCTGTTCAAAAAATAGTCTTAACACTGAGACACTGATTTGGCTTAGTGGAGGCCTTTCTCCTGGGTGTGGCAAAAGCTGGCACTTTGAGGCTAGCCTGTGCATCCCAGCCCAGGGAAGTTTTGGCAGTCACCTGGGATGTTCTACCTGGAGAGGATGAAAGATCTGTGTCCATGGAGTATGTGCACATGTGCTTTGCAATGATAATAATGATATCTTATTTTTTTGGTAAGCTCCTAAACCCGTCCTGTTAGCCCTTCCCGTATTTACAGGGAAGCCTCAGGTCTGGCACTTCGTATCTTTTCTGACTGATAAAGAAACCAGGGTCCTGCAAGAGAAAGATCATATCTGACATTAAACGGATATTTAACTATCTGACCCAGGGTTTTTCAGTCATCCTCTCAGTCATTTCATAAATACGTGCTGAGCAGGTTTATGTGTCAGGTACTATTCTGGATGTTGGTAAAATAGCAGTTAGCAAGAGAGATTAAGGTCCTTGCCCTCATGGAAATAACATTCTGGGAAGAGATGGGGATGGGGCAGCAGCAGAGAGAAAATAAACATGTATTTCCAGTGGTTATAAGTGATATAAAGAAAAATAAAGAAGGATAAGGAATTGGAAAGTTTTGCTTTATACACAGTGATCACGTCAGGCTTCTTGGAGGAGGTGACAATTAAGCAGAGGCATGAATGAAGTAAAAGCGTCATCAGTATACAAGCAGAAAGAAATAGTATAGCAGACAGAGGGAATGTTATATTTCTCACTAGCCAAGTCAGTGACCCAGAAGAGAAGAGCATGGTTGTGAAAACAGGCACTGGTAGCAGCAAAACACAGGTTCTGATATTGTTATTGCTCCTTAGGAGCTGTATGACCACAGGCAAATCTCAGAGCCCTCATAGGTAAATTGCGAACAATCGGTTATGTATGTTTTGAGACTTAAGGTAGAAAATGTTTACAGCTCAGTGCCCCTCAATAAATTATTTGCTTTTACTCTATAGGGCTAAAGGTCTAGGAAATCATTTCTCACACATACTTTTCTTCTGAATGCTTCAGTCATCCATTTATCCAGCACAAACTGGGCCCATACCAAGTGGTAGAGTCTATGATAGATATTAAGAATGCCATGGGCCAACCATGGTGGCTCAGGCCTAGAATCTTAGCCCTCTGAGAGGCTGAAGTGGGGATGACAGCTAGAGCCCAGGGAGTTAGAGACCAGCCTGGGCAACATGTGGAGACCTTGTCTCTACAAAGGAATTAAAAAATTAGCAGGGCATGGCGGTACGCTTCTGTAGTCCCAAGCAGGAGGAATGCTTGGGCCCAGAAGTTTGAGGTTACAGTGAGCCATGATAGCACCACTGTGCTCCAGCCTGGGTGACAGAGCAAGACTTTGTCTTTAAAAGAAAAAATAAAATAAAAGGAACACAGTGGCTTATTTATCCAACATGTGTTTGTGTCCACTAAGCCAAGCACTATACTAGGCAGCCCTGGGAATACAGAGATGAGTATGAGAGACAATGGCCCTGGTCCCATGAAACACCTGCCCCAGTGTTCTTGGGCTTCAAGTTCTCCTGCCCTCAAGCTGTCCATTGATCCCAGAGAAAGCTCCGAGGCCACAGCTGCCAATACAGTGCCTATGTGTGAATTGAAAAAAGGAGACACATCCCTGCATACGCACTAAGCTTGGCTTGCAGAACAGGGATGAATTTCAGTCTCCATTTGCCCTCTCAGCTGTGGCACAATCTGCAAAACTATGTTTGGGAGCATCAGAGAGCTCCTGATAGATAAGTTTCTTCTGTCAATAATGTCCAAAATAACCCTGGACCTTACTTCTTAGCCTGGGTGTCCTCCAAAGAGGGAAAGGGGAATTTGTCTCCTCTGTCATACCAGTGACCCCTGAAAGCTGGCACATGTCTGTCCTGTGAGCCCTGGCACTCTCCTGGCATGGCAAGCCCATACTGCTCAGGAAGTAGCAGTATGAACTGAAAGAAGGAGCTCCAAGTTACAATGCAGGACACACCACAAACTGCTATTCTTTGTGCGAGGCCTTTTTCTTTGCTAGCAATAAGTTTTCCCATTTTCTATTATTCACAACAACAATAGCAGCAATATTAATTGACTTCTTACTACATTCCAGGCACTCTTCTAAAAGTTCTACATGCTATTTTGATTCCCAAACAATCCAATAAAGAAGTGATTTTATTGGCCTCATTTTACAGGGGAGGAAACTGAGGCACAGTGGAGGGACTGGACTAGATTTTGATCTCTCAGGCTTCTTCTAGTAATGGCATTCAGTTTCTGTTTGAATTGGCTGCTCATTCATTCATTCATTCATTCAACAAATTCTTATCAAACACCTGTCATTATATCAGGGCCTGTGATAGGTGTTCTATGTACTATATCTCATTTAATTCTTAACAAATTAAGAATTTGTTAAGCATATAACTTTTTTATGATCTTCCTTCTGCCGATGAGAAACTGAAGGCTCAGAAGATGATTGGTCTCATCCACTGGGCCAATCAGCCATCTTTACTGGACACCTTCTATGTTACAGGCCCTGTCCTATGTGCGGGGGAGACAGTCATATGTTCTGGGAAGATAAATATTCTGTGGAGCAACTAATGATAGAATTTGCAGGGCAGTGGGGTAATAAGACGATGAGCCCTACATTCTACCATGCAAGGGGGTTGGCCATTTTTTGAGGATGCTTGTCCACATACACAGATGGGGGTCCTTGTGACATTGTGTCTCACCATGAAATTCTTTACTAATATGTCTGCATGAACACCAGAAGAAAGACCCCATCCTCCTCTGGTCAAGCAACTCTCTCTATCCTTCATTTCTCAAACTCTCAACCACCCACATATCTCACACCCTGAGCCATGGGCATGTTCTGTGACACCCATGCCCACCGTGATCCCAGTGGGCCAGGAACTTCTCATGTCTTCGGTAATTAAGTTCACGCATGCCAAAAAGAAAAATAGCTTCACAGATGCAGTCGCAAATTTTAGCTAATTAACCATATGGTCTGGATTGCTGACAGAGCAGGAAGGCACTCCGGGTAAGTGCTGGTTTCCTGGTTTCCTGCAGGGAGGGAGGACTATTAGGTGTGTTGCCACATTCTCCAACACAAGGGCATGGCGACTCACAACTTCGCACCACCTGCTTGGAGTCCTCTTATCTGTTTCCTCACTAGGAGCTGCCCTGAGGAAAGGAGTCCTCAAAAAAAGGGAAGGAGAGGGGACTGGCCTGTGGACAGGAAACACTTTTCCCATTTCAGCAGGAGCTGTAGGCGGAAGCACTCTATTTCAGGGTGGAGGATTTGGAGAGACAGGCCCAGCAAGTGAGACACAGTGTGGCATAATAGCACCCTGGAAACCTCACAAAGTTGTCACTTATTGGCTCTGTGACCTTGGGTACATCACTTTGCCTTTCTGAATTTAAGCCACTCAGTTTCCTTTAGTGCAAAATAGCAGAATTGAAGTCACCGATGACCAAGTGTGTGTGTATGTGTGTGTGTGTGTGTGTGTGTGTGTGTTTTATTCGGAGCATCTTATAGATAACTGGAGATAACAAAGAATGAGAGAGGGAAGTAACAGGGATGGAGGCCGAATTGAGCTAACTTTCCAGCTGCTGATAGAAGAAGGCTGACTAGTGGAAGGGAGTTGGGGGTAGGGTTTAGAATAAACATTTATTGGTACAAATTCACTGAATAGGTGCCAGAGCTAAGCCCCAAGCCATGGGTTTGCAAATTCTCTCTGTGGCTTTGGGAAATGGAAATCTGTTAGACTTGGAATTACTGGAGAGCCACAAACAATTAATGACAGAAATCATTAATATTACTTATTGAGAATGTTAATAACTGTATTCCAGAAAATGTGTTCTTTGTGTTACTTATATCATTTAAAATTGTCACAACAACCTTAGAAGGTTGATAATTTGATCCACATTTACTGATTAGGAAATTGAGGTTTAGATAGGTTCTATAATAGGCCTGAGACCATGAGCTCTGGCATCTGTTAAGACTAAGTTTGAGCCCCTAGAGCTTGTTCTCTGCGGAGTTCCTAGAAATGTAGCTTAAATAAGCATGCTACTCTCATTTGGACAGAACAGTGATTAAGTGGCTGTCTGATGCCTGCTTAAAAGTTGGGTGGCTGTGGACGAGGAGGGCCTGGAAATCAAACTAAGCCCCAAACAATATTTATCTGAAAAAGCACATCCATTAGTTTTACATGGCTACTGTAACAAATTACCACAGACTTAGTGATTAAAAGAACACACATGTATTCACTCACAGTTCTGGAGGCAACAACCAAATTGAGTCTTGTAGGGTCACCATCAAGGTGTTAGGAGGGCTTTCTTCTGGAGGCTCCCAGAGAAAAGCCATTACTTGTCTCACTCAGCTGTCAGCATTCCTTGGCTTGTGGCCACATCATTCCAGTCTCTCCTTCCATGTTTACATCACCTTCTGCCTCTTCCGTACTCAGATATTCCTCTGTTTCCCACTTACAGGGATATACATGATGGCGCTTAGGGCCAACCCAGATAATCCAGATACTCTCCCCATTTTTAAACCTTTGATTTAATGCAGATGGAAAGTTAGACTAGTAGAGTGTTCCTCTGCAAAGTCCCTTTTGCCACATAAGATACATTAGCTTGCTAGGGCTGTCACAACAAAATGCCACCAACTGGATGGGTTAAGCAAAAGAAATTTATTTTTCATAGTTTTGGAGGCTAAAAGTCCAAGATCAAGACATTAGCGGGGCTGGTTTCTTCCGAGGCCTCACTCCTTGGCTTGCAGATGGCTGCCTTTTCTCTGTGTGATCACCTGGTCTTTCCTCTGTCTGTGCACATTCCTGCTGTCAATGTGTCCAGTTTTCCTCTTCTTAAAAGGACACCAGTCAGATTGGATTAGGACCCATCTTAATGACCTCATTTTAACTCAGTTACCTCTTTAAGGGCCCTATGTCTGAATACAGACACATTCTGCGATTCTCAGGGAGGGAGTGACTCTGAAAATTTCATATGAGGATTTTCTTTTTGCAGGGGAGGGGGTATAATTCAGCCCATAACATAAGGTGTCATTCACAGTTTCCAGGAATTAGAACCTGAATATCTTTCAAGGTCATTATTTAGCCTATCATTGTATTTTTCATTTAAATGGATCCAAAGGAGCTTAGGCCATAGCTGGGGCACCCAGATCTGGTATTGAAACTAAAAATTAGAAGCCGGAGTTGGTGGCAGGGGCATGAGCAGAAAGTCAGTACCAAGAAGTTCAGAAGCAGGGTGGGTTTGAGTGACAAAACTGGTTCAGAATGAAGGCTGTAAGTGATGAGTCCGTGTCCAGGTTCTACTCTGACATGCTATTTCTAGATCAGAAGGTGTGGGCCTGGTGGGTTACAGGAATAGCAAGGGAAGAGAAGTTGATTTCTCCTACAATAATCTTGAGATTATTGTGTCAAAGTTCACACTTGTTGGAGAGGTTAGACTATAAAATTGTTCCTCCCAGAATTATGTGGTTGCGAGGATTCCAGCATTTTTATTTTATTTTTTTTAGGTAATTGAACTAAACAGCTCCTAAACACACTTTTCAGCTTGAGAGTCTATACAACAGGGATTGCCAAACTTTTTCTGTAAAAGGCCGAATAGTAACACTTTAAACTCTAGGACACGTGGGCTCTCCCACAACTACTCAACTCTGCCAGTGTAATACCCAAGGAACCATAAACAATGCAAAAACAAATGGATGTGGCTGTATTCCAATATAACATTATTTACAAAAATAGGTGGACATCACACCAGTTAGAATGGCAATCATTAAAAAGACAGGAAACAGCAGATGCTGGAGAGGATGTGGAGAAATAAGAATGCTTTTACACTGTTGGTGTGAGTGTAAATTAGTTCAACCATTGTGGAAGACAGTGTGGCGATTCCTCAACAATCTAGAACTAGAAATACCATTTGACCCAGCAATCCCATTACTGGGTATATACCCAAAGGATTATAAATCATTCTACTATAAAGACACATGCACACGTATGTTTATGGCGGCACTATTCACAATAGCAAAGACTTGGAACCAACCCAAATGCCCATCAATGATAGACTGGAAAAAGAAAATGTGGCACATATACACCATGGAATACTATGCAGCCATAAAAAAAGATGAGTTATGTCCTTTGCAGGGACACGGATGAAGCTGGAAACCATTATTCTCGGCAAATTAACACAAGAACAGAAAACCAAACACCGCGTGTTCTCACTTATAAGTGGGAGGTGAACAATGAGAACACATGGACGCAGCAGGGGCGGGGGTGGGGGCAGCGGGCATCACACAGCAGGGCCTGTTGCAAGGTGTGGGGCTCGGGGAGGGTTAGAGTTAGGAGAAATATGTAATGTAGGTGACGTGTTGAGGTTGATGGGTGCAGCAAACCCCTATGGCACATGTATACGTATGTAACAAACCTGCACGTTCTGCACACATACCCCAGAACTTAAAGTATAATAATAAAAAAAAAAGGTGGACATCAGATTGCCTAGAGATGTATAGTTTGTCCACTCCCACTTTGTAACAATAGAATTGACTACAAAAAATACCTAGACTATGCATGCTATTATTAAGTTAATAGATTTTATTTTTAAGGCAGTTTTATGTTTATAGAAAAATTAAGCAGGAAGTACAGAGCTCTCATATATTATCTCCACTTTTCCTTTCAGTTTCTCCTCTTATTATTCACCATGCATTAGTGTTGTGAAATGTATTCCATTGATGAGCCAATATTGATTGAATATTAGTTGCTAACGTCCCCAATTTACCTTTTGGTGTTGTATAGTTCTATGGGTTTGAACAAATGCATAATATCATGTAACCACCATGATAGTATCATACAGAATATACAGAATACTTTCACTGCCCTAAAAATCCCCTGTGCTCCACTTGTTCCTCTCTCTGCCTCTCTCCCTGAACTCCTGGCAACCACTGATCTTTTCACTGTCTCTATAGCTTTGCCTTTTCCACAGTGTTATGTAGTTGGAACCATGCAGTATGAAGCCCTTTTAGACTGGCTCCTTTCCTGTAGCAATGTGGATTTAAGATTCCTCCATGTCTTCTTGTGGCTAGATAGCTCATTTTTTAAAATTGTGGAATGATATTTCATTATATGGATGTTTGTTTATTGAACCACCTATTAAAAGACATCTAGGTTGCTTCCAAGTTTTGGCAAGTATGAATACGATCACATAAACATGTGCAGAGTTTTGTGTGGACATGTTTTACACTCATTTGGGTAAATATTAAGGAATGCATGCAATTGCAGAATTTCGTGGTAAGACTGTTTAGCTTTTTAAGAAACTGCCAAACGATTCTCCAAAGTGGCTGTACCATTTTGCATTCCCACCAGCAATTAACTCTTTCTGTTTCTCCACATCTTTGCCAGCATTTGTTGTTGTTAATGTTTTGGATTTTAGCTATTCCAATAGTTATATAGTGGTGTTTCATTGTCATTTAATTTGCAATTCCAGAATGACATGGGATGATGTGTGTACATTCATATGCTCATTTGCCATCTGTATATTTTCTTTGGTGAGGTGTCTGTTCAGCTCTTTTGCTCATTTTTAATGGTACTGTTTGTTTTCTTGTTGAATTTTAAGTATTCTTTGTATATTTTGGATATCCTTTAGCAGATGTATGTTTTGTAAATATTCCCAGTCTATAGCGTGTCTTTTCATTCTCTTAACAGTATCTTTCACAGAGCAGCAGTTTTCATTTTAATAAAGTCCAACAACAATTTTTTCTCATGGATCATATATTTGGTGTTGTATCTAAAAACACATAATCAAATCCAAGGTTACTAAAATTTTTCTCCTATATTATCTCCTAGAAGTTTTGTAGGTTTTTACATTTAGACTTACAATAATTTTGAGTTATTTTTATTTTTGGAAAAGTGTAGAATCTATATCTAGATTTTTGTCTGTTTTTCTTCTTCTTTTCTTCATCCCTTCTTTTTACTTGGCACATGGATGTCTATTTGTTTCAGCACCATTTGTCAAAAAGACTACCTTTTCTCCACTGAACTGCCTTTGCTTCTGCGTTAAAGATCAGTTGACTAGATTTGCGTGGGTCTATTTATGTGCTTCCTATTCTGTTCCATGGATCTCTTTTTCTGTCATTTCACCAGTATCACGCTGTCTTGATTACTCTAGCTTTATAGTAAGTCTTAAAGTCAGGTAGTGTCAGTCCTCTGACTTTGTTTTACTTCTTCAATATTGTCTTGACTATTCTGGGTCTTTTGCCTTTTCAAATAAACTTTAAAATCAGTTTGCCAAGCCTACAAAATAACTTACTAGGATTTTGATAGAGATTGCACTGAATCTATAGATCAAGTTGGAAAGAACTGACATATTAACAATATTGAAGATGAACAGGGAATCTCCTTTTATTTATTTTGATCTTTTATTTCCTTCATCAGAGTTTTGTAGTCTTCCTTATATAGATCTTCTATGTATTTTGTTAGATTTATACCCAAGTATTTTATTTTTTGGTACTAATGTAAATGATGTTTTGTTTTTAATTTCAAATTATAATTGATTACTGCCAGCATATGGGAAAGCAATAGACTTTTGTATGTAAATCTGTATCCTACAAGCTTGTCATAATCACTTATTAATTCCAGCAGTATTTTGTTGTGGATTCTCTGGGATTTTCTGCTGCATATTATTTTTTAAACCCTAAATCACATTTCTAATAATAATAATAATAACAATAATAATAGTTAACATTTATGGAGCACACAGTATAATGTGTCAGGTGCCATGCTGCATGCATTATCTTGTTAATTCCACAACAATTCAGCAACACTGGTACTGTTATTTTGTCCCCATTACATATCAGGAGACTGAAACTTAGTAAGAAACGCTAACTTGTCCAAACTTGCAAGAGTGGAAGCAGAACTTTAACTCTGAACTTCTTACTAGGAAATAAATAACCACAGTAACAGTAACTACCACACAGGCAAATATATACATAGGCTGTTTATAGTTATTGTTCCTTTTACCACCCCATGAAGCACACAGGCTATCTATATGCATAGTCTCTTTTAATCCTCATAATTGAATTTATAAAAGTAGGTACTATTACGGTCCTCATTTTATGAGTGAAGTAACTGAGGCTCCTGAAATTTAACAGCCTGCTTAGGATAGCACATCTAGTAAGAGGTATGGTTTAAGGCCCTCTCTCTATGAGTGGAGTAGGGTATTATAGACAAACCTGAGGCTCAGCATGACTGTATGATTGCATATGGCAACATAACCAGTATCTAAGAAGGTGGGAAGCTGGATCCAGGGTCTTACAAACTGGATTCAATTACATTTCTATGTCAAATTTTGAAAAGAACAAAAATTCTGTTCATTAATTGGATTTGTATTTTTCTAGGCCCTTTTAAAGTCTTGATATCCCTTGGTGTTAAGGAGCACTTAACAATAATTTCCAGCTGTCCTGTAACAGCATGTACACTTCACCTTTGTTATGAAGCAAACTGGCTAATGTCCACACTAGCTAGGTTCTGCTTGTGGCTCCAACTTATGACAGGACTGTTGGAATTGAATAAGAAGGAATATGCAAGATGGTCAGGGCTCCTCATTAGTGCAGTGTTGCAGAAAGCACGTGCGAATATTACTGTCTTTCTACTGCCTTTGGGTGTTTTCTTTCTCCATTGCTAATGACTAATAAAAGAGAGAGGGAAAGAGAAGAAAGAGAGAGAGAGAGAGTGAACAAGGAAACAATTGCTATTAGATTTTCTTCTACTGTAGCAGGTTTCTCATTTTGCAAAGCTCATTAGAGGTGGCTATATGGAAAGACTTCTAAGGTGCCCCAGGGAGAGTGGGAAAGACAAAAGGGAAGAAGAAACTTTCAGAAATGCGACCCCAACCACAAATTCACACCAGAACCAGCTGTATTTATGCCATATGTTCTGATTCCAAAGTCCATGTTATGGCTTGGTTTTAAATGTTAACATTCAAAAAAGTTCTTTATTTCTAACTACTACAAGGAATGAAGTAACAAATGAATTGATGCTGTGTCGTCAGTTAAAATGTGGCTTTGATTATTTTCTATCTTTTGCTTTAAGAGTTTTTAAACGTTATTTTTCTTTAATTTGCTGTCCAGTCTACTGAAGGCTCATCTACAAACATTTTCGAATTGGATATCAAGTATGCACCCAGTACTTTGTTAGGAGCTGCAGAAGGAGAGAGAAAACACAGTTAGTGTGTTAGACTATTTGCATTGCTATAAGGAAATGCCTGAGGTTGGGTAATTTCTAAAGAAAGGAGGAATAATTAGCTCATGGTTCTGCAGGCTGTACAAACATGGCTCCAGCATCTGCTTTTGGGAAGGGCCTCAGGAAGCTTACAAGTATGTTGGAAGGTAGGGGGAGCTGGGCATATCACATAATGAGAGTGAGAGCAAGAGAGAGAAGGGGAGGTGCCACACTCGCTTAAACAACCAGGTTTTGTGTGAACTAACTGAAAGAGAACTCACTTGTCACCAACGGGATGGTGTTAAACCATCCATGGGGATCCACCCCCATGATCCAATCACCTCCAACAGGCTCCACCTCCAACACTGGGGATTATGTTTCCACATGGGATTTGGAGGGGATAAACATCCAAACCATATCAGTTAGTTCCTGCCCCCCAAAAGTAGGGAAATAGACACACCATGGCAATTTCAGTGCATGCTGTGATAGGAAGAGAGATATTCAACTTATGGTGCTGGGAGCATTGCTTTTAGCTTTACCAACTCCACCAGAGGTTGTGGGTAAGTTCTGTAGTTAGGAAAGAATCAAATTTACCAGTGGCGGGCGGGAAGGATTCCCATGACGTAAAGAAAATAACCCCAAATTAGTGACCATATGTCCAGTATTCTCATTATAGCTCTCTCATGTGGCTTGGACAAATTGTGCATGCTGTCAGGGCAGGAGGAGAAGAAAAGGGTTTCAGGTCCATTTGCATCCTTCTTATGCCTAATCACAACAAGCTTTTTGAGTGTGTTAAATTAAAATGTGCTAGAGTGGTGCATTTTACAGCAGCAATAGCTGCCATTTATTGAGAGCCTGCTATTTTCAGGTCTTCTGCTAAGCAATTCATTTTATGGGCTCTTTTCATCTTTACAGCAAGTATGTGAGGCAAGGATGATTATTATTTCCATTTTTCTGATGAGGAAACAAAGGTCCAGGAAAGGTTCAATGTTTTGTCCAACTAGATCTACACAGGGGACGGGGGGCGGACCAGGATGCAAATCCAGGTGTGTGACTGCAAAGACTACTTCCAAAAAGGTGAGAGAGAAGACATAAGGTGTCCATGAGAATAGGTCTTCTCATCTTGAGAACTTTCTCTTAGCCCTTCATACTGGAGCCATTTGGGGACACTTGCATTATTCAAATAAATGACCTCAGGACTTAAACACTCCCTAGAGATGGGAAATGACTTGCTCAAGATCACACAGCAAGTTATTGGCACAGCTTCGTAAAACTTGGACATCCTGGCTCCCTGTCCAGGGCAGGACTGGGTGCATAAGGAATGATAACATGCACTAGGATTCAGGGAGAGTCAGTCGCCTTCACCCTTGGACTCATCTGGCAAGTGTTTTTTGTGTACCTACTGTGTGTCTGCTCTTATTCTAGACCCATGAGATACCAATGGTATGAATGGAGTCCAGGCCTTGCCCTTGAGGAGTGTGTAGTGAAATGTTGGTGTGAGATAGAGGATTCCTAAGATTAGAAAATACTCTGAATACTGGAATATGAAGATCCTAATTGAACTGGAAACATACTGAAAGTTACAGGGATATGGGCTTCTGCCCTTGGCTGTGATAAAGTAAGCAGCTAGACCCCTCGGGGATTGAGGGAGGCAGTCTGCATCCTGCAGTCCTGGGATTAAGGCTGGAGCTGGAGCAGGAGGGTTGGACTAAGAGGTGCCCCCTCATCAAGGAGCTCAGCTGCCACTTTTAACCAGGGAATTATTCACTCTGGCCCTGCAGATCTGTTAAGGAGGCCATCTTTAGGTTTCAATTTGTGTTTAGCTTCTGGGGCAGGGCTAATCTTCCTCTCTGAATCTCATTTATAGCATCTGGAAAACAGATATAATGATAATACTTTGTCAGAAAAATGCCTAGTAATGTTGACTTTTCTCCAGCCACATCTCTAAATTTTATGTCAAGGTGTGAGGGCCTTTCACTGTCTTCCTTGAGTAGTGGAGGGGAAAGTTCTGGAAGAGGCCCTGGTGACAGCAGCTCAGCTTGTTCTCAGTGTTATGACAGGACAAGGGATCCCAGTGCTAATACACACAGGCAAAGGAGATGGAGGGCGAAGTGGCCAAGGAGAAGATAATGTTCCTCTAGCCTGCAATTTCTTTCAATTTCAGGGATCGCAATTACCAGGGCAGGAGTTAGTAACAGCCATGCCTGGAATGCTTAAGTGAGTTTGGTGCCACTGGTGGAAATTGTTTTGCATTTAGAGAGGGAAGACATGTGCTTTGTGTAACCCAGGCTTCACTCTGACTCTGTGTATGTATGGGGGTAGGTGGTGTGTGTGTGTGTGTGTGTGTGTGTGTGTGTGTGTGCTCATGCACACCTGTGTATAAATGAGGGTGGGCAGTAAAGAGGGAAGAAGACAAGTGTGACTATGGTTGGAGAGATAGGTGGTAGAGTGGAGGCAGATGGCCCTGATTCAATTGTACATGACTCCAGGAAAGTGATTCTCACCCCTCTGAGCCCCAGTTCCCCCACCTCTGGCAGGGAGATAATAATACCTAACTCACAAGGTTGTTGAGAGGGTTGGAAACAAAGCCTGCAGAGAACCTAACACATGATATACGTTTAACAAAGGGCATCCATCTAAGACATTCAACCAGCATCGGCATTTGCAACAAGTCAACCTTTACTTTTCAGGATTTCATTTGGGGAAAAATTAAACATTCACCAGCATATTTTTGCATAGTGTTTAAGAACATGAAGTTAGATTATTCAAACCTCACCTTATAAGTTCTGTGCATTTTTCCTCTTTTATGTCTCTGCTCCCTCACTATAAAAGTAGAACAAGAGTGCTTACCTTGCATGGTTGTTGTGCATGTGAAATGAGATTGTATATGCAAAGCCCTTAGAATAATGTCTAGCACGTCGTAAACGATGAATAGATATTAGCTTTAAAAATGATACTTGTTATTCTGTGTGCTAGATATCTAGGGAAGTGAAGGAAGGACGGCAAGGGAGGCAGAGATGAATAAGGCAGTGACTAGGCCCCATGGGAGGGAGATCGCGGTACCACAGCTGAATGGATTGTCTCCCCTACATTGCCATTCAGCTAAGAGACATTCAGCAATTTATTGAATAAGCACTTCTTGAGCCCCTAGTGCATGCATCAGACACTGCGTTAGGGCTGGGTGCACAGCAGTGAATAAGACAGACGTAGTTCTTGCTCTCGAGTGCTCATGGTCCAATGAGGGAGACAGAGGGTGACTGGGAACAACAGTCCAGTGTGATAATGCTAGCATAGCAGCAGAACAGGGGCTGCACAAACACAAAGAAGGAACATCTAACTCCCAAATGAAAAGAGGGGCATTGACAAAGTCCTCCTAGGGAAAAAGAAAACTGAAAATAAAAGAAAAAAACCTAGAATGTGAAGGCAGAATAATGCAAGATGTCCATGTCTCAATCCCTGGAACCCATGAATAAGTTATCAGTTATCTTACATAGAAAAGAAAACATTCAGAGTGCAGGTGGAATAGGGTTGCCAATCAGCTCATCTTGAGATGAAGAGAGTCTCTGGATTAACCAGGAGGCCCCAGTGAAACCAAAAGGATCTTTAAAGAGGAAGAGGGAGGCAGAGGATAGGATGAAGTAAGAGTGTGTGATGTGAAAAGGACTCAATTGGCCGGGCATGGTGGCTCAAGCCTGTAATCCCAACATTTTAGGAGGCTGAGACAGGCAGATCACGAGATCAGGAGTTTGAGACCAGCCTGACCAACACAGTGAAACCCCATCTCTACTGAAAAATACAAACATTAGCCGGGCATGGTGATGCATGCCTGTAATCCCAGCTACTCAGGAGGGTGAGGCAGGAGAATCGCTTGAATCCAGGAGTCGGAAGTTGCAGTGAGCTGAGATGGCGCCACTACACTCCAGCCTGGGTGACAGAGCAAGACTCTGTCTCAAAAAAAAAAAAAAAAAAAAAGTACTCAGTTTGCCTTGGCTGGCTTTCAGGATTGAGGAAAGGGGCCATGAGCCATATGGACAGCCTTAAGAAGCAGGGGAAAGGCAAGGAAGTCAACTCTCCCCTAGAACCTCCAGAAAGAAACATCTCTGCTGACACCTAGATGTTAGCCCAGAATCCCATGTCAGACTTCTGACCTAGAGAACTATAAAATAAATTAATGTTGTTTTGAGCCTCTAACTTTGTGATGATGTTTTACAGCTGCAATAGAATGCTAATACATGGAGCTAATGACATATTTGTGTTAGAAACATTTCAGAAAATCGTTCTGGCTGCAAGATAGTAAATGAATTGGAAGGGGCAAGGCTGAATTCAGAAAGCATAGTTAACAGGTCATTGTAGTAGTCGCTATGAGAGGGGATGATGGCCTCAAGAACAGCTATTAGGGACTGTGTCTATACCAAACCCTGGAATCAGACTGTGGGGAGGAGGGCTCTGAGGGAAACTAGTTATATAGATCCTTGCAGCATTGACCATTGAATCTGAGATGGGAAACACGTGCAGAGAACAATCATACCTAGCAGAGTTGGTGATCTTGAGATCAGAGCCAAAGTCAAGTGCTGTGGAAACAGAAGGATATTGCTTCCAAAGAAGGGACTCAGTGACAGCTTCCTGAAGGAGACGACACCACGAGGTCTGTCTGGGAAGTCTACGAGAGAGCGCAGAGGAGGCTGCAAAGAAGAAACAAATACAGCTGCTGCCTGGAAGGAGTTCACAGTTCAGAGAAGGTATCAGGCAGGTAGAGAGGTCACTCTGCCTAACCCTTGAGAATGCACAAGTCGAAACAGGACTGGATTGGAAACTAAGAATAGGGATTGGTAGTCAGTCCAATTCTGCCAAGAAAACACCTGCAAGGCCTTAAATAAGACACTTCTCTATACTGCCTCTGCTTCTTTTCCTATCAAATGGTAACAGTAATGCTTATCATTTCTAGGAGCATCAGATGTGATTAGAGTGGACCCATGGGTATGGGCCACTGGATAGGCCAGTAAAGCAACTTTGCAGCCATGGTCCTTGAAACACCCTGGACAGTAGGGGTCACAAGCTGCATTCTGCTAGGGAGCAAATTGCAGTTCTGAGAGCCTCCGTCTGGGTGGTGACTTGGCCTGCTTGAAGTGCTGGGGGTTAGGCTTGAGATCTGGCCATCTTCCTGTGGGTCTCACAGTTAGCAGTTAAGCTGAGGTGGACTGACAGCTAGCAGAGGCAGAAAGGAGGCCGAGGACATATGTGATGGGACAAAGCACATTGGTCTGTTTTCTAGCTGTGGTTAATGAACTCAGGCATGTGTGGAGGGCTCTGGTTATTAGTACTAATAATAAGCAAATACTGGGGAGGCAGGTCTCTGGAGTCAGCACAGGAGCATGGGCTTGACTGCTTGGGCTCAAACCTGCTCAATATATCCCATGACTCTTCTTTTACTCCCCACCACGTGCAGTTGGCAATGGAGATCAGCAGGTTCTACTTCCTGACTCTCTCTCAAATCTGTGCCTCTTCTCTGTATTCTGTTGTCCATCTAATCGGTTATGTCTTGTCTGGATTACTGCAAAACCTCTTAACTGGTCTCCCTCCTTCCAGCCTTTTTTCAGTCCATCCTCTACCCTGTAGTCAGGCAGTCTTTTTGAAGCTCCTATCTGATGGTTTTGCTTTCCTGCTGAATACCCTACAGTGGGTCTCCTTACCCTTAGAATGAAGCCCACCTTCTGTAGCATCACTTAGAAAACCCATGAGATCTGATCCCTATGTGGCCTCCTCTAGCCCTATCCCATCCTTGCTTCTCACTCGCTGCTTTAGCATCTTGAAACTTAGCTTATTGCAATTTCCAGAACATGCCATGTGTTTTATCTGTGCCTCTTCCATACACACACATGCGCCCACACACATACACCCCTATGGACTTTTGTGCATGCTGTTCTTTCTGCCTAGGCCCCACCCTCACCTCCTTTTTCTGCCCTCTCCCTTGTTAACCCCTCCCAATCTGTCAAGTCTCACCTCCTCCAGGGAGCCTTCCTGACCTCCTCAGTCTACATTAAGTTTTCCTTCTCTTCATTTCCTTTGTCCCTGAACTTTCCCGATGAAACTTAGACTTTATCCCTCTAACCTATAACCATCCATTCTCACAGTCAAGCATTCAAAAATTATTTTGCTGCAACTCAGTATACAAAAACACTGTTGTCTTAATTTTCTACAACTGACATAATAATTCTCTCAAGTTTTCATTCCACTGATAGCAAAAACATGTTTCTGCCTGGTACGGTGGCTCACGCCTGAAATCCCAGCACTTTGGGAGGGCGAAGTGGGCATATTATTTGAGGTCAGGGGTTCAAGACCAGCCTGGCTGACATGGTGAAACCCCGTCTCTACTAAAAATACAATTAGCTCGGTGGGGTGGCACACCCCTGTAATCCCAGCTACTCGGGAGGCAGGCGAATCGCTTGAACCCGGGAGATGGAGGTTTCAGTGAGCCGAGATCACACCAGTGCACTCCAGCCTGGGCGACAGAGTGAGATCCCGTCTCACTGGAGTGCAGCGGCATGATCTCGGCTCACTACAAGCTCTGCCTCCTGGGTTCACGCCATTCTCCTGCCTCAGCCTCAGCCTCCTGAGTAGCGTGGACTACAGGCGTCCGCCACCACGCCTGGCTAATTTTTTTGCATTTTTAGTAGAGGCGGGGTTTCACCATGTTAGCGAGGATGGTCTCAATCTCCTGACCTCAAGATCTGCCTGCCTCGGCCTCCCAAAGTGCTGGGATTACAGGCATAAGCCACCATGCCCGGCCAAGTATTTCCATTTTTTGATTAAGGATACAAAACATTTTCTCTAGGGTAAACGTTTAGTCCACTCAAAGTTCAACTCCCCACCAGTCTTGCCTCAGTTGCATTCTCCCCACCAGCCTTGCCTCTCCCCCTTACCAAACAGTCTCCCCTACCCCTTAACTTGGCCTCAGAGAAGGCAGAGGTTGGTGAGGGAAGGTCTCTGGTACAAATGTGTTCTTGTGGATCCTTGCTGGTATTTGCTATGTGATTTTTTGTTTGAGCTTGGCTCTGAGCGCTGGCACTGGCATCCATTGAGGTATGGATGGTCTTGGGTAGTTTTTTGAGAGAAGCAATGTGTTGGAACACACAGCCAATGTCCAAGGTCATTAGGTCTCAACACTCTGAAGCCCCCTTGGTTCTAATGTTCTAATCTCAGCCTCATCTACCATCCCTGCCACCATGGGAGCGAAGGAGTTATGCCAAGAAGTCTTTTTATTTTTAATTTTATATTTTAATTGACATATAACAATTGCACATATTTATGGGGCCAGGAAGTCTTGACAGTTTTATCCCCTTTACCCTGTGTATGCAGAACTTGGCATGGGTGGCTCCAAATTCAAGTCTCTTCTTCACTTACTGCTACCCTCTCCCAGGAGCTCCTGTTGGCTTGTTGAGCGAGGGGCTTGCAAACTTCCCAGACTATATCCTGAGTCTAGGGGAGCAAACCCTATCACCCCTGCTCACCCGTATCGAGATTCTTAAATATCTTAAGCATTTATTGACACTACCCTTGTACTTGGAATGAATGAGGGGTGGTTTGACTTCCAAAAGGCCAGGAGGAGGGTCACTGAGGCACTCCCATCTGAACTCTCAGCCACTTGACTTTCCTCTTCAACAATTCCTTGCAGCATCAGTGGCAGAAAGAAGAGTGTACTATTTCCTTTTCTTATCTGGTGGGTACAACTGTGAGGCCATCACCTGCCCAATCTGTATATTAAAATAAAACATAATGATCTGAGTCAGCAGGTCTGTCTTTTGATAGAGAAGGGAACTTCGCCCTCAGCACAGGCTGGGTTTTGAAACTATTGTCCAGCTTGAAACACTGCAAAGTCAACTTTGAGAGGCAAAGCTGAAATAGGATTTCCGGAGAATGAAAAACATTTTAACATTTTCAAAACAATGATTTACCTTGCACACATGTGCACACATACATAGAAGGCATTTGTACACATGTGCGTCTCCTATCAGCCTGTGAGTAACTGGAGGACAGAGATTGTCATTTTTATTGTTGTATTCCTAATGCCTGACAAATAACAGTAAATATTTGTTGAATGAATGAAGGAATGAATGAATGAACGAATGAATGGTTAAATGAAGGAATCACTAAATATTGAGTGCTTGACCAGAGAACTTAAACTATGATGCATAATTAAGAAGTAGAGCATATGAGAACAGTTTCTAACTGCTGCTTAAGAGGGCAGAGCTTCAGGGTGGGCTGGTACCAACCAACCAGTGTTAGCATCAATTTATCACCACCAGACCCTATAGATGTCTCCGGCACCTGCAGGACAGCTACAAAATCTAGCCCAGCACCTCCCAGCTTGAGGTTCAGACAAACGTTTTGTACCAGCCCATTCTTCTCAGTTCCAGAGAAGGACAGTGGCTTCTGCACATCACACAGCCAGCCAGTGACAGAGCCAAGATGAGAACACAGGTCTCCCAACTGCTTGTTGTCAGAGGACACCAAATCTCAGCCAAAGTCATCCTGTCACTTGGCATAAAGGCTCAGTTCAGTCAGAGAGGGGGGATGAGGCACAGTGTACACCAGGGAATATGTCCTCATCAGCTTTGGGATTTTAAGGCAACCTTTTTTGAGGCTTATGGGCAGTGTAGGAAGAGCCAGAGAACCAGGCAAGGAGAGCAAGCCCCTCCCTGCAAACTCAATAGCTCCCAAGCCAAGGCTCCTAGCTTTCCCTCAAGTAAGAAAAGACTGCAGACAGTGCTGGCTGGCTCTAAGGTGATTTACCTTCCTGGAATACCTCAATTTAAATGCTAATTTCCCTAGAACTGAGGGGTGATGGCTCTTGCATGCTGGCTGCTGTGTATTAATGTACCCAAAACACACATATTCTTAAAAGGGGGCGGCAGGCAGCAAAGACCTGAGGAAGGGTAGGACAGAGTGGCAGAGGAGTCCAGCTTCCCTTGTTTGTCTTTGCTGTCAGCATGGCTGATCAGAAGGAAGCTAGACACAGTGCATCTCAGTGGAAATGCTTTGTAGGATTTCTGTCATTTAGAGGTCATATGCAGGTAGCCTGGGAGGGTAAAGAGACCTTCCCCTTCTATTACACATGGTTCAACAAATGCTCAGGGGCATATACAGTGAGAAAGGCACTGTGCTGGGCCCTCTGAGATCCTTGGAGAGATTCAGAATCTAGTATGGGATTCAGGAAAATAAGCTAGCATTAAAAATAACTTTACCGCCGGGCGCGGTGGTTCACGCCTGTAATCCCAGCACTTTGAGAGGCTGACACGGGCAGATCCCGAGGTCAGGAGATAGAGACCATCCTGGCTAACACAGTGAAACCCCATCTCTACTAAAAAAAATTAAAAAATTAGCAGAGCGTGGTGGTGGGCGCCTGTAGTCCCAGCTACTCGGGAGGCTGAGGCAGGAGAATGGCGTGAACCCGGGAGGCGGAGCTTGCAGTGAGCCAAGATCGCACAACTGCACTCCAGCCTGGGCGACAGAGCAAGACTCCATCTCAAAAAAATAAATAAATAAAATAAAATAACTTTACATAAATCCTCCTCTTCACGCATTGAAGCTGAACTCATTATCCCCATGTTACAGATGAAGTCACTAAGGATCATAAAATTTGAAGTGATACTCCTGAAGGTCACACAGCTAGAATTTGTATCCATGTGCGTATGAGTTCTAAGCCCATGCTCTTTCTATCACTAGATCCCAAGGCCACATCTGGAATCTACAAAGAAGATGCATGAAATTAAAGTGATAGAAAAGATGTATTTCAACTGGGGAAAACTGGAATGGTATTATGGAAATGATGGTTTTTGAATGGGGCCTTTTGCTGCCCACTGGCATTGTTCATTTTAGAATGTGCCCACACCACTACCTCTACCTGAATGCACATATGCACACCAAGAATGGGAGGTTTAACCAACCCCTTTCTTAGGGAGATCATCTTTTCTCATCTGGTCCCACTCACTCAGTGGCCCCTGGCCCCTCTGTCCAAGCTCCATGGGAGCCAGAGTATGTATGCACTCAGGAATTTAGGGTAAGAAAGTAGGGTTTTGAAGCTTCTTATGGAATATTAGACTCAAATCCTCAATATGCTTTAGATCCTGAAGCATTCTGAGACTCTGGCAAAACATCAGAAAGGGCTTCATAATAGATGTGGTCATGCACACATTACCATTGTCTCTGGGTTTTCTTCCTTCACTGCTTCAACAAATGCTCATGGTGCACCTACTTTTTCTCAGTTTTACTCAGGCACTCAGTTTGCACTGCTGGGCCCTGAGGAGGCAGCAGTACATTGGACAGGCATAGTTTGGGGCTGCATGGAACTCACAGTCTAGTGGGAAAGACAGGTGTCCAACAAGGTCTTCCATGAGCACATGTATCGTTAGAAACGATAAAGCCCTTCATAGTGGAAAACAACAAGATACTATAAGGGTGTGTAATGGAAGAACTGATTCCAGCGAGAGTTCTCAAAGGCAGAGGAATAGTGGATGGTCTGAATGATGAGTAGGAGTTGTTCAGGTGCAGAGGGAGGGCAAATTCCAGAGGGAGGGCAAATTCCAGAGAGAGGGCAAATTCTAAGTGGGTCCTTGTGTAGGATGGGAGCATGCCCCAGAAAAGGAACTTAAGGACAGTCAGAGCAGGAGGAAAACAGTGGCCCAGGGGGCTGTGGCTCAAACAATAAGGCAGCAGGAGTAAGTAGGCAGGGTCTAGATAATGAGGGATCTTGTAGACCTCAATGCAACATTGATTCTCTCCTGGTCTTCATGAATGGAGGCATCTCCTCTGATTTTCCACTGCTGTATCCCTAGTACCCAAAACAGTTCCTGAAAAAGGTTAGAGCTCCAATAAGTGTTTGTGAAATGAAGGAGACCTCTCACTGCCAGAGTCCCCGGGGCCCAAGATCTACTATTTTAGAATCGATGAATTGTTTCCCTAGAATGTCGACTGAGATTGAACTGTTTTTATAGATAAATTTGGCAGATGCTTATCTGTGTGTTTGTGTGTGTGTGTGTGTGTGTGTAAGTGAATGTTGTGTTTCAAGCAGCAGCAGAGCCACTGTTTGTTTAAACAAGCATCTCTCAAAAATGCTTTCTTGAAAGCAGACTCCACTGTGGTGGTGAATAACAGAACTGCCTGGTCTCATCTCTAAATGAGTCAAGCTATGCCAGGGATCAAGAGCACAGGCTTGGGATCGATTCACTGAGCATGTACTTACTGCGTGCTGGGCTCTCAGCTGGAAGCTAGGGGTTAGAATGCGGTCTTGGCCACTGCCACTTTCAAACCATGGACCTCAGTTGGACAAGTTCCTTAACCTCTCTGAACATGTTTCTTTGTCTATAAAGTGGGAATAATGATAGTACCTGTCTCACAGAGTTCTTATGAGGTTAAAATGGCATACACACTCCTATATCTGTTTTAATTTCCATCGTTTTGGGGGTACAAGTGGTTTTTGATTAGATAGATAAGTTCTTTAGTGGTGATTGCTGAGATTTTAGGGCACCCTTCATCTGAACAGTAGACACTGTACCCAACACATAGTCTTTTTTTTTTTTTCTTCTGAGATGGAGTCTCAGCGCAATCTCAGCTCACTGCAACCTCCGCCTCCCGAGTTCAAATGATTCTCATGCCTCAGCCTCCCGAGTAGCTGGGATTACAGGTGGGTGCCACCATGCCCAGCTAATTTGTGTATTTTTAGTAGAGATGGGGTTTCACCATGTTGGCCAAGTTGGTCTTGAACTCCTGACCTCAGGGGATCTTTCTGCCTCAGCCTCCCAAAGTGCTGGGATTATAGGCATGAGCCGCTGCTCCTGGCCCCAATATGTAGTCTTTTTTTTTTTTTTGAGACGGAGTCTCGCTCTGTCGCCCAGGCTGGAGTGCAGTGGCGCGATCTCGGCTCACTGCAAGCTCCGCCTCCCGGGTTCACGCCATTCTCCTGCCTCAGCCTCCCGAGTAGCTGGGACTACAGGCGCCCGCTACCACGCCCGGCTAATTTTTTGTATTTTTAGTAGAGACGGGGTTTCACCGTGTTAGCCAGGATGGTCTCGATCTCCTGACCTCGTGATCCGCCCGCCTCGGCCTCCCAAAGTGCTGGGATTACAGGCGTGAGCCACCGCGCCCGGCCAATATGTAGTCTTTTATCACTCCTCTTCCAACCTTCCCCCGCCAAGTCCTCAAAACTCATTATATCACTCTTATGCCTTTGTATCCTTATAGCTTAGTTCACAGTTATAAGTGAGAACATACAACCTTTGGTTTTCCATTCCTGTACGCTACTATATCTTGACACACTACCTTGAGTATAGGAGATGGTCAACAAATGCAATCAATAAATCTCTGTAAATATTATCATTATTGCTAGGGTTAGTTACCTAGCAGCTTTTACTACACACACACACACACACACACACACACACACACACACGTTGGCACATGAGCTACAGCATAACTGATGAGCAACAGATATAATCAATAAATAAATATTGTCCATTATTTCTGTCTTCCTATTATACGAATTAGTTGTGTGGTAGTTTTTACTACACACACACACACACACACACACACACATTCACACACACACACACGAGCGCTAAGAATCTGAATTATTCCTGAGCACCCGAGTTTAAGCCAGCACCCTGCCAGCTCCCTGGTCGCCTCTCCCAGGTGGGTGGGTTCTGCAGCTGTTGTCTAGGCTTCCATCTGAGGTTCTCAGCCCAGCGGAACTTTCCCAGCAGCTACTCTCTCATCCATGTTTTGCCTCCCGAAACAGCTGATCGATGCAAAGGCCCCGGGCGCCCTCTGCTGGCAGAGGCCTTGCAGGACTTGTGGCCATCGCCCAGGCGGTCGCAAAGGGACCCAGTACCCGAGAGACCATGCCGTCGCTGGGCTGTTCATTCGGGCTTCATCTCCGCCTACCTGCCACCCTTCTTCCCAGTCTTCCATATTGGCTGGCTAACTGTCACCCTTCCATCTTCTCTGTCTTTCTGCATTTCTCCAAGTCCCCCCTCTACTTTCTGGAAGCTCAGGAAGGAAAACCTTCCTCCGAGAAGGGGTGTCCTGAGCCAGGCCCCTGCCTCCTGAGTTTGCACACTCTACTTCCTTGCATTGTCCCGTTGGGGTCAGATTTCCTTGCAGAGCTAAGAGTGACTTGATAAGAAGGCAGAAGGATTGGAAGAGAGGGACATGCGGATAGAGAAGGTGGCATTACCTTCCCTTCTCTACAATTGTAAGAACATTTCTAGAGATTTGAAATGGACACTCTTGGGTGGTAAAGTGAAAAATGATAGATTTGCCTTCAGATTTCATTTCCCAAATGCATCCATTATGTAAGTCCATGGAAAATCCATTTCCTTGTCGGTTAAACTGGGAATATATGCCTATTTTGTGGCATTTGCGTGAGGCTTGAAGAGGTCACATAGAGAACAGAGCCTGGGGCATGTGGTGAATAGCTAACTCTCTCCTCTCTTGTAGGAGCAGCAAGGTCCTCCTCTTGGCTGCATCCTGTCTGGGCTCAGCACACGCCCAGGCACTATGGCCCTTCCAACACTGACAGTCTGTGTGTGTCACAGGCAGGTCCTTTAGCACCCTCTACCCAAGCAGTGATGAGGAGTGCTAGGATGTCTTTTGAAGACATCTACCATGACCTGTTAGACAAACAAAGACTCTATGCCAGGCATACAATAAATATTAACCCTTCTATATTCAACTTTCTGAGTGAATGCTTAGGGAAAGGCAAGCTGAGAAATAACACCACAATCTGGTCATTTTTTAGTACATAATAAAGTATAAAATATACTTAAGCATTTAGTTTGCTTTTAAACCTCATAGAATTCTGGAAAATTTAAATATCAGATTGAATCAACTTTAAAACTTAACTCATGGTTGAAAGCAATATATTACTCAATTTTGATCTGGGGCCAAACCACCTGGGATCTCCCACTTCCCAGCCTTGTGGCTTTAGGTAGTTACATAACTTCTTTGTGCTTCAGCTTTTCAATGTCTGAATGGGGAATGTAAATGACACCTACTTCACAGAGTTGGGTGAAGAATAAGTACTGCCAATTGTGTCTGGTGCATAGTAGGTGCTCAATAAAAGGCTATTGTTATTGTAGCCATTCCACTAAGGCCAGCTGAATAGCTGTTATGATCCCCATTTTACAGAACAGAACCTTGAGATTTGGTTGGTTTGCTCCAGGTTACACAGCTAGGATGCAGTGTGGGCAGAACTGGAGCCCAGTCCTCATAGGCTCTTCTCAGCTTCCAAGGCTGAGCTACCTCCTCACCCTTAGCCTCTCCTGCCCAGAGTGAAAACAAGTGCTGGGGATCTTGTAGGGAAGAGACCTTGTGCAGCAGCACCCAGCACATGCAGAATTCCTGATAGCAGCCCCCACTGATTATTCTGCATGGCCATTTTTTGTGTTTTCCCCACTAGGCTGAGAAGATCTAGAGGACAAGGGGAAACATCAATCTGTCTCTGTGTTCTTAGCACCACCCAGCACAGGATTCCACCCAAGTATGTGCTCAGTGCATGCTGGTTGAATGACTAGGGCATGGACTACCCCTCCATCCTGCTACATCTTTCAGGGAAAAATCTATCACCAGAGGCCACCTCACAAGGGAAGCATGAGGACATTTAGTCCTGGCTAGGGTTATATGCTATGTGGTGGTACTTCCATCTACCAGAAGCCTGTCTTTTTAAATTCATATTGCTGTTCCACACTCCCAGATTTGTAGACAAAGACCAACCATCTAGGTAGAACCCATTATCACAGGCACACACAGACATAAACAAGGATGACTCCACAGACAGCCATGGCACACCCACACACAGCAGCATGTTTAAATGGCAAGTGTGGGCCTTAAAACTCACCATCATGCACGTGCATGCCTGGGCAGACAGTCTTAGGCCCAACCAGACCTGGGTTCGTATCCCAGCTCCACCACCTGTTAACACCAAATCTCATGCTACTTGTCTGCAACTTAAAGATAATAATATCTATCTTTTGGGATTGCTGTGAAGATTAAGTGATAAAATGTATGTAAAGTATTTAGCTAGATCCTAGCAAATTATAAAGATTCAATGAATAATATAGATGACAAAGACAATGATGATAATGATGGTGATGCTGGTGGTATAGAAGATGGTGATAATGTCACATCCTCTGGACTCAGAAATGAAGAAAGTGTTCATTAAATGGATGAATTGATGATGAGCTTCAAAGGTGCCTGGAGTGGGGTGCAGAGATGTTGAGCAGACAGGAAGGTGACCCAAGCCACTCAACACTTTTACAGCTGCTTTTGAACTGTCTGAGATACAGGCTTCAAAGGCATTGCTTTGGCATCACATATTTTTGTTTTCGTGCTTCTGATTTTCATTTCAAGGTTGACCATTCCATGTGTCAAAATGAAGTAATAAACATCTTCCTCCTTTTGTTCTTCTCCTCCCCCTTCTCTTCTCTCCTCCTCCTCTCCAGACTATAATTCATGTCTTTAATGCTGGGAATTTCTGAATATAAAGGGACCTCATAAGTCATATTTAATTTGGAAAAGACCTCGATACCATCCGTGCCAACTGGCTGCCAAGTTTTCTGCTTGCACACCCTCAGTAACAGGAAGCTCACCACCTCTCTTGGCAGGCTGTTAATTTTTAGGCAGGTCTATTGTCTAGAAGAATGAAACCTGCCTCCCTCTGCTGCACTGTTACTACCATCCTCTCAGAACTTTGTTCACAGTTCAGTTTTCTGGGGTCATTCAGAGGTCTGTCTTCTGTTCCCTGGGACTGGCCTGCAGGAAAGGGTTAGAGGCACCTAAAGAAGTTAGAGCAAGGGAAAGAGCACTAACCTGGAGTCAGAAGACATGGGTTTGAGTCTAACCTATCAGGTTGTGATTCAGCAAGTCATTCCCTTTCTCCAGGCCTCAGTTTCCCCATCTGTAAAAGGAAAAGTTTGAGCCAAAAAAAAAAGTCTCTTAGGGCCCTTCCATTTAACAAACATCTATTTTTTCCAAGGTTTGTTTGTTTGTTTTTCTTTTTTTCAGCCTAGTCTTGCCCCTTGTTCTGCAAACACTACGCACTATTCTCAGTTCTCACATCCTGGTTCAACATTGCCACTGCTTATGCCAGGGGACATTTAGCGGCCACATACAGTTTATAGAGCATCAGAAAGTATCTTAAATAATTGGTAGGTTTTTCCCATTAAGTGCTTACAACAGCCCTTAGATCTGAGTCTCACTTTATAGACAAGGAAACTGAGGTTCTGAGAGGAACAGTAGCATGCTTGAGATCATACAGCCAAGTAAGCAGTGGGGCTAAATTTGAACCCCAGCCTGCCTGATTCAGGAACCTGTAGTTAGCACCATGTTCTCAGAGCTGGGATTCAGGAAACCAGAGGCATTACAGCAAAGTCACCCCACCATGAGTCTTTATTCTGACTACAGCATCCTGCCTCCTTGCCCTGTAGTCCTCAGCAGTCTCCACTTCCTCGATTTGGCAGTCTCTCTGCTCCTCTCCACAGGGAGAACAACTTCATCAAGGACTTTCCCCAGCTGGCCGATGGGCTGTTGGTGATCCCGCTGCCGGTGGAGGAGCAGTGCCGGGGGGTCCTCTCCGAGCCCCTTCCAGACCTCCAACTGCTCACTGGTAAGACACATGTGCCAGACCCTTCCCAGGTTCCCTGACCACACACCGAGTCTCCACACCTAGTGCATATCAGTCTTCAGCAGATCCAAGATGGGCTCTGTCAAGCCTCCTCCTTCATGAGGAAGGGTATGGGAAGGAACTTACCCTTTCTTGGGCTCCTGCTATTGGCTGAGCAGAACCAGGGACTTCCCTGAGACCTCAGACTTGGGACTGCAGTCATCTTTGAGAGGAGGTTCCTCTGTGAGAACAGGAACGATTTTTCTCAGTGAGAGTTTTGCCTCTGTGAATGAGTCTCAAAACACTTTTCATTCTCATTGACAATTTTCTGGTATTTTTCCACTGTTAGTATTTTGTTTTCTTGGTTCGTTTTAAGTCATTCCAAAGTAAAAGAAGTGGACTCTCCAATCAGGAGCCCCTCCTACTTGAAAGCACTCGAGTTACACAGCTCGTTTTTGTACGTGGGCACTGTGCCATCTGTGGGGTGGGTATTATTTTTACCATTTGATAGATTAGGAAGCTATACTTAGAGAGGTAGAAGGGACCAGTCCAAAGTTACACAGCATATCTGCCAGGACTAAAACCTGGGTGCTGTAGCACCAAGTCTTTTGCCCTTTCTACTCCACTTTGCCGCTCCCCCACCCCTGCAACCACTTTCTCTCTCCACTGGGAAGTTGCCTTTTGCAGGCTTTCCTGAGACTCCATATTTTCTGTCCAACCCCAGGATGCTCTTTCCTCTTTTTTTGCTCCCAGTTCCTCTCCTACCCTTTTCTTAAGAAATTTCCTAAGATGTGAGGTTCTCGACTCTGCCTTTGTGATACTGTGGTTGTGTGCCTTATCCACTGCCCAGGGAGAATAGTCACGGGGGAATCGTCATGGGGAAGGATAATAGAGCTCTTTCACTGAGAGGGGAATTGTTCCCCAGGGAAGACCCCACAATCTCACAGACCTAGGTTGAAATCTCTGTCTGACTTCCCCATCACTTGCAAGCTCTGGGAAACCTCAAAAGAGTCATCTAACTCCCGTGAGCCTTTCCTGTAAAAGAGCATAGATGGAGGAGAGAACCCACATGTGCTTAAGGGGTCCTGGGGGCCAGGCACTTTTTGTGTGTTAAACCATGTAACCCTGCAAGGCCATTATTGTCCCCTTTAAACTTGTTAGCAAGGACATGAACTAATCCAAGGCCACGTGGCTAGTCTATAGTCATGTCAAGATTTAAACAAAGTCGGTCTTGACTCCAAAGCTGATGGCATATCCACTATCTTACATCACCCCTGACCTGTGCTATTTCAAAGAGGGACCCAGATGTAGATCAAATGAAATGATGGATGTAAAAGACACCTTGTAAAATGTTACAAAAATTTCTATGCCTTCCTTAATTTTCATTTTTTTTAAGATCATAAAATTTCGGAGCTAACATGGACTGCAAAAGGTGTCTAGTCTAATCTTCCCTCCTAATGAGGAATCAAGTCTATAATATCCTTCCTGAGTGGTTATCCCTCTTTGGATACCCCCAGTGATGGGGAGTTTACTACCTCCTAAAGCAGACATGTCCACGGTCTGTGAGGAGGTGCTGTGCTTTAATGGAAAGGCCCCTGAACCTGTCATTGATCCTGGTATGTCCTTGGACAGTTTTGCTCTCTGAGCCTCAGTTTCTTCCTCTAAAATATAGGGTATGGGCCGGGCGCAGTGGCTCATGCCTGTAATCCCCACACTTTGGGAGTCCGAGGCAGGTTGATCACCTGAGGTCAGGAGTTTGAGACCAGCCTAGCCAACATGATGAAACCCCGTCTCTACTAAAGATACAAAAAATTAGCCAGGGGTGGTGGTGGGTGCCTGTAATTCCAACTACTCAAGAGGCCGAGGCAGGAGAATCACTTGAACCCAGGAGGTGGAGGTTGCAGTGAGCCGAGATCTTGCCACTGCACTCCAGCATGGGCAACAGGAGTGAAAC
The DNA here is from genome assembly GCF_000001405.40 of Homo sapiens. NCBI lineage: Eukaryota > Metazoa > Chordata > Mammalia > Primates > Hominidae > Homo > Homo sapiens. The sequence continues at coordinate 116,731,447 of NC_000009.12, read as the reverse complement.
TCTGTCTCAAAAACAAAACAAAACAAAACAAAACACAATAACAAAAAAATAGGGTATGATAATTTTTTTTTAGGATTCTAATGAGAAATAAAGATCATGTATATAAAATGCTTGGCACACTATGGGTATCCATTAGTGGTTCAAATTGTTATGATTCTTTGTTTTGACTCAAGGATCCTTGGAGATTTCCTAATAAAGGGAACTGTTGCATTTCAAAAGATTTATTATTATTATTATTATTATTATTATTATTATTATTATTATTATTACCAGGAAAAATTCCTCCCTCCATCACATAGCTTCATTCCAACCATAATCCCCAGGTGGGGAGCTGAGATGGGGAGGGCAAGATGAGAGTCAGCGATAGAGTAACCCAGGGATGAGTTTATGGTTAGGAACAGAGTGAGAGTTAGGCCGCCAGTGGATAGGCATTTATTGAGAGGCTACTATAAGCCAGGCTCTCTTCTAGGCTCTGTAGAAGGGGAGGAATATAGACCGTGACCTTGACCTCAAAAAGCTGACATCCATTCCATTGGAGAAGCTTTTATTTCAGGCATGAATCCAGGAATGAGCAGAGATGGAAGGAAGTGAGGGATGGAGTGAGAAGATGGTTTTACAAATTACTTGATAATCAGAAGGAGTTTTTAAATTTGTTTTGTTTTTATGTTTGGACATCATGCCACCAAGTGAAAGAGCTGCCTCTCAACAGCCTGCATCATTCTGCCTCTTCTGTTGGAGATAGGCCTTGGCTGCCAATGCCCCCAGCAAGTCTGCTTTGAACATGAATGAGCAGTAATGGAAGGAGCAGAGACTGCCTTGTCCCTGGTGTCTGAATCTTCTTGTGCAGACATTTTCTCTGCCCTTAGTCAAAAACATAGCCCTCCCTTCCTCCCTCCACACAATCTCCTTTTCTCCCTAGCCTCTGCAAAGGAAGGCCAGGAGAGGCAGAGCAGATAAACAAAGAGGATGTATTTATAACAAACAACCTCACTCCAGTGGACATATCTTTGGGGATCATGAATATTTTACTTTAAAATGAAAGCCTCTAAAAAACTATTTTATTCCTGAAAAGGCTAAGGAGCATAAGGAGGAAAAAAAAAAAGTTGACAGTAATGGACAACTTTAATACTGCAGTAATGTCCAGGAAGAAATCATTTGTTCCAATGAGATTCTCATTTTAATCTTGGTATCAAATATCTCTTTAAGTGCCTACTCACCAGGGGACAAGAGAAAAGGATAGAAAATGTGCCTGCCATTTGCAGAGGCACAAGAAAGTGTGGATACATAAAAACAGTAATAATAACTGCTGATGTGACTAGCATCTTTTTAATGTATTTTTGTTCAGCTTATAAAAAAGAGAGTTTGCAAAGCTTAGGGTAGAAAATTTAGAAAATAGATGTGAATATAAGTCAGAAAACAAGAATTTTTCATTTACCACCGCCCAAAGTTAATCATTTGCTAACACTTCGTTGTGTCTTTTCTGTTTTTATTTCTTGTTTACACCAGTGTTTCCTGAAATTTATTCTATAAAACATGAATTCCAAAGGACCTTTCATACAAAAGGGGTTTTATGGTCAAAGAAGTTTGCACACTACTTTCATGCATATTAATATAATCAAGATGCTGAGAAATTATACAGTTAAACTTTGTTTTGCCTGTGCTTCTCAGTCTTACTTGAAATAGAAAGAGTTTATTTCTGTATACGTATATTTTACATAATACTTATGAACATCCATGTTTCCATGTTAAGAAATGATAGTCTACATAGGGGTCAGCAAACATGAAGGGAAAGTTAATAAATGCATTAGCCTTTGCAGGTGGTTTGTATTGCAACTGCTCAACTCTGCTGTCATAGTGTGAAAGCAGCTACAGAAAATACATAACAAATAGGCTGTAGTTTACTTACATGTGGTCTACATGCACAACATTTCTAGGTTACCAGAGGGCTCCCACTTCTGGTACCTTACTTGAGCCTCACAACATGCCTACGAAATAAGAGTATTAGAGAGAGCTACAGTGTCAGATGTGGAAACTGAAGCACTGGGATGTCTAGTGCCTGGTGGCAAATTGCAAATGGGGTTAGGTAAGACATAGATCTGACCTGAGGTTGCTCTTGCTTGTAGGGTAAAGGGGACTTGCAAGCTATAGAGCAGAGAGAAAAATGAGGGGTAGGGCTGAGATTAGAGACCAGAAAGAGGCCTGGAGGGTGGGGTTCATAAAATTGTCAATCCCAGTGAAAGTTGTACTTCAAAGAGGTGTCTGTTTCCCAGAGCCAAGAGCTGCAGGGTGAACAATGTGGTGTGAAGCGTCTTAATTCTGGGCTCACGTGACCATCTTATTTTCTCTCCCAGGAGATATCAGGTATGATGAGGCCATGGGTTACCCCATGGTGCAGCAGTGGCGGGTCCGGAGCAACCTCTACCGTGTGAAGCTCAGCACCATCACCCTCGCAGCAGGTGAGGACCACTGCCTGGGCAGCCAGGGGACTTGGAATAATTTAGCACTTGTTGCCAAGGACCTAGCATGTGCCAGGGCATATGAGAGCACTGGGGATGCTGAGGAAATGAGGATGCATCCTCTCTGCCATCAAGGAGTCCTAGGGAGGGTGGGTGGACAGGAGTCTGACAGACAGTAGGGTCGATGCAATAATGGGGAAGCGGTGGCACAGAAGATGGAGCTAATCATTCTGGGGGAGCTAGAGAGGCTTCCTGGAGGAAAAGGTATCTGAGTAGGGTGTGGAGGGATGAATAGGAGAGTAGGGATAAACAGTATCTAAGTCATATTTATGTTTTTGAAGTATTTCAAGCTTGTGAATTATAAATTCTCCTCAGACACCAATTTCTCTTTCTCTCCTGGCTAATTTATTTTCCTGTCCATCTCCGATACAAAAATCTTATATAACCCCCACACCCCCATCCCTTTACATGCACCACCCACATTATATCCACATGAACTTTAAGCTCCAACAGATGGCAACAATTTATAGTGCCCAAAATGGTGCATGTTCTCTCATGCCACAGTGACTTTGCCCATACCGTTCCCTCTGCCTGGACCTCTTTGTCTTGGGAACATATACTATATTACTCTGTGATGCCTCCCCCGTTCTCCATTCCCCTCAAAACAACTCACGGAATTCTCGGTGCTTAAATATCTATATCAAGACATTAACAAGTCCTTGATTTATATTGGAATCTTGTCTATGACCTGAGAACTGTGGGCGGGGCTTGGGTCTTATTTATTCCAGTATCTCCAAAACTAACAAAGATTAGCACGTTGTTGGTGCTCATGTATGATGGAGGAATTTTTAAAAATAAATGAAGACTGAAAAATAAGGAATGAATGAAGGAATCTGGAAAGATGAGGCCTGACCTAGGATATTCTACCCTAACTCTTACTAATAACACTTTCACTGGTTTATTGTCTGAGTGTCCTCTAATTATCTATGAGGTCTTTTGTTCTCTTTTCTTTGTTCATCAGCAAAATGAAGCTCTTACAGCCTGGGAATTGGAGGATTTCACCCTCTGGGAAGTAGAAATAGTAATTATTGCTGACATCTGTTAAGCATTTTATAATAGTTCATTTCTTATGACAGAACAGTACTGTGAGGAAGACATTATTTATCCCATTTTTCTTCAGATAAGTATACTGAGGGTTAGGGAGGTTAAATAACTTGCCCAAGGTCACACAGCTAGTAAGTGGCAGAGCAGGGAATGAATGAATCAAGGATTTGATTGCAGTTTTGTCTGCCTGGATAAGACCCTCAGGGCATCTCTGTGGTATTGTTTTTTATTACTTAACAGAAACCATCTCGTTATTAACACTACTGTATTAATTACCCAGTTGTATTACTTAACAGGTTGATGGAGAGGGGTTGTTCTCATCAAACACCCATTCTTTGAGCCCCCTATTTTTGTTTTCTGCCCCCCACACCCCACACTGCATTTGTGAATAAGACTATGATGTTCCTGTTAGAAGTACAAAGGTGCATCTGCTTTAATTAATCAATAATGATGCTCCCGGAAAACCCTTTTGTCAATCAAATGTTGGCAAATTGGAGCTCACTTTTAATGCTGGAGAGAAGCTTGTTCTTTTACATTTTACTTTGATGTGGCACAGTGTTGGCTGTTCTTGTAATAATTGTGGTTGGTGTGTTTGCTGTGTCCCAGGAACTGGGCCATGTACCCAGTTGGGGTGGGTGTGCAGGGAGGATGCATGTGCGGATATAGAGACAAATAAGGTAGAGCTTCCGACTTTAAGGTGGTGCATGTTGAAAGTGCAGACAGTAGGCACTCCTGTCCATAATGATGTGAAAGGCTTCTTGGAGAAGAGGTGACTTCCAGGGGCCTTGAAGCATAGGTGTGACTTAGGGAGGACATAGGGAGGCCATTTCAGGTGTGTGTGTGTGTGTGTGTGTGTGTGTGTGTGTGTGTGTGTTGAGTGTAGTGAGAATGCAAGGAAAGATAGAATGATAGAAATTTCAGGTCACATTCAGGATAAATAATAAAACTAATTTGGCTGGAGCTAAAACTTAGTGTGGGTGGCTCATTAGAGATGAGCTTGGAACCTTGAATTTCTAAAGAAGGTCACTAGGCTTTGTCCAGTAGCAGGGAGGAGCTCAGGAATGTCCCTGGAAGAATAGCTTGCTCATGTGCCTGTTTGAGGAAGGAGAGAAAGAGGGAGCAGTTTTTACTGAGTGACTGCTGTGCAGGCCCCATGTTAAGTGCTGAGGACTTAGCCTAGGACTAAGAAATAGAGCAGCAAGAAGGCTCTGTGGAAATCTAGGGAGAGAGAACATACCACTGTTAAAGAGAGGGAACAGCAGAGATATAAAGAAAAGCAATGCTACAGGAAGCTAAACCAGGAATCAGATTCATGGACTCAGAATACATGCTGACTCTGGGCAAATGCAGCCTTAGGATTCCAGCCATGGGCAGTTCAAGCCCTGGTTTGTTTGGTGTGGTGGAAAATGCATGCAGTGTGCAGTGAGAACATAAGTGGGTTTGAGTCCAGCTTCTTTCTCTACCTGGAAGTTCAAGATAACTCAATTTTAGTCTCTCAGCTTTGACTTGCTCATTATACAATGGGTGTTGTTGTTGTCAAATTATATATGATTGTGGCTAAGGTTAAGTTACATAAAGAGGGTGAAACATCTAACAGTTTTCCCAGTACACATTGGTTGCTCAGTGAGTGGATATCAGCTTTGACTTCTTGATTTATCTTTTTTAAGTTCCCATGGTCTACGTTGCTGAGTTTAGGCCTTCTTCTCCTGCAGATTCCCTCTTGGTCACCGTGTCTGATGTACCCCTCAGAGAGGGCATTCATTGCTATTTAAGTGAGGGAATTATGTATATGTTTGGACTAGTGCAGCCACCAAGCTGCCACTGTGCTGAGGGGTAAGGCACAAAATACAGGTTGGGAAGAACTCCTGCCACCGTATAATTTGCTAGCCGCCAGCCTCTCACATCTGACCACCTCCACATGCTCCTCTCTTGTCCAGGCTTCACTAATGTTCTCAAGATCCTGACCAAGGAGAGCAGTCGGGAGGAGCTGCTGTCCTTCATCCAGCACTATGGCTCCCACTACATCGCAGAGGCCCTCTATGGCTCAGAGCTCACCTGCATCATCCACTTTCCCAGCAAGAAGGTCCAGCAGCAGCTGTGGCTCCAGTATCAGAAAGGTAAGCCCGGAGTGCCTACTGTAGGAGGTGGCCAGGCAGGCTATAGAGGCAAGGGGTCTGGGGAGACAACTGAGCTGCCTTGGATCTAAATCCTGGCTCTGCCACGTCTAAGCTGTGTGACCATGGGCAAGTCCCTGCCTCTCTCTGAGCTTCAGTTTCACCATGGGCAGAGTGAGGGATCGTATAATGATTTTGCAGGATTCTCTCAAGTCAGGCATTTTCTGAGGCCTCAAGTTAGTGTTCTAGACTCCAGAACCCTTGCCTTCTCTTGCAGGTACTTTGCTTCCCACATCCTCTCTTTGAAACAACTGCCAGAGATCAGGTTGGGGGTCAGCAAGTGGTGTCTTCTTGACACTTTCTTCTCTCCAGGCTTCTTGGGAGAACCCAAGAAGATCTTGGGTTCTTCTCTCCCAAGAAGAACTCAATTCCTTTGGAAAAACAATCACCTCATAACCAAGCAGACGGTTTCCATTCTGTCCTGTGGTGAGGCTTTTATCCTCAGGAAGGGCCAGCAGATTTCATTTTCCTCTGACTCTCAGCTATTATCAGAATTGGAATTCCTCAGACCAGGTGCTGGAGACCAGTCTCTGCCCACTCACCTTGTGAAGGTTATTCCTTTTCCACCTCAATTTTCTCTTCCTGTGAAATGGGTACGTAAGTAGCTATTCTTGTCTGCTTCTCACATTAAAGATAAGTGGTTTATGTAATAGCATTTTGAGGAAGTTAGAATATCGCACATGTGTATATATGTGTTTTAATAGGTCAGTGTATTCATACTCCCATTTTACACATGAGAAAATGAGTCTCAGATATGCCACATCAAGTACTCATAGACACACAGCTAATAAGTAGCAGGGTCAGGATTGGAACCCAAGGCTGGCTGGCTGCAAAAGCCCATGTTCTTTCCCTCTTTCAACTATACTGAAATGCTTCTTGATATAGTTAATACTATTATTATCAACTATTTGTAAAAGAAAGTCTCTCAATTGATGGAAAGGGTGAAGAGCAATGTTAAAAACATGCTTGCATCTTTTCATACAGCTCAGCCACCCTATCTCCAAGAACAAAAGCAATCATAACAAAAAACCACAAAATGTGGGAGCCAGGAGGGATCTGAAGGATCTCATTGAGCATAGCACTCCAGTTTTGCAGTCGAGGAAACTAAGTCTATAGGGGAGAAGAAGGGAGCTTTCACGCAGCTTTGCTTGGCAGGGCCAAGACCAAGTGGGGTGCTCTACACCTCCTGTCTAGTGCTTTTTATGCAGCTGCACATTCCCAACTGGATAAAACCCTAGTCCACCTGCTTCCCAATCTCTAGATCCCTTCCCTTTTGTCCCTGGGGGCTTTGCATCCCCAGTCGTGCTCTCAGCCCTTTCTGCTTCCTGTGTGCAACTGTGTGGGGCACGGGGTGGTTTATGGGCACAGTGGATATAATTGAGTTGTCTGGGAATAGCTCCGTTTTATGGCTGTGTCAATGACAGTCTTTAAGGAAGTGCATTAAATCAATAGAAGTCTCATTGTGCTACCCTACAAATAATGTGACACATCATTAAGCAGGGCAATAAGCTTCAGGACTTTGAAGTAATACTATTAGGTTATGTTTATAAAAACCTTCACTCACTGTGGCTACATAACTAATTTGCTTCATACCACGTTTGGGGCTTGGGACACTACTCTGATTCTAAATCCCACCCCTTCTCCATCCTTAGCTGTCTTCAGACTTTAGACTTGACTTTCTCATTCCAGAAAATCCCATTCCTTGTATGGTGGATCATGGAATCTGTTACAAGTAAGATGGGAGAGGGGAAGAAAGAGTGCTGAAACAACAGCTGGAGGGGTCCCCCTCAAGACCTGGCTTTGCCGCAAACTTGTGGGGTAAACTTGGTGTTTTCCTTCCTGGGCTTCTAGTCTGCAAAGGCACTTTTCTTGCTTCCATCGTCCATACTTGCTCCCAAGAAAAGGACAGAGGATGCATTGAGGTCAGCTTAACCATTCTGTGTGTGTTTCTTCCCCTCCATCTTCACCTGCTGTGACCACCTAGATGGTAGATCAAATACTCCGGTTTTATTTTTTATATTTGGGAGTGATGCTAGGGAATGGGAGATGAGAAGCTGGGGATATGCATCTGTAGAGTTGAAAGAAGCCTTTGGACTTAAAGATAGCTAGTATCCCCTTTTCTCCCCGGCCATGAGTTATGTGTCACTGCCATCTGCTAAACGTTGGAAACCAGGCCAGGATGAATCTGGGCTTGGAGGCTGATAACTCGGTGGGCAGAACTTGTGAGAGGAGGAGAGATAGTGCAGTGCTGAAGTGGGATGGAGGGTGTTTCATGTCTTTACTCCTCTTTCTACACACCTGGCAGGTAACCTCAGGTAAAGGAACTTCTAAGTCTCAGTTTCCTCATGTGTTAAATGAGGGATAGTAATTCTCTTGCATGGCTTTTGGGAGAATAAAATGAGATGATGTAGGTAAAATGTCTGGTACATAGTAGGTACATAGAAAACAGTAGCTTGAAATAAAGTAAAAATTGTGGGCATTGGCTGAGGATTCTAGTCCCAGCTCCATACCTTGCTAATGTGTGAGGTCAACCCTCATTTTTTTTTTTTGAGACGGAGTCTCAGTCTGTCACCCAGGCTGGAGCTCAGTGGCACGATCTCTGCTCACTGAAAGCTCTGCTTTCCGGGTTCACGCCATTCTCCTGCCTCAGTCCCCGGAGTAGCTGGGACTACAGGCGCCCGCCACCATGCCCGGCTAATTTTTTCTATTTTTAGTAGAGATGGGGTTTCACTGTGTTAGCCAGGATAGTCTCAATCTCCTGACCTCATGATCCGCCCATCTCAGCCTCCCAAAGTGCTGAGATTACAGGCGTAAGCCACAGCGCCCAGCCTCTACCCTCATTTTTATCTGTGAATTACAGATGTCACTAGATAAAGACAATCCTGTAAGTGTCATTTTAACTCTTAGTGAAGGGAGGAGTGGAGGGTCAAACTCGGTAGAGTAGGTTGGGGAAAATAGACCAAATAGGGCATGGATAACAACCATGAGCATTTGTACAGCCCTCTACAGTTTCCAGATGGCCTTCCTGTGATCTTCCCATCTACCCCAGAAAGCAAAGGAGGCAAGGGTACTCACTTCCCCCATTACAGGAGGGAAACCTTAACTTACAGAGGCAAAAGGCCAAGAAGATGGTATTTGAATCCAAACTTCAGCCCAGTTCTTCCTTCACCCTAGCTCTGGTGTCCCTGGATATTAGAAACAAATGCCCTAGCCTTCCCAGGTTTCATAATGATGGGACCCTGGCCACTTTTATGATCTGGGGAAACCACTGGAAATTACTGGAAAGCCAAGGGAGATGGGGTGAATGTGCCTGATTAAAATATTTCCCATGAGGAGTTTACTTTACTCTCATTCCCCTAAGTGTTTCTAAAGGTACATTGTGTGGGAAAATAAAGTCATAGTTATTCATTGATTGTCTGAACATTTCCCAACTGCTTTTTCTCTGTATTTTTTTTTGTGTGTGCGTCAGATGTTGTGGCACCAAATAAAGAAGATATAGGCTCTGTTCCTACGTTGTTCATTACCAGCATGCCTTAGTATCCCAATATTTCATCATTTTTGTTACAGACTTTTAAAAATCCACTGGTAGACAGCTGGGAAGAGGGAGGAGGCCAACATTTCCAGGCTGGTTGGAATACCCAGTCACTATCATATTATGCTCTCTAGCTTTCATGTGCCAATTCTGATCAACTAGGGAATGGCTTGTCTAGAACACTGTGTGTAAGTTATTGGGATCATTGAGATGATCAGTTGGTAATGTCTATTCTAGACACAGAAAGGAAGTATAGTGGTCTAGATCCTCTGTATTTTCTTCCCTGTAATAGGGCAAAAATAAAAGCTAGAATAACAGACCTAGTTTTTGATGTTGATTCCAGAGGGGGCACTGGGCATGCCAATAACCACTGGTAAGATCTCCAGGCAGGAAGGCAGAGTTTTATATCACCAGGTGGGAATTCTGAGCTTTCCAGTAGTCCGTAGGGGACTGGAACACCGAACAGGTCAATAAGGTAGAATCTAATGCAGGAAGAACTGGGCCTTAGGAAACAACTAGAGCAGCCAAAGTCATCCCTGGAAGCTCTAGGTTCCAGACATGATTAGCATGGAAGCTGTTTAGCCTGTCAGGTTTCTTTAGCCATCACCTCTGCTCCCGTGCCATTCCCCCAAGCAGTGTGTGAACTTCTGAGTCTCTTCCTCTAGCATAATACTTTCATTACATGCTTCTGTGCTCTTGATATCCCTGTATTTTGAAAAAACTACCTTCTTCCCACTGGGGCTCCATTTCACCCTTTGACTTGATATTCACGCATTCTCCCTAGCTGTGATCATGATACATGAGCTTTATATCATGATGAGGGTTCACTGTATAAAGTCACCCTTCCTGTGGCTACCTTGGATAAAGACTTTCTCATTTGGAGATAAAGCACAGGTTTTACAATCAGATGGATCTCAATTCAAATCCCAGCTCTACCTCTTCCCAGATGTGTGATCTTGAGCAAAGTGATTCATTCTTTAAGATCAGTTTTTCCATATGCAAAATGCAAAGTCATTGTATAGATGGAATAAGAAAATAGAGCAATGGATGGACCCATCCAGCTCTGAGTTGAGGGCCTAATTATCTTGATCCAACCCATGCCCTCCACCCAAGGCTGCCACATCCACTTCGATTACTGTGTTCCCAGGTGTGTATGTTTGTGTGTATGTATGTGCGTGAAGGCACACATGTGTGTGGGCAGGGGTGGGGCTTGCTAATTTGCTCTCATCCCTTGTCATCGTTGTGACCCAGGATCAAGGGCAGAGGTAGATTGTCCTGGGATTGGGAGGGGCCTCAGTGAGTTTAGCTACAGGCTTGGAGCCAGTGAAGGGAAAGAGCTGTGGAACTGGACTGGGGAGATATCAAAAGGAATCTGTAACTTTTATCATCCCCTGTCATTCTCTACTTAGGGAGGATAGTGATAGATGCAGGAATTAGAAATATAATAAGTTTTTTGAATTTTTAATTGCTTCTTTTTTATAGAGAAACTGACTATGGAAGGTGACAGATGTGTGTATGTGAAAGAATTGTTCATTCTGTGTGTGTGTGTGAGAGAGAGGGAGGGACAGAGAGCTAGAGCAAGAAAGAGAGGAAAAGAAAGGCAGAGAGAGAGAGAGAGAGAAAAGAGGGGAGGGGAGGAGGAGACAGAAAAACAAAGAGAGATAGACAAAGGCACACCAAAATCCACAAAGAGAAATGGCGAGATAAAGAGAGGCTAGAAGTGAAAGAATGCTATGCAATTAACATGTCTTTTCCAAGTGTACTGCCTAGGTGACCCCTGTGGAAGGACATTCTCTATGTGAAGTTTGCACTGCTCCTGAGTTTAGATTGGGAGAGTCCATGGTATAGAAATGTCCCCACAGATAAATACATGTCGCCACTTTTAAAAGGTGTCTTATCTCTATTATCATTTTCCTAGACTGTCCAAGGGATTGCATTTCTGCACTTCCATTTGAATTACAATGTGCTTTTGAATGTCAGCTGAAACATTCCCAGACTACTTTTTAAAGGAGTTTTTGGCTGTTTAAAAGGCATCTCAGGGGTTGTGGGTGGAGGAGGAGAAGGGAATGATTATTCAACTGTCGCCTTTTCTTTGAGGACAGATGTGGCCAAGGGGCTGATGAGAGCTGGATAATTCTCCAGAGCCTTCAGTTTCCCGAGGGAACTTGCTTTTAAGATGGCAACAAGATATGAACGGAGTTGTTCTTAGGGTCTGAGACCTGCAAGGTCTTGGTTTACTTCCTCAGTGATTCAATATCCTGCGGACAGTTTTCGGGTTCCATCTTGCTTGACCTTTCAGTAGGCTTTGACAAAGTTGTCTGCTTCCTGTGTGAGGCACTTTCTGTGTTTGTTTCGGTGATACTAGATCTTCATGATTTTCTACTTCCCCTCTGGACTGTTGCATCTCTGTCTCCTCTGCAGGTTCATCCTCTTCTGCAACATTAGTAAGTGAAGTTTCACAGGAGCCTGTCTTATGGACCCCTCTTTCTAGACTTGTTTCTATGGTCATGATCTCTGTTGTAATCCCCACACTGATGAGTTCTACTTTATACCTCCAACATCAAGCTTTCCTCTGATATTTGCTATCATTCTAGTTCTCTTGCCTGCCCAAACTCCACTCCACACAACCTAATACTTTTCTAGTGTTCTAGTGAGAAGCACCATTATCTGTTTAGAAGCAGAACCAGAAACCTAGGAATCCTTCTCAACACCCTCTCTCAAGATCTGAGAGCACTGACTTCAAATTGCTTGATCCCAGGACAGTCACCTCTGAATCTTAACTCCTTAATTTTATCCAAGGTGAAAAATCTCAGCCTGGCTGCATTTGTCTGTGGTGGTGGGAGTTGGCTAACTATCCCTTCCCTCTCCCTTTGTACCTTAGTTTCTGAGAAGGTCTTCTGCTGATTTCAGCCACCCATTTCCAAACCATTTCAAGTTCTGTCAATTTTAATTCTCAAATAACTCTTAAATTTGCCCACTTTTTTCTTCCTCACTGTTGCCACCCTATTCCAAGTCACCATCATAGCTTGTCTGGATTCCAGCTTTGTTCTCTTGCCTGGTCAGCCTGCATCTACCCTGCCTCCCTGAATCCTAACCACACGGCAGCCCTGAGGATGTGTATTAGCCAGGATAACAAAACCAGAGAAACAGAACCAACAGGATGGATATGTAGCGAGAGACTTATAGGCAGATATATATATATATATGTACAGATACAGGTATAGATATGTAAATATAGATATAGATGATATAGATTTATTATAATAAATTGTCTAACATAATTATTGAGGCTGAGAAGTTCCAACATCTGCAGTCAGCAAGCTGGAGACCTAGGAGAGCAGATGGTGTAATTCCAGTGTGAATCCAAAGCCCTGAGAAGTGGGAGAGCCAATGCTATAGTTCCAGTCCGAAGGCTGGCAGGCTTGAGATCCAACAAAAGAAGATGTTTCCATTGGAGTCCAGAGGCAGGAAAAAACCAATGTCCTAGCTCAAGACATTCAGGTGGGAGGGTCAACCTTTTGGTTCTATTGGGGCCTTCAACTTACTGGTTTAAGTCCACTCACATTAAGGAGGACAATCTGCTTAGTCAGTCTACCAATTCAAATGTTAATCTCTCCAAAATCATCCTCACATACATAACCAGAATACTATTTGACCAAATAGTTTGATAACCCAGCCAAGTTAACGCATGAAATTAACCATTATAGGATGTTTCTAAAATAGAGATCCCATCATGTTATTCCTTGGATTAAAACTTCTAGGTGCCTTGTCACTGCCGTGAGGATAATTTGCAAATTCCTTCCCATGGCCTCAGGGCTCTAACAGTTCTGATCTGTCCTCAGCCAACCTCTTCAGCCCTGTGTGTCTCCGTGCTTTCTGCCGTTTTGTCATACTGACCTTCCTTCAAGTCCTAGAACAAGCTGCAATCCTTTTGTCACTTGGCCTTCTGCTGATTTTTTTTTCCCATTTTTGCTGAGATCACTTCATATCACCCAACTCAAATGTCACTTTCTCAGAAAACCTTTCAAGAAGCCTCAGGCTATGTCAGGATCCTTTGCTACATTCCTATTTTCTTAGAATGATGTTCCTTTGCTACACATAACCTGTTTGTAAGTTCACATTTATTAGTTTACATCTTTCTCTCTTGCTGCACTATAAGCTCTGTGAGGGCAGGGACCATGCCTGCTTGGCTAATACCTAGCCAGTGCCTGGCATATTGATAGCATTCAATAATGTTTATTGAAATAAATGAGTGAGTGAGATTGAGTGAGCCTGGGAGGGTCATAAATGCCTTAGTGGTATAGGCAAAGTGTTGTTCATCTGCATTTGTGTTTTATTTGGGATGAAAGTCTCCATAGCTTTCTTGCAGTCTCAAAGGGTTCTCTGACTCCAGAAAGGATGAAGACTACTGATGTATTAAAAGCAATTTGTTGAAAATTTGAAAGCACTGACTTTGAACTCAGATAAACCTGGCTTTTCTGATTCCTAGCTGCTTGACCCCAGGGCAGTCACCTCTGAATCTAAACTCCTTAATTTTATCCTAGGTGAAAAATCCCAGCCTGGCTGCATTTGTCTATGGTAGGGTCCCAGCATGGTGGTGAGAGTTGGCTAACTATCCCTTTCCTCTCCCTTTGTGCCTTAGCTTCTGTGCAGTTATTTGTAGGATCAATCTAGCTCTAGGGAAGCGTTTTCTTGCAGAAGGCAGAGAGACTGGAGGAGGTTAAATATGAGCTTGACACTCACTAGTCTACAGCACGCCAGAAGACAGAGCCAACGTATTTCTCCTCAGAACCATGCAAAAAGACGATACAGGATGTGGTTCATTAAACACAAATAGGCCCATGAGACTGCCGTTTCCACAAGATGAAATTACCAAAAAAAAGCATTTGTTCCCCGGTTTAGATTGAGTCCATCTGGAACGGAACACCCTAGTCTTCTTCCTATTGGTGCATACCAAGAATAATAATCCTCTGTATGTGCTCAGTGCAGTGCATCACACAAAGCACTTTCACATACATTATTTCATCCAGTTTACTCCTCACAAAAAGTCTGTAAGTCAAGCATTGTTATCTGCATTTCATGCTTGAGGAAACTGAGGCTCAGAAGGGGAAAGTGACTTGTCAGGATTCACACCAGGGAATTTGGCAAAGCAGGGATTTGAACCCAGGCTGATTAATCACGGAGTTGGTGTTGGTTCAGTCATACCACAGCAGCCTCAGAGAACTCTTTAGATGTTGGTATCAAACCCAAAGGTAAACATTTGCTCTCCTGTTGTTTCTCTTATCCACAGGTAAAAGAAATTAGGAAAGCTAAGACTTGGAATTTAGACCTTCAGCTTGAGCAGGGGTGAAAATATTCTCTTTACCACCAGTATCTCCCAGCATAATCTGCTTCTGAATCTTAGCTTCAGGGCTGCATTATAAAGTAAAGTCAAACCTTACAAAGTCAGAGTGGGAAGAGGCATTAGCAATCACATAGTCAGGCCTGAGTTTTTCTTTATGTGCCCATTGCAATCAACTGCCTGGAATACTGCATTGAGGTTCTGGGCCAGGACTCTGCTCAGTGGAAAAGAATGCAGTGATTACTTAGCAATGTCTGTCATGGGTGTGACAGTAAGAAATAGTGACTTGTGTAAGGTGTTTTCCATTCTTATCTTGGTTAGCCATTCCCATTCTACAGATGGGAAAGATGAGGTCAGCTTTATGCAATCAATTAGAAATTGCAGTGGTGAAGGGAGAAATTTAATAACCAGGTAGAAACATGGTTTGGCCTTCCCTCTCCAGAAAACTTAGAACAAATTCAAAGACTACCTGTTGCCAAAGCCTCCCATGTACTTATAAATGGCAGAGTCTTTGATTGGCAGACTGCTCATTATATTATTTGGGGTATATGTGTGTGCATCATTACCTAAAGCACTGGAGACCATCCCCACTCTCCGTCTTCCTAGGGGAAGTGACAAGAGATTGATACTGTTGTAAACTAGTTACTCTGATTCAAACAGGTGCAAAATCATACTCATTCCCCTGTCACAGTCACAGTCCCAGACAGAGATGCAGGGCCTGAGGGAGCAGGATTGTTAGATAGGACCCTTTTCTCTCAGCAGTCTGGCACTAAGAATGTGGAATTTCCCTGGAGATGAATGTGGAGCTTTTGCTATCTCTCTGCCTTCAGCCCCTTAATGAGAACAAAATGGCCTGGAGGGAATACAGATACATACATTGAAGTTTTTGCCTTCCCTTGGTCATTATCAGCAGGTCTAACCTACCAACCTGAGAGGAGCCTTGCTCACAGACAGTCCTTTCAGATACCACACCCCAGGGGGCCCTGTTCTTCCCTGTCTGCCTCTCATTTCTTTCCTTTATCCTTTCTCACCGCTCTATCATTCCACAGTAGTTCCTTGAGCCCCTAATATGAGGTGCTAAGGAGGCTAAGGCAAGTGAGACACAGTCCCTGCTCTCAAAGATCCCACAGTCAAATGGGAAAGACTAATAGGTGAACAGATTTTTTTAATAAATGCTTTATAATTTGATAAATGCTGTGATAGAGGAAAGCATAAAGTGTGCATGTGTATGGAGGGTGGGGAGTGGAGGGAACAAGGCTGAGAGATGGGCCCCTAACCTACTGAGGGTGGACTGGGAAGTCTTCCTGGAGGAAAAGATGTCTAAACAGGAACCTAAGGGTGAGTAGGCATTTGCCAACTGGGAAGGTGGGGAGGAAGGAGACTCCACGCAAGGAGACAACAATGCAAAGCTAGATTTGTAGGAAGGCCTGGCACCTTTAGGAATGGCGAAGTCTCTTGGACCAGTTAGGAGCAATATAGTACCTGCATCCCCTCAGTGCTCCTAGGGAATGCTATTGGCTTCTTTGTTAGACCTTTGAATGTCACTGGGCCTCAGTCTCCCAAGTAGTTAGAGACACTTCCATTGCCTCTGTCCACAGCTGAGAACTGTCACAAATAGAAAAGACTGAATCTCCAATGCCTTAAATTAAGTGAAAACAACTGGCCACTTTGGGAGATACCAGGGGAATAGCTGGAAAAACATTTAGATCTCACATGATTCTTTTTTTTTTTTTTTTTTTTTTTTTTTTTTTTTTTTTTTTTGAGACGGAGTCTCGCTCTGTCGCCCAGGCTGGAGTGCAGTGGCGGGATCTCGGCTCACTGCAAGCTCCGCCTCCCGGGTTCACGCCATTCTCCTGCCTCAGCCTCCCAAGTAGCTGGGACTACAGGCGCCCGCCACTACGCCCGGCTAATTTTTTTGTATTTTTAGTAGAGACGGGGTTTCACCGTTTTAGCCGGGATGGTCTCGATCTCTTGACCTCGTGATCCGCCCGCCTCGGCCTCCCAAAGTGCTGGGATTACAGGCGTGAGCCACCGCGCCCGGCCTCACATGATTCTTATGCAGATGATGTGAGATCATGTGATTACGTGGCTCATAGCAGGAACTCAGCACAAGTCAGTCATTGATGCATTCTCCTCCCGACAGGTGTAAGTTTCAACAAATGGCAACATACATAAGAAGCTATGTGTCATCTGTTCCATTCTCTAGATGTGTGACTTAGGTCAGGTCTTTTAGGTTCCTGGGACTCAATTCTCTTATCTTTAACATGGGTATAATTATGCTTATCTTGCAGTATTGTTATGAGATTTAAATGAATTGATGTTTGTAAAGTGATTACTGCTGCACCTGGCATATAACAAATGCTGAGGAAATGCTATTATGATCATCATTCATTATTATCATGAGACATAATTAAGCCAATAATGATTATTATTACTGTTAGTTTTCTCAAGCAAAAGGCATAATGATACAGCCTTTTCTGGTCCTGACTACAGCAGCCTAAGATATATGTCTTCTTCCTGCCAGACTTCCTATGTCATGGCTGTTTCTCCCTGGCTAATCTGTCAGCTTTTGAATTTGAGCTTTTCCTAAACCTGGAGGTGGGAATAGAAGGTGAGAATGTCAGATAGCACAGCCTGGAGCTCAGCAGTAGGGCACATGGGAGCATGTTTGCACAGCTGAACACCAAGCTTATATTGTTCTAGAAGAATGTATATATGTGCGTATATGTGTGTTGGAAGAGAAGGTGACAGAGGAAAGGGCAACAATGATTTACATGTGTTGAGTTCCTATTATGAGTTAGTTAATCACATGATCTCATATTGTCTTCATAACAACCCTGTGAGGTCCAAATTATTATTTCCATCTTCCTAATGTGAAAACTTATCTGCTCAAGGTTACATGGCTAATAAAAGGTAGAGCCAGGATTCCATCCTAGGGCTGTCTGACTTCCAAGTCCTTATGCCATGTACTGAGAATTCACTACATGCCAGGAGATATGCTGGGCATTTCACATGCACAATTTCATTTAATCCCTACAACTTCCTAAAATTGGTATCTTTATGGAAGTAAACTGAGATTTGGGAGTGAGGGGTAAGATATACAACCCAAAGGCACAGAGTTGGCAAATGGTATTCTCTCATGCCTTCTCTTTCTTCTGTCTTTTCATGCTCCGATTCTCTTACCATTTACATTTTACTATTACTTAGCCAAAGTGGGCACTCCCAAAGTTCTCTTTGTGTGGCATTTCTCTTCTCCCTGCAACAATTAGAAGTACTTAGTCAGGAAGAGCGAAAAAAGAGGGAGATTGATCGGCAGGATGTAAGCCTGCATGATGCTGACCAGCAGGCTCTAGACCCTTGTTTCCTAGCAACCCCTTGGCTCTGAGTCAGAGTGCCAGCTCTGAGACGGGCCTTAGAGATCAACTTCACCATTGATACATTGGGTAGGAGCTGGCCTTAGTTGTCTTCATCTGATGTACCAGCCCTAGGCCCCAGGCTTTCCTCTTTAGGGTCCTTTGTCTTTAGGGTCTTCCTTGCTGTTCCCTCCTACTCCACAGATGCCCAGAAAGAAGGCTCCTTTTGGAGATCTTGATTCAATAAGTCTCCGGGGTATGGGGCACCAGAATCATTGAAGTTTACAACTAGAAAGATCCTTAATTTAACAAATATAGATGGTGGAAATGGAGTGCCATGGAGAAGAAAAATAATTGCCCAAAGAGAACCATTAGTTAATAATATTAGGACTCAAACAGGATTAGTACTCTCTCTTTCTTCCCCCATCCAAGGAAGTGTGTTGAGTGGCAATTCAAAAGGCCATGTGTCCAAAGGTCACATGGCTGCTAATAGGCAGAGACAGGATTCCATCTCAGGACTGTCTGACTCCCAAGTCCACATGACATGTACTGAGAATTCATTACATGCCAGGAGGTATGCTGGGCATTTATTATCTCCATTTCCTAACGTGGAAACTCACTTGCTCAAGGTCACATTTTTACGTTCGTAACAGCTTTATTGAGATATATTTCATATAACACACAATGAAAGGTATATTTTTGAGCCTTCTCTTCCAATGGTGACATTGCACCAAAACAAAGTTCGGGTTGAGTCTAGAAAGGAACGCAACTTTCAATTATTTTACAGTTGAGAAGATTCTCTAAGGAAAAGCAAATCAGAGGGAACCACTCCTCCCACCTTTCAACCATACCCCACTTTCTATTGCAGCTAGACTTAATGATTCAGGGATGCAGGTACTAGGAGAAGCAGGAGGTGGCATAACCAGCTGATGCTAATTGTGACCCAGAGTGCTCACATATGTCAACATATGAGCTAAGCTGACCTCTGGTTTTATTCAGCAACAATTATAGTGCCTACTATGTTTCAGGTACTGTGCTAGATGCTATGGATGCAGCAGTAAATTAAATATTGCCTTGCCTTCAGAGAGCTCATTTTAGTCTTGGAAAAAGATATTTAATGAGAAAAATCACCATGAAATATGTAAATGCTAGAGGGAGAAATATAAAGTGTGGCATGAACACCTGGCTCAAAACAGTTAAGGTGGATCCAAAAGGGCATTCCAGAACACTTGAAGAAGGTAAGATTTAGGCCAACACAGGTGGGTATGGAGAAGGTAAATGTTCCAAGATGCAAGAAAAGCATGTACAAAAATGTCCCTGAGATAAGAAAAAAGAAATTGTGGATGGAGCAAAGCTCTAGAGGGGATGGAAGTGGTGGTAAGATAAACCTAGAAAGATAGATGGACAGGAATCAAATCCCACTGGGATGTATAGACCATGTTAAGAAAGTTGTACCTTTGCTAGGAGCACTTAAAGGTCATTTAAAGGTTTTGTATATTATCATTAGCATTTGCATTTTAGAATTTGACTCTGGCTAGTGTGGGATAGGGCTTGACTTGGGATGGGAGGAAGTATATGTGAGATGCTAGATTAGAGTTAGGAGGATCAGTTAGGGAGTTGTAGTAGTGTTTCAAGGAGAAAAATAATAGCTTAAAATTTAGCAGCCATGAGGATTCAGAAAAAAAATTAATGTATGTGAAAAATATTAAGTGGCTAGAATGATGAGAACTTCATGATGGGACAGTAGAAGGTGAAAGGTGAGGAAAATGATTAGACATGGTGCCAAGCTTTCTGACTTAAGGGCCTGAGTGACTGCTGGAGTTCCTTAGGTGAAATAAAAAAGGAGCAGCAGGTATGGTAGAGCCAAGTTCAGTTTTGAATATACTGAGTCTAAGATTCCTAAGGTATATACAACTGGCAATATAAAATGGGCAGCTGGGTATACACCAATCTGGTGATCAAAAAGAAGGTAAGACATGAAAAATACAGTTTGGTATGTAGCTGCATACATGATTGAAGTCATAGAAAAAGATGGTATCGTCCAGAAGAAAAATAAATGTTCCCTTTTGCAATTTGTTTTCTTAAGCTACTTTCCTGCTGCCATACCTTGTATTATTTCTGACATTTTATTTAGAGACATTTTATTTCATTCAGAGAGGCTGACTATGCTGCTCATTTTTAGGCAGCTTTTACTTGTGTAAAATGTTATGGGGCATTGAAGAGTAGTTGTAGTACATATTAAATAGGCTGGAGTTAATATGCCCATTTCATTGAGGAGAATAAATAGGCATAGTCGCCAGAGCAGAAAGGAGGAATACACACTTTCAGGGTTGTTGCTTGAGCATTTGCACCTTACATTTAGCTAATTAGCCTTCTATGCAGGGTCTACGGTATATTTGCCTATTTGTATGTGGCCTTTCTTCCAGTGTATCAATTAATGGAAGTTTCATTCTTCTATATCCAGTCCCTGAGTCTTGGATCAGGCAAGGTAATATGCATGTCTAATGCCTTTCCATCCTTTCAGGCCATGACATTCTTCATTTAACTTCATTTCTTACACTTTTACAGAATCATTAAATGTGTCAAACAAGTTTCATATCTTGGGGTCTGAGAGATTTAGAGATTTATTACTAGTTTTAAGTTTAAATATTAAACGTCATTTCACAAAACACATGGCTTTATTCATGTGGTTGCTCAGAACTTACAAAATTTTCTTTCTTTTTTCTCTTCTTTTTTTTTTTTTTTTTTTTTTTTGAGACGGAGTTTCACTCTTGTTGCCCAGGCTGGAGTGCAATGGTGTGATCTCAGCTCACCGCAACCTCCACCTCCTGGGCTCGAGTGATTCTCCTCCCTCAGACTTCCCCGAGTAGCTGGGATTACAGGCATGCGCCACCATGCCTTGCTAATTTTGTATTTTTAGTAGAGACAGGGTTTCTCCATGTTGGTCAGGCTGGTCTCAAACCCCCGACCTCAGGTGATTCCCCCCTCCTTGGCCTCCCAAAATGCTGTGATTACAGGCGTGAGCTCACTGCACCTGGTCTGAAATTGTCATTTATCGTAATATGAAATTTCTTTCAATATTTAACTCTAAACATCTGTTGTCACTCAGAAGTAGTGGGATGTACCCCCACCCAACATTTGCTTCAGATGTTGAGGCTGATGATACCACACACACACACCAAGAAGATATGAAAAGATGTATCACTCACATAATGAAGCTTTCTAGGGAGAGCAGAGGGAGCTTCCAAACAGGTCCAAACATGGTTTGAGAAAGCAGGGAAAGGAGACTGGCTTGGATTGGGAGGTGAGGGGTGTAGGGTAAGGTTGGGGAGGTTCTCATATATTATCTGGGGCTTGCATGGATTGAGCTTCCCTCTGGCACCAAAGGTAGGCCTACCTAGGCTTCCCTATCAGTTTTCCCAGATGTGAAGCTGAAGAAGAGGGAGTAAGTAGAAGAATTTGAAAGTTGTTAGCAGTCAAGTACCAAAAATGGAGTCAGAATCTTTATTACGATTCATCCCTGATATTTGACTGATGACTGAAATGTGGCATGTTTCATTTAATTGAACTTGAACTTGTTTAGGTAAAATAAACCATTATGGCTTTCTATGAGGCCTGCAGCCTGAGGCTGGTAAGGGAGGTGAAAGTTCCATTAAATGCCTTGTACAAGAGCCCAATATTATGTATTTTGAGATGTGAAATGAATGCCTTAGTCACTATCAATAATTTCTAGACTACTGAAGGGGTTAAAGTGTTAATGAGGCCTTTTATTGTGGATTTATTGTGAGTAGAAATGACCTTGACTTATACTTTGAGTATAAGTATATATATATGAGGCAAGAGAGTCACAGAGTTATTTAACCCAAAGAGGCAACCTTGGATAGAAAACTGTTTTTGCTGCTATTGGCTGGAGCAGATGAGCAAATCACTGGCAGTGGTTCAACAGTCTATAGAACTGTGCAGATGTTGGTCAGGGTATTCAGTGCTAAAAGGACCGCATAAAGTTTGGCCAGTTGTGCTGACTTGGGTCCTGTTTCATTATCAGGGATGTCCCAGTTATGGGCTAAAAATCAGGAACTTTCCAGCAAGCTCCATCACATACAATGGTAGTGATACCATCTATAAAGTGGAGAAACTCCCTTTACTCTTCACTCTGTTGATTGCAAGGGCTTCCACAGATATCCAAAGGGTCTGGGAAGGGGGATGACTTTTACCAGCACCATGGTATTTAGCAAGGGGCTGAGGGTGGTGGTGGGAGACTTTTTCCTATAGGTGAAATATGCCAGGTTTGGCTCTATGCTACAGCAAGGAAACCTCAGTGGCTATGTTGAACTTTTAGGGTGTGATTTCAAGACCCAAGGGATAATGGGCAGCTGGTATGGAGAGTCACAGGCTGAGGGCCGGTGACAACCAGCCTGTTTCCAGGAGAGTCCAATATGCAGCCAGCAATTGCACTCTAATGGCATATAGCATGGGGCTGAAGGGACAGTTTATGGCACAAGATGCCTGTGGGCAACTTAGGGCCATCAAGTGTGGGCCAGAGACTTCAGGAATCATGGGAGGAGGTTGCTAAAGCCTTTAAGTAAAGGACTCTCAGGGGTCACTAATTGCAGTGCCTGTATTATAATTCATAAGTGAGCTTAAGTAATAGTATAAACGGGTTTAAGTAAAATTTGTAAATGAGAAATATGCTGTCTCCAGAACTCAAAATAGACTAAAACATATTGGGCTTTTAAAAAAATTGCGAATGCTGTTTCTGGCAAGTGTCAGGGATAGAATGGCCCTCAGCTAAATAGCTTTCAGGAATTTATCCAAGGTGGAAGGACTTGGTAATTTGTGTGGGGTAGTGGTCCATCCCTTTTTCGTGAGCTCTTTTATGATTATGACTATATGTGTCCTCAGTGAGTGTGCCAAATGAACCTTCTTGGAGGATGATGTGATCAGTATGATCAGTGTTTACTGTGCTCCTGAAGAAAGTTAAATGTGGTCAAGATCTTGTCTGCAGGCTGTGTGAAGACCTGGCTGTTGTTATCCCATGAGTAGCTGAGTAAAAGGATACTGCATCCCTTTGATGGTGAAGGCAAATTGTGGCTGAGTCGCTGCTAAAATATTAGCCAAATCTATGAATTAAAAGTATTTACCAGTTGTTGATTAAAGTTAGTAATTTTGATAATATTTGATATGGGAGCCTTATTGGATAGAACTTCAGCATTAACATGGCAATAATCTACTGTGAGATGCCATTCATTCTTTCTAGGTTTCTGAACAGGCTACATTGGGCCATTAATGGTGAAGCAGTGGGGATAGTCACTCTTCTCCAAATAGGTCTGGTATATGGGTTTCAAACCTCAAAGACTCTGTTTTAATTTAAATTGGGCCATATTAACTATTTTAACTAACGGAGGAGGGGAAGGTCCATGCCGTCCCATTTTGGCAAGCTGATTTGTAAGTGCCAAAGACTTAATTCAATTTTAATTTATTACTCATTGGGTTAGAGCATCCATGCCCACTATGGGATATTTTAAGTTAATGGGTGCTATGGCTATGGGGGAATTTAGGCAGGGCAATAGTTCTGATTAAGATGAGGCATATCTATTTGTCTTCCTAACATGTCCTAAAATATCCTCAGTTAACTACCCTAAGATTATAGGGGTACTTTGTTTAAATTTAGGGGAATTCCAGGTATAATTTGAAGCCCAATATTAAGGCTATGAAGGGTTGACAACTGGTGCATTTCAGCAAATGTTAAAAGTTAATTCGGAACCTAGGTTGTAGAGGTACAAAAGCCAAATAGTAACCTTTTATCTTGTTTTGTTGTTGTTGCAAAAATTCTTTAATTTTGGATTTCCAATTGGGTCAAATTGTGAACCTCTGTTTTAGTTTTTTGTTTCTTTCCCCCAGTATCCAAGTTTATTTTATTTTCCTTTTGGTGGCTACCGTATATCATTTGGTGGTGGTGTGGGGAGGGGTTGGGGAGGAGGGAAGGTCCTCTCGATCCTGCTCATATGTGTAAGATTCTTCCTCCAGAGTTGCAAATACATATAATCAGGATTAGGTTCTCTCCCGTGCCAACAGTTGCTTTATAGGGTTTGAGGACCCAGTGCTTAAGTTGGCTTTGAAAGAACTCCTTGGCTATAGCATGGATGCTTTTCCCTATAACCCTTAGGATCAGGAATTTTTTTTTTTTTTTTTTTTTTTTTTTGGTCAGGGGGCATAGTGGCATAGGGCATAGGCAGAAGTAGGAAGAAAGGCATTTTGTAAAGTCCTAGTAAACCATCTGCTTTTGGGAGTGTGCACCATAGCATTCAACATGGTCTTCGTCCATGAGTGACTACCAACCAGCCTGCATATTGCATAGGGTATGACTGTTTCTTTTGAGTACGCCATACAATGAGGGCAACACCTGGTTGAGATAAACAACCAAAAGTCACAGGGTAAGAGTCATTCCTCTGAGCCTCGTGACAGTCACAGCTGACACTGGGATCCAGAAACACAATTCAGAGACACAGGTAAGTCTCGACCAAGACACATGACCCAGGGCCACTTTAATCTTGTTCTTAAATGCCACTTTATTCTTGTTCTTAAATGCCAATTATCAAAAATTCCAACTTAGCTGAGCACATCTATAACAGAAGCTTGGTAAGGCTCAGTGAACGCAGTACAAAGCAGCACAGCACAAAGCATGAGCTTGCCAGCAGTGACAAAAAAAAAAAAAAAAAAAAAAAAATTCTAGCCAGCAAGAGTCAGTTAGCAAACTAAAGCAAGAGGAGAGCCCTGCAGTGGTAGTGGTCATCTCCTAGACCCTCTGCTTGTTGCATAAAGTGTTTAGTCATCCCACAGAGGAGAGGTTGAACCCCTTACCCAAAACTTGGTTTAGGTGTTAGGACTGATGTTACATTAGGACCAAATAGATATGAAAAGGTTTATCACTCACACGAGGCTTTTACAGAGAGCAGCGAGTTCTCAAGCAGGTCCAGAAATGGCTTGAGCAGGGAAAGTAGAGGAGCCTGGCTTTTCCTAGTGGCTTGGAGGTAGGGCTGCAGTGAGGATTCTTAGGTGGTTTGAACTTCCACCAGGCACAAAGGTGGAAGCATTTGAGCTTTCTTACTGGCATGTCCAGATATGGGGCGGAAGGGGGAATAATAGGTTTTAAAAACTCAGCCAGTCAGACATCAACAAATGAGTCTGACTGTACTACAAAGTTGTACTAAGATTACAGCACTTATTTGGCGTAGGCTTCTGAGGGGAGAAAAATTTGATATTATTTCAGAATTTTTAAAGGACAGAAAATGTATTTCTGAGACAATGTCAATCAGTGATTCCCCATCAGGAGAGATATTAGAATACCGAAGAGGGTATGCATTTTCAAACTATGCCTTTGCCCTCCACCCTCAGGACTCTAAGGAGATTCTGATTCATACCCTACCACCTCTATAAGTATGAAGCCTCACTGAGCCATGGGTACTGTTGGCAGTAAGTCATATAAACTAGGGCAGAAAAAAAAAGAACCATTTGAATTATTACTTAACCACTTTAGACCTTTGAATTTCTTTAATGTCCCCTCATTCTGGGGTGGTTTTAACTTCTGGCACCAACTTCTCACTCTTCATCCTAATCTTGTACCTTTGTTCACGATATTCCCTTTACTTTTAAGGCCCTTCAGCAACCAGATCTTCTCAGCAGTCTTTACTCAAACACTTGGCACTCCATTTCTATCCTGTTACCATTTATCTTACTCTCTTGTATTTTTTATTATTTGTTTACATACCTTATCTCTGCAGCCAGACCACAAGCTACTTGACTACAAAATTCATGACTGATTTTCTTTGCATTCATTACTCATATTAAGTATTGCTAATAATAATAAAGGGTAGATGTCTTATATATGTTTAATAAGTGAGTGAATAAATGGAATCTCAGGTTTTGATATTCTTTCACAATATGCAATGCCATTATAGTTATAACCAGGTAAACTGGGTAAATCACCACAAGAAAATCCTGGTTTTATCTGTATAGGGAAAACATGCATTTGACTTATATACATTCACACAAACTCTTCATGGTTTCAATCAAGATTTCAGTGAGTTAGTAAATAATTTTCCTTTGCGGTTGCAGGGGTTAGACTTTCCCTTACCAGTTTCATATCATCTTTATATCACAAAAATGAGGTAATTTCAGATATATTTGGTTTACTGTAATTTCAAAAATGCTTTTTATTCTGCTAAATGGCATTTATATATCCATCATCTCTTCACAATACTGCAATAAAATGTGAAACAGTCATTACTAGTGAGAAAACAGACTGAGAGGTTAAGTGACTTAATGGTCATAGAGCTAATAATTGAGGGAAACAGGACTAAACTCAGGACTCCCTGCTTACAAAGCTCAAGCTTTAACCACTTAACAGGGATATTTGTGGCTTACTTTTATTTTTATAATTATTTGAGTTAATAAATTTTGACCTAGAGAAAAAATTCTTTGAAGCTAGCCATCTAAAGAAATAGCTAAACATGCATGTTTCTAAGGTTTTAAAAAAAATTTCATCTCTACCTGTGCGTGTGTGTATATACTTAGATGTATGTACTACATATTAGTGCATATATATATAAAATCTTTAAAAAAATCTTGGCTCTATTTACCCCTCAAAAGAGTCAAGATGCCATCTTAATTACTTTAATCAAATGATTAGACTTTAGGATTTATTTACAGCTTTCCTAATGGGATACATTGCTGTGAATGAGTATTGCTTCTGCCCCTCCAGCAATCCCACTCTTCCTCCAATAGGCTTTTCAATTAAGAGGCCAAGAAGTGCTGAACATGCTATTGCATCACCAATACAGGTCTGAAAATCTCCACTGGCTTTCACTTGAATGTGTATCAACAACTCACCATGAAGGGAAGGATGCTTTTGCCCCCTATAATGGAAGTCACACATTTTCTGAATTAGGTACTTTTACATATACTATCCCATTTATATATTTTAATTCTCACAACAGCCCTTTAAAACATAAACTGTCATTCATTTTCTTTTACCAAGGAAAACTCTAGCTCAGCAGGGTGACAACAGCTAAGTGACACAAAGTCACAACAGCTGGGGTAGAGAAGCAATTATATCAAGTTGGGGATGATTTGGGTTTTTTGTTGATGTTGTTGTTCTACTATTCTAATGTAAACAAAACACAGTTATAACAAAGATTATGCAAAAACATTGGGGGGAACTCAACAATTCCATTGGTTAACAAATTAATTAAAATCTTAGAGCTAGAAGGGATTTTGGTGACATACCAACACCCTTATTTAAATTAACAGATAGGGAAATTGAGGCTCAGAGGTATGGTGATCACCTGAGGTCACACAGCTAGTTAAAATGCAGAGCTGTGATTCAGACACAAGCCTGACTTCAAGGCCGGTGATCTTCTCACTAGAGTACATTGCCAGACCCAGAGCTGGCTCACTAACTTCAGCCTTAGCTTGGGTCCCGTGAATATTAATGATATTGACAAGATAAAGCCATAGGTCTGGAGTCTAAGTGTATATTTTGCTACACAGCCTTCTTCCTCACTGTTGCCCTGCTTGTAAAATTCATCCAGGCATCTGTTGTTTCATGTCTGTAATTTGAGATGCCTTGAAGGGCTGCATGTCCTGAGTGCAAATCAGCATCCTAGTCAAGTGCAGGGTGGAGACCTGAGTCTCATACTAGGTTCTCCCTTCCACTTCCCTCCTACAGAGTAGAGTAACACTGCACTTTTTTTTTTTTTATTATTATACTTTAAGTTTTAGGGTACATGTGCACATTGTGCAGGTTAGTTACATACGTATACATGTGCCATGCTGGTGCGCTGCACCCACTAACTCGTCATCTAGCATTAGGTATATCTCCCAATGCTACCCCTCCCCACTCCCCCCACCCCACCACAGTCCCCAGAGTGTGATATTCCCCTTCCTGTGACCATGTGATCTCATTGTTCAATTCCCACCTATGAGTGAGAATATGCGGTGTTTGGTTTTTTGTTCTTGCGATAGTTTACTGAGAATGATGGTTTCCAATTTCATCCATGTCCCTACAACATGGGAGAAAATTTTCGCAACCTACTCATCTGACAAAGGGCTAATATCCAGAATCTGCAATGAACTCAAACAAATTTACAAGAAAAAAACAAACAACCCCATCAAAAAGTGGGCGAAGGACATGAACAGACACTTCTCAAAAGAAGACATTTATGCAGCCAAAAAATACATGAAAAAATGCTCATCATCACTGGCCATCAGAGAAATGCGAATCAAAACCACTATGAGATACCATCTCACACCAGTTAGAATGGCAATCATTAAAAAGTCAGGAAACAACAGGTGCTGGAGAGGATGTGGAGAAATAGGAACACTTTTACACTGTTGGTGGGACTGTAAACTAGTTCAACCATTGTGGAAGTCAGTGTGGCGATTCCTCAGGGATCTAGAACTAGAAATACCATTTGACCCAACACTGCACTTTTAAGAGGCCATTAATTAGCACTAGATTAAAAGTACAACTACTTAAGCATTACTTGCCTTACCCAGAGGAACACTGTAAAGCTCACGCCACGTTTATTCTACTGATTGGAATAAGAGTGCCCCTCTACAGACTCAAGTCCGGAGTGTACACTGGCCCACAGTAGGTAGTTAATAAATATTGAATGAATCATTGCTCCAAAATCTTAAATTCTATGTAACCACTCAGAATGATAAAGGGAGGAGGGGCTTAACCAACCTCTAAGTCAATTGTTTGCCACTAGCTTTTAAACACCTTATAAAAGGGCTTGTCTGAGTATCCTTTTTTATCTAATCTAAGGGGGCTACACTAGGAAGACTCGGGTTACTGGAGTCCCATTAAGTCAGGTAAATACCTGAACCAATTAAATAACTGATAACATATTCTATACTAGGCACCATGTTACATGCTGGTAGCTAGATTAGTTAGCCCTCAATAAAGCTCAAATATATGGACAGATAATTGCAACACAGTGATTTATATAATAGGAATGTGAAATAGACAGTAGAAAGGAAGAGATGAACTTGATATATTTGGAGACTTGTGAGGGGAAAGAAATGCCTGAGAAAGGTTTTAATCACCAAATAGAAACCTGTTAAGCAAGAAGAAAGGAACTGTTTAGCATGGTTGGACCACTTCCCACCATCAGGTGCTCTTTTGAGCAACTAGATAAAAGAGTAACAGCCATCATTTATGGAATATTCCAGGAATGAAACCAGGTTATTTTCACATGTTATCTCATACCCTTCTAGGAGGCAGGGATCATTTTTGTTATTTTCCAGAAGAGGAAGAGTTAAATGACTTGCCCAAGGCCACATGACTAATAAGACAGAACTATAAGGTAAGCAATGCTGTAGTTCAGTGGTTTTCAGAAAAGTATTCTGTAGATTCACAAGTTTTGCAATGGTAGCACAGGAGGTAAGGTAAAGGGAGGAAACAGCATATTCTTCAGCGGCACAAACCTGCTTCAACCAGAGCAGCTGCTCTTTGATCTATTTTACATGATAGACTTCCATATAAGACTTTATTTGGACAAGGGTACTGCTGCTTTAAAAAACAAAGCAAAAAAAAAAAAAAAACCCAAAAAACTGCTGTAATTGAACAAATTAGTTTCTTGGGGCCCTAGTCTGCAATTTAGTCAACACAGCAGATAATTAAACATCGACTGTACTAAGCACAGCCTAAAATATTCACATCAAAGGGGAAAAAGGAAAAAGACTCAGATCACACTTCCATTTTGAGCCAACAGATAACTGCTTTACTTGAGGGAAAAGGCATGACTGGTTTAGATGGGTAGAGATCTAAATGCTGAATGTCACTCAGTGATGGCACCTCTTTCAAAAGCACAGACAGCTGGAGGATTCCTGGCCTCATTTACCTTCAGCCTGCCCACAATATTATATTTCTCTCTCCACTGCAAACTGTGTGCCAAAGGCCTGAGCCACTGTTATTGCCTCAGCAAGTCCCCCACTGACAGCAAAGACAGATCTCCTGCTGCTGGGTGCCCCCACAGATAAAGTGGCTCTAATAACTAGTGGAGTCATTTGTGATGCACTTTCAATTGGATCAATTTCCTCTCAATTACCCAATCTTTGAAAATCGGATGCAATTTCATAATCAGAATATGGGGCTTTCTCCAGATGAAAAGAACAAGACAAACTAGTTCAACATCATTTTAATGACCTCTTTACCTATCCTTTGGCAGCTATTATGATACAATCCAAAGAAACACTACTACCATAAAAACAATTTTGAGCAGCTCAGTTTAGCAAATTTTGTTTACATCAAAGTAAGGCAGTTGCTCTTTGGCTTGCCATCAGCCCTGCACCTAGAGTAAGATATATTACTTAGTAAACACCAAACCCTCAGGAACCTCATCACAGGTCCTCTCACCCACTTCTGATCTTAAAAACAAGACTAACTTCCTTTTTGTGAACTGTAATTATAAACATAAAACATACAGCAGAAGCTCAGAATAGGGTATTGGTGACTCTAAACCTTGGGGGATGATTCTGTACACATGTATTTGGGAGAAAGATTTGGATTATTATCTTTACATAATAGTGCTTTTGGCTGAATTTTGACCTGGGTAGATATCTACACTCTGAAAGAACACAGTGAGATAAGGAAGCAAAATGGCATAGCGCAGGTTATCCCTCTTATCATCTCCAAAATTCCGTATTTAATTAAAAGACATGAACACCAGAGATGAAGAAACAGTTCTCAATTATTTAATGCTTGATAGAGAAATGGAAAGAAATCCTGAAACCAAATAGTATGTACTGACTTGAGGAAAACACAGAATAACAAACCAATAGTTTTGCTGTTTGTTTTAGTAATGAACATGAAAATGTGTCCACCTCTCCACTTTGTTGGCCCTGGCCTATGTTGTACAATTCCTTAGACACAGGCCAGAAGAGAGAGGTAGTATGAAAAATGATGAGCCCTAGAGACTATCCAAATTTGCTGACTATATCAGCATTTGTTTGCTTATTCCCAGCTTCCTATGCTTTGGCATAATTCCAACCCATATATGCTTCTTTAAAAGGCAAGCAATTTCCAGGCTGAAGTCATCAATACCAACCAACTAGGGTCAATCCATTCTGTCACATCTGCAATTCTCAATCCAAGATGGCACAGATCCTCCAGGCGAGAGGTACTGCTTCCTAAAGGGCTTGTGTATCCCCTTTGGTAGCACTAAATGAATGACTTTCATACTGGTAAAGACGATCAGACTGAGACATAATGTTACGGGAATATGATGTCTTAAATGTCACTGAAAGGTGGAGCAGATCCCACTGAAGCATGCACAGTGAATCCAATCAGAGTTCAAGAGAAAGTGTCACAGATGAAGCACATTATAGTAGGAAGGAAACAATGGATCAAGGGCATCAAAGCCAAATGGGAAAAAATCAAGGATTTAATACAAGGGCAAATTTCAAACATGGCACAAAGGGCTAAAGTGGCTCTCTCTACTAAAGCCTTGGAAGTGCCTAATTGCTAATCAAACTTCAGCTAACACCATCGTGTGTCCTATTTGGGCAGTGCATCTTTTAAAGCTCTAAATTTAGGTGGGAAGCGGGGAGGGGGACATAACAAATAAAAACATTAAAAGATGGAGCTTCTGAAGTTCTAGAACTACCCAGCTGGAATCAGGACATAGGCTGAGTCTATTCTGCATGTGCCACTAACAACCAAGAACTAAGGGAAGGGAAGTTGGCTTGGGAGCAGAAGAAACTGATAATTTCTCATCCCCTATGGGGTGGAATATCTTCTCAGATGGTAGCTGTAGATCTTGATGCAATGATCCCAACAGTCCAAGACCAGCAGCTGCCCCTTAGGAGTTAGGGCTATGCCCACCGGACAGGTAAGTCCCTCTCGAATAAGGACACTATAGCCCCCACCCTTAGGAAAATGGAGAATTTCCTTGCGACTACTGTCAGCCACGATGAGATCACCACGAGCATCCACACACATGCCAGCAATGCAGCGGAAATCCTCATTCTCCGAGAAGAAGTGGCTAATCTGGCGACCCAGCTGCCCATCAGGGCCTACAGAGCCAATGGAAAAGCCACCCTCCAGGTGGTGCTCATTCTGCCGATTCTCCAGATTGAGGCCTAAGCCCTGGGTGAAGTAGACGGTGCCCTCAGCATCACAGGTGACAAATTTGGGCCGCACAGCACTACATAGGCAGCTGTATTTGACCACCCCTGATCCTCGATCAACTGTGAAACACCAAAGCTTTCCACCTTCCACATCGGTTACTACAAACTGGCCAGATGGCAAGGCTGTGATACCCCATGGTTTGCTCAGCTGGCTCCTGTGACAGGCCACGCAGTGGCCATCCAAGGTATATACCTTGAGGGAGTTATCATAGCTGTCAGTCACACCAATCAGCCCCTGGCAGTTCATTGCCACTGAGAGAGGAGTGAGGTTGGGTAGATCTGCCCCAAGGAAGCTTAGCACAAAGCTATCAATGCCACTGGGGCTGCGGCGGATTTCCTTCAAAAAGCCTTTGCGGGTAAAGACTTGTATACGATAGTTACCACGGTCAGCGACTAGTACTTCACCTTGACTGGTCACGTAGAGACTGACTGGAAGATTGAACATTCCTGGAGTGCTGCCTTTGGCCCCCATCTTCTTGAGAAAGAGGCACTGCTGGATATTGGAGGCTGCCTCAGGACCCCGCTGTTTAGCAGGTGAGGCCCTAGGGCTGGCAACCACTTCCTCCGGGCTCATGTCCATCTCTCTAAAAGTAACAGAGGTAGAGGCAGCAGACGCTGTGGCCTCCATGGCCCAGGAATCTTCCACGTTAACTGTCCGGGGCTTCTTAACAGCTTGTCCAATTTGGAGGGGGCCAACATGACCTACCTTAAGGAGCTCCACATCTTGCAGGGTGAGCTCCCGAGGCAAGCTGGCAGTGAGCTCTGGCTCCTCCTCATCAGCTGTCTCCTCCAGTAGTGCTACATCTGCCTGCTTGATCTTGGCCAGGAAGTAGTCACAGCGAGACACAGCCTGCACCTCTGCAATGTTAAGCAGGTAACTCTGCTCCTCTACCACTTGACTATTGGACTTCTCAACTTCAGCCAAAGAGCCTGTGAAGAACTTCCGAGAGCGAGCCAGCTCATCCTGGACCCTGCGCTCCTCATGCCCATACTCCTGGAGAACTGCTTTATACCTTGCCTGAAGGTCCTTGGAGACACCTTCCAAGGCTGCCTTCCGCCGCTGCAGCTCCCCCATAAGTTCCCGCAGACGAGTTAACTTCTCTCCAAAGTCCCGACGCCGCTCCTCAGCTGCTTCTTTGACAGGGAGTGTACAGTGGCCAGGAGGCTGATGGTCTGCCTCCCGGCAGGGCTCACATAACACCAAACCACAGCTCCGGCAGAATTGCCGGGGCAGACGCCGCCCACAGGACCGACACATGAGCAGCCCCACAGCCTCGCTGAGCCCAGCTGTATCAATGATCTTTAGCACTGTCAGATTGTCTGTCAGCTGGGTCAAGCTGGTTATGCGGGTAATCTTGCTGCAAAAGGGACAGCGGACACCATTGATGCTACTGGCCAATAGCTTCTCCAGGCACTGGCGGCAGATGGTATGGCCACAGTGCAGAAGCTTGGGACGCAGCTGCTCTTCTGTGAAGGACTCCATGCAGATGGGGCATTCTAGCACTTCCCGGAGGGCATCCAGGTTCAGGTGAGAAGCTGCTGCTGCAGCCATTGCTCTTCCTTTGAAGGGTATTGCTAGCACAGCTCAGAACTGAACAGCACAGTATTCATGCCCTAGAGGGTCAAATTCCTGCTAAAGAGAAAAAGAAACCATTATTCATTTTCCTCTGACTATATAAATAAATTCACTCAAGAAACATTTAGAGAATAGCTATGACCAGTCATTCAGTCATTCCCTTACTTAACAACTATTTTATTGAGGTCTATTATATGTCACGTGAGGGTGACAGATAGGGAAACAAACCAGACAAAACACTGCATAGTGGGAAATAATTCAGATTCTGTAGTCTCAGACACTTACTTAGCTGCATGACCATAAGGAATTAACTCAAACTTCCAAAAGCTCTTTCCCCATCACTCATCTGTAAAATAGAAGTAATAATGGTGTCTGCCTTATATGGTTATTATAAGGGCTAAGTAACAAGATAAATATGATGTGCTTAGTATAGCACCAGGGAAGTAGTATACTTGTAATAAATGCTAATGAGCTAATGATTATTTTCATATTTGGTGAATTTTACAACTTCTGATTTACACTAAGAGAAAAGCACAGGAGAATTATGCACAGTAAAAGGAATAAGTATAACATGCAAGTCCACATAATGTTCTGCTGGAGTACAGTGGATGGAATGATGGATTCTACCTAACAGACTTGGGGAAGGCTTCCCAAAAGCAGTTTCACTCCTAAGATATGTCTTGAAAGAAATGAAGGAATGAGGATAAAGGTACTTTAAGCAAAGAAAACCATGTAAGCAAAAGTGTGGAGGCTTTTTTTTTTTTTTTTAATCATGTCACAGAGTTTATTGTGTCATGTTTGGGGGCCTAGGAATCATCCACAGAAGCAGAAAATTGTGATGATTAGTTTTAGGTGATCTGCAAAACATCAGATCAGAAAATACACATTTTCCACGCATCTATCCTCCTACTTACTCACCTATCCACCCATCTAAGTTTAGGTATCTTGTTCTGTACTAGATACAAGAGGTCTTTAGGATACAGATCCTGCTCTTCAGATATTCAAACTTTATAAAAGACAAGACATGTAGGTAAATAATAATGAAGGCAGAAAGTGGTACTATAAACGAAATAAAAACTAAGTTTGATGGGGGTTGAGGAGTCATTCCAATCTGAAGGGATACAGAATTTTCAAAGGGAAGATGACATTTTATATTGGCCTGGAAAGATGCATAAATACATGGAGAGGGAAGAAAGAAGTGGGCAAAAGGCACAACCTTAACAAAGTATAAAAGGCAAAGGAAAGGACAAGAAGTTTCATGTATTAGAAAGAAAACAGAGAATACTTAAACTCTATGCATTTTATTTTCTCCACCTTTAAAATGGAAAAATACTGTCTTTACAGAGTTAATGTAAGAATGAAATAATATATAGAGTGTATAGAATGCTAAGATTTGGCTCTGCACCAAAAAAGCCTTTAATGAATTTTAGTTCTCTTTTTTATTATCCTTAGATTAAAACTGTGGGAGTATATATGGGGAATAGAGTAACAGACTTGGAAAGGTAAATTGGGGGAATAATTATAAAAGGTCTTCAGAGCCAAAATGAGATTTTTGAGCGTCATTTTCAAGGGCATGGTGAGGTGATGAATGTTTTGAAGCAGGAAGATGATATGATCAAAGCAGGAATGGAGTGGGGAAACATCAGAGAAGACGGGGATAATGGGGAGTCTGAACTAGGGAGCAGGTGGTGGAAATGGAAAGATTCATTTGAGCAATATCCAGAAGTATAGTCAGTAAGATTTGAAAGGTGAGTGGATTATGGTGGGGGAGTGGTGAAGAGCAGAGATAGCCAAAGACTCAAGCCTAGATGATTTAAAAAATAGCAGTGCCTTATCAAGACAGTTTATTTCTGGCTTAGAGTACCCTCTGCGTCACCCAATACAAACCATGAACACTCCAACCCTCTTGATATACATATACTTATGAAGTTGACCCAGAGAGATCTCAGTGCTCTGTAGCCTTAGGTCACTGTCAACGTATACCCCAAATCAGAATGAATAGGTCTAGCAAGTTGAGGCATATGATAAAGTCAGCATTTCATAAACGCAAATCCTACAGCTGTATCTGTGCAGTCTTGTGATCTGCAGATGGTCAACCACCCAGGAGAAGGAGGAAGTGGAGGGCAAGTTCGTTTGATTTTAAGGACAATGCATTTAGCTCAAGAACACTTTGCACATGACATCAACTCTTTCTCCAGGCATAGAGAAGAAGGGGAGTTAATGTAGAGATATACATTACAACAAATTTCTACCATATTAGCTTTGGAATGCAATCTGACAAATATATAGCAGCAGACATGCACAATTATCTAAAGTTAATCCTTCCTCCCTGATATCCCACTTCCTTTGTACTGCAAGGGAAACTATGCATCTAGTGCCTATTATATGCTAGTTACTATGACAGATACTTTATATGCTTAATCTCTTTTAATCTTCATGATGACACTATGAAGTGGTAATATTTTTATTATCCTATTTTACAGATGAGGAAACGAATGCTCAGAAAAACTTGCTCAAGGTCACACAGCTCAAACATAGTGGAACCTTGAAGTACAGATATTTTTACTTTATTTAACCCAACATTATTTCAAGCTATTTTTTACTGTCACATAACAATGATTAACTAATGTTCCCTTGACCACGCTCTGGGGAATGCTGCCTTATAGCATACGCATTTTCTCCATAACACAGAAGGAACACTAATATAGTTATGAGATTCTGCTGCTATAGAGTGGGATAGATTGATTTATTAGCTGAGTGACCTACTCTCACACAGCAAGCTTGCAACCCATTATGACTCAAATCCATACCTCAGCAAAATAATATTTACCATATATCATGAGCGTATGAGGTCTGATGTGGATATCTGAAACTATGAATGGTAAATTCTTAAATGCCAAGTGTCTAGGGGCAATAGCATAGACATACTGATAGAAATTACAACTCAGGGCCAGGCGTGGTGGCTCATGCCTGTAATCCCAGCACTTTGGGAGGCTGAGGTGGGCGAATCATGAGGTCAGGAGATCGAGACCATCCTGGCTAAGACGGTGAAACTCCGTCTCTACTAAAAATACAAAAAAAAAAAAAAAAATTAGCTGGGCGTGGTGGCAGGCGCCTGTAGTCCCAGCTACTCGGGAGGCTGAGGCAGGACAATGGCATGAACCTGGGAGGCGGAGCTTGCAGTGAGCCGAGACGCGCCACTGCACTCCAGACTGGGTGACAGAGCGAGACTCCATCTCAAAAAAAAAAAAAAAAAAAAGAGAAATTACAACTCAGGATCCATGCAACCCTTCTCAATTCTAAATCAATAGCTACAGTTCTCTCTTCTATCATCTGGGACAACAGACTGAGGACATTTGGAGTTTGAATCTAGAACGTTACCTTACAATGCACAGGGACATCTGTGTTCTTCCCAGAGCTGGCAGTGCAGATCAGTTTATTAAACAAGGCTGCCAACTTGTAAAAATAGCAGCAAATTATTTCCCAAGCTTTCTGGAATATCATATCCCTCCTTCAATTGAAAAGCTTCCTACCTCTCTGTCTAAGACATCAGGTTTAAAAAAATGAATTTACTATGCCCACATCCCCAAATTATCTCAGCTGACTACAGCTTCACCAAGCTCTCTGAGGATGTCAAGAATTCCTGCCCCAAAGCTGCCATGCTTTGCCAGGAAAACCTGTGTTCCCCTCACTAAAGCATGAGGCACGGAAATAGTCTCAAACCTGGAAAAAGCCAGAACCACTTTTCCCACTTCCATGACTTGAAAACACTGCTTTGTGAAGGATCTTAGCCTGAAATGGAGCTAAGAGACAGGCAGATAGAGCCCGTCTCCTCCAGAAGGGCACATCTGGTCATTACTGTAATACTGAGAATGACTCAGATAGAAGGTCAATTTGACTTCAGTTTCCCCAAAAGACTACACAAATAAAAGGAATTGTCTTATCATTCCAAATCTTTAAGTAAGCTGCCCATTTTCTGCCAGCTATCAACTGTACAACCAATCAGAATGAGTATCCAACATGCTATGTATCATCTTGGCTCCCTTCATGATCCCTTGAATGTCTGTTTCCTGTTGTGCACTTTGTGCCATTAATTCTTGACCTCCCACCTCATCTAACATCAGCCTACCATCTTCCCACATCCCTTGACCTAATGATTAATACTGTACATCCCATACCATACTGTACTAGCACATCTCTTCAGCTCCCGATGAGAATCTGTCCCTTAAGCTGTGTCTACTCTGGCTGCCCTAAGACTCAGAAAAATTACATAATTATATTCCATATTAATCTCGCCTCTTCTAGCACCACTGGGTTTTCCCCATTCCATGAAATGAGTAACCAAGGTAGTAGAAAAAGCAAACAAAACAAAAGAATGAACCTTAAAGTTATATAGGACTGAGATCATATCTTAGCACTGTCACAAGTTGTGGGGAAGCAGGCAATTTATTTAACCTGTCTAAACCTGTTTTCTTAGTTTATAAAAAGAGTACTGTAATGACTATGGAAAATGCATATAAAGTACTTAGCCTGATACCCTTAGGTGTACAATAAAAGGATGCTAAATAAATAATAACCAGAAACAGCATTAACAATAACTAGTACTAGTATTAATAACGCATTCAGTTTACAAACTACATTTTGAAAGCATGAACAACCTTTCCTTTCATGGCATATAAAGGCATATAAAGATTAATAAAAGGGCTGGTCAGTTTTGAAGAGTTTTGATTGAGAATGCCAGACATACAGGCTAAAAACTGATGGGTAAATGAATTTACAACTTGTCTTGCCCAGAAAATGAGCTGCTGTAGCTCCTTCAAGCAGAGACTAAGTATGAAATGCTAGAATTCGTAGCAATCTCCTTACTTGAGACCAGGAAGTGGAGGTTGCAGTGAGCTGTGATGATGCTACTGTACTTCAGCCTGGGCAAAAGGGGAAGAAAAGGTAGTAATCTCAAGTTGTAAAATAGATGAGAAAACTAAGACCAGGAGAGGGAAATTAAGACCACAAATCACACAACAGAACTAGGACTAAAAGACACGAACTAGGAGTGGACAGTATTATATAGATTAAGGAAGCAGGCCTGAGGGATCAGGCTTTCCTGGATTTGAATTCAAGCTCTACTACTTATTGTGGAGACGTGAGCAAGTTATTAATACTTCTGTAGTTCTCAGTTTATCTATGGAAAGGGACTTTAAAATAGTATCTTCCTCACAAAGTTATTGCAAAGATTAAATGAGATTATGTGTGTAAAGCACTAAGTACAGTACCAAGCCAGGCATGCAATTAACTATACATAAATAATAGTTTTTATTATTATTAGCAGTAGCAGCAACTGCTGCTGCCACCACCCAACCTATTAGAAGAAATGAATAGGCACTTTTCAGCAGACTGTACCCAAGGCCCCAGATACATAAACCTAAATAATAAAAATTCTAAGCCCTCCTAGAAATTGTTTTACCTGATCCCAGAATCTAAAGATTAGAGATGATCTAAGGTTTCAAATCTTCACCTAATGCTTGAATTGCCACCATGGGGTGGTTCTCTAGATATCTCCATTTCCTTTACCTATATCAGCCTTTGGTGGCTTAGGCCATGAGCAAAACTGGAGAACTTTAAGCAATTAACAAAACAAATCTTTACTAAGCACCTACTATGTGTCTGGCCCTGTGAACGGTACTGGTGATACAATTTTGAGCAAAAACCAGACATAAACAGTGCTTTCCCCTAAAAACTAGACAACATGTAAAATATTGCATTTCCTTTCACAAGACATAAAGGTCCATCCTACTATTGACACGCTCCCCTGGTTTGACTGGGTTTTTTGCAAGGTTTATCTCATTTCCTTTTATGTCAGCTTTCTAAACTTTATTCCTCATGCATTCTAACAGAATGCTAATCAAGTGCAAAACTATCACTGTGCCACCAAAGGCCACTCGTTAGCAGGACTGACTTTAACGAATTCAGTGAGGTCATCACCTGACATCCACTCCTGTGTGTGGGAGAGGATTCTGATGAAGTTTAGATTACTCAGGGCATTTAAGGCACCTGCAGACAACTAAGA
The DNA here is from genome assembly GCF_000001405.40 of Homo sapiens. Classification (NCBI taxonomy): domain Eukaryota; kingdom Metazoa; phylum Chordata; class Mammalia; order Primates; family Hominidae; genus Homo; species Homo sapiens. The sequence continues at coordinate 116,691,654 of NC_000009.12, read as the reverse complement.
TAAACTCAACAAGTAGGGGCTTATAGGGAAACACAGGCATGCTCCTGAAGTTGTACCAGTCTGGGGCAAACAAAACGATCCAGAAGGAAGTATGTTTGTAGAGAAAGAAAACTTTAGCTAAATTACTAAGTTAAACATAGCTAAACTATGTCAAGGGCAGGCTAAATGAATAATAGGGTTTCCTGGAAAACATGCTTGCCTGTTGTCTCTGTCTTCCTCTAAAACTGCAGGACCTAGAAAGACTCCCTTGCATCTTTCACAAACATTTGAGTAGTACCTACGCTGCCAGTATGACTCAAGGAATATAAGACAAAGGAAAAATCAATAGCCCCTTCTCAGGGACCTCCAACTAACCTCAACCCTCTCTCTCTTTCAATTCCTTTCTCTGCATATAACATCTGTTCATTTAATCATGAGATTATGATTAAAGGATCAAGGAGATCCTAGGAAATATACAAAATGGGATGAGAATTTTGGGGAGACTAGCAGAGACTACTTAGGGTTATCAAAATCTGGCAAAGAGCCTGAGCAACAGAGTGAAACACCATCTCTACAATAAATTTAAAAGATAATCAGGTGTGGTGGCATGCACTTGTGGTCCCAGCTACTTGGGAGGCTGAGATGGGAGGATCACTTGAGCCTAGGAGGTTGAGGCTGCAGTGAACTGTGATTGCACCACTGCACTCCAGCCTGGGTGACACAGCAAGACCCTGTATAAATAAATAAATATGACAAAGCAACACTTAGTTCTCTTCCAGCACTGCCTTCCTCTCATAATTGCTAACACTCTTAAAGCAACTACTATTTATTGTCAGGCATTTTTTTATATGTTCTCATAGTCTCATAATAACCATGTAAAGTAAGTGTGATTCCTCTTCAAAAATAAGGAAACCAATGCTCAGAGAAAGTAGCCTGTCCAAGGTCTCAAAACCAATAAGTAATAGAGCAAGGATTCAAATCCCAGTATCAACTCCCAGCCATAAAATTACTAACTTAAAGGATGTTTCATAGTTCCCTAGCTTTAGACAAAGTCTGGCTGAGAGGTTGGTAAGGGCACCTAGAAATGATTTTTAAATTTGATTGTTTTACCAGAAAGACAAGATGGAGGGAATGTCACAAAGGTTACACATCAGTGTGCATAGACAATGATCTACTTTAAGGGCCTTATAAACTTCTGGCTTCCAACTATTCTCCAGACATAAACATAGGGGCTCTGAAGGGTTGGAAAAGGCTTCTAATAAAACTACTATAATGTAACATAGGTGTAAGACAGAACTGGGTTTGTATCCCAACCTAGCTACTTGCTCTGTAGCCCTGGGTAAGTCATTTAACCTGTTATTTTTCTTATCTGTAAACAAGGAATAAAACCTAGACTGTTAGCAGGATTGAATTCACTAAGATAATGCACATAATAAGCACTCAACAAATTATAATCATTTGCATTTTTAATAGATTGAGGCTGACAGGACAAGTGCCGTAGCTACTGACAAGGTAACATAGGAAATTAGAGTAAGGAGTTTAGACAGGGCTGATTTAATTCCCATGACATATTTTCTTTTAGGGATGTGCACAGATATTCCAGCTAAGTCTTGCTGTCAGACACAGTCTAGCTTTGTTTCTGAACTGGCTTCAGCAACCCTGTAGCTAGTCCTGGAAATGATAGAGCCAAATTCTGTTCCAGGGAAAAGCAGACCAAAAGAGACCATACAGAACAGTAGTTACTCTCCTTCAGAGTATGACTGCCTTCAGCCTCAGTCCCTGCTATGAGGTGTTTTTTCAAGCCAATGGCCTCCATACCTCACCCTATAGTCCGTTGCACCTCATCCTGCCTGATAACCTCAGGCTCCTCTCCTTATCTAGCCCCAGGTCTTGGTCTAAGGGCAAACCAAGAACAAAGTCCAGGGCTCCTCCCTACCTAATCAGAGAGATTTACCCCCCAACTTTAGAGTTCAATCTGATAGTCAGTGATACTCACTGGCAATCCTCTTTTTCATTAGAGGGGAATGGGCTGAGAAAATAAGACTAAGCAGGCCCTAGCAAGGAAGAAGCAAGGAAAGCGGGAATATACGGAGTTACAGAGATCTGGGTATGAGCTTAACTGTGTCATTCCTAGCTATGGAAACTTAGGCAAGTCACTTCCTAAGCCTTAGTTTCCTCATGTGTAAAACTGAATACAGTAGAGCCTACTTAGAAGGACTGTCATGAAAACTGAGTAAAGAAGTAGATACAAGACTAAAAATTACTAGATTTTGAGAACTTACTATGTGCCAGATCCTAGGCATGCTAGTTTACTTCACTAAATCCTCACAACAATTCTGTGACATTGGTCTTGTTATCATAACCCCATTTTACAGATGAAGAGCCAAGGCACTGGGTGGTTAAGTAACTCATTCAAGGCCACAAAGTCAGGAAGAGATAGAGCTAGGACTTAAAGTCAGGAAGAGATAGAGCTAGGACTTGAACCCAGGGTATCTGACTCTAGGTCAGAGTGCCTCAACTTTGGCATTACTGACATTTTAGGCAGGATAATTCCTTACTGCGGGGGGGAAGGGCGTATCCCACACATTGTCAAATGTTTAACATAAAACATTATGTTTAATGTTTAATCTACCCACTTGAGGCCAGTAGTATCCCCCACCCTGTGACAACCAAAAAACATCTCCAGACATTGCCTAATGTCTCCTAGGAGACAAAGCCAGACTTGGTTAAGAACCACTGCTTTACAGTCTAGCACAGGACTAAATGCTCAATACCTAAGGGTTCCCTTTTTTTTTTCTGGTGGTTGTTGTTGTTGTTTTGTCTGTCTCCGAGCCCAAACACCTCACTCACAGAGCCACTGCCCCTTCAAGCTGTAATGGATCTTATATAGGATAAATTATTCCACTCATTCCCCTGGAGGTCTCACTTTCTATCTGCTATCGTAGCTTGGGGGTACAGGGAAAAAGGGCTTAGGCAGATGACCTTGAATAGTTCCACTTCTTCTTCCCCAAAGCCTACCACTTTCAGTGGGCCGGGGGACCGGTGGTCAGAATGGAGTTAGTGGCAATACCATACCTGCCTCATGATAACGGATCTTTGTTTAATAAATGAAGAAGATTCTGCCCTTCACAGGGATTACCACACTCCTTCAGGATTATCTGAACTGAAGATTTATCACTTTGTTCCTCAGCACCTGAACTCTGCTCATCTTCATATACTCATCCAGTTTCATACATTACTTTTAGGTCCTTGGGTCCCCTGAACTCCCTCTGTCTCCCATGCAGCGATTTAAGGAAAATCTCTTTAGCAGCCCAAGACACCAATCCACAAATCTACTCAGGGTCCTTTGATTTTATAGCCCAGTTAGGACATCTCCACCCCACGATTCAATCCTCTCCAAACCCTGTCCCCAACCCTCTTACAATTCCAAATTCCAATCTTTGGGGCTGTATATTGCAACCCTCGTCAATTCCTCACTCATATGCCCCAAATCCCTCGGACTCAGATCGTTTAATCCCTATTTCCAAATCTCTGCCACACTCAGCCCCGCACCTCAGTTCAACGCCCCAATTCCTCACCCCAGATTTCTGCTCTCCCTCAATCTGAGCCCCCATCTCCTGCATTCCATCGGGCACTGTGCTGCCCTCATACCCTGCTCCTTCCTCTTATGCACTGAATGTCATGTGCTGCCTTCACACCTCAGCCAGCTCCCTTCTTTCTGCTAACAAGATAGAGTCCCTCAAGAACTCACCCCACCCCCTCAATCTCACCCTCAGCCCACTCCGAAAACCCTTTCTCAATAGCACTTAGGATCGCCCTAGACCTTGCTCCTATCATCTCAGACCCTGTCCTTGCCAGATGCCTAGCGCCCCCAGATTTCCTCAAATCTCATCGGGGCCCCCCAGTTCCTTCATATTTCTGAAATTCTGCACCCAGGTCCCTCCAGGGCCCTGATTCCCTCCCATCTCCCACATGCTACACCCCGTTCCTCCTCAGGGCCCCGACATTACCTCATACCTCCCGAGATGCTGCAACCGCAAATCTCTTCAGAGCCCCTCGCTCCCCTCCCCCAGCTGCATCTCCTCGGATCTCCTCAGCCCCACGAATCCCTCCCGAGCCTGCCCCTCGCAGCCCCACCCCCACCCTAGTCCTGCCCCCCCCAGATCCGGTCCCCACACCCTGCCATTCGGGCGCGGCCGCTGCACGCCGGCACGTTCCCCCGCCTGGCCGCTGAGCCACGGCCCACGACTCCGGCCGCGGTCCCCAGTCCCCAACCCTCCTTCCCGCCCCCTACCTGACCGCCCGCGGCTCCGACGAGTCCACCGCCGGCAGCCCACCCGCCTGCCTCCCTCTGCGCACGCGCCGTTGAGCACCCCTTGCCGGGCGCCAATTCGCAGAGCTCCCTGTCCGTCACTGAGCCCCGCCTCCCCAGCATGCTGGGGCTTGTCGTGCAGCTGGCCCCAAGCGCGCGGGGCAAGGCGGCCCTGCAGGGGTGAGCTTTCCTCTGAGAACCCGGGGCCTTAGCGACACGTAATCCAGTTTTCCGTCTCCTTGGTGCAGATGAAGAAACCGACGCCCATGGGCGAAAGGGACCTGCTCAAGTTCACTCAGTAAGTCAGGAGATAAGCCAGAATGCGTATCTGACTCCAGTCTCAATGTCTACCCCTTCACAAAACGGTAGCCTCCAGGGTAGTCCTCAGCAAAGCGTTGGCACCTTACTGAATCTGTTTTTCCATCTGAGAAATGGGCCAACGGAAAAATCAAACTTCCATTCTGGGGAAGTCGAGAACCGGGACTCCCTAGGAAGGGCAGTGCTTTGGCCTCATGTTCTGTGCTCTGACAGAGAGCTGCACTAGAGACAAGTTTATCCATGAACACATTGCTCTGTAAAGGAATGTTTTGCCTACTCAGCTGGGAGGCCGACAGCAGAGGCAGACTTGGGGAGTACACTCTGCAGCCCCTGTCCCTGCAGACTGAAGGTACCCGGGAACCCAAACCAAGTGTAGTTTTGCTCGGGTGAAGGTGGAGGAATCTTACCAGGTGGGAGGTGATCTGGCCTGAGATTTGAGGGAATCTGGGGCACTAGGCATCTGGCAAGGACGAGGTCTGATACAGGACTGGCTGGCCACGACCTGCAGTCCCTGAAGTAGTTTGGGGCCAATCACCTACTCTCCAAGGTGACTATACTGTACAGCTTAGGAGCACAAAGGAGTTTGAAGTAGGATGGACTTGGATTTGAAATTCCCCTTAGCTATGTGACCCTGCACAATGATAAAACAATAAACAAAAACAATGACTAACATCTTTGAACACTTGCTGTCTGGCTACAGCTGAGGACTTCAGGTGCATAGCTCACTAAATCCTCATAAGGACCTAATGAGATAAGGCAGCTGATGGTTAACCTACACCTGTTGTGTAACCTAGGTGGTTACACAAGGCCACATATACCTAAGTGTTGGAGCCCAAATTTGTACCCAATTCTATCTGAGAACCCACTCTCTTAACCTTGTTTACTCTTTCTCCCCATTTTCTAAATTTCTAATTGAAGTTTGCCATGAAGATAAGCCAAGATTATGGTAGTTTGCACTTAATGATAACTATATTTGAAAAATTGTAATTAGCAGGTAGGGGATAAGGGAGAGGTAATGCCAAATGATTTCTCACTTAGACCAGTTGGGGAGACTTTGCACCCGTTTAAAATTTTTTTTTTTCCTGAAAACCACAGTTATCAGCCCAAAGTATAAATTTAGGACTGTTCATAGTCTTACATATATACATATTATATATGTGTGTATATGTATCAATACAGACATACTGATGTTTCCCTAATTACAGAGGAGTGTTAAAAATACTCCTGGGGATCTAGCTCAAGCAAGTGTCTTGAAAAAAAAAAATCTCTCTTCTCCCTTAAAACAAAAATCAGTGTTTGACTCTTCTTTAATGTTTATTACCAGTTAAATGAATTATTATACCTCTCACAAAATCTTAGAGTAGAATAAGCATTCTAGGAAATGCACTCAATTTTTATCTTATAGCTTGACATATCCTGGCACAATATTAGAATTCCTCTTACACAGAGGCATTTAAAAAATAATCTTTGTGGAGTGCTTTAAACACTCTTTATTCAGCATTTTAATGTAACAGATTTTTATTTAACACTTAAATCACCTATATCAGTGGAACCACCTGAGGAGTTTACCTTGCCCACTGCCTAGACAGAGCTGATTCATCAAGACAGGGGAATTGCAATAGTTAAAGAGTAATTCACGCAGAGTCAGCTGTGCGGGAGACTGGAGTTTTATGATTACTCAAGTCATCTCCCTGAGCATTTGGGGAACAGAGATTTTAAGGATAACTTGGTGGGTTGGGGGAAGCCAGTGAGCCAGGAGCGCTGTTGGTCAGGGATGAAATCATAGGGAGTCGAAGCTGTCTCCTTGCAGTGAGTCAGTTCCTGAGTGGGGGGGCCACAAGATCAGATGAGTGAGTTTATTGATCTGGGTGGTGCCAGCTGATCCATCAAGTGCAGGGTCTGCAAAATATCTCAAGCACTGATCTCAGAAGCATTTTAGGGAGGCTCAGCATCTTGTAACCTCCAGCTGCATGACTCCTAAACCGCAATTTCTAATCTTGTGGCTAATGTTAGTCCTACAAAGGCAATCTAGTACCCAGGCAAGGAGGTCTGCTTTGGGATAGGGTTGTTACTGTCTTTGTTTAAACTATGAACTACAGACTAAATTTCTCCCAAAGTTAGTTCAGCCTATGCCCAGGAATGAACAAGGACAGCTTGGAAGTTAGAAGCAAGATGGAGTCAGTTAAGTTAGATCTCTTTTACTGTCTCAATCATAATTTTGCAAAGGCAGTTTCAGTCCATCACTTTGGGTTTTGTAACACCTTAATCTTAAAGTGTAGGGTATGAAGATGGGAAAAGGCTGTCGATTGCTCTGGGTTCTTCTTGCTGACAGGGGACGTAGTGGGAATGGGAGTCAACCCCAAGGTGAGAAGAGTGGGACCACTTTCAAGTGTCTGAGCGACTCATGCAGGTCTGGCTGGGCTTCTAAGGCTTGCATGGCAAAAACATTAGTACTCTCATCTATAGTTTTAGTACAGTATTTAGGTGAACAGCCTACTATAAGGTAAATAATGAGTCCTAGGATGAGGAGTACAATACTCAATTTTAAAAGCAAAGATTTGAAAGCATTAGTCTGGCGACTTCCAACCCACAAATAATTTAGGATTTAGTCAAAATTGTAGAAAAAACTCAAGGACAGCTAACAACAGCTAACAATAGGTTTCCTCTTGAAGCATAATTTCTCTCTCTCCAGACCCCATTTTTATTAAAAACAAATCATGATAGAACTGATTTGTTTACAGAAATGTACTTTAGTCTTACTATACTTGGCCTGATTATTTGCATAAAGTGCAGCAAGAATAATTATTTTTCACTTAGGGTCTTTTTTGTTTAAATTAGCTTTGATGGAACTCTGTTCCATGAGGAATCTCAGATAAGAGTTTTTAAAAGCCAAGCTCAGCCATGGGTTTGTATCCTCAAATACCTATGAGTTGGGTAAATTCCTCTCTTCTCAAGGTCCCAAAATAACTTGGGGTTCCTGGGCCTGTTAGAAAGTGACATTCTTTACTTACCACAGGTCAGGAACCTTGTACAGGGACTGTATGACAGAACCTTGTACAGGGACTATAGACAAGGTCTGAGGTTAGATTCCCCAGGGGGCTTTAATTGGCTCTATACATTAATTTTGATTCTTTGAAGGAAGCATGCCATTCCAGTAAAAGCCTTGGTAAAATAATCAATTTCTCCAGTTGTGTCCTGTTACAAGACAAAAACAGATTCTTACTGCACTTATGCAATTAAGTATACTGGCATAAATTGAGAATACTTACAAATAGTTTCCATATTCAGGAGAAATCAGGTAGAGAGAAACAAATATGCTCTAAATTTTTTTCATGGAAGTATTTTTTACTCATTTGTTAAAAGTTGCAAATAACTCTAAAGAAATATGCTATCTTGACTCTGAAAATGAGAGGATTAGCAATGCTTAACACATCAGCTATCTGTGAGAAGCCTAGAAGTTTCATTTTTTCCTCTATTCCAATAAAACAATTTTTAAAGTTATCTGAGACCTGCACTCAGAGTGTGATATCTGATTATAAACTGCCTTTTGAAAAGGACAAAAGCAAGACAAAATGTCTATGGATGACAAAAGTCTATAGCTACTATTAAAGCTGCAATTGACTAGGAATCTTGGTTACTTCTGTGGCATACAACACTTTTATATAACAATTATAATTATTAATAATGTACTCTAAATCATATCAGAATTATAGAAGTTTCCCATAATTTCTGGAACACATACTAATAACATATTTATACAAATATAGTCCAAAGAAAACCAAACACTATTCACTCTTCAATTTGAAAGTTTTTCCTCGATTCTAATATCACAGTCTCCAGAGTTTTTAATCAGAAACCTGCATTTAAGAGGGCCTGTTAAATTTTATAGCTGATTATAAAACCATCCGTTAAAGAGGACCAAAGCGAGACAACAATTGTATATGGATGACAAAAACATTTTAGGGCAGCCACACTTTTTTTTTTAATTTATTTTTTATTTTTTATTTTATTTTATTATTATTATACTTTAAGTTTTAGGGTACATGTGCACAATGTGCAGGTTAGTTACCTATGTATACATGTGCCATGCTGGTGTGCTGCACCCATTAACTCGTCATTTAGCATTAGGTATGTCTCCTAATGCTATCCCTCCCCTCTCCCTCCACCCCACAACAGTCCCCAGAGTGTGATGTTCCCCTTCCTGTGTCCATGTGTTCTCATTGTTCAATTCCCACCTATGAGTGAGAATATGCGGTGTTTGGTTTTTTGTTCTTACGATAGTTTACTGAGAATGATGATTTCCAATTTCATCCATGTCTCTACAAAGGACATGAACTCATCATTTTTTATGGCTGCATAGTATTCCATGGTGTATATGTGCCACATTTTCTTAATCCAGTCTATCATTGTTGGACATTTGGGTTGGTTCCAAGTCTTTGCTATTGTGAATAGTGCCACAGTAAACATACGTGTGAATGCGTCTTTATAGCAGCATGATTTATAGTCCTTTGGGTATATACCCAGTAATGGGATGGCTGGGTCAAATGGTATTTCTAGTTCTAGATCCCTGAGGAATTGCCACACTGACTTCCACAATGTTTGAACCAGTTTACAGTCCCACCAACAGTGTAAAAGTGTTGCTATTTCTCCACATCCTCTCCAGCACTTGTTGTTTCCTGCCTTTTTAATGATTGCCATTCTAACTGGTGTGAGATGGTATCTCATTGTGGTTTTGATTTGCATTTCTCTGATGGCCAGTGATGGTGAGCATTTTTTCATGTGTTTTTTGGCTGCATAAATGTCTTCTTTTGAGAAGTGTCTGCTCATGTCCTTCGTCCACTTTTTGATGGGGTTGTTTGTTTTTTTCTTGTAAATTTGTTTGAGTTCATTGTAGATTCTGGATATTAGCCCTTTGTCAGATAAGTAGGTTGCGAAAATTTTCTCCCATTTTGTAGGTTGCCTGTTCACTCTGATGGTAGTTTCTTTTGCTGTGCAGAAGCTCTTTAGTTTAATTAGATCCCATTTGTCAATTTTGGCTTTTGTTGCCATTGCTTTTGATGTTTTAGACATGAAGTCCTTGCCCATGCCTATGTCCTGAATGGTAATGCCTAGGTTTTCTTCTAGGGTTTTTATGGTTTTAGGTCTAACGTTTAAGTCTTTAATCCATCTTGAATTAATTTTTGTATAAGGTGTAAGGAAGGGATCCAGTTTCAGCTTTCTACATATGGCTAGCCAGTTTTCCCAGCACCATTTATTAAATAGGGAATCCTTTCCCCATTGCTTGTTATTCTCAGTTTTGTCAAAGATCAGATAGTTGTAGATATGCGGTGTTATTTCTGAGGGCTCTGTTCTGTTCCATTGATCTATATCTCTGTTTTGGTACCAGTACCATGCTGTTTTGGTTACTGTAGCCTTGTAGTATAGTTTGAAGTCAGGTAGCGTGATGCTTCCAGCTTTGTTCTTTTGGCTTAGGATTGACTTGGCAATGCAGGCTCTTTTTTGGTTCCATATGAACCTTAAAGTAGTTTTTTCCAATTCTATGAAGAAAGTCATTGGTAGCTTGATGGGGATGGCATTGAATCTGTAAATTACCTTGGGCAGTATGGCCATTTTCACGATATTAATTCTTCCTACCAATGAGCATGGAATGTTCTTCCATTTGTTTGTATCCTCTTTTATTTCATTGAGCAGTGGTTTGTAGTTCTCCTTGAAGAGGTCCTTCACGTCCCTTGTAAGTTGGATTCTTAGGTATTTTATTCACTTTGAAGCAATTGTGAATGGGAGTTCACTTATGATTTGGCTCTCCGTTTGTCTGTTATTGGTATATAAGAATGCTTGTGATTTTTGTACATTGATTTTGTATCCTGAGACTTTGCTGAAGTTGCTTATCAGCTTAAGGAGATTTTGGGCTGAGACAATGGGGTTTTCTAGATATACAATTATGTCATCTGCAACTAGGGGCAATTTGACTTCCTCTTTTCCTAATTGAATACCCTTTATTTCCTTCTCCTGCCTAATTGCCCTGGCCAGAACTTCCAACACTATGTTGAATAGGAGTGGTGAGAGAGGGCATCCCTGTCTTGTGCCAGTTTTCAAAGGGAATGCTTCCAGTTTTTGTCTATTCAGTATGATATTGGCTGTGGGTTTGTCATAGATAGCTCTTGTTATTTTCAAATACGTCCCATCAATACCTAATTTATTGAGAGTTTTTAGCATGAAGGTTGTTGAATTTTGTCAAAGGCCTTTTCTGCATCTATTGAGATAATCATGTGATTTTTGTCTTTGGTTCTGTTTATATGCTGGATTGCATTTATTGATTTGCATATATTGAACCAGCCTTGCATCCCAGGGATGAAGCCCACTTGATCATGGTGGATACGCTTTTTGATGTGCTGCTGGATTCGGTTTGCCAGTATTTTATTGAGGATTTTTGCATCAATGTTTATCAAGGATATTGATCTAAAATTCTCCTTTTTGGTTGTGTCTCTGCCCGGCTTTGGTATCAGGATGATGCTGGCCTCATAAAATGAGTTAGGGAGGATTCCCTCTTTTTCTGTTGATTGGAATAGTTTCAGAAGGAATGATACCAGTTCCTCCTTGTACCCCTGGTAGAATTCGGCTGTGAATCCATCTGGTCCTGGACTCTTTTTGGTTGGTAAGCTATTGATTATTGCCACAATTTCAGATCCTGTTATTGGTCTATTCAGAGATTCAACTTCTTCCTGGTTTAGTCTTGGGATGGTGTATGTGTCCAGGAATTTATCCATTTCTTCTAGATTTTCTAGTTTATTTGCGTAGAGGTGTTTGTAGTATTCTCTGATGGTAGTTTGTATTTCCGTGGGATCGGTGGTGATATCCCCTTTATCATTTTTTATTGCGTCTATTTGATTCTTCTCTCTTTTCTTCTTTATGAGTCTTGCTAGTGGTCTATCAATTTTGTTGATCCTTTCAAAAAACCAGCTCCTGGATTCATTAATTTTTTGAAGGGTTTTTTGTGTCTCTATTTCCTTCACTTCTGCTCTGATTTTAGTTATTTCTTGCCTTCTGCTAGCTTTTGAATGTGTTTGCTCTTGCTTTTTTAGTTCTTTTAATTGTGATGTTAGGGTGTCAATTTTAGATCTTTCCTGCTTTCTCTTATGGGCATTTATTGCTATAAATTTCCCTCTACACACTGCTTTGAATGTGTCCCAGAGATTCTGGTATGTTGTGTCTTTGTTCTCATTGGTTTCAAAGAACATCTTTATTTCTGCCTTCATTTCGTTATGTACCCAGTAGTCATTCAGGAGCAGGTTGTTCAGTTTCCATGTAGTTGAGCGGTTTTGAGTGAGTTTCTTAATCCTGAGTTCAAGTTTGATTGCACTGTGTTCTGAGAGACAGTTATAATTTCTGTTCTTTTACATTTGCTGAGGAGAGTTTTACTTCCAACTATGTGGTCAATTTTGGAATAGGTGTGGTGTGGTGAGGGCAGCCACACTTGAAGACACAATTGACAAGGGAATTTGTTACCTCTGTGGCACACAGTCATTTAACATAATAATTATAATTATTACTGATAACATATACTAAGTCATATTAGAATTATAGGAGTTTTACATAATTTCGGAACATACGCCAGTAACACATTTACACAAATGTTCCAAAGAAAGCCAAACATCATTTCCTATTTGACAGTGCTTCTTGTATGAGTTTCATATGAAATAAGCCAAATGTCATTTTTGGACTTTACAGGATTTAATATCTAAAAGATTAGGCTAGAAAGAGGCATAATTTATAATTTGATTTTGGAAAGTTTGTCAAATAACAAAGGTTTAAAACACTGGATATTATAAAATAGAATCCCAGGTTACCATAAGTCATCAATTTGGCTAAAATGATAACCATAACTAATTCATTTGGCCAAAATGATAACTTCAAAAATTTTTAAAAAGAAAAACCTTTACTCTGATAGAGGAGACTTAGCTTTCCAAATAAGACCCAATAAAGATAGCATGAGGCTAACTGAATTTGTCTCTTTTCTGTCTTGCCTGCCATTTACCCAGAGGGAAAAACGAAACCCTTTCATTATCTTTTAACATTACATGAAAATCATCTTCAAAAGAGAAAACCAAATTTCATGTTTGCATTAGTGCATCTTTAATGTTAAAACTACTTTTTAAAATAAAATTTTATATCCGTTTTTAATTAGTTTGGTCATAAGGTAAGATTTTCATAAACTGTTTAGAACTCTTTACAATTTTCTATCAAACAGATCAATTTTCTAAGAAAACCTGGTTATTCAGACACATGGTCCCAGATTCTGGCCCCACATGAGTATGATTTTAATGTTTTAATCTATGGAAAAAAAGCTAAATAATTTCAATCAAATCTTAGCCATCTTGTTTATACCCACAGAATGTTTTTTACAAGATCAACCCTTTATAAGCCCTTTTCACTTTGCTTAACCTTCAGTTTTGTTCCATTACACTTGTAGGTTAAGACAATCTTTAAAACCCTCTGAACTAGACAAAATTACATTCCTTTTAACAAAAGCCGTATCTCCATGCCTTCTTATAATCTTTTACCAAAAACACGTTCCCTACACACCTTATATGTAAAACTGTTTCTCCAGTGGTCTCAATAACATGTTACAATGTTAACTCTTAGCAACTTTTATTTTTAGTGAAAAACCTGATAAGTAAGTGATTTTAATTATGTACTAGGGGTGGAGCCTAGGACATCAGACAGAAGTGACGATAAGGTCTGACTCTTTTTATTGTAGATGTTGGTCATGGCTCTCCATTTGTCCCCAGGCCTTATCTATAATCTAATGCCCCAAAGTAGGTAAGTTGAACAATTTTCAAAAGTCAAGGAAACAGTTGGACCTTAAGCATTTAACAAATCTGATATCTGACCTTAATTTAGAACAAGTGTCTATATTTTTAAGACATTTTACCAATAATCTTTAAAACTGTCTTTATTTCCAAAAGATTACTGAAGTCATATGAACAAAAAGGCATTAAAGTTTCTATTTTTCTGATAAAATATTTGATTTAAATGCTTATTTTTCTAAGCCAATTAATCAGAGCTCTTTTAGATATAAACATACAACACATATAAATAGACAGCAGATGGACAGATGCTTCAGCACTTGTAATATTTTTCATTTCCCAGTTTCTTAATTGGATTACTGGCTTCAGGGTGAAGCCCTTGGAGGAAGAGGGCCAGGAAAGCATGCCTTTCTAGGGCCAAATAAGCAGCAAATAAGCAGCTGAACGCAAAGACAGATACCCAAAATTAAGGGTCCCATTTTATACTGGATCCTGGGTCCCCAAAAGGAGGGAAATACTATGGGAGAAGACAGTGCAGTGCTTCTACCCTGTATTTCATTGCAAGGCAACCCAAAGCCAATCAGCCCATTTTGTAATCAGCCCATCTCTCTTGGGAGTCTCATCTTCCAGTGGGGGGTGGGGGTGTTTCCTTATCTTCCAGGTGGCCAATAGCATGCTTCTCTGATCCAAGTGTGCAAAAAGTCAAGTATCCCTCCATAAGTGCTATTAGCCATTCCTTAAAGTATATTTCCTACCTAGTTATTACAAACCAAAGCTCTCTCATAATGCCAAGTAATTTCTGATACCCCCAAACTCAAAACTGTCAGATAACACAATGCAAAACAGAACAGAGTGTTTGATTTTGAGAGGGATCCATCCACTTTTAATTACTAGATTTTAATGAAGAAAACAGAGGTTTTTTTTTCCAAAACAGGGTCTATGGTGCCTCCTCTGTCTTTCCCAAGGAGTCCCAAGCTATGAGAAGTTATCTTAGTGCCTCTCATGTATGCATTAAGAGTGGCAAGACAAAAAAATGGAGAAAAATAATTCAGTAGACTGAGAAGGGAAAAAAACCTTTTTCCAGAAAAACAAGTTCCAAGAAGAGAAAAACATAAAGGCTTTTAAAATATATCTATAGTTTGTTTATCCACTTTTAATTAAGCTGACTTTTAACCATAGTGCTCTTTAAAAAAAATCATTTCAAATCTCTTATTACCTGGCTTTAGCCATGCCAAGCGGCCAATATTTGTAGCTTCTAAACTTTACCAAAGGTAACTTCCTAGGTGCTTCAAAGACATGGTAAGTAGTTTCTTTTTTACAAGATTTAGAATTTCCACAAGGTAGTTCAGAAAAAGGAAAATTCAAGAGAGGAAATCAGAAACTACCATGGGGGGAAAAACCTCAGTAAATGGCAATGCTACACTAATAACAAACCAGAAAGGAATCATTCCAGAAGCCAACAATTGAACCCAGGCCACCACTTTCAAAAGATAAAGCCTTGGCTACTGAGCTGTACAGCATTGAGCAGTTTCTATTGCTTTTCCTAGAAGGAGCCTAGAGAAGCCAATTTCAAGCTTGCAAGGCTTTTAACTGCTCAAAAAAAATTTTTATGGCTAACTATGACATGAGCCCACAAATGTCTGTCTTCTGGATAGTGCAAACCAAAAGAAAGTATCCCCATATGGTCACAAGGTTGAGCTCTTAAGGACACAAAACAAGACAGAGGAATTTTGTACTGTGTTGGTTTCAGGGACCTGTAGCAAAGTTTGTAACTGACCAGCCTGCCAAACTGCCTTGAAAAGCAGGCTTGTAGGGATCCTAAATCCACATTCTATCCTGTGATACCCCTCTCTCCATTACAGAACACAGAAAGACAAATTCTTAGCACAAAGTACACCAGATTTGCTATGGCCTAAGACTAGTCTCACAAATCCTTTTTGCTATTAATCAAACCCTTGCAGGGGAGACAAATAGTTTACTGTTTACCCAGACAGAGAAAGAGAGAGAGAGAAATTTGGCTGGTAAGAATTTCTTACCCTTTTTGCTGGCATATCAGATTTCCAGTTTCCTTTTCTCTGCAGCTTCCAGAAGAACGGA
Organism: Homo sapiens; assembly: GCF_000001405.40. Lineage (NCBI taxonomy): Eukaryota > Metazoa > Chordata > Mammalia > Primates > Hominidae > Homo > Homo sapiens. The sequence continues at coordinate 116,676,141 of NC_000009.12, read as the reverse complement.
GCGGCTTCTCGTGACCCTGTTCTCTTGTGCTATAGCTGTGGGGGTCAAGCCACTTTACAAGAGAAAATCACCCTTTACTGTTTTATGGAACCATAGACAAGATTCTTAATTTGCAAATGCTGCCCAATATGCTGCTTAGGGAACTGAATTAAAATTTTTCATCCCAGCAAAATACACATAACAAAACAGACATTAGTCACCTTGTTCAGCACGCAATGTCAACCTGGCAAAGCTCAAACTTTTTCCCTGTTGGTCCCTGTTGTCTTTGATCCACTCCAGGTGGGAAGGCATGACCTCTAAATGGCAATTCACAATGGGGTCTCTGGGCAAGGCCAAGAGCAGATGGTCACCCTGAGACAGGCCTGTTGAGCTTTCTTTAGGGCTCACCAAATGTAACTAGACAAATAAGGAGGGTTCTCTGAGTTAAGCCTGCTGGACTTCCAGCAGCAATTCCTTCTGAGATCCCCTTCACATATACAAACACACAGAAAGACATGACAGACAGAAGGCCTTCCAAATCAGATCCCTGATCAAGAACTCCAAGAGTATCCCTTCCAAACTATCCTCCTATTCTCCATCTGAGAATCCTCCTCGAAATCCTCCTGAATGAGAAGTCTCCCAAACCAAGACTCTTCCTACTAGTTGGAAAGAGCTAACCAAGAACCCCTGGAAGGAGCCAAACAGACACCCCGCAATGGGGCTACAGATGCAGACACACCATGGTGGAGCTATAAACAGACTCCCTGCATTGGGGCTACAGACACCCCACCATAGGGCTACAGACCAGCTGGGAGAAGGAAGGAGGCATTGGAAGCACCTAGGATAGTCACCAATCCAAACACCCTACAATGGAGCTACAGACTGACACCCTGTGATAGGGCTACAGTTAAGGGATATCTCCCCAGGATTATTTCTCCATTGCAATTAAATCCTTGCACATTGGATCAGCAGTACCCCACCAATAGAGTACCAGAGTCAGCCCCAGTCCAAAAGAACTAGGCAGCCACTTGGGCTGGCCTCTGGATCCATTGCTGGAGCGTGGGGGGGCACTGAACCATGAGCAGGTAGCCACAAGGGCAATCCTGGACAAGCCCCTGAATTTGTAACTGCCCAGGGGGTTCACCTTGCCCACTGCGTAGACAGAGCCGATTCATCAAGACGGGAATTGCAATGGAGAAAGAGTAATTCAAGCAGAGCTCGCTGTGTGGAAGACTGGAGTTTTATTATTACTCAAATCAGTCTCCCTGAGCATTTGGGGAGCAGAGTTTTTAAGGATAACTTGGTGGCTGGGGGAAGCCAGTGAGCCAGGAGTGCTGATTGGTCAGGGATGAAATCATAGGGAGTTGAAGCTGTCTCCTTGCACTGAGTCAGTTCCTGAGTCCAGGGCCACAAGATCAGATGAGCCAGTTTATGTAGGGGATTGGTCAGGGTGGTTGGAGAAAATTATAAAGATATAGTTATAGGAGATAGACACAAACCTTCTTGGAAGGCCAGGGGGATTGCATAGCTTCAGTAAAAGATTTGGCTGAAGGCAGCCTAGTCCTCTTTACCTTTAGTTGATAGCAAAAAAGCAAATAACAAGGGAATGTGGGGAAGTTTATCTAAATAGCTTGTTTACTCCCATTGTCCTAAAACCAACCTTTGATCATTTGTGGGCAGGATGGCTCTCTCCGGGGGAGGGCGACCAGATTAATTGCCCACAGGTGTGTTGACTCAAAGCCTTTGTCATTAAATCTGTGCTGAATAAATGCCGGCAGGGCCAGCTAATCAAAGTGTGTGATTGCCACAACTCTGTGTGTGGCCTGGCCCTGTAGCCTCTCTTTCACTGAATATCAGTGTCTGAGTACGTTATTCATCTGTCATGCAGCTGGGGTCTGTGGGTCAGAACCTGGCAAGTATTGATTTGGGTAGTGCCAGCTGATCCATCAAGTGCAGGGTCTGCAAAATATCTCAAGCACTGATCTCAGGAGCAGTTTAGGGAGGGTCAGCATCTTGTAACCTCCAGCTGCATGACTCCTAAACCATAATTTCTAATCTGTGGCTAATGTTAGTCCTACAAAGGCAATCTAGTCCCCAGGCAAGAAGGAGGTCTGCTTTGGAAAGAGCTGTTACCATTTTTCTTTAAACTATAAACTACAAACTAAGTTTCTCCCAAAGTTAGTTCAGCCTATGCCCAGGAATGAACAAGGACAGCATGGAGGTTAGAAGCAAGATGGAGTCAGTTAAGTTAGATCTCTTTCACTATCTCAGTCATAGTTTAGCAAAGGTGGCTTCATCAGTTTGCTAAGGTTGCAGTAACAAAGTACCACAAGCTAGGTGGCTTAAAATGAAAAATTTATTCTCTCACAGTTTTGGAGCATAGAAAACTCAAATTAAGGTGTCACCAGGGCCATATTCTCTCCAAAACTTCTAGAGAGAGATTATTCCTTGCCTCTTCCAACTTCTGGTGGCCCCAGGCATTTTTTTGCCTTGTGTGAGCATAACTTCAATCTCTACCTCCTCATGGCATTTCCTCTGTGTATATGTCTACGCATTCTTGTAAAGCCATCTGTCATATTGGATTAAGGACCTGCCCCACTCCAGTATTACATTGTCTTAACCAGTTACAACTAAAATCACCCCATTTGCAAATAAGGTCACATTCCAATGTACTGGAGATTAGGCTTTCAACATATTTTGGGGGAGGACACAATTCCACTGATAACACCACCCTTTGAGCTTAATATTGTTTTCTTCATTTATAAAGAAGATCTCTAGTTTTCTTTCATTGTCTTTAAAATAGGGATAACAATAGTTAACACAGGATTGTTGGGAGCAAGATGAGATATGTAACCGGTGAATTGTGTCCAGGTTCTTGGTGGCTTGAACAAAGAATTGGACAAAACCCACAAACAAAGCAAGGAAGGAATGAATGGAATTATTGAAAATGAAAGAACACTCCACAGTGTGGGAGCAGCCCCAAGCATAGGGGCCAGAATTTTGGGGAGTTTAAATACCCTCTAGATGATTCCATTGGTTACTTGGGTGTATGCTCTATGTAAATGAAGAGGATGAAGTAAAGTTATGAAGTTATTTACTTGGCCTATGCCCTACCTATGGAGAGGATATTTCCTGTCATAGCTTAAGTGGGAATCAGCCTTATGTTCCCTGCCTTCAGACCCTGTTTTCTTGTCTCAATTGGTTGTAAAACATTTAGCACTTTGCCTAATATGGAGTAATGTTCATTATATTGCATTTGTTATTATTAATAATATAAACTAAGTTTGCTTATTAAGGACACCATTATCTAGAAAAAGTGAGGGCTTTGTAATCAGACAGAACCCCAACACCACCCAGTTGGAAGGGTATTTTAAGGAAGAGATGAAAAGATATTTTGAAACAATTCTTGGTATCTTTTTGCAACTGACAAGTTCTATAACTTTGGACAACTAACTTAGCCTTCTGTACTTCCCTTCCCTCCTCTGCAAAATGGGGGATAATAGTAGTCATCTACCACACAGAAATGTGAGTGTTTGATGACTTAATAAATCCAAAAGGCACCACCTGGTAAAGAATATGTGCTCTGTGGATGTTAGCTGTTAATGTAGTTATTATTACTGTTATTATTGTTATTACTATTCTCAACACAATAGTCTCATTTTCTTCTCTCATTGGCAACTGAATTCTGAGGAGGAAGAGAATATAGGAGAGAAAATGTAAGGGTTTAAAACTCTTATACAACCTAACAAATATGTCTGAGTCTAGAAGTTTATAATTACTAGATTTTTTTTTTTTTTGAGACAAGATCTCATTCTGTCACCCAGGGTGGAGTGCAGTGTCATGATCTCAGCTCACTGCAGCCTTGACCTCCCTGGCTCAAGTGATCCTCCCACCTCAGTCCCCCAAGTAGCTGGGACTACAGGCTCATGCCACCATGCCTAGGTAATGTTTTGTAGATATGGGGTTTCACCATGTTGCCCAGGCTGTTCTTGAACTCCTGAGCTCAAGCCATCCTCCTGCCTCAGCCTCCCAAAGTGCTAGGATTACAGGTATGAGTCACTGTGCCCAGCACTAGAATTTTTATGAAATAATATAAAATTTTATGTATTTATGTTACTTATCTGTCATTATATAGCAAATTACCTCCAAAATTTTGCCACTCGAAACAACACACTTTTTTTCCCCTCTCACAGTTTTTGTGAGTCAGGAATCCAAGCACAGGTTATCTCGTTTCTCTGCTTCACAGTGTCTTACAAAACTGCAATCAAGTTAATGGCAGAAGCTGTGGTCTCATCTGAAGGCTGAAATGGGGAAGTAGCCATTTTCAAGATGACATATATATTTTGATGAGATTCAGTTCCTTAAGGGTGGTTGGACCAAAGTCCTCAGTTCCTTGCTGGCTTTTGGCTGGAGACTGCCCTCCATCCTTTGCCACATGAGCCTCTTCATGACTCATTTGGTTTTTTTTAAAGCCAGCAAGAGGGAGTCTAATACAATGGAAGTTACCTCTTTTGTAACCTAATCACAGAAGTGGCATCCTCTCAATATTGTCATATTCTGTTGCTTGGGAGCAAGTAACTCAAGTGGAGGAGGTAGTAAATATGAGGAGGGGGGATTGTTGAAGGCCATTTTAGAGTTGTTCCCCCCACCCCAACTTGCTCTCTCTTCATCCCTTTTTCTTTCCTCCCTCCTTTTCTTATTATCTGTTGGCCTACTTAGTTCTACTTTTTGCTGAAATTCTGACTCTAATCTCCATATGATGTACCCAGCCCCCAAATTTTTCAGTCTAGCCTATACCTGATACTTGGTAAGTGCTCAATAGATGTTTGAATTCAATTTAAATTTAAATTATAAAAGAGCATTTTAAAAGAGTCAGTTTTATCAACCACCTTAATATAATCATTATGATGGTTATATTTATCTAATTGTAAACATTTACTAAGTTCCTCTTACTCTGTTAATACGTATCTATAATAATTCTAGGTATTCAAAAACTTTCTTTTCTAATATAAATTTTGGGATTTTATTTACTTAATATGAAAAATGTTTGAAATAATTTTTTACTGGCCTTTATAATTGTCAAACTGCCTACCTAAGAGTTGACAGACCCAACTTTGAACATTGAACTAGCTCAAATAAGATTGCAAAAATGTCCTTGTGCAGATACATTTTTTTTCCTTTCTAGTTTATTTCCTTGAGTTGATATGGAAACAACTGGTTCAGAATTTTGAAGCTTTATTTTAATATCATATACATTTATGTTCATTGACCAGATCCAATTTGTAATGGTTTGAACTAGTATGGATAGTCAAAGGTCAGAAATAATAATAATAATGTTATTGCCAAGAGAAGATTCCCTATGCAGTGCTAACAACCTCAGCTCAACTTAATGCTAAATGAAGGCTGCTGGGAAAATTTCTCATAGGCCTAATTTCTGCCAAGCCCTGCATCTCAGCCCCAGTCCCAGATCTCCTGCTCCTCTTTGCTCCAGTATTTCAGCCAGCTTTCCTCTTTATGGTGGCTGCCATTAACCACTCCATCAACTGACATCTGTAAGACTGCCTGGCCACAGACAAAGAGACAGTCTCCTTTACCCAACCCCTCACCTCTACCCAACATATTATTTTCATGTCACTGCTTATCTATTCTTCTGTTTTATTTTGAAGAATAGGAAAATGTTATTGCTTTTTAAAAATACAATACATAAGGCCAGGTGCGGTGGCTTATGCCTGTAATCCCAGCACTTGGGGAGGCTGTGATCCCCTGGCCCAGCCACTCAGTCATACTTGACCAGCCCTTCTACCTCCTGCCCTTGTGGACACTTTGTCCGGGGGGATTGTCATCATGATCATCATCATATCATCATCATGGTGATTACTAGCGTTTATTGATTCCTTACCATGTTCTAAGTACTTACATAGTTTGACAATACTAGCTGTTATAAACAATAAACCCTTAAATCTCAGTGGCTTAATACAATCAAGGTTTTTTTGTTTATTTGTTCAGCATCCCAAATAGATGTTTTTGATTGATGGGTGGCTTTATGAGAAGTAGTGCAGGCTGGGCATGGTGGCTCATGCCTGTAATCCCAACACTTTGGGAGGCCAAGGCGGGTGGATCACCTGAGGTCAGGAGTTTGAGAGCAGCCTGGCCAACATGGTGAAACCCCATTTCTACTAAAAATACAAAAATTAGCTGGGCGTGGTGGCACGTGCCTGTAATCCCAGCTACGTGGGAGGCTGAGGCAGAGAATTGCTTGAACCCAAGAGGTTGAGGTTGCAGTGAGCCAAGATCACACCACTGCATTCCAGACTGGGTGACAGAGCAAGACTCTGTCTCAAAAAAAAAAAAAATACAATACATAAGGAATCATTGATAAGCTGGATTTCATTAAAATGAAAAACTTCTGCTCTATGAAAGACAATGTCAAGATAATGAGAATACAAGCCAAAGACTGGGAGAAAGTATTTGCAAAAGACACATCCAATAAAGGACTGTTATCCAAAATATATAAAGAGCTCTTAAAACTCAACAATAAGAAAATAGCCCAAATAAAAAAATGGGCTGAAGACTTTAATATACATGTCACCAAGGAAGATAGACATATGGCAAATAAGCATATGAAAAGATGCTGCAAATCAAGTGCTGACAATGATTCAGAGCCACAGGAATTCTTGTTCATTGCTGGTAGGAATGCAAAATGCGCAGCCACTTTGGAAGGTGGTTTGGCAGTTTCTTACAAACCTAAATGTACTGTTTTGTTTGTTTGTTTGTTTGTTTTTTAGATAGCAACTTTTATTGAAGTGTAGAGCAGCAGCATAGGTCCTGCGCTCTGTAGAGCAGGGCTACTCCATAGGCAGTGTGTCCAAAGTAGCAGCTCTGCAGACGTATTTATACCCACTTTTAATTACATGCAAATTAAGGGGTGATTTATGCAGAAATTCCTAGGATAAGGGTGGTAACTTCTGGTTCATGGGACAGTTGCTGTGGAAAAAGATAGTAACCTTTAGGTGTTGCCATGGCAATGGTGAACTGACATGGCACACTGGTGGACATGTCTTATGGAAAATAGCTTCCGCCTGACCCTGTTTTAGCTAGTCCTCAATCTGGTCCAGTGTCTGAATCCCCACCTCCAGAGCTGAGTCTCACCTCCTACCTCAATGACACTTTGTTGGGTACATATTATGGAAAGCTGCTTCTGCCCTAGCCCTGTTTTAGGTAGTCCTCAATCTGGTCTGGTGCCTGAGTCTCTGCCTCTGGGGTTGAGTCTCACCTCCTACCTCCCTGTCTTCACTGACCGACACACTAAGTCATTTCTAGCCCACTAAGCCCAGCCATCCTTACATCTGTCCTAGCAAAATACTGCATTCCTCTCATGTCCCTTAAATCATAGTCTTACCATGTGATCTTTGCAATTGTGCTCCTTGGTATTTGTCCAAAGGAGTTGAAAACATATATCCACACAAAAACCTGCACATGGATATTTATATCAGCTTTATTCATAATTGTCCAAACTTGAGAGCAATCAATATGTCCTTCATAGGTGAATGGATAAATAGCTTGTGGTACATCCAGACAATGTACTATATTGAGCAATAAAAAGAAATGAGCTTCTAAACCATGAAAATACATGGAGGAAGCTTAAATGCATATTAGTAAGTAAAAGAAGGCGGCCGGGCATGGTGGCTTATGCCTATAATCCCAGCATTTTGGGAGGCCGAGGCGGGTGGATCACCTGAGGTCAGGAGTTCAAGGTCAGCCTGGCCAACATGGGTGAAACCCTATCTCTACAAAAATACAAAAATTAGCCGGGCGTGATGGCGGGTGCCTATAATCCCAGCTACTCAGGAGGCTGAGGCGGGAGAATCGCTTGAACCTGGGGGGCGGAGGTTGCGGTGACCCAAGATTGTGCAACTGTACTCCAGCCTGGGTGACAGAGTGAGACTGTCTCAAAAAAAAAAAAAAAAGCCAATCTGAAATCTATATACTGTATGATTCCCACTGTATGACATTCTGGAAAAGGTAAAACTGTGGAGACTAAAGATTTCAGGAGTTTCCAGGTTTCCAGGAGTTGGGAGCAGGGGATATGGATGAATAGGTGGAGCACACCGTATTTTTAGGGCAGTGAAAATACTCTGCATGGTACTACAGTGGTAGATACATGTCATTATACATTTGTACAAACCCATAGAATGTTCAACACCAGCACTGATTACTATGATAAATTTTGGACTTCAAGTGTTTATGATATGTCAGTGTACGTTCATCAGTTGTAACAAATGTACCACTCTGTTGGGGATGTTGATGACAGGGGAAGCTATGTGGCAGGTGGGTGGGTGGGGGGGCATGAAAATAGAGAAATTTTCTGTGCCTTCATTTCAGTTTTTCTGTGAACCTAAAGGTGTTCTAAAAATAGTCTTTAAAAAACAATACAAGTGAGCACACATTTACAAGAAAGAATCAAAACAGTACATAATGTAGAATATGAAAAATCTCCCCTCATTCTATTTCCCAGCAATAATTTTCCTTTTCAATTTTGTGTAATCTGGCAGCCGTCTTTTCTCAATGTTTTATTAAGGAAGATTTTAAGTACACACAAGGAGAGAAAATGGTATAATAAATCTCTATGTATTCATCACCTAGCAATAATTGTTGTCAATATTTTGCCAACTTTGCTTCAGCTGTTGCTTATCTGCAATTTGTTTTTTTGTTGCTAGAGTCTTTCAAAGCAAATCCCAGATACAGCATTATATTATTCCTTCTGTAAATATCCCAGTGTATATTGCAAACAGATAGTTTTTTTTAACATAAGCTCAACATCATTATCACATCTAGCATTTCATATTCAAATTACCTTAACTGCTTCAAAAATATCTTTCATAGTCTGTATATTTAAATACGGATCAAGGCCAGGTGTGGTGGTTCACGCCTGTAATCCCAGCACTTTGAGAGGCTGAGGTGGGTGGATCACTTGAGGTCAGGAGTTCAAGACCAGCCTGGCCAACATGGTGAACTCCTGTCTCTATTAAAAATACAAAAATTAGCCAGGGGTGGTGGTGCACACCTGTAGTCCCAGCTACTTGGGAGGCTGAGGTAGGAGAATAGCTTGAACACAGGAGGCAGAAGTTGCAGTGAGCCAAGATCACACCGCTACACCCCAGCCTGGGTGACAGAGCAAGACTCTGTCTCAAAAAAAAAAAAAAAAAAAAAAAAGAATAAATAAATAAGTATAAATAAATAATATGGATCAAAATGTCTATATGGTGTTCTTTTAATCTATAATAGTTCCACACTTTAATTTTGCCCATGCTGTTATTTGTTGAAGATGTTGGCTCATTTGTCCTTTAGAACTGTTCAAATTACAGATTTAGCTAAGTGTTTCCTCATGGTGTTGTTTAATTTGTTTCTCTTTTTTAGGGATTCACCACCTGTTTTTGTCTTACAGGCTCCTTTTGTAGAATGTTGAAGACTATAACCCCTTTTCTCAGAAAAACATTTTAAAATGCATAAAATAAAATACAAAAGACTATAAAAGAAAGAAATTATGTCAATATATAACTATCAAAATATTTTAAAAGTATGATACAGTAATATATGTGCATCTTTATTAATGACAAGATCTAGCGGACAGTCTATCATAATTCTAAGTTTGGTCAACCACAAGTATTTTTAGATTTGTAATAATGGTAATGTGATAGAAGTATATGTGAGTTTCATTATGTCAAAGTCATAGGAAATGTTCATACTACTATGTTTTGTTAATGGCATTCATAATTTAAGGAAATAGTACATTGCAATGATAAGATACTAAAAATAAAGGTATGTTCTTTTCCCTATACAAGTCTGCAGACCCCCAAATTCTATCATCCAAGGAGTACCACCTGAATTACTCAGGCAGTGCCATGTACATCTTAGAGAATCATATCAGTGGCACTTAATGCCTGTTGTACTACTTGTAGTCACATTAGGTTTGATCAGTAAGTTCAGTACCTATCAGTCCAATCCATTCATTAGAAATTTTCTCATTAGCCTTTCTCCTAGCAGTTTTAGGATTCATTGATGATAGTTGTCTAGATCTATTCTTTTATTAGAAATTATGAAATGGTAATTTTGTGATTCTGTCATTATTACTGCTCTTATTACCTGCAGTATTTCCATAAAAAATATGGTTACCCTGAAATCCAGTTCAAAGCATGGCTGATACTTCATTCTTTTATCAATTTTTAGAATAATATGTTTGTCTCCTAGCAGTCTCCAGTAGTAACTGATGAGCTTTGTTAATTTGGTTTTTATTTGTTTCTTGGTTTTGGTTTGGCTTTGGTTTCAGTTTTCAGAACATTATGAATTAATGGAAGTGTATTTGTTTGATAAATTTAAATCAATTGCAATTATTATTGTTTTCCTTGTTCAAATTGTTTAATGTTAGGCCAATGTGATTCCCTTTAAGTTGGTTTGTATGTCCTTTTGAAATGACTTCATTAGTCCTGACCTTGTTTTTTGTTACAACAAAACATCCCAGGCTCAGCTTGTACCATACTTGTTCCAGACTTGGATTCAGGAATTTTTCCAAGTATCCTTTGTTCCTTTTAATGAAAAATAGCATTTAGAAACCAGAGTCTGGGCAGTAGGGGTATTTATTGCCTAGTACATTATCATTATTTCTAGGCCTTTTCAGTAGGCAGAGCTATGAAATGTTTTTATTTTTTCAAAGACAAAAACAAGTCGTAAGTTTTTATGATTTCCAACTGAAATTTCAGTTTACATAATTTTTCATAAACCTTCTTAATACCTGAATTAGTTGTCCGTAATGCTGAAAAAGCTTAGTTCCCAATCACAGTAACGTAATGGCTTACTTGCTATAGCCCACAACAGACAGGTAATTATTTCAAAATAGCAATACCAATTGTGTCAGTCCATTTTGTGTCACTATAAAGCAATACCTGAGACTGAGTAATTTATAAGGAAAAAAGGTTTATTTGGCTCACAGTTCTGTAGGCTGTACAAGCATGGCACCAGCATCTGCTTAGCTTCTGGTAAGGCTTCAGGAAGCTCTTAGTCATGGTGGAACGTGGTAGAAGAGTAGGTGTATCACATGGCAAGAGAGAGGGAGCAAGAAAGAGAGAGGGAGGGAGGTCCCAGACTTTTTAACAATCAGCTCTTGAAGTAACTCATTATCACAGGGAGAGCACCAAGCCATTGATGAGGGATCCATGCCCATGACCCAAACACCTCCTACCCCGTCTCACCTCCAACACTGGGGATTACATTTCAACATGAAATTTGGAGGGGACAAACATCCAAGCTATATCACCAATATTACAGCTGGTGATAAGACCATTAAGTCTAGATTCGCAGATCATTTTGTGTTTGGAATATTCCTCACTAAACTGTAAAATCAAAATACTGCATTTAAAAGCCACTCTAAATTGTTATTTTCTCTAAACAATTATGTCAACACTGATGTAGAGTTAGAGATATTTTTTCAGTGGGTATATAATTTGTAGAGATTGTTTTTTTTTTTCTTTTGTGCTTTAAAAAAAAGTATGTAAAACTTTTGTGTGGTGCAAAGCTAAAACTTATAAATGAAGATATACTGCAGAACTCTGGCTTCTATTCTTATCCCTGGACCTTGTTTTCTTGTTTCCCCTGTAGATAACTATTGTGTTAGGTTTGGGTAACCTGTCAGTGTTTCCTAATAAAAAATTTATATACATATATACATATACATATATATATATTATATATATTTCTATACAAAAGAGAGCACTCTAAACAGTGCTCTGGGCTGGACATGGTGGCTCACACTGTAATCCCAACACTTTGGGAGGCCAAGGAGGGTGGATTCCTTGAGCTTACAAGTTCAAGACCAACCTAGGCAACATAGTGAGGCCCTGTGCCTATATTAAAAAAAAACAAAAAACCTTAAACACTGTTCTGCACTTTCCTTTTTTCCATTTAGTAAAATATATTTGTGATTACTCCAATCACATACAATATTATTCTAATTCATTTTTAGGTATATAGTACCCCACTGTTTGGATGCTTCATAGTTTTTCAACCAATTACCTATTGATTGTCCATAGACTGCTATGGTAAGAGATTTATTGCTGATTACTGTGATGTAATGGGCAGAAGCAACAGAAATTGAATATTCAATTTCCAGAATTTATAACTGCCTGAACTTGAATCTCTAGCAATGTAGCAGAGTGGGAGGCAGCCTAATATTGTGGAAGAGTGCTTAGAAATAAGGAAGGTCACAATGGCAATCCAGATGTTCTTGGATCCCTGATTTTCCCTCCATGAGCTTCCATTTACTCATCTTTAAAAAGCAATAGTGAAACCTACCTCTCATTGTTAGGATTTATAGAGACCAAAGGGCATAATGTATGCAAATCAAGTAGCAGAACATCTGTCCTGGAATATGTGCCTGTAAAACTGCAGCTACAGTTAATATTAATTTTACTGATTGCCTCAATATAAGACAGGAAATCTCTATGAGTTTCAGCCCTTTTATATTTTGTTGAGTGGGCTCATTGATCCTTCTCCCTGCCCCTAGCAGCAGAGTTACACCGCAGAGGGGAGCTAACGGAGAAGTAACTCAATCTTGAACATGTTTTCCAAAAGTAATGCCTGGTAACATGTTTAAAGGTTGTCTTTTAACATGAGTATTTTTAACATTTTGTTAAAAATAGTTAGAAATGTGAAAGCAAGACTGTGAACCCCCAGGAAAACAGTAAGAGAGTGTTTTCTAATGGTTCCCTTAACTGACTAATGGTTCCTAGATGACTCCAGCTGATGTTCATACCCTCCTGGATGTTTGAAACTGGCAACCTCCCCCTGGCCCCAAAGTGGCCTCCTACTGGCCCCAAGGTGGGCTGGTATACCTTGTTGGTCTGCTCTCCTGCTTCAAATATGTTCAAGTGGGACAATCTGGGAGTCTTTATCTAAAGCAGGTCATTAGCATCTCAGAGGCCTCCAATTCCGTAAGCCTTGTCCAAGAATAATCTTTTCTGAGCATTTCCTCTTTGACCCCTAGCCTGAGAAGTGATTGGAAGGAGGAGGAAGGAATTGGGAAGGAACTAATCTTGGAATCCGTTCTTGAGGAGTAAGTTTTAAACACAGTTTTCAAGAAAGTAAAAGAACTTGATCCCAAGAAAGAGAAGGCGTTCTCCTATTAATGATCCATCTCAGCTCCTTTGGACAGAAAAGGGGCTTTGGAGTCAGTCTTTGAATGCCTAATGACCTTCGACTGCAGTCTGTCACTTCTCGGAAACTCTGTTTTTTCAGCTGTATATTACAGTTGTAAAAAATTACGACATTACTTGTCCAAGGCACTGTTGTGAGGATTCCATGAGATCCACAATGTCTTGTGTTTGGCAAAGAATAGAAGATTGGGAAATATGATTTTCTTTTCTGTCTTCTCCCTTTACCAAGCACTTTTCCTATCACCATCTTAAAAGCAAAACTGCATTAAAAATAAGACTATGTTGTTAGAATAATACTAATAATAGTAATAATAACAAGAACTGGCATGTTTTGGGTGGCTATTAAGTGTCTGGCATGACCCTACATTATTTTTTTATTTTTTTGAGATGGAGTCTCACTTTCGTTGCCCAGGCTGGAGTGCAATGGTGCAATCTCTGCTTACTGCAAACTCTGCCTCCCAGGTTGAAGTGATTCTCCTGCCTCAGCCTCCCGAGTATCTGGGATTACAGGTGCCCACCACCACACCCAGCTAACTTTTGTATTTTTAGTGGAGACAGGGTTTCACCATATTGGCCAGGCTGGTCTTGAACTCCTGACCTCAGGTGATCCGCCCACCTTAGCCTCCCAAAGTGTTGGAATTACAGGCATGAGCCACTGCACCCAGCCCGTTATCTTAAATCTCAACAACTTTATATTGTCGGTGATATTCGCCTATTTTATACATAAAAAGCAGAGACTACTATGAGGAAGAAGCTTGTCTATGGTCACATGCAGGGCTGTGGCTAGCCTGTAAGTTACCTCTTATATGAATTAGGAAGAGGAGCTCCTCTACTTGTACTCAATTGCAGGAGCACAGGCATGGCACGTGAAGCTGAGGGTGGATTTAGTCCCCATCCACCCTTTTGCCTTGTCACCTTTTATATATATATATTTTTTTCTTTTTTTTTTTAATTTAAGTTCTAGGGTACATGTACACAATGTGCAGGTTTGTTACATATGTATACATGTGCCATGTTGGTGTGCTGCACCCATTAACTCATCATTTACATTAGGTATATTTCCTAATTTTATCCCTCTCCCCTCCCCGCACCCCACAACAGGCCCCGGTGTGTGATGTTCCCCTTCCTGTGTCCAAGTGTTCTCATTGTTCAATTCCCACCTATGAGTGAGTCACCTTTTTACAGAGCTCAACTTGTGTAACTATACAAAGAGGGCCTGGTTGCATGCCTAGTTTTGACCAACTGAATTTCACATCCAGATGTATATGAAGTTCAGACCGCATCCATTCCATTACCACCTTGGAATTTTTTCTCTTACTGTCTTCTTTAAGATCCTGCTCCATCAATTATCTTTTCTCTCTGCCATATCTTAAGCGTCTCCTTCTCCATCTCTGTTTTTTCCTTCCCAGCCAATACGTCCCATCAGGTCTCTACACTTGAGTACCACAAGGATTGAAACAAATTGTTATTCATATTTTCCCCCCTTGTGCCTAGCTGTAAACCTGGCACTGAATAGGCCTTCTCAGCAAATGCTCTTTCAGAATTCTTTTACTCATCGCACTAAGCTTCCTTGTATCATAGCTAGCTTTTACTGTTTCCCTGGCTTCCCTCAGTGGAAGTTGCTTTGCACACAATGATCCTTCTTTGCCAAGAAAGGATCAGAACAGAGATTTCCCCAGAGCAATCATCTTAAGTAGGCACTAGAGGGCAGCAGGAGATCACATATGACCTTTTTTTTTCAGCCTCCTGTTACTGGCCACAACCTGCCTTGTCCCAGGAGGAAGAAGTAAATGTTACCCTTCAATGCCGACTGATTCCTGATTCTGGCCAAGACACTGGCCAGTACTAGGCTACTGGGCAGTGTCCAGGGGTCCCTTTCCCACAGAGAGTATGACCTGCCTCAGAAATTTAACTGCTTTCACTTGAAGACAGGTGTCCTCTTGCAAGTTATACTTTATCACTCTGTGCCTCAGTTCTCTCATTTGTAAAAGGGGGCAACAATCCCTACTTTGTAGGATGGTGGAGAACTGTGAGAGATCATAGGTGAAAATGTGCTAGCACAACATCTTTTGTTTTATTCCTAGAGGAGTTGGATGAGGAGTTAGTATCCCCATTTTACAAATGAACAAACTAAGGTTGGAGAGGTGAAGTGACTTGATTAAGATTTGAAATCAGGTAGTCTGACTCAACAGTTTTGGACTTACGCATTCAATTCTACCCTGGTCTACTGTCTTCTTGTAGGTAGAAGACAGGTAATTTAAGGGGAAATTTTTGACAGTTAAAGCATCAGGCAGGTTTCAAGGGAAGATTTACAGATTCAGACATGTACAAGAATTGAATAATGCTAGGATGAATGCCAGGGGCTGGAACAAATGACCTCTGATGATGCTCTTGACACGCTAGCATTGGATATTTTTCATTAAGTTCTGATTCTCATTTATCCTCCAAATAATCCAATATTTAGGTACTAAAATTATTAGCATTTTACAGATGAGGAAATGGAGGCTTAGAGAGGTTAAGGTCTTGTTCCAAGGTCACCCAGCTAGAAAACAAAAAAGATGGAATTTAAACTCAAGCAAAACACTGTGCTATAGCTGCCCCTCTGTAATTGTGCTTATTACTTATACATTTAGGGGAAGAGCTTGCAAATTCACTTAGGTTAGGAAATCAGTTGTCCTAGGGTTTGGCAGTTTTATAATTCTGTCTTCTTATTTTTGGAATCTCCACTGTTGCTTTTCTTTCCATTCCCCAAATGTGTGTGTGTGTGTGTGTGTGTGTGTGTGTGTGTGCGCTTGCAATATGAACACAACACATACATCACAACATACACATACTCATACATATATACCTTCTCAGAAGCCACCCAACAATGCCCTATGGTTCCTGGGATAGGAATTTCATCTACCTAGTTAGTTAATTGTTTAATTGTAGTATGACCCCACACCCCAACTAGAGTCCAGGCGTGAGTACTGTAGATAAGACATCTAATAGCATAAAGTACATAACTCTGGGCTTGGGTCTGATGCTTAGGATGAGAAGTGTGGTTCCTGGATGAGAAGTTAGTCTAAGTTTAATAGAGCCTTTCCACAATGGAACTTGAGGCCTAGAAAGGTACTGATTTCCACATCTTTAGAAATGTCCAAGAATAAATTGGAGGATTATTTGGTGGTAAATGAAAAATTAGATGGGATTTCTGACCAGGTGACCTTTAGAATGCTTTCCACCCAGGAGACCCTATTAGCCCATGGAAATGGGTGGAGGAGATTGGGGGCATTACCTGGGGGTGGGAGGTAATGGGAAGATACAAATATTTGGAACGGATATGACTCATCCTGTAGGAGTGAAAACTGGTGCTGAAAGTTTTTCAGAGAGGAAATATGGACAGTGGAAAGAGCAGAAAAACTGGGTAGAAACAGCTAGACTAGTTGCTAGCTGTGTGACTTTGGTCACGTTACTTTACTTCTCTGATCTATCAAGTGTACATTAATAAAATAAAACAAAGACCAACTGTCTTTGGGGCTGTGGTGATAAATTGGGATAGTTGGTCTGAAGTCTGATAAGCATTACACTAGTGGGACAGGAGTCAGATTTATGCATTCATTTATTCATTTGTTCATATATTTACCTGCAGACTGTCTACATGATATCAAACAGTGAACTCTGTGCTTGGAATGCAAATGTTCATTAAAAATGGCCATGGTCCTTGTTCTCATGAAACTTATGGTATATTTGGAGAGAAATATATTCATTTAATTATTATATTAAATCAAATAATAAAAACGTGACATGTACTATAATGAGGATATAAACGATTCAGTTCATACTGCAAATTGAGAATAGTCAAAATATAGTCTGTGAAAACAAGTATGCTCAAAAGTATATACATATGTGTTGATTCTGCCACTCTTTGTGATATGTTTACTGGGATAATTTTCCTCTACCTCTAGATGAAAATCTTAGCAGACCACATCTAATCTATTATCACTTATGGAATAGGCAGCAGCACCATCGATATTTTACATTGCTAACATACTTTCAAATCAGGAATTAGGATTTCCAGTCCAATATTTTAATCAAATCTTTTGACAAATAAAATCTCCGTATCTTTCCCAATAGGAGCATTAAGAGGTGGGAATGGTTGGCCTTCATGCTCTTTCTTTACTTTGCACCTCTTCTTCCCCTTCTTTCACAGTACAAGCAAAAAAAAAAAAAAAAAAAAAAAAAGAGCGGTGGTCAGGATTAGGAAGGTCATACTTGCTCCAGAATTATTTTACCTGGCTTTGCGGTCTCTGGTCCTGGCATCTTTATAAAGCTGGCCATTTGTCTTGGGGGGCTTGTTCAGGGGCTTTTCAGCGGTCCCCAATGCTTGGGACTTCTCGTAAGACCTGGAACAGTGCCATTTCTCTTTGTCTGGCTTCAGTGATCCCTTCCTACCTACTGTTTCTCTGGCTTCCTACCTCATGGAGATTCACTGTGGGGGACCCATCACTCTGTTAGATTCCTCTTGGGTAGGGCTTAAAACAGTTCCAGGCCAGTTCTTTCTTCTATGTGACCCATATACAGTTCAGAGGAAGCAAGCATTTTTCACTGGGCAACCTCTGGGGGTTTGGGCTAATCCCCATGCAGCTCCTTCTGTTCTGTTGGTATAGGCCACTGCAGCTTTTTCAGGTGAAGATAGGACCTAGTCCATTTTCTTGCCAGTTGCTGAGAATATATCCAAGTTCTCCAAGTGGCACTCCTGAGGGTTCCTCTCACAAAACTTAGAGTTAGCAGATAGCATGTAACACTTGAGCTGGCTAGGGTGCTGAAGACTCCAAACATGGTAATAGTTCTTTGCAAAAACAAAACAAAACAAAAACAAAACAAAAAACAAACTTCCTTAAATCTCTTCTTGCAAATACAAAAATTAGCCAGGCATGGTGGCATGTACCTGTAGTCCCAACTACTCAGGAGGCTGAGGGAGAATTGCTTGAATCCAGGAGGTGGAGGTTGCAGTGAGCCGAGATTGTGCCACTGCACTCCAATCTGGGTGATACAGCAAGACTCCATCTCAAAAAAAAAAAAAAAAATCTTGCTACTTTCTGACCTCTCTTTTTTCTTTTATATTCCTTTTTTTTGAGACAGGTTCTCACTGTGTCACCCAGGCTGGAATGCAGTGGCAGAAACTCGGTTCACTGCAACCTCCACCTCCCAGGTTCGAGTGATTCTCGTGCCTCAGCCTCCCAAATAACTGAGATTACAGGCGTGTGCCAACAGGCCCAGCTAATTTTTGTGTTTTTCATCGGCATGGGGTTTTGCCATGTTGGCCAGGCTGGTTTCAAACTCCTGAGCTCAAGTGGTTCACCCGCCTTGGCCTCCCAAAGTATTGGGATTACAGGCGTGAGCCACCGTGTCTGGCCTAACCTCTTTTTATGTCTTTGTTCTGGCTGAGGTTTCTAGAGTTGTGAAATTGGTTAGATTTCCTCTCCTTTGTAACTTCTGCATCTAGGGGCATGACTTGGGAATTTTACTTCTATTAGGCCTTGGTGTCTGAACAGAAATTTCAATTTTAATGTCATGTAACAACAACAGCAATGTAATTATGACAACTACAGCAACAACAACAATAACAAATAATATTTATTGAGTGCTTAACTTGTTCCAGGCCCCTTACTTAATCCTCACAATAACTCTTTTAGGTTGGTACTATTATTTATAAAGGGCACACTAATGATGCAGGACTTTGATTGTTAGGCTGAGAAGTTCATATTGCACAACACAGAAGTGCAGGCCTTGCTAGTGGCATTTCAGCTGGCTATTTTCCCCTTCTTAAAGATATTTGTGTGGGTCCTTGAGTCAGGCCTCAGAGCAATTGCTTTCTTCCAACAGGAGACAGTAACTCCGCCTAAGAAATGATCCAATTTCAGTAATTCCTGGGAGGCCATTGCTGTAATAAAGGCCGTTCTTTATGATATAAAAGTCTCACCCCTTTCCCCTCTCCCTTAATGTTTCTAATTTGAGCCCCTCTGGTCCCTATGGAGCTTTTAAATGCTTCAAGTGCAAACCTATTGCCAAAGCAAGCCTGTCTGACTAGGGAGGCAGCACCCTGCACCGTTGCCGAATATTGAACAAACATCCGTGCAGCTTTGGCTCTCCCAGAAGCCCTTAGTCTGATGCTTTGTTTTGTTTTCTGGATGAGGGCAAGCGGTGCCATCATCTCCTGCCGAAAAGCCCTGGCTGCCCTCCCAACAAGGAGTTGTCACTTCAACTGAGGCTTTTTTTTTTTTTTTTTTTTTGGTGGCAACAAAATAATACCCAGCAGGAATTTGGGAGGAGAAAAAAGAGAGTTCAGTTGGCAGGTTCTCAAATGAATGGGTTGTAGTGTCATTGGAACTGAATTGGGCTTGAAACCAGACATGATCCTATTTTGGAAGCATTGTTCAGAGGGATGGGAAATGTGAACAGAGGATAAGTCTCTTCAAAAATGTTCTTTTTCCTTGGCCTGTTAAAGACACTGTATTTTAACCTAACTCTCCCATTCACTTAATGGCAAGGGCCTACATGAAAACCTAGAGAGGGTCAGAGCAACTGGAAAAGTGCTCAGCTATTCATCTGTTGACCTTTTGATTAGAGCACTAATTTTACTTTGGGAAGAAGTTGTATGTTGACTACAATCATTTATTAGTTATCGTCCTTGTAATTTACCAATTCTGGCTCTTAGGTTCATCGATGCTTGGATAAGGCAGCACAGGTTATGTATGTTTACTATATATTTAACAAATATTAAAAATATTTTTGAAAGCCTGCTGTGTTCCAGGTACTGTGTAAGATGGATATGGGATCAGCAAAACTGATGCTGTCTTTTCCTTCATGTAGTTTACAATCTCGAGACATTAATAGATGATACAGAGAATAGGATGCTATCAGGATCTGTAATAGGAAAACTTAATAGGTCAGGTGCGGTGGCTCATGTCTATAATGCCAGCACTTTGGGAGGCTGAGGTGGGCAGATTGCTTGAGCTCAGGAGTTCAAGACTAGCCTGGGCAACATGGTGAAACGCTGTCTCTACCAAAAAATACAAAACAACAACAACAACAACAACAAAAAACACAAGAAAACATTAGCCAGGTGTGGTGGCATGTGTCTGTGGTCCCAGCTACTTGGAAGGCTGAGGTGGGGGGATTGCTTAAGCCCAGGAGGCAGAGATTTCAGTGAGCTGAGATTGTGCCACTGACTTCAACCCAAGTGACAGAGTGAGACGCTGTATATATATAAAAAAAATCTTGGTGTACGTTAGTGGCATGAGGAATTCAGGGAAGGCTTTTCTGAGGAATGGGCACTTGAACTAAGACCTGAGGGATGAGTGGAAGTTAGCCTGGAAAAGGCAGGGCTGGAGATGGGGTGGAAGAAAGAATTCTGTGCAGAGAGAAGAGCCTGTGCCACGATTGAGAGAGGCAGAGGGTATATGCAAGGGATTTAGCCATTGTAGCTGAACTAAGAGGAACAGAATAAGAGATCCAACTAGAGAGGCAGCATGTTGTCTAGATCCCACATTTTCTACATGCTCTCTTAATGGTTTTGGTCTTTAACCTAAGAGGAGTGAAGTGAAATGGAAGTGTTTTAAGCAGGAGAAGAATAAAAGGTTTGCCTTTCGAATAGATGACTTTAGCCACAGGGTAAGGTTGAATCAGAAGCAATTAGCTTTTGCAATTGTAATGTCTACAGAGGAATAATTAATGGAATGGCTAATGGTGTTTCATCTTAACTCTCATCTAGATCATAACTTAGGCATGACACAGTCTCTAAGAAATGGATCACTGTTAATACAAGTGTGTGAGACTTAGAAATAAGTCCCTTTCCTTATTTTGGTAATAGGTTTCAATGGGGTTGCACCAGATTATAGCCCTCCTTTGGCAAAACTAACCCTTAAATTCAGCTGTAAATTCTATACTGCTACTGTGGTGCAATTTTCAGCCAAGATTGTGGGCTTTTAACTGCACCAAAAGGGGTGATAGATTTAAAAAGCTGAAGATTTATTGAACAGAAGCAGACTAGCAAAGATCTATAGATTATTGTGTTGTTAAATGGATAGTTATATATTTAACCCAATGACTATGAATGTTTGTTTGATCAAGGGAATTTTTACTCTTAGCACCAAGTTATATTTCTTCTCAGTGAAATTATGTGCATATAGCAAGGTGCTATGGGGATCATGCCATCTGTGCTTTAAAATATGAGATAACATAAGATAGTCGTTTAAATGATAAATTGGTGATTAGAAGACTGGGATTGTGTGCTGAAAGGACTCACTGTGTGACCTTGGAAAGTCATTTTCCTTCTTTGGGACACACTTTTCTCTTCTTTAAAATGTGAAGATTTGTACTAGATCAGCATACCAGTGTGTTCTTTCAATAGTTTTTGAAATCCATTTTATGAAGAAAAGATGCCCTACTCTATTTTTTCTCCCCGGAGATTCACAATCTAAGTATATTGATGGTGCATTTGATTCCACAATTTTTACATTACTTAATCCATCATACTTCCATATTCCTATGTGGTTGGATCATTTCTCTGAAACTCAGTTTCCCCACCTGTAAACTAGGTCAAGAGCAGGGGTTGCCAAACTTTTTCTGTAAAGGGTAAGTTAGTTAATATTTTTAGGCTTTGTGATTATAGAGTCTTTGTTGTAACTACTCAATTCTGTCCTTGCAGCTATTCACAATAAATAAATGAATGGGGGTGGCTGTGTTCCAATAAAACTTTATTTACACAAGCTGGAAGGGGACTGGATTTGGCCCATGGGCCATAGTTTGTTGACCTAGGCCAGAGCGTGGGCTAATGAGTCCCTAGTGTCCTCATTGCTCTGACTCTCTCTTGACCTTCTCCCCGAACGGCTATTCTCTCCCAAGTTTGAAGTCATCTTTCCTCAAAACTATCCGTCTGGTCTACAAAAAGTCGTCATCATCTTCTTTTGAAAGGTCTGGATATAAGACTGTCTCTAGCTGCTGGGATGCCTTCTTTACACCCTTGTTTTGTTTGTCTTAGTAACTACCCTTCTTTAATCCCTGTGAAGGATTGGTTAACTGGAATTTTCCTTGTCTTCCTCCCCCAGAGCCTTTGATCTGATGCTCATAAGCATTTGCTGACAGCCAGACAGAAAAGGTGGAGGCCAGATTCCAGGCCTGAGGGCCCAGAGAGTAATGAATGAAGGCTGTGTTTATTTGTATTTCTAATTGGCAAGTCCATTTCCAGATCAGCTGCATGTCACTACAAGCCTAGAACCAAGAGCAAGAGACAACTCTCCTTTTTCTCCCCGACATCAGGGCGCAGGGCCCCTATTTCCACTGAGGCAGGAGCTTGCCTTGACATTACTAGGCTTCGTTGAAGCTGCCAGATGGATTAAGCTCTGTCTCTTAGTATAAAATTACCATGTTTTACCACTCAGATTATGCACTGCACATCTGTGAGGATACCATTCTCATAGTCTGTGATGTAAAAGGAACCCTGTCGGTTGTACAAATCACTTTGCTTCTTCAAGGTTTTTGATATAGCCATAGAACTCTTTATTTTCACGAAATCTTGTATAGAAGGCCAGCCTATAAAAGAAATAAAAGTGAAACTGCTCTGTTTGAAACAGAGATGAGAGTTTAGAGCCCTGCCTGCTCAGTTTCCCTCTTTTTCTATGCAATCAATTGCTGTGGTGCTTCCTAGGATCCCTAGGATTCCTCAGAAGAGTTTTGAAGTCTCTAGACTAGATCATGAATATAGTTCTAGCCATTCAGAATTCTATAATCTCTCTGGCTGAGTATCAAATACATCCGTCGCACCATGTTTGGCACTGAAAGTGGGTAGGAATGGGAGCCATGGCCCCTGATCTCCAAGAGTTGATAATATTGTTTTAGAGGTCAGCAGAAAATGGGAAGGGAAAATGAACTTAAATAAGATCTCATAAATAGAAACACTTATTCAGAAAAGAAGGGCTGGGGCAATGAAGAATGACTCCCTAAAGACAGTAACATTGGAATGGAGCATTGATAGAAGAGATGTGGAGAGGCAGAGGGGAAAAGCAGCACAGAGTGAGCAAAGGCACAGAGGTGGAAAATACTGGTTTATAGATCAAGAGAGATGGCACATAATGAAGCATGCATAAGTCAGATCTCAGTGTGCACATGAAGAAAGAGGCAGGAAAAGTGTGAACAAGGAAACAGGTAAGCACACACAAAAAAAGGAGAAATGATGTCTTTTCCAGACAGTCCTACCTCCTCCTTTCTCATTTGCTATTCATAACTGATTTCATTGGTATTATTAACCCCATTTCTCAGAATTTATCATTGGAGTCACTTGGATACTGACATTTTCCTAAGGTTGCAGAGGTATTTTCAAGCAGAACTGAGATTTCAGATGAAGTTGGCTTGACCCAAAGCTTGTGTTTTTCTTGTAATATTGGGCTGCATGGAAAATATAGGACTAGATATAAATTTTAAAGGAAGGATATCCTTTTTGTAGGTTGACAGAAGACTGAAAGGAATTTTTGGTTGGGTAAAAAATATCTTTGAATATTTATATCTTGCAAAATTATTGAATAATAATCTAGCCCAACCTACCAACTTTATTTAATTAATTAATTTATTTATTTTTCATTTATTTATTCTGAGATGGAATCTCGCTCTCTTGCCCAGGTTGGTGTGCAGTGGCACAATCTCAGCTCACTGCAACCTCTGCTTCCTGGGTTCAAGTGATTCTCCTGCCTCAGCCTCCCGAGTAGCTGGGATTATAGGTACATAACCCCACGCTTGGCTAATTTTTTTGTATTTTTAGTAGATATGGGTTTTTGCAATGTTGGCCAGGCTGGTCTCAAACTCTTGACCTCAGGTGGTCCACCTGCCTCAGCCTCCCAAAGTGCTGGGATTATTGTGCCTGGCCCCAACTTTACATACGGGAAAAATGAGGGCCAGACAAAGCAAGTGGATATTTAATGTAAGTGGTAGGACAATACACCATTCTGGCCTTTGAACCCTCAGTCTGGCAGTCTTTCCAAGGCATCATGAATAAATCACTCTATCATCTTTTTACTTCCTCAATGGATACCAGCTTCTTAGCATCTGTATTTTGTGAATTCAAGAGTCTGGCCTTTTGAATAATCCTGAGTTTACCTTTCGCTCTTCCTGTCTTGTGCCTCTCCAGAGACCACAGAGCTGGGCAGCAAGAAGGAGCTCAAGTCCATGCCCTTCATCACCTACCTCTCAGGTTTGCTGACAGCCCAGATGCTGTCAGATGACCAGCTCATTTCAGGTGTGGAGATTCGCTGTGAGGAGAAGGGGCGCTGTCCATCTACCTGTCACCTTTGCCGCCGGCCAGGCAAGGAGCAGCTGAGCCCCACACCAGTGCTGCTGGAAATCAACCGTGTGGTGCCACTTTATACCCTCATCCAAGACAATGGCACAAAGGAGGTGAGCTCCCCTGGCCCAGCCACTCAGTCAAACTTGACCAGCCCTCCTACCTCCTACCCTTGTGGACCCTTTGTCCAGGGGTATTGTCATCATGATCATCATCATATCATCATCATGGTGATTACTAGCATTTATTGATTCCTTACCATGTTCTAAATACTTACATAGTTTGACAATACTAGCTGTTATAAACAATAAACCCTTAAATCTCAGTGGCTTAATACAATCAAGGTTTTTGTTTGTTTGTTTGTTTGTGCAACATCCCAAATAGATGTTTTTGATTGATGGGGGGCTTTATGAGAAGTAGTGCAGGCTGGGCATGGTGGCTCATGCCTGTAATCTCAACACTTTGGGAGGCCAAGGCGGGTGGATTACCTGAGGTCAGGAGTTTGAGAGCAGCCTGGCCAACATGGTGAAACCCCATCTCTACTAAAAACACAAAGATTCGCCAGGTGTGGTGGCAGGCATCTGTAATCGCAGCTACGTTGGGAGGCTGAGGCAGGAGAATTGCTTGAACCTGGGAGGTGGAGGTTGCAGTGAGCCGAGATCGTGCCATTGTACTCCAGCCTGGGTAACAGAGTGAGACTTGGTTTAAAAAAAAAAAAAAAAGTAGTGCAGGGACTCAGCCTGTTCCTTGTGCTGCATTGACCTGATGCTTCCACAATTGCTGTGGAAGGGGAAAGAACAGGGAGGGTTGCACATCATAGGTTTAAATAGACCAAGCCTGAAAGTGGCAAATGTCATTTTTACCTCTCATGCATTCTATTGATTAGAACTCAGCCATTGTCCATACCTGTCTGAAATGAAGACAGGGAAATGGATTTTAGCTGTGTGCCTAGGAGAAGACATGGGTTTGGTGAAAACCTAGCAGTATCTACCTCAGTACAATACTTGCATTATCTCATTTACTCTGCCCTCCAGATCTGTGATTTACTTACATATATTGGTTCGATTCATATGAAATTGCTGACATTTGGCCATTTTTTACTTATAAAATGGCAATTTCATATGGTTCATTTTAATATCGTACCCCTTTTACAGCTGAGGAAACCTCAAAGATATTAAGTGATTTACTCAAAGTTGGTCTGCTCCAGAGTTTATATGCTTAGCCATGAAATTATTGCTTCTTTTTTTCTCTTCGGTTCTCTCACTTTTAATTATAGAATGGCAGGGCTTGAGGGGACCATATGAATTATTGATTCACTGGTTTGCAAACTTATCTTTATGGAACACTTTTTCCAAATGCAATCTTTCTTGAACCTCAATCCATAAAATCAGGAATAGTGATGCCACTATTTCAATGAGGCAGAGGAAGGGAGATAAAGCATCTCCCATTTGATCCCCACTCCTCCTTCTACAACACCTCCCAGACAGCCCTGGGCCTCCACTGGTAGACCACTGACTAAGTCTAGTAGAACTCTATGAATCCCGTGCCCCTCCCACAGCATACTTCTTGGCTAAGTGCTGGAGGGTGTTGAGTGCTCATACAGAGCTTCATAGAGGAAAGAGAAGGCATGGGAGAAAGGAGGTAGGGAAAGTGTCAGGTAGATGACCTAAGGAAGAAAAGAACATTGTTTGTACAAAGACCAAAAGAAATGCCTCATGACTAAGACCAAGGACGGAGGGAGAAACAAAATGAATCCTGATCATTTCCACAATATTGTAAGCCAAATTGTGGAATTTTGACCCTATCCTGTGGGCCATGAGGTGATGATGATGCATGGTTATTGGCAGGAGGCTGATGGGATTAGATTGTGTGGCAGAAGGAGGCCTCTGTAAAAAACCCAAATTCCCATCCATGGGACAGCATTGAAATAAAGCACAGGATATATATTCAATAGAATATACTACAGTAACCAAAATGAATGAGCTGTAGTGATACCTGTCAATATGAAATGAATGAATGTATTATTAACTGAAGAAAGTAAGTCCTAAAGATTTTTTTTTTTTTTTTTGAGACAGTTTTGTTCTTGTTGCCCAGGCTGGAGTGCAATGGCGCGATCTCAGCTCACTGCAACCTCCACCTCCTGGGTTCAAGCGATTCTCCTGCCTCAGCCTCCGGAGTAGCTGGGATTACAGGTACCTGCCACCATGCCCAGCTAATTTTTTGTGTTTTTAGTAGAGATGGGGTTTCACCATGTTGGTCAGGCTGGTCTTGAACTCCTGGCCTCAGGTGATCCACCCACCTCGGCCTCCCAAAGTGCTGGGATTACAGGCAAGAGCCACCATGCCTGGCTCCAAAGATTTTATATGGCACAACACCCTTTCCTCCCTTCTTTAAGTTAAAGCATACCTACACCTCAAATATACTATCTTTTAGGAATAAATACAGATGCAATAAATATGATTTAAAAAGGGAAGCAAGGAAGTGATGAACATAGGAGACAGGATGATGGTGATCTTGAGTCAGGAAAACTAAGGTAATGGCATAAGGAAGCATATGTTACATGTAAGTACTCAAGTTCCTAGCTGGTGTTTTTTTGTTTGTTTGTTTGAGACTGAGTCTCACTCTGTCTCCCAGGCTAGGGTGCAGTGGCGCAATCTTGGCTCACTGCAACCTCCGCCTCCTGGGTTCAAACAATTCTTCTGCCTCAGCCTCCTGAGTAGCTGGGATTACAGGCGTCCACCACCATGCCTGGCTAATTTTTGTATTTTTAGTAGAGACAAGGTTTCAACATGTTGGCCAGGCTGGTCTCGAACTTCTGACCTGAAGCAATCTGCTCGCCTCAGCCTCCCAAAGTGCTGGAATTACAGGTGTAAGCCACTGCGCCCAGCTCCTAGCTGGTGTTTTTGGTGGTAGATTAGTGAGAGTTCATTAAAGTTTAAAAAGTTTATTAAAACTAACTAGCTAACTGAACAAATAAATAAAGCCTACCCATGCATGGCTCAACAATGAGCTTCAGTCCTAAACTGAACACTGCAAATAATCTAACTCTGTGCATCAGAGGTCCCCAAACTAACACCAACAATAAAATACATATGTGTATGTCTCCACACCTCCAGCTGCAGGGTCAGGATAGACTGTGAGAATGTAAGAGTAGAATCAAGGAGATCCATGAGGAGGCTATTGCAGATTCCAATAAATAACAAGAACAGGCCCAGGGCCAGTGGTTCACGCCTGTAATCCCAGCACTTTGGGAGCCTGAGGTGAGAGGATAGCTTGAGCCCAGTGGGTTCAAGACCAGCCTGGGCAATATAGGGAGACCACCATTTCTGAAAGAAAAATTAGGCCAAGTGCGGTGACTCACACCTGTAATCTTAGCACTTTGGGAGGCCGAGACGGGCTGATCATGAGGTCAGGAGTTCAAGACCAGCTTGTACAACATGGTGAAACCCCATCTCTACTAAAAATACAAAACTTAGTTGGGTGTGGTGGCATGCACCTATAATCCCAGCTACTCAGGAGGCTGAGGCAGGAGAATCGCTTGAACCCGAGAGGCAGTGGTTCCAGTGAGCCAAGATCGCACCATTGCACTCCAGTCTGGGCAACAGAGCAAGACTCTGTCTCAAAAAAAAAAAAAAGAAAAGAAAAAATTGGCCTGGTGTGGTGGTGCACACCTGTCATCCAGCTACTCTGGAGGCTGAGGTGGGAGGATCGCTTGAGCGCATCAAGCGCTCAAGGAGGAGGTCAAGGCTTCAGTGAGCTGTGATTGTGTCACTGCACTTCAACCTGGGTAACAGAATGAGACACTGTCTCCAAAACATAAATAAATAAAAATACCTAGTGGTTCGACTAGTGTTGTATCAGTGAGGATGTAGTTTTGTTTAACTGGCCTTCTGGGACTTGGTGAATGAGCCTGTGAATATCCCTGTTTACTGCTCTGTGAACTCGCTCCAGTGACGGCCTTTCTGGGCCACACTGTCCTCATCTGCAATGTGGCACACTACAAGCCAAGCCACGGGACTTTTGCAATGTGTTCTTGGCACATGCATAGCAATAGATAGGCTGGTGGTGCCTTTCCTGTTTGTGCAGGAGCCAGATTCCCCTATGTCTGGATTCCATGCCAGGTTCCCTCAGCATCATTGAAATATTCAACTTATTGGAAATCCAGTGAGGTCTTTCTGAGGCTAATTAGTGGTGTGTGATCAGAGAATCCCAAGAGTGTGAAAGTGGTCACTAGATGTCACTGTTCTCCTTGCAGGAGACCTGTAGAGCTGGAAGTGCTAGTCATTCATTCATTAAGTATCTTTGAGCCCCCACTGTATGCTAAGACTGCGTTATACCCTGAAGAGTGAACAGTATGACAAGTGGATATGGTCTTTATCTTTACGGAGTTCACAGACTTATGGAGAAGACAGATATTAATGAAACAATCACACTAATAAGTAGAGTCAAGACTGTATAGAGTACTAGGCTGGTGGATTGCAAGCGTGTATTAAGGGGCCTTACGCAGTCAGAGAAGGCTTTCCTGAGAAAGTGACATGTAAAGTGAGCTTTTGGGGGCCAAGTGCATAAAATGAATATGGAAGACTGAGGTTTCAGAAAGGAAGAGGAGAATGAGAACATTGCTGGTAGAATGCCCAACTTCTGCAAACACCTGAAGAATGAGCAAATGTGACCCATTTCAGGAAGAGAATGAAAACCAGTGTGGCTGGAGCTGAGACTGGGAGAAAACTCCATGGACAATGCTGAAGAGAAGTCAGGCAGAACTGTACAACATGTGGTGAGGAGTTTAGCCCCAGGGCAATGGGGAAGCCAGGAGAAGTTAGAGCAAACAGACAGGCATGGGCACTATCTTCTCACTTCTACTCTCTTTTCCTCTTAGTGATCCTTGCAAAGAAATGTTAGAGCTGAAAGACTGTAGGCGGCTTCCTCCAAGTCTCCAGTTTCTTCTTTCCCTCCCCAAACACAAATGAAAGGCCTGTTTAAAGTGTCATGACAGCCTAAGGGATGGAGTGCCTTAGACATTTCCAAAGGAGCCAGGTTGCAGTGGGAATGAGTGGGATAGACCCACTGCAGGTCTGGAAATGATCCTGGAGGAAGGGAATATGGCCACAAAACAACGCTGGTGGGAAGAAAAAGCAGCTACTCTCGTTTTGTTTATCATTTTTTCTCCAACTCTGCCACTAACTCCCATCACCCTTCCTCCCATGACTTTTCCATCTTTCTATCATCTCTACAGGCCACATGGATACAAGAAAACACTTCAGAGCCCTGACCTATAGTTGAGGGGCCTGGGCTTTCACACTGAGACATAGCAGGTCATAGCAAGTTCTTTTCTCTTTCTGGGACTTTCTTTTCCTACTTCAAAAAACAAAGAACAAAACAGAACAAAACAAAAATTAAAAAACAGATAAGTGGAGTCAGTTTCTTTCTGAGTTTCCTACAAGACACTTTATTTACATGGAAGCAGATAGTACAGGTTCTTTGCTCTACCGGCTTGGGTTTGGATGTTTCCTCAATCCCCATTCACTATGTGATGCTGAATGGTGTCTTCATACCTCAGTTTCCACACTTGTAAAATGTGGTCTCACAATCCCTACTTCATGGGAATCAAAAGAGATAATGAATGCATAATGTCCAAGAAGAAATCACTTAACAGACGAATGTTATCTATGATAGTGATAAGAATATGTTTATTTAAAATGGCTCTTTTCTTTTTCTATGTTTCCTTTGGTAACTCCTCTTCTAGATAGTACTTGAAAACTTTGCTGGTACCTAAAGTGCTAGGGACATGACATTTTAGAATAGGATTCATATTTTGTATGGGAGAGGCCATTGGCTAACCCAAAAGGGCACTTTACAAATGGAGGGATCTCAGGGGCATTTTCTCACTTTATAAACATTGCTGGAACTTGTATTCTGTTGGCAATGAATATCATAGCTCATTCTAATGCAGAGTGGAAGTTCCTCTGTATGAGAACTCCCTACCCCTGGAGTAGAGGCTCTGAGTAAAATCCTGAACCCCATTTTATGGCACAGTTAGGGACTAACAGAGAGAGGATATGACATGCCTGAGGTTTGTGGGGTATTTTTGTCCTCTGATTCTGGACCAAGGTATTCTCGATGGCCTTGGGGACCATTGGACCCTAGCTCCTTGGGTAGTTGGGGTCTCCTTAGGTACATTCCAGTGAATGCATGGGAAAAGATGATGCCTTCTGCCTAAGCTGGAAACGAGCCCTTGATTATACCTTGTGCTGTTGTTTTGAACAAGAGAAGCAGGGAAAAACTCTTTATGAAGAATAATTTGATTAATGCATAAATCTCCTCCCTCCACCTGTTAAATGGCTCTTACACAGCCCAAAGCCACAGAGCTTGGCTCAGCACAACTGGTGCTTAAATGTACAAGACTTTGTGTGGTTGTTAACTTAGCTCCTGGGTGAAAGAGAGTCTTCCAAGTGGAGGAGGCAGAGGAGTGGCATACTAAAGAGCCAGACAGAGTTGGATTTGAATCCCTTCTCTGCCATTTACTGTCTATGTGATCTGACTTTTACTTATTTGTAAAGTAGGCAATCTAGTATTTATCCCTTTTCATCTCAGGGTTGGGAGTTTTCTTTGGGAAAACTAGAAAACGGAGACACTAGGAATCTGAACTAGGCTCTGTCCTTGATTATTATATGACATTGGACATGCTTCTACTGTCTAGGTCTCCATTTCTTTATCTGTATGATGAGAAAAGCAGGCTAACTTCATCCAAGGTCCCCTTTGGCACTGTGATAAGGTCAGCTCTAACTTCTACCCAGAATATAAAGCAAATCTTTTGAGGTTGGAAGAGGCATCCTGTGACCTGAAATTTGTTTCCCATTCAGAGACAATGCCAATTTTACTCCTTAAATTTAATACTGGGAGGAGAAAGATATACATATCTTGCACTCCATACCAGTGGCACACAATGACATAGCATTTATGAGCAGATAGGGCTATTAAAATCTTATCCTGTTTATTTTACAAATCAACCTCTTTATTTTACAGATAGTAAAACTAAGAACAGAGCTGAGGACTGAGTTTTTTCAGGTCACATAGCCAAGGCTGAATTTGAAGTAAGACATGCCTTCAACCCTTGGAAATATCTTTTATTTTTCCAAGGCTCAGTTTTCTCATCTGGGAAATGGGTGGTGGTAACTTTCCCCACAGCTGTCTGTAGAAAAATTAAGAGACTTTCAATGTTTTGAAGGCTGTAAAATACTCTGTAGATCTGAATGGTTCTTTCCAGCCCTCGGGTTTTCAGACTTCCAATCCTGTGAGCATTTTCTGTTCATGCTGCTCTAGGAAGAGTCATGTGTAATTCTAGTCTTGTGGTTGTCTGACCTTCCAGCAGATTCTTTCTCTCTGCCAGAAAAGCTTGTTTGTTTCATTTCCACTTTTTGGCTCCAACTGAGAAGAGAATTCCAAATAACTACTCTTTGAAGAGAAATTAACAGCCAAGTCTCACCCCCTCCCCCAGTTATTACCAGTACCTACCATCACTACAACCATGACCACTACCGCCACCACTATGCTACACCACTACTATCACTACCAGCATCACCCTCGCTATAGCCCCATCACTGTGATTATCTTGCATTGGTTGCCTACTGTGTGCCAGATACTGTGTTAGAAAATGTGCTATAGAGAGGAACAAGACACAGACTGTGCCTTCAAGGAGCACACAGTCTAGTAACAAGGACACATATGCTACTATAATTACTTACATATGCTACACAAATGCATGATTTATTTTTGAATAGTGCAATAGACATTCCAATAGTGTTAGAAGAGAGAAAGAAACTCTGAGAGGGAGAATCTGGAAACAATTCTTAAAGAAGGGAAGGTGGATATGGGCACATAGTAGAACTGCAAAGCAAGTTTTTTGATGATGAAGACAATAATATCCATCAGATACATATATATGTACTATGTGCCAAAAACTGTGCTAAGGACTTTACATGCTTTATCTAATTTAATCATCCAACAACTTATGAGGGAAGTACTATTATTATCCTTATCTAACAGATAAGGAGATGGAACCCCAGAGAAGCTTGAACCCAGGTCTGTAAGATTTCAAAGCTAGTCTAGACCAAAGTTGGAAAACTATGGCCCATGGGCCACATCCAGCCTGCTTCCTATTTTTATAAATCAAGTCTATGAAACATAGCCACATATCTTGATTTACGTATCATCTATAACTGCTTTCCTGCTGCAACAGCAGAATTAAGTAGTAGCTACAGAAAACAGTATGGGGTGCAAAGCTCAAAGTGTTTACTTTCTAGTCCTTTACAGGAAAGGTTTGCCAAACCCCGGTCTAGACTAAGCAATATTGGAAAAGCAGGAGACAGAAAAATGTGTCAATACTATGTGCTGAGCATGTAGAATAGAAGAATAGAAGAATAAAACCTAACAATTATCGAGTGCCAACTATGTGCCTGGCATTTAAAAAAGTGCTTCATGTGTATTTATATATGTTCTCTTACTCTGTCCCCCTACAACACATTTGAAGTATTCACTATTATGCTTACTTTACAAATTAAAAAACAAAAACCTGAGACTTCAGAGAGGTGAATAATTTACTTAAGATAACATGGCTAGTGAATTGTGGGGTGAGAATTCAAACCCAGAATGTCTGAGTCCAAAGCTTTTGTGTTCAGTCAGCCATTCTTGCAACAGGCCTGAAAGATTTGGTAGAAATAAAACTGGAAAAGGGATAGGCAGAAGGCTGCATTGTGGGCAACTTTGAATGCCATGTTGTAAAATTCGGGTGCTGTGCAAACCATATAGAGTCTTTCAAGATTGTAGGTCAAGGAAAAATATAACTAGATTTGAGTCTTAGAGTAGCAACTATAGCAACAGAAGATGAATTGCGGGGACCAGGACTGATTTTATGGCAAGGGTTGTTAATTTGGCATTTGGGGATCCTTGACTTTATAGGATCTTTGGATGCTCATCCCTAGAAAGTTTTTGCAGAATTATACATTACTTATATTTTTCTCCTGGAGAATAGATCCATATTCTTGACTCAAATGTTGTAGAATACTAAACTAAGAGGGTCAGTGTCAGTTAGATGGGGGGTATATGTATGAGATGGCTGAAGAGTGAGAATTCCATTTACATCATTTGAACAAGTATTGACTAAGGGGCTCCTATTGGCCAGACACTGTTCTGGGCACTTGGGATACCCTGAGGAGCAAAGCAGGCATTATAGCTTCACAGTCTAGGAAATTAATTTCTACTGGAGTGTGTGTGAGAGAGACATGAAATAAGCAATCAGCACAGTAAATAATATAGTATATTAAAAAGTATACAAAAAAAGTACAGCAGAATAAGGGAGGTCAAGAGTGCCTAGTGAGTGGAGTTCTGGATCTCAGAGTGTCTCAGTGGATCAAAATCACTTAAGGTGAGAATGGGGGAAGTGTTTGTTTAAAATGGAGTTTCCTTGTCTCTTCCTACTGATTCTGTTTTTTTTTGTTTTTTTTTTTTTGTGGGTTGGGAGCCTTCATTTTCCCAGCCTCCCCAGGTAATTCTGGTACAAAATGAGCTTGAGAACCACTACCCAAACTGGTTCATATGTCATTTTCAGTTTGAAATTCCTTCAGGGAATTCCTTGTTTAGGGATTAAGAAAGTCAAGTACTTCCTATAATCTAGCTTAAACCTTCTCTGCTATTGTGGGTCACTTCCTTTCTATCTTAGTGCATTCTGAGAAGGAGGTGAACCGGCCAAGAATCAGACTGTCAGGCAATCCTTGGCAACAGGGAAGATCAAAGAAAAGAGGGAGAAGTAATCCACATATTACTCAACACACTCATGGTCAATTACAAAAGAGGAACTTAATACTTGGCTTGTCTACCTGCAAAACTGGAAAACATAGCTCTTTCATGGGACCTGAAGACTACCAGATTCAATAAGAAATGCGAGATATACAGTTTTAGCAAATGCAAACATTTTTGCATGTCAGAGAATATTTTTTTTCCATGGGACATTGAATTAGTTATTACATGCAATAAAAAAAGAGAATGGCAGAAAAGCTTTCCCTTGTCCTTTTAATAATAACAAACATTTACTGAGCACTTCCATGGTGCCAGGAGCTTAGCTAAAGCACTTTATGTACTTGGCTCACTGAACCCTCTCATCAAGTCCACATGGTGGGTGCTATTATTATCCTTTTTTCCCCAACATGAAAACTGAGGCATGGAGAAGCTAAATCACTTGTCTCAAGGTCTTACAAATAGGAACTTGTAGAGCCAGGATTTGACCTGAGCACCTGAGCCTCTTCTCACTTTCCTCTCTACTAGCTTCTCTTCTTCAAATTTTAAATAAAAGTTAAAGTCTAATGCATGCTAAAGACAATGTCATTGCATTCAGTTACCTTCTCCAGCTACTGTCTCTTCATTTCTTAACAGCCAAAACTTTTGAAAAAGCAGGCATCTCTGTCTACATTGATTCACTTCGATTCATTCTAGGATTGGCTCCTACCATAAAATAAAAGTACAGTAACTTCTCATTTGTAACCCTTGCAGACCACTGTACTATGGTTGCCATGAATTGCCTCCCTTTCTTCTGACAGTATTTTCTATTTCCATTTTTAAAATCCTGAAACCAAGGAGTCAGCCTTGATAACTCCTCTTTCCTTTCCACCTGCACCCATTCCCCACAAAATACAACCCATTCCAAGTCCTGTAGATTTATCTCCTTAAGAATTTCTCTAATACATTCACTCTTTCCCAAACTGATCCAAATCTTGCCTGTACTATTTCAATAGTCTCCTGTCTAATAACAACCCCTGCCTCTTTTAATCCTTCCACTTCTTTGCAGCCAGAGTGATATTTTCAAAACTAAAACTTGCTCACATCACTTTCGTGATTAAAACCATTTATCGACTTCCAGTTGCTCTTAAGATAAAAACCAAAGTCCTTGCCATGGTGCTCAGGGGCTGCTTGGGCGGAAACCTTCTAATTTCTTAAAACTCATCTTGTCTTCTTACTTCTCTTGCTTCCTGTGCTCCAGCCATAGTGATCTTCTTCTAGTTTTTGGAAACACTGTGCTCTGTCCTGCCAAAGAGACTTTGCACAGGCTATTCCCTGTAGTTGGAATGTATTTTTCCCCTTCTTTCCACTGAGTGAACTGTTACTGATTTATCAGATTGCCAAGGTTTCCAGATTTGATAAGATCCTCCTTGTTTATTTTTTCACTTACTTTCTTGGGTCTCTTTGTCTTTCTTCCATAACAGTTATCACACTTTCTAATTATACTTTTATTTTTTGAAACTGATTGATGCCTGTGTCTCCTCCTCTTCCAAATTTTATTATTTTATTTTATGGTCATAACAGAGTTTATGAGGAAGAAACAGCAGATAAACTCAGAAATGGAAGGGATTATAGAAGCATCCAACCCAACCCTAGTCTATTTCTCAATTCCTTTCTTTTGCACCTTGCAAAAAGTTGTGGAGACTGTGTCTGAACATTCCCAGTTTTCAAATGGCTTGCTCAGTGACACCTAAGCATTTGGTTTCCCTCACCGAGAGAACATCCTTTCTTATATTAAGTCAAAATATTTTCCTATACATTAGCAGGTAAACTTCATGAAACCAGGTACTACACCAACTTTTAGTCAGCCTTATACCGACAGCTGATAGTAAAGTGCCTGATGCATAGTAGAAATTCAATAAATACACTTAAAAAGAAAATAAATGATTGAATGAATGAGTGAAAAAAAGGTCACCAGCTTGCACTGACACTCTTTCATGGTGTTTTCACATACATTGGCTCCTTTCAATAGAAGCATGAAGGTAGCACTGTTTATCTTCATTTTTTAGATAAGGAAACTTGAGACTCAGAGAGTGTAGCCAGCCATCATCTGAAGCCCTGTAAGACTAGCAAATATCAGAGCCAGGGCTGGAATCCTTTTTCCAGCTGTCCAATGTCTACTTATTTATCACACCACCATCATTTATCTGAGGGTGTCATCAAAGACTGCCCCAGCCAGGGCAATGCTGGGCTTCCAGGAAGAGCAAGCTGCAGGCTCCATCCCTTTTGGAGCTTAACCCTGTTCACAGGGAGCTCTTCTTAGGTCATTAGGCAACTTCAGTCAACAGTGGTGGTAAGGGCCTGGAGAGAATTCACAAACAATCCAACTCTCTTTCTATTTCTTCCTAATCTAAGAAGAAAAAAAAAGTCATTCCAGATGTGTCTCACAATTCACCAGGCATATGCAGTTGAAAGCAGCATGAGTTTGTACCATTACACAGATGGTCAGTCTGTGCAGTGCCTTCTCTAGGTGACAGAGTTACATCATGCCTAGCATCTCTGAGCAAAAGGATTCCAGGCTATAAATTCATATCCTGAGAGGAGAGGAAGACCACAAAGAATGTGGATTCTCCTTGGATCATGTGTTTCTTTTTCATTTTTAGCTTCATCTCCAAATTATCCCATTTGGGAGAGCACTGTTAAATCCCAGGATCTGCTACCCACTCCAAAATCAACTTAGTTCAGAAAAGCATAACATACACAAAGGTAGAGAGAATATAATAATGAACTGCCATGTACCTATCATCTTCTAGTTTTAGTAGTGATTAATCCTGTGTTACCTCCTCTCACATCTGCTTCTACACTGCCCTGGTAATTTTGAAACACATCTCAAACATGAGATAATTTCATGTGTAAATGTTAAAATCCTTATCTCTTAAACATAAACACTCAAAAGATAACCTTAATGCCCTATCCAGGATTCCTAAATGAACGATAATTTCTCTATATCATCAAACATCCCATTATTGTTCATGTTTACTGGATTGTCTTATATCTTTGGTACTTGTTTGTTTTTTCAAATCAGAAACTAAATAAGATCCAAATGTTGTAGTTGGCTGATAAGTGAGTCTCTTCTAACCTGTCTATCTCTCTTTTTATTCCTTGGGATATTTTATGGATAAAACTGGGTTGTTTGTGCTGCAGAGTTCCCCACAACCTGGATTTTGCTGATTGCATTCACATGGTGTTATTTAATGTCCTTATCTGGCCTTGTATTTCTTGTAACTGTGTAGTTAGGTCTAGAGGCTTGATCGGGCTTGATGGTTTTTTTTTTGGCAATTCCCCACAGCCCATATTGAAAAACCTGTAGACAAAGGTGATCTATTAGAAAAACTTGAGCTTTTTACTCTAGTAGTTGAAAGATTGTCTTTCATCTGGTCACATCTTTCATCAAGCCCTAGTTGTTGCCTCTCTCCTATGTTAGTTACTTGTGGCAATGGACTTTGAGCCTTAATTCCCTCACCTATGTTTACTAACTAGAGTTTACTAATAATTCCTAATATCTGAGAATACTGTATTGCATGAGATGGGTATTAACATGTTTAGTTTTGTGCTGGTGCGTAATAAGTGCTGAGTAAAGACAAATTCTTACTTATCATATTTTTGCTACTTTCTGCTTTTCCTCTTATTCCTCCTTCTCTACATTTCATTGTTTTATTTTTTGATCACAACAGAGGCTACGAGAAGAAAGAAATAGAAGGGTTTATACAGGCATCTAGGCCAACCTGTATGTATTACTTGATTCTTTTCTCCTATATCCTGCAAGAGCTTCTTTTTGAATTCTCCTGGAATGGTTTGCTGAGTGACCTACTAAGCATCCTGTTCCACCACTACTAGAACATCCTTCTTTATGTATGTATGTATTTTTTTGAGACCAGGTCTCACTCTGTCACCCAGGCTGGAGTGCAGTGGCACGATCATTGCTCACTGTAGCCTCGATCTCCCTGGCTCAAGCGATCCTCCAACCTCAGCCTCTCAAGTAGCTGGGACTATAGGCACATGCCACCATGCTTGGATAATTTTTGTATTTTTTGTAGAAATGGGAGTTTTGCCATGTTTTCCAGGCTTGTCTTGAACAGCTGGGCACAAGTAATCTGCTAGCCTTGTCCTCCAAAAGTACTGGGATTACAGGCATGTACTACCGTACCCAGCCCCTTCTTTATATTGAATCAAAGTATTTTTCTATACATTTCTTGTCCTTGTAGTTTCTAATTCTGTTTATCAACACTGTACTGAGCAGGTTTTAGCTATTGATTTACTAGACAGAGCATATGTTTTGAAAGCGAGAGATGAGGGTTTAAATACTACTTTTGTCTCAAAAAAATACTGTATGCCTTTTGGGATGTTACTTAAATTCGTAAGCTTTTGTTTTACCATCGGTAAAATGAGATTAATAATATCTACCTTATACAATTGTTTCACAAATTAAGAGATAGTTCATGTAAGGTGCTTAGCAACACTGCCTTGCACTAGAAAAAGCTCAGTGAAAGTTAATCCTCTCTCCAATTCTAAGTGACAGTCTTTCAAGTATTTGAAGATATTTTAGGTCTCAGTTGATTTTTTCTTCTCTCCTGGAAATCATTCCCAGTTCCCTCAACAGTTTGTCATCACATGGGTCTGAATCTTGATGTAGACTCTACCTTAGTCCATTTCTGCTAACAAAATACTTGATACTGGGTAATTTATACGGAATTTTATTTCCTCATGGTTCTGGAGGCTGGGAAGTCCAAGATGAAGGTGCTGGCAGGATTGGTGTTTGGTGAGGGTTGCTCTCTGCTTCCAAGATGGCACCTTGGTGCTGCATACTTGGGAGGAGAGGAACACTGTGTCCTTAACATGGCAGAAAGGACCAAAGGGCAGGGCAAAAGAGCACTTGCTTTAACCTTGAGCCCTTTTATAAAGATAATACTCCCATTTATAAAGGTAGAGCCCTCATGACTTAATAACCTCCCAAAGACCACTCCTCTTAATACTGTTGCATTGAGGATTAAGATTCAACATGAATTTTCGGGGAGAGATCATGATGTAATCCACAGCCAACTCAGTCTTATCCAGGCCATACTGATTATAGGGCTCTGAAATAACTGCAGTATGTCTAAGTACATCTTTTTCTTTCTTTCTTTTTTTTTTCTTTGAGATGAAGTCTCACTCTGTCGCCCAGGCTGGAGTGTGCAATCTCAGCTCACTGCAACCTCCACCTCCCGGGTTCAAACGATTTTCCTGCCTCAGCCTCCCAAGTAGCTGGGAGCTGGGATTACAGGTACCCACCACCACATCTGGCTAATATTTGTATTTTTAATAGAGATGGGGTTTCACCATGTTGGCCAGGCTAGTCTAGGACTCCTGACCTCAGGTGATCCACCTGCATCAGCCTCTCAAAGTGCTGGGATTACAGGCATGAGCCACTGCACCCAGCAAGTCTAAGTACATCTTAATGTATGGTATGTGATTTATGAAGAAAGAAGTTAGAAAGCACAGAGGCTATTTCCGTTGCCTTAGAGTTAAGGATAGAAATCAAGTATCTTGCTTCCAGACTTTTAGACTTATCCTGGGTCACAATAGCTTCTATATTTAGTGCCATATACATAGTAGGTATTCAAAACATAACTTTTGAGTGGCTAAAGGAGACTGACGCTCAGAAGGAGAAGTATCAGTATTACATAGCAGTAGGTTATGGAGCTAAGATTTAAACCCTTGTTTGTCTGGTTCCATAGCTTGTGGTCTCAGCATGCAAAGAATAGAGCCTTTGTCATTACTGGCTTTTTCCACTACAGTTTGGCATGGGCAAGCCTGTTCTATCATCAGATAGCCTTTCTTGGATTCTAGAGTTTCTTCTATCATTTTCCACTTCATCTTTCTTTGACCATAAAACTTCTTGCTCCGTTCTCACTTCTTATTTCTCAGCCCCTTGGAAACTGGGTTTTGCTCCACCATCTAATCAAAGTTTTTGTCTCAAAACTCAATGAAAACCATCTATTAGCTCAATTCAAAGCCCTTTTCTTAATGCCTTTTCAGAGATCCTACATCCACTATCAAAAGAGCTTGGGCTTTTGGGCTTGGCTTCTTCAACTTCAGCTTGCTCCAACCTGGAGCTTTTTCAGAAATTATTGCTTGTCTTCCAAAAATCAGAGGGAACACCAGGCAATTGAAGTATAACGTAGCAGGTGCTTGAGGTAGGGTAGTACATGTTAGTGAAGCTCTTCTCATCCCTCTACAGTGCTTCCCTGGTGATTTTTTCTCATATGTGCAGGTACTCATTTTGAATAGAGCTGGAGAATATATAGGTATAGATAATATATAGGTTTATAGATATAGGTATAAATATAGATAGATTTATTTGCTTATTTTTTATGTATCAGGAGAGCATTAATTACATTCAAGGTGAACAGACTTACCAGTGAGATTTTGATATTTTAGAGGTTTTAGTGAGATGTCATAGAGAGAACCATGGTTTTAACCGTCAACCAGATTTACATTTAAATTTCACATTTCATGCTTACCTGTTGGATGACATTGTACATTCAACTTAGCCTACCTGAGCTCCGTTTTCTTAGATGTAAGATGGGAGTAATATGAGCACCCACTTTATAGGGTGGCTCTGAATGTTATATAAGATGATGGATGTAAAGAAAAGGCAGTACTTGAATCAGATAGACTTAGGTTTAAGCTCTCATTTTGCCACATACTATGGAGATATAATTTAATTACTTATAACCTCAGTGGAGGTAATAATAGTATTTAACTGTTAAATAAGACTATGCATGTAAAGCATTTAGCAATAGCTAGTACGATTGAACACTTGATCAATATTAGTTGTAGCTTCCTCTTGCTTCCTTTTTTTTCTTCTTAGTCTTCCCCCACTTCTCTCTCTTTTTCTCCCCCAATCCTCTTCTCTTGCTTCTTATTAAAGCATCCAGCACAGAGTAGGCATAAAAAAAATAGTAATTGTCTTACCCTTAGAGATCCACTGATTCAAAAATTAAAAGGGCAATCAGTTCACAGAAACAAGGAAAGTCCTACTTCCCCAAAGGCAAAGATAGTATCTCTGATAGCTTGTTCCAGTGCCATATTGTTTTCTCAATAGAAAATATTACAAAGAATAAAAATAATTCCAAGTGAGTGTAGATGTGCCTTGAGTTTCTTTTGTCTGTAAATAAGCATGTCTAACAGCTGTTAAAAAATTATTTTGCTTATTTTTTTTTTTTTTTTTTTTTTTTTTTGAGACGGAGTCTCGCTCTGTCGCCCAGGCTGGGGTGCAGTGGCGCGATCTCGGCTCACTGCAAGCTCCGCCTCCCGGGTTCACGCCATTCTCCTGCCTCAGCCTTCCGAGTAGCTGGGACTACAGGCGCCCGCTACCACGCCCGGCTAATTTTTTGTATTTTTAGTAGAGACGGGGTTTCACCGTGTTAGCCAGGATGGTCTCGATCTCCTGACCTCGTGATCCGCCCGCCTCGGCCTCCCAAAGTGCTGGGATTACAGGCGTGAGCCACCGCGCCCGGCCCTATTTTGCTTATTAAGTTACTTTCTTTCATCTAGAGAATACCCAAGTTCAGGACCTAGTCAATATTTGTTTAATTATCAAGTATATGTGGATATTTATATAGATCTGACATTATTTTAGGCACTTTATACATGATCCTTGTACATTTCTAATTGAGGTAGATCTTAGTATATACCCATTTTATACAGGCAGAAAGTGAAGCATAGAGAGTTGAAGATGATTCTGTCAGTTTGCTTAGTGATAGCACTGGAATTTGAACCCAGGAGTCTGGTTCCAGTGACCATGCTCCTAACCTCAATGTTCTACCATCCCTCCGTCACGTGTAACATCCTTTCCTGGGTTAAATGATCTAGACTTTTCAGAATCCACTTGCCATGATAGAAATATGACTACCTTAAAGCTGATAAGAATCTACCACTTCCAAGCTTCCTCAGCCAAATTTAAAAGGCTCCCTATCAAAGGCCAAGGTAAACTCAGAATGAGTCTAGCTAGACTAAGCATGTCCCCTCCTGTCCTGTGACCTTTATTTTCCTGCCCCCACTCATAGTCCCATAGAAGCCCCACCAGCAGGAGAGGCTTCCTCCCTCAGATACCTCCTTAGGGACAATGGGCGTACTGGAAAAATGAAATCATCAGTGGCCACAGAAGAGAAATTGTGTAATTCTTTATTTAGGAACTTGCCATTAACTTAAGCTAGCATTTAGAGATGCAAACTCCACAGTCTTGGACAAATCCTTCACTTGAAACTTTCCAACCCGCCTCTCATCTCCAGATGTTCTCACCACAGGAAAGACGAGTTTCTATCTATCAAAGGACAGCAGGCTTAGAAGACAGGTCTTGTCTCTTGGGTGGGACTGGAATCCTCAGCTAAAGGTTTCCCTTAGGAAAAGTATGTGAGTTCCAGCCAGGTTTCCCCTTCCAGGACTGGGCAGTCCAGGAGCAACGCCTTGTAGGACACAGGCTGAAAAGGGGAACCATCCTCTGAAGAACTTAAATTTGTGTAAGATTAACAAACCCTTGACAATTCAAGGTCACAGAGCAAGATGCCTTGGGAAGATGACTCATGATTAGATGGATGAGGCTACTGATATGGCTATGTCTTCTCCCTAGAGTTATAACCGATGTTTCCTATTGCTCATAATTGGTCTGCTATTCATCACTTTCACAATTGCTCTCAGCTTAGTGACAGGCAGGACAAATGATTTGGAGATAGTTTAGAACAATGTAAGCACAATCTATTGCCCCGATGACTGAGCAGGTCTACTAAGATCACATAGATCACACACCCAAACAGCTCCCAGTCTTCTTTCCTCAGACTTTATTATTCATTCATACAACAGGCGTTCATACAACAAACTTTTATGGAGTACCTACTTTGGGTCATGCCTTGTGCAAGGAATTTCTGATAAAATAAGGCAAATAACTCATAGTCCAGTAGGGAGGACAGACATATAGATAACAATTCCATAAAATGTGGTAAGTCCACTAACAGATATGTTGTCAAAGGTGCAGTAAGGGCTTTTGAATTCTGCTGGGAAATCAAGGAAGGGTTTTCAAAGAAGACTGAAGTTGCAGTGGGTCTTAAAGAATGAGTACAATTTGATTAAAGATAGAATAAAGGCATTATAGGCTGGGGGAACCCATGTACAAAGATACAGTGACATAAAAGTTTGTTGCCTCCCTGGTCCATGACAAAGGGTTCAATGTAGCTGGTATGTAGGACTGGGACAGGCTATGGCGGTGGGATATGAGGCTGAGAGGTTGTTTGACATCACTTTGTGAAAGGCTGTGTGTGCCAGGCTAAGAAAAATGGTTGTATTTTTCTTAGTCAAAATTATTTTTAGTTGTTTTATTGTTTTTCTTTTTAGAAATACAGAATAGAGATGAGGTCTCACTATATTGGCCAGGCTGGTCTCAAATTCCTGGCCTCAAGCAATCCTCTTAAAGTGCTGAGATTACAGGTCTTTTTTTTTTATTATTATTGATACATAATAGTTGTACATATTTTGGGGGTACTTGTGATCTTTCTTTCTTTCTTTCTTTCTTTCTTTCTTTCCTTCTTTCTTTCTTTCTTTCTTTCTTTCTTTCTTTCTTTCTTTCTTTTCTTTCTTTCTCTCTCTCTCCCTCTCTCTCTCTCTCTCTCTCTCTCTGTCTCTCTCTCTCTCTCTCTCTCTCTCTCTTCTTTTTCTTTTTCTTTTGACACAGTCTCACTCTATCACCAGTGTGGAGGGCAGTGGCACAATCTCAGCTCACTGCAACCTCCACCTCCTGGGTTCAAGCGACTCTCCTGCCTCAGCCTCCCGAGTAGCTGGCACTACAGGTGTGTGCCACAACGCCCAGCTAATTTTTGTGTTTTTAGTAGAGACGGGGTTTCACTATGTTGGCCAGGATGGTCTCCATCTCTTGACCTTGTGATCCGCCTGCCTCGGCATCCCAAAGTGTTGGGATTACAAGCGTGAGCCACCACGCCCGGCCTACATGTGATATTTTGATACATGCATGCAATGTATAATTATCA
Source organism: Homo sapiens (assembly GCF_000001405.40). Classification (NCBI taxonomy): domain Eukaryota; kingdom Metazoa; phylum Chordata; class Mammalia; order Primates; family Hominidae; genus Homo; species Homo sapiens. Next base: position 116,631,790 of record NC_000009.12, on the reverse strand, counting down.
AATCAGGGTAACTCGGATATCCATCATCCAAAACATTTATCTTTTTTCCTTTTTTACATTGGGAACATTCTAATTCTTCTCTTCCAGCTATTTTGAATACAATACATTATTGTTAACTATAGTCATCCTACTGTACTATTGAACACCAGATCTTATTCATTCTAACTAACTGTATTTTTGTATCTGTTAACCAGCCTGTTTTCATCCCCCTCTCTCTCTCTTACCCTTCCTAGGCTCTGGTAACTACCAATCATCTCTCCACCTCCATGAGATCCACTTTTTCAGCTTCCACATATGAATGAGAACAAGTAGTATTTTTCTTTCTGTAGCTGGCTTATTTCATATAACATAATTACCTCCAGTTCTATTCCTGTGGCTGTAAATGACAGAATTTTATTCTTTTGATGGTTGAATAATGCTCCATTGTATATATACATCACATTTTCTTTATCCATGCATTTATTTATGGACACTTAGGTTGAGTCCATATCTTGGTTATTGTTAACAGTACTGCAATAAACAGGACACAGGCTGAAAGTGCAGATATCTCTTTAGCATACTGATTTTATTTCCTTTGTATATATGCCCAGTAGTGAGATTATTGGATTATATGGTAGTTTTATTTTTAATTTTTAGAGGAATTCTCATACTGTTTTCTATGATAGCTGTACTAATTTATATTCCCACCAACAGTGTGTAAGAGTTCCCCTCTCTGACCATTTATGTCAGCATTTGTTATTTTTTGTCTTTTTTGTAATAACTGTCCAAATTGGAGTGAGATGATATCTCATTGTGGTTTTGATTTGCATTTCCCTGATAATTAGTGATGTTAAGCATTTTTTTCATATACTTGGCCACTTTTATATCTTTTTTGAGGACTGTCTATTCAGCTCTCTTGCCCATTTTTAAATTGGATTATATGTTTTCTGTTTTGGGATTTTTTTGCTATTATATATTCTGGATATTAACCCTTTGTCAGAGCCATAATTTACAAGTATTTTCTCTCATTCTGTACTTTGTCTTTTCCCTCTATTGACTGTTTCCTTTGCAGTCAACAAAGGAAGATTTTTAATTTGATGTAATCCTATTTGTCTATTTTTGCTTTTATTGCCTGTGCTTTTGAGGTCTCATTCAAAAAAGTATTGCCCAGACCAACATGAATCTATTTTTTTTTATTAAGTCATTATTTGGTTGTCGCAAAGAAGGACTTGGGACTGACCAAGACAAGGTTAACTGGTCCCCCTCACTCCTCCTAAGAATTTGTCATGTGCTACCTGCCCTTAGTATTTAGGAAAAATGACCAGTTTGGAGAAGAGGATTCAGTCTTTAGGTTGAGACCTGTGTTTGAGTCCTAATTCCTAGATTTGTGACATTGATGAAATCACCTGATCACAGGAGCATCAAACTTTAAAAAATTTCAACTTTTTCAAGGGTTGCATGGAAACAATACAACCTAATATACAGGCTGTTTATGGAGATGAAAGTGACCCATGGAGGTTAAGCATTTAGGCTTTGGAATTTGAGAAACGTGGGTCTGAGTTTTGTTCTGCTATATACTGGCTATGTAACTTAGGAAAGGAACCCAAACTCTCTGGGGCCTCAGTCTCATCCTCTATATAGTGACACCAATAGGATTATCAAATTCATGGTGTTGCTCTACAAATTAAATGAATCCCTGCATGTCATTTCTCACTGAGCACTGTGTTTGGAATAGAAAAGTCTTCAAAAAATGCTCACTGTTATTTTTAATGCATTAAAACATAGTACTTCATCTTCTATGTGAGATAGATGGGAGCTGAAATATGGGACTAACTGACAAGAAAAATTACTCCTTGCCTGAGGATCATATAATCCTATCATCTTGTCTGTGTACATCTTGAGAAACAGACAGCTGACAGAGCCTTGTGCACAAGCATCTCAGTGGGTTGTATATTTATTTCTCTAATATTTTTTCATTAGCAGAGGTAAGTGTGGCAATAGGGGGGTTTGGCTGGTTCTAAATGTCTTCTTCCTGTCACCCAGATTAAGGAGCTGTTCTGTCGGGCTCTCATCATTCAGAGGAGAATGGCTTGAAAAGTGAAGCTTATCCTGACAGGGGAAATTAGGTGTCGTTTCTGTGATTTATAGAGCAATAGATTGAGCTGCACGATTTCTTATATAGGAATTGGGTCCTTGCCAGTTAGTATTTTTTTCACTGTATGGGGGGATCTGAGGCTGAAAATAAGAGATGGGTTGAAGAAGTTCAGGGGGCACTGCTTGGGATTTGAAGTTGAGTCCAAAATAGACCCTCTGCCCTACTGTGTTGTCTGGTTGGCCTTGATCCAGTATCTTCTCTGACCTTTCACTTGCTCATCTGTAAGAATTACTGGAAACAGGCCGGGCGCGGTGGCTCACGCCTGTAATCCCAGCACTTTGGGAGGCCAAGGCAGGTGGATCATGAGGTCAGAAGCTCAAGACCATCCTGGCTAACACAGTGAAACCCCATCTCTACCAAAAATGCAAAAAATTAGCCGGGCATGGTGGCAGGCGCCTGGAGTCCCAGCTACTCCAGAGGCTGAGGCAGGAGAATGGCGTGAACCCGGGAGGTGGAGTTTGCAGTGAGCTGAGATTGCGCCACTGCACTCCAGCCTGGGCAACAGAGCGAGACTCCGTCTCAAAAAAAAAAAAAAAAAAAAAAAGAGTTACTGGAAACAGTAAAAGCTGCTGCCTCCGCAAATTGTTGGGAGGATAATAGGAACTAACAGGGAGATGCCCTAGCACTAGGCACAGAATAAAGAAATGCTTAATAGGTGTCTGTTCTCTTCATCCCACTCCTCTCTTTCTTCAAAAACTGTTAATGGTATGCTCGTCATCTGTGTGACCTCTGCGGAGAGGATGCCAGCTGGCAGGAAGTCAAATAGACTTTCTCTAGAGTAGTTTTATGTTCTCAGCCAAAGTGAGCAGAGAATTCCCATATACCCTCTACCCCATATACACATAGCCTCCCCCACTATTAACATCTCCACCAGAGTGGTACATTTGCCACAATCAGTGAACCTGCATTGACACATCGTTAGTACCCAAAGTGCATAGTTTATAAGAGGGTTCCCTTTTGATGTTGTATTTTCTGTGGGTTTTTACAAATGTATAATTCCATGTATACACCAGTATCTTATCACACAGAGTATTTTCACTGCCCTGTAAGTCCTTTGTGCTCTGCTTATTCATCCTTCACTTCTCCCTAACCTCTGGAAACCACGGATCCTTTTACTGTCTCCATAGGTTAGCCTGCTGGCAGTCAATTCTAGTCAGTATATCTAGGATGGGAAGTTCTAAAGGGGATGGGGAAATTATGGCCAGTTTTGAGAAACAGCTAAATCTTAGCATAAGTGAGAAAGTGATCAGAAATAGCAATGCAGTGATTTGAATGTCCAACTTGAAGAAAGACCCAAGGAGGGGAAGAGACTTACTGAGGTCACACAGTAAATTAGAAAATGTTGGAGTTCCCTTGGATTCTCTTATCTTTGTCTCTTTACTCTTTTCATGCTCTGTACTTTTTCTGTGTGATTTTGTTCACACTTGTGGCTTCTATTACATTGAACTATATGATATTGCTGACATTTGACTTACAAAATTGCAATTTCATATGATATTTTCATTGGTCCATTCTCATTTGTACAGTGAAAAATCCCAATATCTGCTAAAGGTGGGTGGACTCAGGGGTGTGAATAACATTTTTAATAAATGGATTGTCTTTTATATGGAGGCTTTATATTTCAAAGCATAGATTTCCTGGTTTAAGCCAAATGTCCTGAATTCAAAGCCTGGCTCTACCACTTACCAGCTCTGTGACCTTGGAAACAAATGCAAATTGGATATAATAACTACACCTAGCTCACAGGTTGTTGGGAAAATTTAATGAGTTAATATGTCTAAAGTACCTAGGGTATTGTGAGGAGTAATACATAAAAAGAACCTAGAACAGTGCCTGGCTTGTAGTAAGTACTCAATAAATATCACGTAATTATTAATATTCTCTACTTCAGTGAGAACATTGCTTATGGTTGTAGTGGCTGACAGCATGGGCTTCAGGATTAGATGGCTTGAGTTCAAGTCCTGGTTCTACTACATTTTAGCGAGTGACCTTGAACAGGCTATTTTACCCTTCAGACCTCAGTTTCCTAATCTATAAAATGGGGCTAGGAACAGCAAAACTACTACATAAGGCTGACATGATTAAATGATATAATGTATATTAAAGTGCTTACCACCCTGTCAGTAAATGCTGTTGTTATGCTTGTTTTCTACTAAAATGACAGAAGTTGGTGGCTTGAACCCAGGACCAAATGCAGGCAACTTGGTGTAGTGAATGTTTCTCTTCTTTGGGCCTCCTAGTCTGTGCAGAGTTGTGAGGACCAGCTTCATGTCTCAGGACCCTTCTGGATCTGAAATGCCAAGAATCCGTGCCAATGAATATGCTTGTATGCACTTCAGAGCCCTCTAGCTTCTGGGATATATATGTAGTTTAAGGTTTCTACTTCCCATTGCTCGGCTACTCCCTAGTTGCTACCTTTTCCAGGCAATTTTTGACATGACTCATCTCACTTGCCTTCCTGTCTTGTTTGGGAATAAGAAGATTTAAGTCAACTAACACTACCTACTTTTCTCCCTTTATGTGTTTTTACACATGCTACTTAATTCTACATTCTTTGATTTGTAAAAGAATGACCAATTAATCACCTTCTCACTGTCAGGTTAGATGGGCATGTCTTGTTTCATTCCTAAGGAATGGGGCCTCCAGCCCCTGTGCCCTATCTCCTATGGCTACCAGGGAAATGGGTAATTGGAATCTTCTGCAGCAATTATGAGGAGATATGCTGATGACGGATGGCAGATGGCCCAGGTAGATCCTATCCAGAGTTCCAGGCTGGGTTAGAAACCTCTATTTCTGCTTTTTTTTGCAGCACTGCTATGATAACCTCTTCAATCCTTCCTGTGTTCATCAATTCCGTCCTGATCAACTACACATATTGTCAGCATGGGCGCACCATGCTTACAATATATGTTTCCCCATAAAGTTGGGATGTCAACCACTATCTCTTCACCTCCCATCTTTCTAGGCCTTAGAAGCTTCTTATTTTATATCTTCAAAAACTTCTGGACAAAAAAGGTATCAACCCCACTGTCCTCCAAGCTGTGATCACAATTGTCTCCAAAAGGGACTCTACCTCCATAGCCCACCCCAATTTCCTTTCAATGGCTTCAAGGTAATTTAGGCTTTTTATGGTGACCAAAAGAGATGCATTTCTGTCATCTCTTTTGTTAGAAGAACACAATAATATCAAGTACACAAGTTTAATCCTTGGCAGAACATCCTATTTTATATTTAAAACATATTTAAATATAAGTATGTTTATAACATATTTAAAACATATTTTTGGGGCCCTATTTGTTCACTATTTTTCTTGAAGGTAGGGACACAGAGATGAATCAAATTTATGACCTTGGCTGGGTGCAGTGGCTTATGCCTATAATCCCAGCACTTTGAGAGGCTGAGGCAGGCAGATCACTTGAGATCAGGATTTCGAGACCAGCCTAGTCAACATGATGAAACAGTGTCTCTACCAAAAAAAAAAAAAAAAAAAAAAAAAAAAAAACACAAAAACTAACCAGGCATGGTGGTACATGCCTGCAATCCCAGCTACTCAGGAGGCTGAGGCAGGAGAATCTCTTGAACCCAGGAGGCAGAGATTGCCGTGAGCCAATATTGTGCCACCGCACTCTAGCCTGGGCAACAAAGGGAGACTCTGTCTCAAAAAAACAAAAAACACAAATTTATGACCTTGCCATGGAGAAGTTCACAGTTTGATAGGCGAGGACACACAAATAAGCAAGTTTCAAGGAAATGTGAAATTTGTAAAAATTGAATGAGAGGAGAGAGGGACAAAATCTCTCAAGGTGTGGCAGGGTCCACACCTCCTTCCTAGAGTTCAGTAAGGAGGAAGAAGTGGAAAAAGGGCACTTCAGACCAAAGGCACAGCATGAGAAAAGGCTTGTGGGTATGAAATAGTGCATGCACTACTGTAAGAAGTTGGCATGTGCTAGATCACAGAGAGGGGTGCAGGGGGGTTGAGATGGGAGAAGAGTCATAAGCTGAAGAACAAAGGAGGTTGAATCAGTGGAGGCTTTAACCAGAAAGTGTGGAACATTCAAAAGGCTCCAAGCAAGAGGTGTTTTAGAAAGCTGTGAGAGGACATGCTGGAGAAGGCAACATGAGAGTGGGGAGACTAGTCCAAAGGCCACGGCAAGTGCCTATAGAATGGGCGGCACCAGGGAGACAGCAATGGGGCCAGAGTGGGGAGGGTTTCTTTATTTTTTCCAAGATGGAGTCTTGCTGTCGCCCAGGCTGGAGTGCAGTAGCGCAATCTCAGCTCACTGCAACCTCCACCTCCCGGGTTCAAGCTATTCTCCTTCCTCAGCCTCCCGAGTAACTGTGATTACAGGCACCCACCACCACACCTGACTAAGTTTTGTATTTTTAGTAGAGTAGAGATGGGGTTCCACCATGTTGGCCAGGCTGGTCTCGAACTCCTGACCTCGTGATCCACCCGCCTCGGCCTTCCAAAGTGCTGGGATTACAGGTGTGAGCCACTGTGCCCAGCTGGGAGGTTGGTTTTGAGATGCCTTATAAGGTAGAGGGTTGACCACCACTTTTTGGCTAGAAGCACCAAACTGACATGGGAGATACAAGTAATCCTGGGGAAGAAGAGGATCACAAACATGCACACACATTTTCTTTGCTTTTATCATTTATTTGGTTTGTTTTATTCAGCATTCCATGTGAACTTTTAATTCAACAAACATTGACTGCCTTATGTTAAATGCTAGATACTGTGTTTGGCCCTAAAATGGAGCCAGTGGGTAAAAAGATAATAGATTTTTTTTTTTTCTCTAGAAAGCCTTTTCCCGCTTCATTTGTTATGGGTTGAGCAGCCATATGACCAAGTTTGTTAATACCGTGGAGATGAAATCCATTAGGCATTAATAAGGACTTCAGAGCATCTTTTTGGAGTCATACAGACCAGAACCATCTTAGTATCAAAAATAACTGACTTGGTATTAGCACATGAAAATATTTTTTAGTGTAAAAATTACAGTCATTTGAAGTATAGAGTGTGGAATTTAATTCATGGGCTTAGTGACATTCTGTGTAGATGTTTCTAAATATCTTAAGTAGAGGGTGTTTACCTAAAGTTTAAAATTCCTAAGATATTGTCATAGTTTTAGAGCTAGAAGAGCCCCCTTCCTTCTGTATTCTCATAGCCTTCTATGTGTATTACTTCATAGCATTTGAACTATAGTAATTGTAATTGTTTGTGTGTGTCTCTTTGCTAATAAGCCACGGATCCTTTGAAGTTAGTGACTTGGTCTTGTTCATTCCCTTTCTTAGTTTCTGGAAGGCACAAGGTATGAAGTAGGAAGTTCAGTGAATGTGTACTGAACTTAAACCTTAGAAAACATATCTTCTACCCCCTCATTTGGAGATAGGGAAATTGAGGTTAAGAACGAGGAATCTTTTATGCAAGTTCAAAAAGGAAAGTAACAAGAGAGTCAGAAATACATCCTAGTTTTTTTTGATTGCTTAATATTTTTGTGGCTGTTTTCTCCTGTTGCCCAGCTTGGTTTGCTAGCTAATTAGCCAGAAGTTGGAAGCGTTTACAAGTCATGGAAATGCAAACCTTCGTTATGAAAACCAATGGCCATGCAAATGTAGCCATTAAGTACAGAATTTGTTTCTTAGGTCCCTCTACTTATTCAAAAACTAGGAGGCAATAATGCCTCCAGTATAAGGTTTCATTTTCTCTCAAACACACAGAGACACATACGCATGCAAACAACACATGCACACACATAAGCACATGACCCAAGCAGAGTGGCTGAACAGGATATTTTGGATCAAATCTTGGCATTTATTCTTCCTGTGTGACCTACTAAGGTCAAGGGTACAAGGATTCAAATGGGCTTTAGTTCAAGTCCCTCCCTGCTCCTGCACGCTTTTCTGTAAGTGGGTATTGAGCATCCATTTCAATGGGTAATTTTGAGCACTTAACGGAGGGATAGAGTAGTTTCATCGTGAAGTTGTTCTATCACCTTGGTCCAGCAAACTAGCATCTCTGGGTCACTGTATCTGCATCTGTGAAACGGATTAGGTTACATGATTTACAGAGTCCTGTGAAGCTGGAACATTCTATGATTTTCCTCCCCCGGGATCTAATTGGACTCTGGATGGAGTGTTGCAAGGACAGAAGAGGTAAGGAAAGAGTGATCCTGCATTGACACAGTGCTGGCTTCTGCAGCCTTATGAGGACTCCCTGTTTGATGCTGGCCTTTTATCAGGGTGTGTTTGTGTTCTAACCAGTGTTTGCCTGGCCATTGCACCAGTCCCCATTCTGTTCCTCGGGGTTTTGGGAAAGAGCCAGTGGATGTGGATTCTTACAGGCAGGATTTCTTCCCAAGAACTGCCTGGATGGTGAAACTTATGAAGTCCAGAGAGATTTCCTGTTTTGTTTTCCACAAGCTCAAGTTCCTATTTATTACAAAAACCAAACACACACACACACACACACACACACACACACACACACACACACACACACACACACAGAGTATGCTCTCTCTCTTCCCATTGCTGGGGTCCAGTGCAACCTTCCCATCTGTGTCACTTTCACCCATGGCCCTGGGTTTCACCGTTATGTTAATTAAGCCTTCAGTGTTGGCTGGAGATGTTACAGAATTTTAAGCCATCAGTAGTTAAGCACATTAATTTTACCAAGGGGGAACCTGCAAAGGGAGTGAGAAAAGGTCTAACAGTCAGCATGACCTCATGCAGTCGCATCTGGTTTCTGTCCTCATGAGAGTGCCTCCTTCTGGTGCTGGCTAGAGAATAGACATTTGTTCTTAGCATAGGTTCTGGCACCTAGGAGGAACAGTGCTCTTACTGTGTGACACACCCTGGCCCAGACACTTTATATGCAAATAGTTTATGAAATATACTTACACTACAAAAATGTTGCCTGGAATTTGAATTTAACTGAGCACCTTGTGTTTTAATTTACTGAATCTGGCAACCCTACTTGGGATTAATCCCATGGCTCAGAATTGTTGAACAGAAAAGACCTGCCCTTGGGAGTCACAGAAATCTGGGTTGGGATTCTGTTTCCACCATTTACTTGCTGTGTGATCTTGGGAAAATTGCTCGACTGCTCTGATTCCTAGTTTTCTTATATATAAATGAGGATCGTAATATCTGTGTCTCAGGACTATTGTGATGATTACATTTTAATGCACTTACAGTACCATGTGCTGTGCCATTTAGTGTTTTTCATGAACATTAGCTTTTATTATAATTATTTTTTATTTCTTTGGGTCATGACACTTAACTCAGGTGAAATTTGATCATTCATTCATTCATCCCTAGGAGAAGATATGGATAAGAACATGTGGCAGGAATAATTGGAGACTTTTTGTCAACTTCCAGGAGAAATGTGATGGAAGCTTACACAGGAACACTCTTGATAGACACTGTCTCCTTCTAGATCTGTGTTCTGGATCACTCAGAAGGGAGACCCCAGACTTTATACAAACATGTTCTACTTGAGTCTTTTAGACAATGCAGAATGAAAAAAGTGACATCTTGGTAATCATGTGCCCTTAGTGGTGTGCAACTTTTATTTAAAAGCATATCAAAAGTAAAAAACATGAAAGAAATGAAAAATAGGAACATCATGCAGAGCAGGCAAAGCACAAAGGAATAAAAGATCAACATTCTTTGAAATCCTCATGTTTTAAAGACAGCTGTCATTCATTCAGAATGTGCAGTGCGTTGAAATGTCAGTGTTAGCATCAAGCACACACTGAAGTTATCTTCTACATCAGAGCCCAAGGGAGGGGAACAAAATAGAAGGTAAAACTTGACTCCTGTGCTGTGCTAAACTGAAAAAAGTGCCTTCCAAGTTCTCTTTACTGCCAACTATTAATGATCTATTTTTCAATGTCCATTTATTTATTTACAAACTGTTGACTGAATAACTGTGCTAGGTCCCACAGGAATATTCATGTGAATAAGGCCTGGCCCTTGCCCTTGGTGGGACCAGTGTTTATGGGTGAGATAGGCAAGGAAATGTGTTGGTAGGTATGGTCTATGTGTTATGGTGTCCAGAAGAGGAGCATGATTCTAGACTTAAGAAAGTTAGGGTGGGCTTTCCAGAGAAGAGAATGTTTCCTATTTGAGACCCAAAGAGTAAATTGGAGTGCAGAGAGGGGAATATTCCAGGCATAGAATGGAATGTGTGTGTGTGTGTGTGTGTGTGCGTGCATGTGTGTGTGTGTGTGTGTGTATGTGTTTTAAAAAGACTATGAAGCACATTCCAATTAAATAGAACATTGATTATCATTTAGAGCAAAGGTCAGAAAACTGTGGCCCTCAGACCTAATCTAGCCTGCTACTTGACTTGGTAAATAAAGTTTTATAGGAACACAACCATGCCAATTCATGTAAAGTATCATCTATGCCACTTTCATGCTACAAAGGCAGTGTTAAGTAATTGTGGAAGAGTCTACCTTGTCCCAAAGCCAAAAATATTTACTCTCTGGCCCGTTATAGAAACTGTTTTCTGGCTCCTGATTTAGAGCACATTTTATATAAACAGGAATTCACTGTTGGTGGAAATGATGTGGGTGCATGAGAACAGATGATACTGTGCAAAGAAGGTCAGGAGAGTGGTGAGAGATGAAAAGGTGGCCAGGGGTGAGAACAAGGCATTTAGATTTTATCCTGAAGACTATGGGAAACCTTTGAAGGTTTTTAAGCTGGGCAATGAGATGGTCAGACTTCTATAAAAGGCAGTGCAGCAAGGTGTTTAATAAGAAGACAGGCTTTGGAGGCAGATTGCCTTGGGTTGTATCCTAGCTCTATCGCTATCGTAAACCTCAGTCAAGTTATTTACTTTCTGTGTGCTTCAGTTTTCCAACTTGTAAAATGGGAAATTATAATAATAATATCTATTGTGTGAGGTTGTTGTGAAGATTAAATAAGTTAACACAAGTGGAGTGCCAAGCCTAGGGGACACTATCAATGGATATAGTTACTATTGTTTCTCAGTGATCATTGTGGCTCCTGGGGAGGGGATGGCTCAGGATGGGAGACCCTGATAGTAGAGTGCAAGGAACTTAGGGAATAGATGGTGTCTTGTGCTTAAAGGGGCTACTCTAAAGCCCTCGATGGCTCACATCATGGCCATCAGCACATTTACTCTCAATCTCTCCCCTGTTGTCATCATTGTCTATTCTGTCCTCTTTTTTTGTCCAGGCCTTCAAGAGTGCACTGATGAGTTCCTACTGGTGCTCAGGGAAAGGGGATGTGATCGATGACTGGTGCAGGTGTGACCTCAGCGCCTTTGATGCCAATGGGCTCCCCAACTGCAGCCCCCTTCTGCAGCCGGTGTACGTATGTATGGCCCCTTTTCCTTTGGCCATCCCTTTTCGTGGACTCACACTCCTGTCCTGCCAGCCCATGCCATGACTTGCTTCTGCTCCCAAGGTGCCTAACAAGATCCTCAAAGACCCTGGAATCTACCTCCTTTTTTAGGAAAGAAGGGAGCTTTGGCAGAACAGAATTGTGGCACAGGAGCAGACACTGATATTGCAGTGCATGCTTGTTTTAAATGATGCCACTCAGTTCATCATTTCTTCCTTCAGGCAACCATTCAGCAAAAGCTTGTAGGCAGCTGACTACTTTGTCAGGTCTTGTGTTGGGCAATGGGGCTACTGAGATTTAAAACAAAACAGAACAAAAAAAAACTGGAGAACCTCTTCTACGAAACAAGATTGGCACAGTCCATGTACTCAGGGAACGGACAATTTAGTGGAGGAGATAGATGCCAAAACAAAAACAGGAAAATACAGTATAAAAGTTTAAATAAGGGCTGAGCACCATGGCTCATGCCTGTAATCCCTGCACTTTAGGAGGTGAGGTGGGAGGATCTCTTGAGGCCAGGAATTGAGACCAGCTTGGGCAACATAATGAGACCTCGTCTCTCCAAAAAAAAAAAAAAAAAAAAAAAATAGCCCGTGTGGTGGCACATGCCTGTAGTCCCAGCTACTATGGAGGCTGAGGTGGTAGGATCTCTTGAGCCCAGGAATTCAAGGCTGCAGTGATCCATGCTTTCACCACTGCACTACAGCCCTGGTGACAGAGTGAGACCCTGTCTCAACAACAACATTTTTTTAATAAGAAAAATGTGAAAAAGAAACAAAGAAGTGCTATTAGGGAGAATAATGGGGAGATGTTTTAGTTGGAAGGAAGAGGGAATAGTCTGGGAAAGCTCTCTGAAGAGACCTATAGGGTAGATGCCAGCCAGGCAACAAGTGGTGAGACTCATGTCTCAGGCAGAAGGAACAGCATATGCGAAGGGCCAGACACTGGAAATTCACCATCTGAGGAAGTAAAGGAAAGTCATTGTCGTTGCAAGCATGTGATTAAGAGGGAGAAGTGGTGTGACAAGCATAAGAGGGGGCAGGAACCAATACTGGAAAACAAAGTCCCATAATCGAACTCTGTGGGTGAGAAGAATCATGTTATAAGATGGTCTTTGAAGACACAGTGTGGTATCGTGGAAAAAGGGAATCTGGGATAAGGATAAGCAAAATCACCATCATGGTCCTGTCTTCAGCTTGTTGTGTGACCTTGTGCAAACTGTTTCCTTTTTTTGAGCCTTTCCCCCTTTTGTGAAATGAGGGAATTAAACTTCATCATCTCTAAGGACCATTCTAGTTCTAACCTTTAATCATTCTATTTTTTTTTCTTGCTTTGCAAAAAGATTTACTCCAGGATTTTTGCTCCTTCCAATAGTGTATTTACTTAAGGATATTAAAAAGTTAGCTAGTACATTGTATTAAAGAAAATGGCAGAAAAATGGAAAGTTCCTTTGTTTGAAGGCACTGCCAATTTAATTGAAAGTGAAGCATCGTTGAGAATATAGTATAAATATATGGAAAACTGATAAACTGCCATTGAGCACATATTGTGTGCATGGATTAATTTATGAAATTCTACTTTGATCTTGAAAGGTGGCTCCTTGTCTCCCTATTTTATGGATGAGAAACAGAGGCCATGAGAGGGGAAATAACTTGCCTACGGTCATGCAAGTTGGCGATCATGGGTGGAATCAAGATTTAAATTCAGACTGAAACCTATGCTTCATCTTGACACATGCGGATTCTTTTGGGCCCCAGCTGGTGCTGGCTGCCAAACACGAATCTTCCTTTTTATTCCCTGTAGGCTGCGGCTGTCCCCAACAGTGGAGCCCTCCAGTACTGTGGTCTCCTTGGAGTGGGTGGATGTTCAGCCAGCTATTGGGACCAAGGTCTCCGACTATATTCTGCAGCATAAGAAAGTGGATGAATACACAGACACTGACCTGTACACAGGTAGGTACATGAGTTCCCATTTTCTTGGGATAGTATGACAGAAGAGGGAAACTGGGATTTTCTACTGTCTTTGGAGACTTGGTCTCATCTGTCTTGGGAAGGCATTGGAAGATTTCATTGTTTAGTGATTTTTCGCTGTCCATCCTTGTGTGCTGTTTTGTATGAATTTGATCAAGGAAAGATAGCAAGTTGCAGTTAGAAAGAGTGTCTGATTCTCTGAGTTGGACCTTCAAAATATTATGTCAGAGAACTAGTTGATTCTGAAGACAATTTGACCTTTCTGTATCTGGGAAGGCCTGCAGGACTCATGCTTGAAGGGCTTGATCTGTAAATATATTATCTCTGGAACTGAGGTAAGGAAATTCACACAATTGGCTTTCTAGTGAGATACACTTGGAGTCTTCATTAACTAGTGCTGGGAGAGAGATAATTGGAAGTGATTCCAGCATGCAGGAGCATTTGAGAATGTTGGCTTTTAAGAGGGATACCTTTGATTATCACTCAGAACATTATTTCCGAGTTCTTCTAAATTTTGACACTGCCAAGAAGCAAAGCGTTCACCTGTGATCTGTACTGGGGCTTACATTTTCTGTTCTCTGTTGAGACTTCCATTCAGCAATTATTTTCCAGCTAGAAAACATCAATTAGACATCTGTTTTTTTGTGTGCCAGGCACGGAGCTAAATGTTTTGTTCAGCATCTTAATCCTCACAATTTTAGGAGAGTTAGTGATTATTGTGCCCATTTCACAGATTAGAACATTGAGATTAATCCAAGGTTATTCAGCTTGTGGTATCGCCTCAAATTTATAATTTTAATCCTGAACCAAGACTTGGCTATTTAAAGAATTAAAGAAGTATAATTATTTGCCCAATTAAATTATAAACTCCAAGAGGAAAGATGCCTTCTCTGTGTTAGTCATAGTTAAATTTCCAACACCTATCACAAAGTCTGGCATTCAAATATGAGTTGACTGAATGAATAATAAAAGAATGAAAGGACCTTTATTGTTCCCTTTTCTTTTTCTGTCTTCCTGTCTTCTACCTGTCTCTCTCCTACACCTCTCCCATTCCTCTCTGGGCTATTTTTGCTTTGCTTCCTCTGAAATTGGGAAGAAAGTGATAAAATGAGGCTGTGAATGTAAAAGAAGTCAGAAAAAGAAAAGCCCAGATTATGGACAACATGAGAAGTCAAGTTGGCTGCTAATAGGTTTCCTGGGATTAATGTGGCTTTTTCCACATTATTGACTGAAAGAGACAGAACAGACTGGAGTGGACATCACTTTCACAGAGGGACAGGTCATGGAACAGTAACTGGGCAGCTGATTTTGCCTCATCTTTCAAACTTTGTTAATTCTGACTTTTGACTCTGTATGGAGTGCATATGTGTTTGCGCAAGACTGTGTATCTGAATATGCATAGGCAAACTGAAGTGTCTGTGTGTTTGTATTTATCTGTATGTACGTTATTTTTATGTGGGTGAGATTTACCACTGTCTGTGAATGGGTGGGTGTGTATTTTGTGTGTGTGTGTGTGTGTGTGTGTCTTTGTCCTTCTGGAGTGCTGTTTTATAATAGCAGAGGTTTGTAAACCACAGATAACCAAGGGAAATGAAAGTCCTCCAACAGTGGGTTTACACTTTAACAATAACGCTTCACATCTCTATCACATCTCCATAGGGTGCCGTTCTTCTCAGAATTAAAACAAACAAATAAAAAACAATGTAACTTAAGAATGATCATGAACTTTGTTCTACAGATAAAGTAAGTAAATCCCAAAGACGTATGTGACTTTCCTGAAGTCCCATAAACACGTATGACAGAGCCAGGCTTTGTAACCAGGTCTGTCTTATGCCCAGCACAGTGCTTGTTCTTATAGACTATGTAGAGTTTACATTGAAACTCAAGTGTTGCTTCTTCCACTAGGGTGCTTGACCCTTTCAGCAGAAAGTCTTCTCTCTCTCAACATAGTGCACTCACTCATTCTCTCTACTGTTTATTTGGCATACTCCATTCCTTGCCTTGGAGTACCTCTTCTATATCAGCAGAAAAATTTCAGCATTGGAAGGATCTTAGGAGATCACCTAGTCTTGCTTTCTCTTTAACACTTCAACATGCACTGATTACATGCCTCCACTGTTAGAAAGCTCAGTTCTTCCTAAAGTTTTCTGTATGCATGATCATGTCATCTGCATACAGAGACAATTATATTTCTTTCTTTCCAATTTTGATGACGTTTATTTATTTATGTATTACTTGTCTAATTGTTCTAGCTAGGAATTTTAGTACTATATTGAACAGAAGTGGTAAGAGCAGACATCTTTGCCTGTTTTTCTAATCTCAGGCATTTAGTCTTTCACCATTAAGTATGATGCTAATTGTATGTTGTTGTTGTTTTTTAATGTAGTGTTTGATTACATCGAAGAAGGTATCTTCATTTTTTATTTTTTTTATTATACTTTAAGTTCTAGGGTACATGTGTACAACGTGCAGGTTTTTTACATATGTATACATGTGCCATGTTGGTGTGCTGTACCCATTAACTCATCATTTACATTAGGTATATCTCCTAATGCTATCCGTCCCCCCTGCCCCCACCCCATGACAGGCCCTGGTGTGTGATGTTCCCCACCCTATGTCCAAGTGTTCTCATTGTTCAATTCCCACCTATGAGTGAGAACATGCGGTGTTTGGTTTTCTGTCCTTGTGATAGTTTGCTGAGAATGATGGTTTCCAGCTTCATCCATGTCCCTACAAAGGACATGAACTCATCCTTTTTCATGGCTGCATAGTATTTCATGGTGTATATGTGCCACATTTTCTTAATCCAGTCTATCATTGTTGGACATTTGGGTTGGTTCCAAGTCTTTGCTATTGTGAATAGTGCCACAATAAACATACGTGTGCACGTGTCTTTATAGCAGCATGATTTATAATCCTTTGGGTATATACCCAGTAATGGGATGGCTGGGTCAAATGGTATTTCTAGTTCTAGATCCTTGAGGAATCGCCACACTGTCTTCCACAATGGTTCAACTAGTTTACGTTCCCACCAACAGTGTAAAAGTCTTCCTATTTCTCCACATCCTCTCCAGCACCTGTTGTTTTCTGACTTTTTAATGATTGCCATTCTAACTGGTGTGAGATGGTATCTCATTGTGGTTTTGATTTGTGTTTCTCTGATGGCCAGTGATGATGAGCATTTTTTCATGTGTCTGTTGGCTGCATAAATGTCTTCTTTTGAGAAGTGTCTGTTCATATCCTTTGCCCACTTTTTGATGTGTTTGTTTGATTTTTTTCTTCTAAATTTGTTTAAGTTCTTTGTAGATTCTGGATATTAGCCTATTGTCACATGAGTAGATTGCAAAAATTTTCTCCCATTCTGTAGGTTGCCTGTTCACTCTGCTGGTAGTTTCTTTTGTTGTGCAGAAGCTCTTTAGTTTAATTAGATCCCATTTGTCAATTTTGGCTTGTGTTGCCATTGCTTTTGGTGCTTTAGTCATGAAATCCTTGCCCATGCCTATGGCCTGAATGGTATTGCCTAGGTTTTCTTCTAGGGTTTTTATGGTTTTAGGTCTAACATTTAAGTCTTTAATCCATCCTTAATTAATTTTTGTATAAGATGTAAGGAAGGGATCCAGTTTCAGCTTTCTACATATGGCTAGCCAGTTTTCCCAGCACCATTTATTAAATAGGGAATCCTTTCCCCATTTCTTGTTTTTGTCAGATTTGTCAAAGATCAGATGGTTATAGATGTGTGGTATTGTTTCCGGGGGCTCTATTGTGTTCCATTGGTCTATAACTCTGTTTTGGTACCAGTACCATGCCGTTTTGGTTACTGTAGCCTTTTAGTATAGTTTGAAGTCAGGTAGTGTGATGCCTCCAGCTTTGTTCTTTTTACTTAGGATTGTCTTGGCAATGTGGGCTCTTTTTTGGTTCCATATGAACTTTAAAGTAGTTTTTTCCAATTCTGTGAAGAAAGTCATTGGTAGCTTGCTGGGGATGGCACTGAATCTATAAATTATCTTTGGCAGCATGGCAATTTTCACAATATTGATTCTTCCTATCCATGAGCATGGAATGTTCTTCCATTTGTTTGTGTCCTCTTTTATTTTGTTGAGCAGTGGTTTGTAGTTCTTCGTGAAGAGGTCCTTCACATCCCTTGTAAGTTGGATTCCTAGGTATTTTATTCTCTTTGAAGCAATTGTGAATGGGAGTTCACTCATGATTTGGCTCTCTGTCTGTTATTGGTGTATAGGAATGCTTGTGATTTTTGCAGATTGATTTTGTATCCTGAGACTTTGCTGAAGTTGCTTATCAGCTTGAGAAGATTTTGTGCTGAGACGATGGGGTTTTCTAAATATACAATCATGTCATCTGCAAACAGGGACAATTTGACTTCCTCTTTTCCTAATTGAATACCCTTTATTTCTTTCTCCTCTCTGATTGCCCTGGCCAGAACTTCCAACACTATGTTGAATAGGAGTGGTGAGAGAGGGCATCCCTGTCTTGTGCCAGTTTTCAAAGAGAATGCTTCCAGTTTTTGCCCATTCAGTATGATATTGGTTGTGGGTTTGTCATAAATAGCTCTTATTATTTTGAGATACGTCCCATCAGTACCTAGTTTATTGAGAGTTTTGAGCATGAAGCACTGTTGAATTTTGTCCAAGGCCTTTTCTGCAGCTATTGAGATAATCATGTGTTTTTTGTCTTTGTTTCAGTTTATTGCTGGATTACATTTATTGATTTGCGGATATTGAACCAGCCTTGCATCCCAGGGATGAAGCCAACTTGATTGTGGTGGATAAGCTTTTTGATGTGCTGCTGGATTTGGTTTGCCAATATTTTATTGAAGATTTTTGCATCGATGTTCATCAGGGATATTGGTCTAAAATTCTCTTTTTTTGTTGTGTCTCTGCCAGGCTTTGGTATCAGGATGATGTTGGCCTCATAAAATGAATTAGGGAGGATTCCCTCTTTTTCTATTGATTTGAATAGTTTCAGAAGGAATGGTACCAGCTCATCTTTGTACCTCTGGTAGAATTCGGCTGTGAATCCATCTGGTCCTGGACTTATTTTGGTTAGTAGGCTATTAATTATGGCCTCAATTTCAGAACCTGTTATTGGTCTATTCAGGGATTCAACTTCTTCCTGGTTTAGTCTTGGGAGGAGGCTGTATGTGTCCAGGAATTTATCCATTTCTTCTAGATTTTCTAGTTTATTTGCATAGAGGTGTTTATAGTATTCTCTAATGGTAGTTTGTATTTCTGTGGGATCGGTGGTGATATCCCCTTTATCATTTTTTATTGCGTCTATTTGATTCTTCTCTCTTTTATTCTTTATGAGTCTTGCTAGTAGTCTATCAATTTTGTTGATTTTTTCAAAAAACCAGCTCCTGGATTCATTGATTTTTTGAAGGGTTTTTTTTTTTTTGTCTCTATCTCCTTCAGTTCTGCTCTCATCTTAGTTATTTCTTGCCTTCTGCTAGCTTTTGTGTGTTTGCTCTTGCTTCTCTAGTTCTTTTAATTATGATGTTAGGGTGTCAGTTTCAGATCTTTCTTGCTTTCTCCTGTGGGCATTTAGTGCTATAAATCTCCCTCTACACACTGCTTTAAATGTGTCCCAGAGATTCTGGTATGTTGTGTCCTGTTCTCATTGGTTTCAAAGAACATCTTTATTTCCGCTTTCATTTCGTTATGTACCCAGTAGTCATTCAGGAGCAAGTTGTTCAGTTTCCATGTAGTTGAGCGGTTTTGAGTGAGTTTCTTAATCCTGAGTTCTAGTTTGATTGCACTGTGTTCTGAGAGACAGTTTGTTATAATTTCTTTCTTTTACATTTGCTGAGGAGTGCTTTACTTCCCACTGTGTGATCAATTTTGGAATAACTGCGATGTGGTGCTGAGAAGAATGTATATTCTGTTGATTGGGGTGGATAGTTCTGTAGATGTCTATTAGGTCCGCTTGGTGCAGAGCTGAGTTCAATTCCTGGATATCCTTGTTAACTTTCTGTCTCATTGATCTATCTAATGTTGACAGTGGGGTGTTAAAGTCTCCCATTATTATTGTGTGGGAGTCTAAGTCTCTTTGTAAGTCTCTAAGGACTTGCTTTATGAATCTGGGTGCTCCTATATTGGGTGCATATATATTTAGGATAGTTAGCTCGAAGAAGGTATCTTCTATTTCTAGTCTGCTGCAAAGGCTCTGTTTTGTTTCCATTGGAAACAGATGTTGAATTTTCTGTGTCTATTAAAATGATTGTATAGTTTATCTCTCTAAATTTGTTAATATGATAAGTCACATTGATAGATTTTCATATTATAAAACAACCTACTATGTGAGATTTATCCCAGGAATGTGTAGGTTGTTTTATCTGTTTGTTTTAATTAGGATCATTCTGGTCTCACAAAATGAATTATAAAATATTTTCTCCTTTTCAGTTTTCTGAAGTGTATCTGTCTTCTCAGAGAATCACTGTGGTTAAAATTGATAGTATTTTTTTCTTAATCATTTTTTAGAATTCACCAGTGAAGGCATCTGGGCTTAGACCTTTTCTTGCAAGAAGGTTTTTAACTACTAATTTAGTTATTTAATAGATATAGATTTACTTAGATTATCTGTTTCTTCTTGAGTGATCTTTGGCAGCTTGTGTGTTTTAAGGAACTTGTTCATTCCATGTAAATTATCAAATTTATTGGAAAAAGTTGTTTATGACATTCCGTTACTATTCTTTTGAAATCTGTTGAGATTATAGTGATATTAGTCTCATCTTGATATTGGTAATGTGTGTCTCCTCTGTTTTTTTTCTAGATCAGTTTGGCTAGATAGCTATGACATTTATTTGTATTTTCAAAGAATCAACTTTCGGTTTTATCTGTTTTTGCTTATTGTTTCCTATTTCATTGATTTATCCTCTAATTTTTATTATAATTTTCTTTGTTTGGCTTACTTTGAGTTTGGTTTTCTCCGCATTTTAATTTTTGAAATGGTAGCTGAGGCTATTGATTTGAGACCTTTCTTGTAATGTAGTCATTCCCTCTTAACTACTGCTTTAGTAGTATCTCAAAGATTGTGTTATGTTGCGTTTTCATTTTCATTCAGTTCAAAGTATTTCCAATTTCACTTTTGTTTTCTTCTTTGACTTATGAGTTATTTAGAGGCATGCCACTTCGTTTTCAAATATTTGGGAGTTTTTTCAGAAATTTTTGTTGTTGATTTTTGATTCCGCTATAGTCAGAAAATATGTTTTTATGACTTTAAACATTTTAAATTTATTGAGACTAGTTTTTGGTCTAGATGGTCTATTGCTGTATTCAGTGTTCACTTTAAAATAATGTGTATCCACTTATTTATGGGTATTTTATAAATGCCTGTTAGATAAAATCGGTTAATTATGTTATTCAAGTCTTCTGGAGCCTTTCTGATTTTCTGTCTTCTTGTATCAATATTTGAGAGAGGGGTATTAAAACCTCTGATTATGGACTTATTTCTTCTGCAGTTTTATCATGTTTTATTTTATATATTTTGAAGTTATTGTTATTTAAGTTCATAAACATTTAGAATTTTCATATTCTCTTGATGAATGGATCCCTTTATATTGTGAAATGACCTTGCATATTTCTGTTACATTCTGTTCTGAAATCTACTTTGTCTAAGTACTCCAGCTTTCTTTTGATTAGTGTTAAAGTCTATAATTTCCTATTACTTTACTTTTTTTTTGTTTTTTGAGGCAGAATTTCGCTTTTGTCGTCTAGGCTGGAGCGCAATGGCACAGTCTCAGCCAACACAACCTCTGCCTCCTGGATTCAAGCGATTCTCCTGCCTTAGCCTCCTGAGTAGCTGAGATTACAGGCACCCGCCACCACCCCAGCTAATTTTTGTATTTTTAGTAGAGATGGGGTTTCGCCATGTTGGCCAGGCTGATCTCAAACTCCGGACCTCTGGTGATCCACCCGCCTCAGCCTCACAAAGTGCTGGGATTATAGGTGTGAGCCACCGTCCGCAGCCATCACTTTACTTTTATACTATCATTGCTTTGTATTAAAAGTGTGTTTCTGGAAGATAGTATATAGTTGGATCTTATTTTTTAATCCAAGCTGGCATTATTAACTTTGGGGTGTTTAGACCGTAAAGTTGGGGTGTTTAGACCATTTATATTTAATGTGATATTTGTTTGTTTCTTTGTTAACTATTTATTTTAGAGTCCATGACCTGCTTAATAATGTGATATTTGTATGTTTAGGTTTAAGGTTATCATCTTTCTTTTTTTAAATATTATCCCATCTTTTATTTCTCTTCTTTTTCTATCTTCTTTTGGATAGTTTTTATGATTCCATTATATCTCCTTTGTTGACTTTATTAGCAATAACTCTTTTTTAAAAAAATTTAGTGTTTGCTTCAGGGTTTACAGCATGAATATCTAACATATCACAGTTACCTTCAAGTGATATAATACTATTTCAAGTATAGCATAGGAATCTTATAATAGTATACTGTTCTTCCTCTCTTCCAAGCCTTATGCAGTTTTTGTCATATGTGTTATTCACATATATGTTAAAAATTCCACAATTTATCTTTATTGTTTTTTCTTAATTATTTTTTCGGTATTTAAGTAATAGCATAAATGATTTTATATATTTACCCATGTAGATACTAACTTTGGTACTCTTCATTTCTTTGAGTATCATTCATGTTTTCATCTAGTGTCATTTTCTTTCAGCCTAAAGGATGTCTTTTACTATTTCTTATATTTTGTCAGTTAGTGATGCATGCTTTCTGATTTTGTTTTTGTAAGATATTATTGCTGTGCATGAAATTTTAAATTGACAGATTTTTATCCTAGTAATTAAATATGTTACACTTTGGTCTTCTTGTTTGCATTGCTTCAAATTATAAATCTGCCATCAGTCCTATCTTTGTTCATATATATATATATATATATATATATATACACCCATATATATAATTCATGTATATATGTGTGTGTGTGTATATATATATAGAGAGAGAGAGAGAGAGAGAGAGAGAGAGAGATCCTTTTTTCTGACTGATTCTAAGCTTTTCTCTTTATTAGCCATTTATTTCTTGTGTTTGGGGTTTGTTGAGCTTCTTGGATCTGTGGATTTATGGTTTCATTAAATTTGGAAAATTTTTGGACATTATTTTGTCAATTTAAAAAATCTCCCGCCATTTTTCTTTTCCTCCAACAACATGTATATTCAGTCACTTTAAGTTGTTACTCATCTCAGTGATGCTTTTTTCATTTTCAAAAATTATTTGTTATCTCTGTATTCCATTTTGGATAGTTTCTAGTGCATGTCTTCAATGCCTTCTGTGAAGTGCAATTTATTGTTCATCCCATCCAGCATTATTTTTCGTCTTGGACATTGTAATTTTCACCTTTGGAAGTCCAATGTGAGTCTTGTTAATATATTCTATTTCTTAATTTTTTTTACATATGGGATATAGTTACAGTAACTTTTAATGTTCTTGTTTGCTAATCCTGACAACTGGATCAGTTCTGGGTCAGTTTAAATTGATTGATATTTTTCCTTCTCATTATGGGTTGCATTTTCCTGCCTCTTTGCATGCCAGGTAATTTCGTATTAGATGCCAGACATTGCGATTCTTGCCTTGTTTGAAGCTGGATATTTTGTATTACTAAAAATATTTTTGAACTCTTTTGTTCAAAATATTTTGTTCAAACTCTTTTGTTCAAACTCTTTTGTTCAAAATATTTTGTTCAAACTCTTTTGTTCAAAAGAGTTCAAAAACATTTTGAACTCTTTTGCACAGAGAAACAATTTGATTCCTTTAGATCTTGCTTTTAAGATTTGTTAGATGGAACTGAAGCAGTGTTTAGTCTAGGGCTAATTATTGTCTACTACTAAGGGAGGACCCTTCAGTGTGCTCTACCAAGTTGCCCATAAGTTTTGAGGTTTTACAGTATGGCTGGTAGAGACAGGCACTATTACTGGCCCTTGTATGAGCCTCAGGCATTGTTCTCACTAATCCCTTTGTTTTGGGAGATTTCTCATGTACATACATCAATCAGTACTCTGATGAATGTTGACAGGAACTCCTCCACAGATTGCTTCAATTTTTCCTCTATGCAGCTCTCTCCTCTCCATTACTCTATCTTACGAAGTGTAATCACTTTGGTTTCCCTGGTCTCAGAACTCTGTCTGGGCAATTCAGGGAATCTGTCAGGCATTTCCTCTCCCTGAACAGTGGCTTGAAAACTCTCTAAAGGCAAAGAGAAATTTTAGGGCTCACATAATTTGTTTTCCATCTTTCAGGATCTCTGTACTTTGTTGCCTAATTTCCAGTTGCTGACAAGCTTGTTTTATGTTTTTTTGTTTGTTTGTTTGAGACGGAGTCTCGCTCTGTCGCCCAGGCTGGCATGCAGTGGTGCTGTCTTGGCTCACTGCAACCTCCATCTCCCAGATTCAAGCGATTCTCCTGCCTCAGCCTCCCGAGTAGCTGGGACTACAGGTGCGTGCCACCATGCCTGGCTAATTTTTTGTATTTTAAATAGAGACGGGGCTTCACCGTGTTAGCCAGGATGGTCTCGATCTCCTGACCTCGTGACCCGCCTGCTTCAGCGTGTGTGTGTGTGTGTGTGTGTGTGTGTGTGTGTGTGTGTGTGTGTGTGTGTGTTAATTTCTTAATGGTGTGGGCAGTAGGGCAAATAAATCCAGTCCTTGTTATTCCATTTAATCCAGAAATAGAAATCCAAGATTCTTCTTTATTTTCCAGGAAACAGTGCTCTAATCCAAGAGTTACTTTTTAAAATTGAGGTAAAATTTGTTTATTTTTGGTTATCTGGCCTAGGGTCACTTTACACAGATCTAGGCCCTTCTTCCTGTAGCCATTCAGAAGATTGAAGACAGTGACATACATGCTTCTGTCTTTACAGGGATTTTTTAACCTTTGTTTTAGGACTTGACTTTCATTCTCCACATTATCCAATTCCTGACTTTGTGGGTGGGCAGTTGTTTTTAAAGATACAAGATGATGAATCTTGTATCCTTATATGTTGGGGTTTCCCCACAGTGCCTGTCATACATGGATGTTCAGTTCACTGAACTGAATTGCATATGGTTAGACACATTCATGTCTTAACTTTTCGACTCTGCATTAACTCCTTGAGCACTGTGTAGTTTTATGGGGTCTTCTGTAGTCTTACAACCTAGCTGAGTACATGGTAAGCCTTCTAAAAATGTGTCATGACCAGTTGATGCTGTAGATGATTGGGAGGGTACATCTGAAACATTCACCTCATCTGTTTGCTTCTGTGTCACCTTTATCATGTCTAAACCCTCTGGAAAATGAACTTGGCTTAAATTGAAATTTCTCAGTTCACTCAGTTGAGTTTTATCTTTGAGGATACAAGCCTAATGAAAAAATATGGACTTGGGAAAACCTGGCTTCTGGATTTATTTTTCACCACTTCTCAGTGAGAGAGATCTAGGGGTAGTCAACATCTTTTCTAGGGTTCAGTTTCCTTTTCTGTGGAATGGGAAAAACAGCACCTTTTTCACAAGCTATTTTTAAGGGTTAATTCCAGCACAGTTCTTGAGACACAGTAGGTACTAATACTTTCTTGTTGTTTCCTATTTCCATGAATTAAAAAAAAAAAATTAAAGGGAGGAATAAATGTTAGGAAGAAAACAAAATAAGGTTTAAGACTTGTTTTGGTTAGACAGTTAGGATTACTCACACATTTGGTCAGGTGAGGCCAGAATAGGGAAACATAGGCTTTATCCTTTGATCTCTCTGAATTTTTGCTGGCAGCCAAGTCCAGTGCTGGAATTATTTATTTATCCACGAGCTCATGCGTGCATGTGCACAGGCATAGGTGCTTACACAGATCTCTCTCTCTCTCTTTCTCCCATGTGCACACATGAACACAAACACACACATACACACACACTTTATGGCTGCCATCTGTTTCACACCCTTCTGAACTAACTTTTGAAATGCTCACTCTCCCTCCCTGTCTCCTACCCCTGCCCCCACCTCTAGGTTTGGCGCCCTCTTTGTCTCCTTCAGAGAAGCCATCGCTCGGTCAGTTCCGGGACGCTGTTAGGAAAGCCAAGCATAAGTAGTCTCCTGTTCCAGTTGTTTTGAGCAGAAATGGGGCTTGTTGTGGGGGGTGGCTGAATGCCCCGCACGCTAATCTGTCATCAGTATTAAAAACAGACGTCTGGTTCTCCCTCATGGCCTCATCAGAACAATTGGCATGGGTTTCAGCCTCTTGGGCAGGGTAGATGTGGGAGTAAGAAGCTGGGCCGAGGCACAGGCAGATTTAATAAATCCAAATCTCCTGTTTGACCTACGAAGAAAAAGGCTCAGAGGAGATGGACTTGTCCAGAGCTTACACACATGGTGAGTTACTGGTACAGCCAGAGCTAGAACTAGGGCTCTGGTTTCTTTCCTATCTACTCCCACACCCTCATCCACTACATTCAAAGATTTTTCACTAGTTCATATTACCTCCAGTGTAGTTTGCTCTTGTTGAGAATAGACCTAGAGGCAGATGGAAATAAAGGGATATAGGACACTTGTGTGGCTTGACAGAATGGAGTATCTAGCCACTGACAGCAACTAGTGAGCAACTAGTGAGCTCTGATCTTGTAAAGGGGATTGTAGCCCATCAGGCTTCCCACTTCTTTGTCTGATAAACTAGCTTCTGTGAATCCCTAAAGTTCCAAGTAGAAGAACCTTAAGCATTGAAACCGCCACCCTCAGTGTAAGGATCAGAAGAGTGAGGACAAGAAGGGATAGGTCACACCTAGCATCATAATCTCCTGTTTTTCTGTCTGGTGATATTCTCACCACACCCCCATGCATTTTCTTTGGTCATCTTCTGCTCTCCTGCTGGATTTTTTTTTTAACTTTAAAAAAATCAGAAACTTCTCTTTTTCTTCATGGGATTCTCAGCTTCAGCTTGTTTAGTTCAGGGCTGGAAGGCCATCTGGCTCTGTTGGCACTCACAGAGGCAGCAGGCCCTATCCACTAGCCCCGGCACCTCCTCATACAAGGCAGCAACATCTGGAGCTGGTCAGTGCCCCTTTTCTGCCCTGGCATCTGGGAGCCTACTGGGCCTCTCCCCCCCGATCAGTATCACTCTTGCTTCCTGCCAACTCTCAACTCTTGTCTCTGTTTCTTTCTTCCTATATCCTTTCCTGATTATTTCCTTTCCTCTCTCCTTCCTTCTTTTCTTCTTTTTCTACCTTTATGTGTGTCGGCTTCCCTTGGTGGCTCTCTGTCTCTCTCTCTCTCTTCTTTTTATTCCATGTCACTCTGTGCCCATGTCTCAGCTGACCTTTGCTTGTCTTTGTCTCTCTAAGCTGGCTCTGATATGAGCTGCTGATTTAGACTTACATCCAGGTAAAGGAGAATGTCCAGAGGCCATCTGTATCCACTCTCAGTTCCCCTGTTCTTTCTCTGTCCCTGTTATCATTAAGGATAATCTACAACTGAAAAGACACTCCTCATCCCAACACACACACCATCCCATCTCAGACCTTAGACTGAAAATTTTCTCTAGTAAAAGGGAGCAGTTATGGAGGTGAATTTGTATGAGGAATAACTCAAGGTGAAGGACAGCAAGGTCTCTTTTCTCCAGTAGCTGAGAGGATGGTGGCAGCAGTGGCTGTGATGGAGCACTTACATTGTAGGTATTTATGAAATCTTGTGGAATTTACTCTTAGTTCCTCATGCAGTGTGGGCCATGGCTGAACCATGCTGTTCATCTGAGAAACTAGAGGGGACCTCACCCGCCTGCTCTCTGCTTACTCCGGGTCAGCCTGAGAGAGGTGATGTCATTGGAAACTAGGCTTTACTCTCTCAGCTAGAATTGGGGGGTGGGGGTGAGGGGAATATGTTTTACAGGGTGAGGTATAAACCCACATGATTGCAAACATCTGGAACTGATATTAGGGGCTCAGAAAATATTTCTGTCACTCCAGCTGCTTTCTGGGTGAAAGGTTTCTAAAGTCAAAGACTTCCAAAGGGAAAAGGTACTTGGAGAGTCTTTATCCTGTTCATTCCCCCATGCCACCCAGCCTGCCTTCTATATCACAAAGTTCTTTATAGCTCACAAAGCACACTCATTCATTTCATGAATGTGTGGGGAGCTGTTACTATGGTCTATGTCCTGGGTATGGAATGGTAACAGGACAGGCATAATTCCTGCCCTCATGGAACTTGCAGTCAACAAGGAGAGTGGTACAATTTAGCAAGAAATTGCTGGGATAGTATGGTGGGTGCTGAGGTAACTCAGATGCTGTAGGGGCATGGCAGAGAGATTTGAAATTCAGTCCATTGGGGATAATAAAGGCTACTCAGAGGAAGTGGGAAATTGTTTGAGAGTCTGGTTCCACTAATTAATTATATGGATCAACCTCTCATACACAAGACTATCAACCCCTCGCCTGGAGATCACTCCCAAGCTGATCTTTCTCCCTCCCTGTCACCATCTGTTGCCATTCTTGTCCTTAGTAGCAGCTTCCCGTTAGAGACGCCAAGAGAAGAAAATCTGTATTTCTCTCTTCACTCACCAGAATCTCCTTCCAGGCCAGGCAAGAATTATGCTAGGTTGGTACCTACCTTTCATCCAGAGAGTTTGCCCAGACTAAATCTATACTACCTTGTGTCTATGACATTGTTATTCCCCAAAAGGGGAAGTCAAGCTGAATCCAACCTTCATCCTCTTGCCTCAACTGAAACTGGTTCTTTAAGTATTTTAAGTTCCTGGTTTGCAGCTTTCTCTTCATCTGGGTTCTTGCCATCACAATAGGTAAGGTCAGGGTTTTTGTGGATTTTCTGTCCAACAATCCAGTCTCTCACTTCTTTGATCTGCTCATCTCCAGTGACCATTTCTCCATTCTGCCTCAGCCACCCACTCCTGGGCCACACTGTAGACTTTGTCCTCACATGATATTGTTCCATAAAAAGCCATCAGTTCTAACATCCCACTCTTTGACCATGATCTTTTATACTGTCAGTTTATAGATCTCCCACTCCAGCCGTGCCTTTTAACTCATTAGGACTTTCTCTTGCTTGGTAGCATTCCTTTTTCTCCATCTATCAGTTCCAACTTTTCTATCTATGGTAGAGTCCATGGTTCATATTTCAATCACTGCTTGTATCAGCCTCTCGATCTCCCTTGCCTTTTGGTCTTTTAATTTCCCTGCTTGGTCAAACACCTGCACTGGATGCATGCAACTCTCCATCTTCTGTGATGGTACAGTCACGCAGCTACAGAAAAACACAGTTTTGAATATTGTCATCAAAGTATCATCAGTCATCAGTGTTAACTGGACTCTTCATGCTTCCATTCAATTTTACTAGGTTTCTCCTGTCAACTTACATTCTTCTTCATCATTCTTTGAGATGGAGGTCTCGCTCTGTCACCCAGGCTGGAGTGCACTGGTGTGATCTCGGCTTACTGTAACCTCTGCCTCCCTGGCTCAAGCAATCTTTCTGCCTCAGCCTTCTGAGTAGCTGGGACTGTAGATGCATGCCACCATGCCCAGCTCATTTTTTGTATTTTTGGTAGAGACAGGGATTCATCATGTTGCCCAGGCTGGTCTCGAACTCCTGAGCTCAAGTAATCTGCCTGCCTTGGCCTCCCAAAGTGCTGGGATTACAAATGTGAGCCACCACACTCAGCCTTCATCATTCTTAAACCCATAATACCCTATTTTCCCTTTATTCATTAAGAACAATGATGGAGTAGTATAATTTTTCTCCAAACAATTTAACATTTTTCATGCATACTCTCCCCATTTCCTCCTGATATAATATAGGAGATGTCCTCCTTTCTTTCTAAAGTTAATCTTTTCATTGCAGTATTTCTTATGCCTTCCTAAATTATTAGGAATCTACATATAATCTCTCTCCTTATATCCTATATTTTATATCTCTCCTTCTCTAGTAGATTATTTACATCATTTATATGCTTATAAATTTTTCTTCTTAGAACAAAGACACAAACAAAACATTGCATCTTCCAGCATCAAAATGATCTCTTTCCTTTTCTTTATAAACACACCTTTGAAAGTATAGCCTACAATGGTTCACTTCATCTTTTCATTCCTCAGCTTACTCCCCTCTGTCTTCTGCTACCACCAAGTTACTAAAACATTTTTCTCCATGAACATTTGTGAACTCTATGTCATTAAATCCAGTGACATTTTTGGGTCATAAACTTACTTCATATCTCTATGCATTCTACAGGGTCTGAAACATTTGCTGTCCTTGGTTTCTTCAGTACTATACCTTCCTGGTTTGGTATCTAACTCTCTAACACCAACTTAGCCTCTCTTGCAGGGTCCCTTTATCTGTTCTTTATCTTGAAGCTCCTTATGGCTTGGTCCTGTATAATCTTTTCTCAATTTAATCTCTCTCTGGGTTACCACATCTAGTCCAATCATAACAATCAATGTAGTCATTGCTTTTACATTTGGGTCTCCACCTCATTCTTCGGAACCCCCTAATTATATTCAACTGACTATAAGCATCTGTAATTCGATATCTCACAAGCAATTCAAACTCAACACATTCAAAACTGGATTTGCTATCATCTCCCTACAAGTTTGCTCCTTTCCAATTGTTCATTTACTCTATATAGCTGGTGCCTCTATAAACTTAAGTTTCTTAAAGCAGTTATCTTTAACTCTTTTCTCTTGTTCACCTTCATGTTCAATTTATAACCAAGCTATTTTGCTTTGATCCCCATTATCTCTCAAATCGGGTCCTTTCTTTTTATTTCCGTTGCCTAATCTAAGCCACTCAACATCTTCTGTGATCATCTTTTAAATAGTCCTCACATTAGCCACTTTTCCCTCCCTTTCAATTCTCAACTCTAAAGCCAGAGTTACCTGTTAAAATATACATTTGATCATATCTGGCACAGTAGCTGGCATACCATGGGCACTCAATAAATATTTGATGAATAGGTATCTTATTTATAACTATGATTCTTCTAATTTAAACCTTTTAAGAACTTTCATAACTCTTCTAACTTCCAGATGAAAACTTTTTGACACATCGTACAAGGTTTGAATAATTGCACTTACCTACTTCTTCTCTCTACTATTGATGCTACAGATTTTCTTTCCCACTTGGGTCTGTACAATGAGGTCTCAGTTTAAATGTCACTTATCTGAATCCTTAGATTAGATTTGGCCCTCTTGTTGACTACATGAACTTTTAGCATTCTATACTATTCCTAGCTTGGTAGCACTTATTACAATTCTCAATATATTTTGGTTGGTGAAGGCAGGAATGTAGCATTTGCCTTTCTCACTAAAATATTAGCTTCTCCAAAGTGTTGTTATATTTATCTTTTTTTTAATCACCCTATCCCCAGTGCCTAGTACATTGCCAGGCACATAGTAAGCACTCAATAAATACCTGAAGTGTGAACAGGCAGTAGTGAAATGAAGTGAAGATTGAGGGGCGGGTGGGATGGAAAGCGGTTCAGGTAGAGGAAACAGCACGCACAGTGGCCTTAAGGAATAAAAGGACAGTGGGGCTGGAGTTTAAATTCTGAGTATGGAATTTAAAAAGAAGGGACTATAGGAGGGATGAAATTATAGAGAGTGATTTAAGTCATGGTAAAGAGTAAAAGTTTTATCACCCTGGCTGCTCTATGAAGTATGGATTGAAGGACCTTCAAATCCATTATCTTATTTTATCTACAAATTAGTCCTTCCAAGTAAGAGGACAATATTATCTACATCTACAGATGAGGGAGTTGAGGATAAGTCTTGTGAAGTTGATAGTTGAAGGTCAAACTTCTTATAAGTGTGGAGTCAAGAATTGAATTTACATCTTCTGACCATTTAATCTACATTTCTCTATTGCTCACTGCCAGTGTAATGACAGCCAGAGGCAAGAAGCCCATGGATCAGGGGATCAGGAAGAATGGCTGAGTAGTCTTTTTCTTTTTCTTTCTTTCTTTCTTTCTTTTTTTTTTTTTTTTTTTTTTTTGAGACAGGGTCTCATTCTGTTGCCCAGGCTGGAGTGCAGGGGCCCAATCACACCTCGCTGTAGCCTCTATCTCCCGGGCTCAGTCAGTCCTTCCACCTCAGCCTCCCAAGTAGCTGGGACTACAAGCATGCATCACCACTCTTGGCTAGCTTTTGTATTTTTTTGTAGAGATGGGCTTTTGTCATGTTGCCCAGGCTGGTCCCAAACTCCTGGACTCAAGTGATCCACCCACCTTGACCTCCCAAAGTACTGCGATTACAGGCATTAGCCACCATGCCTGACCAGAGTAATCTTTAATATAGAAGTTCATTGCTCTGAGAAATTATTCTGTGTGGCATCAAGGTGTGGACTAGGAGATCCAGGCTATAGGACTAGGGTTTAGTTTCTGTTGTCCACTTAGACGGATGGCTGACCTTGGTCTGAACACAGCCATTAAATAGATAGCCTGAGGGTGAAGAGAGAAAATAAGAAAAGGGGTACAGTTGTAAAGTCCCTTCCTCCTCCATCTGACATGGGGAGGTGGAAGGGAGGTAAAATTCCCCTCTCAGACATTATTGATGAACTTTGAAAAATATAGGTTAATTACTTCATTTTGTCTCAAATCTGTCCTTGTTTTTCTCCCCACTAGGGGCACCTTGTGTATTTCCACTATGACTTCCTCACCAGGCTGTCCTGCCTCTTATCTTGCCCCTATATTCAATCTTCCTTATGCTGCCAGTCATATCTGTCCATACCAGTGTTTCTCAAAACACATTTTCCATATGTGAATTGCCTCAGGGAAAAATATCAGAACTAAACGCAGGTGCTTCTCAGAATTGTTGTGAGCAACAGATGAAATGATATATGTTGTCTGTAAGATGCCTGGGGCATGTAGATGATAGCCAATAATCATTCATCCCCTTTACTTTCTCCTTACCTTCCTTTTGAAAATGAACACAGTTACAATACTCTCGCTTATCTGAAATATTGGCTTTAACTTAGAGATAGCAAACCAGTGGCTACATAATGTTTTTAAATATTTGAATAAGTGGCTATCACTTGAAATCTGGATGCTTTTTATGTGAAAATCTGGATTCCTGGCTTCTGCTGGAAAATAGTGAGTTCTGGCAACTTTAGACTCACACCCTCACGTGACAGCAGTAGGCAGGAGAGTTGACTAGCAGCTTTCCACTTTAGAGAATGCATGGAAACTCTAGGTCGTCTTAATCCCCTCTTTTAGATTTTCTGACATCCAACCCACTACATTAACTTCTATTATCTGCTTTGCTCTGAAGGTATTTGAATGTGTCATCTTTAATTTAGACCAGGGACAGAGGATAGCTTCTCTTGAGAATGTCACCATGCCTTGGAATATTTTCCCCTGCCATTCGCCATTATTTAGACAGTGGTATTTTATCTGACTGTTCAATAACAGAAATGCCTCATAAAAATAGCTTCCATTTTTAAACGTTCATGTGTGCCCCACAAGACTCCTAGCTCTGTGAAGGTATCTTCACCTCTGTGAAGGTTCATCTAAGATACCTAGTTCAACTGTATGAATTATCCATCCTCTCCTAGCATAAAGTCTGGTTTAAAGTAGAAGTCTAATGAGTAATCATTAAATGAGAGCACTGAATGAATAAAGTAGAGATGCCATGTTAAGCTCATTTAATTCTCACAATAATTCTATGATGAAGTTACTCTTGTTATTGTCTCTTTACAGAAGTAAAAACTGAGACTCAGAAGTAGTCCACTCAGTCACAGGCATCTAGAATCCTAAAAATATGTGGTTGGTTCAAAAGCAATTGTGGATTTTGCTATTACTTTACTTTCAATGGCAAAAACCACAATTAATTTTGCACCAACCTCATATCCTATCTAGAAGATACTTACAGATCAGTTAAGCCAACCCCCTCTTTTCACAGATGAAGCAACTGAATCCCAGTGGTGAAGGAACTTCCCCTGAGTCTCCTGGCAAGTTATGGCCGACACATACATGGGGTCTTCTGGGTTTCAGCCCAGTATTTTACCCCATACCACCTGCCTTCAGGAGTATCCAGACTTGGATTTATTTACCAATTCCATTCTCAGACTTCATAAACTTCCTTTTAACTTCCCTTTTCCTGAGTCATTCTGTCCTACCTCCCAAAGGAGAGATTTTGGGTACTTCCCTGGAGCCATCTGAGATGAGATCAAGGAGCTGTGCTCACATGACCCCAACCTCCCCAGGGAGAACTCAATTACCCTGTTCTGATCCAGCCTCACCTACCCCAGTGGGAAAAGGTGAGGGTGGAGTTCCCTGGAAAGAGAGAATTTGGTTATTAACCAACAATGAAGGCAAGATTGTAAGAGAACAATTATGAGCCCTGTTATAATTGCCCTTTAATCTATAATTGCCAGGTTTGTCTCCAGCTCACCTTTGGGGTCTGTTGACCCATTAAAAAGCCTCAGGCACAGCTGACATCAACGATGTAGGAGAGCTTTTCAGCACATCAGAGTTCCCTGGGAATACTCACTCCAAGATTCCAAAGGCTTCTTAGAATCACAGAAAATCTGGAACTCTAGTGAACACAGCCCTCTACCCAATGTAGAGATCACAGGTAGCCACCTACCCAATATCCCCTACCCACCCCTCACCTCTCACTCACATTATACAGATGAGAAATAAGACTTAGAGAAGAAAAGTGACTTGACTGAAGTCATTCAAAGTTCATGAATATAATTCTGTAGCTCCTGGGACGTATTAATAGATCAAGGCCAGGCATGGTGGTTCACGCCTATAATCCCAGCACTTTGGGAGGCCGAGGTGGGCTAATCATGAGGTCAGGAGATCAAGACCATCCTGAACAACATGGTGAAAGCCCGTCTCTACTAAATACAAAAAATTAGCCGGGCATGGTGGCCCGCTACTTGGGAGGCTGAAGCAGGGGAATCCCTTGAACCTGGGAGGTGGAGATTGAAGCGAGCCAAGATCGCACCACTGCACTCCAGCCTGGCGACAAGAGTGAAACTCTTATCTCCAAAAAAAAAAAAAAAAAAAAAAAATAGATCAAAAGTCATGGAATATTTTGTATCTTCAGCATTGACCATTCAAGTTTCAAAGAGTTGGATCACAATGCCTATGGCTTTGGGTTCACTCACTGCCCTGATCCTGAGTTCTGGGGAGAATTACCTCTGGAAAGGGTACCAATTTCAAAGGCCAGAAAAAGATGGAAGCCATACATTCTAGTAGGCAAGAAAATACATTTTTTAAAAATATAACCATCCTTGAGAGATAATCCCCTTATATTTGGAGAGGAGAACAATATAACCCAAACTCTTTCCCTTCTTGAGTTGACTTTTAGGAAGCTGATGACTAACTTGACACGTGAGAGCAGTAACAACACTAGCCTACTTTCTCATTGTTAGACACACCAAGCTTGTTACTTCACATCTACCTCCCTCTGCTTTGAATTTTCCACCCTTTCCTCTAGTGATTCCCTTAACTGGAATTGTTAACTCCTTTATGGGAGTTAATGGGATTAAGCACGTGAGTCTTAATCCCATTTTCATCTGCACAGAAAGCCTTTCCTGACTACCTAAATATCAGGTTTCTTCTCTGTCATTTTCTATCACATCCCTCAGTATTACTACCCTTATGTCATTCAGCATTTGTTGAAATTATCTCATTTATTTATATATTTGCTCATTTACTTTTGATTTGCCTGCCCTTTAAAAGACAGCTTTATTGAGGTATAATTGATATATAAAAATTGCATACATTTAATATATAGATACTGATGACTTTGGACATGTGCGTGTATCCATGATGTCATCACCACAAGCAAGATACAAACATACCCATCGCCTCCAATAATTTTATTTTGTCCATTTATGTGTGTGTGTGTGTACATGTGTGTGTTTGGTAAGAACACTTAACATGACATCTAGCCTCTTAACACATTTTAAAGCACACAATACCATATTCACTATAGGTGCTATGTTTTACAGCAGATTTCTAGAACATATTCGTTTTGCATAACAGAAACTTTATACTCCATTGAAAACCAATTCCTTGTTTCCGCATTCCCAGCACCTGGAAACCATCACTCTATTCTCAGCTTCTTTGACTTTGCCTATTTTAGATACCTCTCATATAAGTGGAATTAGGCAGTATTTGTTCTTCTGTGACTGGCTTATTATACTCAGCATAACGTCCTTTAGGTTCATTCATGTCATTTCAAATGGCAGAATTTCCTTCTTTTTTAAGGCTGAATGATAATCCATTGTATGCATATACCATGTTTTCTTCATCCATTTATTTGTCGATGCACACTTGGGTTATTTCTCTATCTTGGCTACTGTGTATAATGCTGCAGTGAGCACGGGGGTACAGATATCTTTCCAAGATCCTGATTTCAATTATTTTGGATATAAATCCAGAAGTGGGATTGCTGGATCATCTAGCAGTTCTATTTTTAATTTTTTCAGGAACCTGCATACTGTTTTTCATAGTGGCTTCGCCTTTCTACATTCCCAACAGTGATAAGAGTTCTCTTGCTCTTGAGCGTAAGCTAAGTGTAATCATGCCTTAGGACCTTACTTGTCCCATTCCATGCTGTATCCCTAATATCAAATATGTAAATTATGCTATTGTCATATGTCATGAAACAAGACAGTCACACCACAAGCAGAAAGGTATCTAATGTAAACGGAGCCCAAACAAGAATGAAGCAAGAGTGGCCGGGCGCGGTGGCTCACGCCTATAATCCCAGCACTTTGGGAGGTTGAGGTGGGCGGACCATGAGGTCAGGAGTTCAAAACCAGCCTGGCCAACATAGTGAAACCCCGTCTCTACTGAAAATTCAAAAATTAGCCAGGCATGGTGGTGCGCCCCTGTAGTCCCAGCTATTCAGGAGGCTGAGGCAGGAGAATCTCTTGAATTGGGAGGTGGAGGTTGTAGTGAGCCGAGATCACACCACTGCACTCCAGCCTGGGCAACAGAGTGAGACTCCGTCTCAACAACAACAACAGCAACAACAAGAATGAAGCAAGAGTAATGACATTTGTTAAGTACCTACACCATACCAGAAATTTTGTAAGCATTGTGGGAAGTGTAAAGCTATTAAAGGGAAAGAGAAGATAGTCAGCATTTATTGAACACCTAGATGCCAAGTTATCCTATATAATCATCAAAATTGTTCTGAAAATTAGTTAGTATTATCTTCATTTCACATGTGGGAAAACTCAGGTTTAGAGGGGGCATAGTCACTTACTTAAGGGCATAGAAGTATTAAGTTTGAACTTGA
Organism: Homo sapiens; assembly: GCF_000001405.40. Classification (NCBI taxonomy): domain Eukaryota; kingdom Metazoa; phylum Chordata; class Mammalia; order Primates; family Hominidae; genus Homo; species Homo sapiens. The sequence continues at coordinate 116,595,056 of NC_000009.12, read as the reverse complement.
ACCTAATTCTTTCTCACTCAGAAATTCTGCTCTTTATCCCTACTCTTGATGGCTTCCAAGGAATCCCTGAAGGGGAAATTATGTATGTATGTGTGTATGTATGTATGTACCTATGTATTTATTTATTTTAATAAAAGGAGAGGAGAGTATAATGAAAAAAACTTGAGGGGGATGTGCTTTTGGCTGAGGGTATGGGGACCATGCTAGGAGCTATTTTCAAGACAGAAATCATGGGAAGACTTAAGCTCTGAGCCAGGTCATATCCTGAGCCAGACACTGCGAGTCACCATGTTTCATACATTGGGTGCAGATGTTCTGTCATCAATGCATGATGAATCATGCCTTAGGAAGGTCAGATCTGGCTGTTCTGCAGCAGCTGAGCTTCTCAAAGGAGTTCTGGGCCCATAAAATAGGGAAGCAGAGGTGATGGAAATGACATCCAATGAGTACTGTTAACTGGCTGAACATAAAGTGACTGCAAAATCGAATGTCAGTGAGACTGGACTCTTCTGATGTTCCTCACCTACTATTAGCTACGTGGACAGTCTTGATAATTATATAGTTTATAAGTGAGGTTCTTCTCCACATGTAGAGTTGATACTAGTGGCTTGTATTTTAAAATTTATTTCTAGCTGACAAACAATTATTGACTACTAGTTCTAATTACTGGGGAAATTCCAGAGACAGGTCTAGCTGTAATTCAAGGTAGAAGATGTGTACTCATTCTGTTTTTGTTTTGATAACCCTAAAACAGAGCTTGAGCACAGATTAGGTAGGTATCCATAGGAAACAGTTATGAAGGATCATGAACAGGACCCAGAAGGGGAAAAAGCCAGTACAGGGATGTGTTCACAAGATTACTATTGATGTATTGAGGCTCTTGCTGGCTTAAAGATGCAAAGCTAGATTATGTCTTCTCTAGCTCCCTATCTCAATTGTTTAAAGATTGATGTTTCTTAAACTTCTAGGCTATACTTGCTCATATGAGCTGAGAGAGGTCCCACGGCATCATTGAAGGCCTTGGGGCAGGAAGTGCAAAGATATACCTGGCATATATTCAAGGAGGTAGGTCTTGGGGCAGCGCAAAGTGAGTTTGAACTCACATTGGAACTGTCCATTGCAATTGAGGCTGAAATCAGAGGCTAAGGATGTGCGGCCTTTGTGAATAAAGTGGGCTTTCATCTCAACCTGGAAGGATGGAAGGGATTTCAATAATAGAGAACAAGTAAGAGGAAATTCAGACAGATGGAAGAGCATAAAGCAAGAAAATCATGAAGATGGAAATGAAAGGTGTCTGGAGAAGTATAGAATGAGCAAGACTGGAATTCATGGTCAAGCGGATGAAAGCCTTGAAGGCTAGGTTATGATATCTGAAGTTGATTCTTTGGGCACTTGAGAGTGATGAAAGTTGTTTATGGGGCTAAGTTGTGATTAGAATACACTTCTCATTCTCAGTTAAGAATGGCTAGATGCAGGTGAACTATCACAGGTGGTTGTAGTATAGAGTAGGCTCTGCCAGACTTGGCTTGCATAGGATCTTGGCAGCAGAACAGAGGATATAATTTGGACAAGTGAAATGAAGGTAAAGATAAAAAGCAGGTTACCTCCCTTCAGACATTCTCTTCCTTTAACATACATGTGGAGAATGGCATTAGCATTCTACTCCACCAACTGGGACAGTTTGATAATTTTTATTAATGTGTGGCCTACTGAGTTACCTCAGCCTTCATCCATCAAGCCCTGTATCATGCCTTCGGCCCACGCCCAGTGCCTCAGAAGCCCATATATCATCCCTTCAGGCAGGGAAGCAGATTCCCTTTTATTTCCCTTGCAAAAGCACAGATGTTACCGCACCCAGCCTTGTCTGGGGTTCAGGCACTGCTTCTCCCTAAATGACCTCCTTGGAATCTTCATTCCCATTGCATTCCAGACAGACAGGCTTTTCTTTTGTTCCTTCACTCAAGAGCTGCCTCCACCCCACTCTTCCAATTCATGTGTCATGGGCAACATATTTGTGTTGCCACATCTGCCTTGTCCCAGCTGCTGAGTCCATTTGCAAGGCAGATATTAATGTTAATCATTGCCTGAAAAATTTTAGACCATGACATTCTGATGCACAGCTCATTGTTAGACTTCATCCACATCTCACCTTTATCACTGGGAGAAGGAAGGCAACATTATGAAGGGAAAAGATCCATGAATGGGTTGTAGGAGACTTGCTTCTAATGCTGAATCCCTTTGTGATCTTGAGATTCCCATCTATGGGCCTCAGTTTCTGTATCTGTGAAGTGAAGTGGTTGAATTCAGTCATCTTTGAGAGCTTTCTATCTCTAAGGTTGTATGACTTTCAGCCTTTAGGGATATTAAATGCATATAGTCACCCCTCTGTATCTGTGAGTTTTGCATTCATGAATGCAACCAAGCTCAAATGGAAAATACTTGAAAACATTTTCCACAAAGTTTTAAAAAGCAAAACTTGAATTTGCTGTATGCCCAGTTGATATGGTTTGGGTCTGTGTCCTCACCCAAATCTCATGTAAAATTGTAATCCCCACTGTTGGAGGCGAGGGCTGGTGGAAGGTGATTGGATCTTTGGGGGAGCATTTCCCCTTTGTGGCTGTTCTTGTGATACTGAGTGAGTTATCCTGAGATCTGGCTGTTTAAAAGTGTGTAGCACCTCCCCCTTCTCTCTCCCTCCTGCTCCAACCATGTAAGATGTGCCTGCTTCCCCTTCATCTTCTGCCCATGATTGTAAGTTTCCTGAGGCCTCCTCAGCCACGCTTCATGGCTGTGGAACTGTGAACCAATTAAACCTCTTTTCTTTATAAATTGTCCATTCTCAGTTATTTCTTTATAGCAACGCAAGAATGGACTGATACACTGGTACTATGTTAAATCCACATGAATGAAGTGATTGTAGACATTGTATTAGGTTTTATAAGTAATCTAGAGATGATTTAAAATTTAAGGGAGGATGTGCATAGGCTATATGCAAATACTATGCCATTTTATATATGAGACTTGAGCCACTGCAAATTTTGATATCCAAGGGGGTACCTGGAACCAATTCCCCATAGATACTGAGGGCCAGCTGCACTATTATCTCTTCTTTCATTTATTTGTGGCAGAATGTCTTCATTTATTTTTGAAATTTCTATGGAAGTATAACATTCCCACATAAAAATGCACGTATCATAAGTACATATATGGATGTAATTTTAGGAAGTGAACACAGCCATATAACCAGTACCCAAATCAAGAAACAAATTACCAGCTTCACAGAGCCCACTTTGTGCTCCCATTCAGTTATAGCCTCTTCCTGAAGGTTAAAACACTATCCTTACTTCTAATGCCATAAAGAGATTACTTTTGCCTGTTTTCAAACTTTATGCATTAAAAAAGTTATCCAATATGCATTCTGTTTTTTTCTAGCTTCCCATGCTTATCACACTACAGGATCCATTCATATTGTTGGGTAGAGTCATAGTTATTATTATTTCTCTTGTTCTTAGGAGTAGCTGCCATTTAAAAAGCTGATAGATGTTTTTATATCTAGAGGTAGCAAATTAGCTTGAGGCTGCACTTGGCTTATGCTACCAGCCTGGATCCCATGCCTGCCAAGGGCAAGCCAGCCATGGAGTGGTGAGGGGTGTGTGAGCTAGTGGGTGTGGGGTGCAGCTACTGCACATAGTCAGGCACTCTGGCTGCAGAAGGGCAGGTGGCTTCAGGTTCCGGCATGGGTGCCAGCTCCCTGTGAGGCTACAGCTGGACCAGATGTACCACAAGCAGCTTCCATGGCTGGCACCAGGGAACATGGTGGCATCTGGAAGCTTGGAGATACCAGAGCCCCAAAGAGGGCGTCATGGCCCTGGCTCAGGGAGCTCCTAGGTCTGAGCTCCCTGAACTGCTGCAGCTCTTCTCTCCTCATTGCCTGCAATGTGGTGAGCAAGGGGTGTCTTTCAACCCTGTTTGTGTTAGAGCTTTTTCAGCCCTGCCATTTGGCAAGTCTCGAGTTCTTGTCCTGCTTCCAGGAAAAATAAGGTACACAGACAAGTGAAGGGTGAGCACGGCAAAGAGGAGCTTCATTGAGTGACAGAACAGCCCTCAGGAGACTTGAAGTGGGTAGCTCCTTTCTGAAGGCAGGTCATCCTGATGAGTGTCCAGCTCTCTAGCTCTCAGCAGAGAGGAGACCTACAATGGGTCACTGCTTTCCATGGGCAAGTCGAGGAGACCAAAGCTCCTTCCTGGGTAGCTCAATCCTGCAGCTGATAGTCCTGACATCTATCTGAGTCTGGCTGAGTCCGGAGTTTTTATGGGCTTCAGGGAGGAGGAACTGTATACTGATTTGTCCATAGGTGTCCATGGTCAAGTCTGGAAAAATCACTGTAAGTTCTCACTCTGGTCCATAGATCTGGCAGCCCAGCCCCCAGGGTTCAGGCCATCCCAGGCCTGAAGGTGGGGCTGCACTGGGGACCTGCCCCTTTCCACACAGGAAACTCTCTGCCTCCTGCTGCCGTCAACCTGCCATCCCTGGCACCAGGTTGTTCATACTGAGGGGTGCCTGCTGGCCTGTGCAGAGCTGTCCCAGCCCCTTTCCCGTGCTTATTGGCACCCAAAGTCTTGAGAGGGCCAAGGCAACAGGGGGCTGGCATGTCAGCACTGCCCTGAGCTCACATGCACCCAGCCAGGTCACAACAGTGCCTGGGCCCAACCTCAACTTTGATCTGAAATTGGAGGGGCTGCTTGAAGCGGGGAGAGGCCAGGCAGTGGGAGCAGGTATTTCTGAGCCTGTGGGGGAAGGGGGTGATCCCCAGGTCCCTGAGACTGCAGGAATGCCTGGATCCACAGCTGCAACTGTGTGGCCACACTGTGCCTCGGAGGGTGGGGCTCCCGCTCCTCCAACTTGGAAGTGGGTGGGGCTTCTACCTGTTCCTAGCTCCTGCCAGCTCCATGGAGCACTCAGCCCCTGCTGCATCTCCCCTGCTGCAGCCGGTGTCTTTGCAGTGGCCGCTTCATATGGGCTGCCACTGCCATTAGTAGGCTACCCCTCAATGACCACCTCAGTGAGTATGCATAGCCCAGATGCCCCTGTGGAGTGGCTGTGAAAATTTGATTATAAATCTAGGAACTCCTGGGAATAAATGGGTGGAAGGTTCTGATCTTCTTCATGTGAAGTGTAGAAACTCTACAGTGGGTTAAAATTGTCCCAACATCTAGGGGGACTTATCATGAGGGAGGAAGATGTCTGATTGGTATGACAGGCTCAAAGCCACAGTATGTACAGCCACTTTGCCACAGTAGGCATGACCTGAGAATGAGGAATGAAACATAAAACTAAAGAGTTGGAGGCTTGGGAGTCTAAGCTTGAGCCTGTTGTCACTGAGGGAGTGGGATTGCCCTCTACTGGAGAAACACTGTAATCTGTTTAAGGCTCCTTTCTATTCCCTTCGCCTCCACCATGACTTGACACAGAGCCATGCAGAATCTTTGTTTTCAATAGTGACATCATGTGGCAGTGGCAGGAATTACAGGCACAGAAAAAAACGAAGACCTGTTGCATTTCTCCCTTCTCTCTCCACAACTCATTAGGAACCTTGATTAAGAAACTCCTGGAATTCTTTTACAATCCAAAGGGAGAAAGGTTAGTTCTGAGAGGGACACTATACATATCAACACTGCACATGAGAGACCAAGAGAGCGATTCATCAAAGTAAATGTTTGTACTCCATTTTGAAGTTGTCTACATGATCATTCATTCATTCAGCAATTATTTAATGAATTTCTGTTAACTATGTGTCCAATATGCTTGGCACTTTTAAAAGTAATACATCTTTAATTGCAATCTATTTCTCCTTTCAGCTCTCTTTCATTCCTCCTACCTTTCTTAATGCAACCAGTATGTTGAACTACAGCCAGAAGGTTCCCTGTGACCACACCCCCCTGGAAATGTTTGATGATAAATAATTTAGTGGGGAGAGTTATCCTTGTTGGACATATTAAACACTGAATACGTATTTGCTAATTATTGGGATTATTTCTGTAACTGTAGAATTATATGACCTTTCTCCAAATCTTCCTCCCCAAGTCAATTCTTGACCTCAATTTACACTGAAAGAAAAAGAGAAATTTTTTGGATCAGTTCATGTCTGTTTCCTTATAGGTCTGTATTTCTTAGATCCCAGAGGGATAACCTCTTTTTCTTTATTTACCTTGTCTGTGTTGCTAAGATGTGGGTCAGCTACCCATATAAAAGTGGATAATCCAGCCATTTTTCAAAAACGTTGAAGTATGAACTATGCACTTAAGATCTGTATGTAAGTGGCATTCTTCAATTTTAAAAAATCAGTGTGAATAGGTGTCAGAGAAAAAAAACTACCATTTCTTGAGCGTTCCAGCATAATATTCTAAAGCTATATAATAGGAAGTGTATCATCCCATTTTATTGATGAAGACACTATTATTATGACAGATTAAGTAACATATCCAAGATCAAGTGGTTTCCAGTTTTAACTCATCATAGTTTCAAAGCCTATCCTAATTCCCACCCCAGGACCCATTAAGACTTCAGGTTCTTAGATATCTTTGCTTCAGAAGCCCTGGCATGATCATCCTTTTGTCTGTTGCTATGACCCCACTGTCACTGCTCAGTGAATAAACAGACTATCGGTTCCCAGGTCTGTCAATCTGCTCCATTTTGTAACTCTGAAATGTGCTGCTAAAGTATTTTCCAAGAGACAGTGAAACAAAAACATGTCTTTCAATAGAAGGTCAGAATTTTGGAAGGACCTTTTTGGATTTTAACATTAATATTGGGCATTAAGTTCTTCTTAAGCAGAGCTGAATTTTTCCCTTTGGGTTAGAGGGATGGGTTTTCAATGACCAGTGTCATTTGGGATCCTGGAAAGCAGCGGGTAGATATTTTTGGCATGTTTCATGCCCAGTGCCTCATTCTCCAGCTGGCTCAGGTTTCTGGGTGGAGTTTCAGTTTTGTAGTAACACTGTAGACCTAGGAGAGAAGTCTGGCCAATTTCCCCTCAGGTCACTCTAAATGACAATAAAAAATACTGGTAACCTTTTCACAGAGCAGACATTGAAATGGGGCTTTCAAACTCTTCTCTACATGGAAGTACAATCCCTTTAAGACTGGAAGAATAATAAGGAGATACTGGAATGCTTCTCTCAAAGGGCCTGGGCATAGAATATGAGCATCTCCTGCCTTTCAGTAATGTATTCTACTTTATAAACTATTTTATACATAGTCTCATCCAGTTGCCTACAACAGTCCTATAATGTGGTGTATCCTTGGACTCATTTTCCAGATATGTCAATAGAAGCTCAGAAGGGGACAGTGACTTAACCAAGGACATATAACTAGTAAGAAGTGCAGTTGGGATGTAACCACTAAGGATTCTTGCTCCTGCTGTCAACCAGTTACTCTACAAGGATTTGGAGTAATCACAGCAAGTCCTGGAAGCTTATATCATTATCCCTACTATATAAATGGGAAAACTAAAACCTGAGAATGGTAGTGTGGGTAGCCTAAAATAAATCACATGGCTCACTACCAGCAGAAGTGACCATAGGTTGTCTAACCCTGAGTCCATACCAAGATCCTTCTTGGTAACCCTCCACATCAAAGAATGGGTCTCTCATAAGATTGCCTGAGATCTGATCTTCTATAACAGTGTGCTTTTTTTTTTTTTTTTTTTTAAATTTGAGATGGGGTCTTGCTCTGTCACCCAGGCTGGAGTGCAGTGGTGTGATCTTAGCTCACCACAACCTCCTCCTCCTGGGTTCAAGCAATTCTCCTGCCTCAGCCTCCCAAGTAGCTGGGATTACAGGCATGCGTCACCACACCCAGCTAGTTTTTGTATTTTTAGTAGAGATGTGGTTTCACCATGTTGGCCAGGCTAGTCTCAAACTCCTGACCTCAGGTGATCCGCCCACCTCAGCCTCCCAAAGTGTTGGGATTACAGGCGAGAGCCACCACGCTTGGCCCAGTGTTGCTTTTTAATTGTTGATTTTAGGAAAGCAGATTTCTCCAGATGGGAATTGGTGGCCTCTGTAGATGAGCAGTTGCTGATGAGTTAGCAGAATCTTCAACTTGAGAGCGTGGCTCCTCTCTAAACTCAAAGTCACTGTCAGGATTTTGTCCATAAAGATCTCATTAAGATCTCATTATTATATATACATACGTGTGTGTGTGTGTGTGTGTGTGTGTGTGTATGTATGTGTGTGTGTGTGAATTTCAACTGGTATTTTAGATTTTTGGATTCAAGGGGTACATGTTCAGGTTTATTACATAGCTCTACTACATGATGCTGAGGTTTGGGATATGAATGATTCCATCACCCAGGTAGTGAGCATAGTACCCAATAGGTAGTTTTTGAGCCGGATCTCTCCCTCCCTCCCCCTTCCTATAGTGCCCAGTGTCTATTGTTGCTATCTTTATGCCCATGGGTACTCAATGTTAAGCTCCCACTTATAAGTGAGAACACAAATATTTAGTTTCCTGTTCCTGCATTAATTTGCTTAGGATAATCGCCTCCAGCTGCATCTATGATGCTGCAAAGAACATGAGTTCATTCTTTTTTAAGGCTGTGTAGTATTCTGTGGTGTGTATGTACTACATTTTCTTTATCCAGTCCACTGTTGATGGGCACCTAGGTTGATTCCATGTCTTTGTTATTGTGAATAGTGCTCCAATGAACACAGAAACATAGATGTCTTTTTTGTAGAAGGATTTATTTTCTTTTGGATATATACCCAGTAATGGGATTGCTGGGTTGAATGATAATTCTAAGTTCTTTGAGAAATCTCCAAACTACTTTCCACAGTGGCTTAACCAATTTACATTCTCACCAACAGTGAATAAGTGTTCCCCTTTCTGTACAGCCTCATCAGCATCTGTTGTTTTTTGACTTTTTGATAATAGCCATTCTGACTAGTGTGAGATAGCACGCAATTGTGGTTTTGATTTCTGTTTCTCTGATGACTAGTAATGTGGAGCAGTTTTTCATGTTTATTGGCTGCTTGAGTGTCTTCTTTTCAGAAGTGTCTGTTAATGTCTTTTGCCCATTTTTTTATTGGAGTTATTTGTTTTTTGCTTATTAAGTTTCTTACAGAGTCTGAATATTAGACTTCTGTTGGATGCATAGTTTGAATATTTTCTTTCATTCTGTAGGTTGTCTGTTTATTGATAATTTCTTTTGCTGTGCGAAAGCTCTTTAATTAGATCCCACTGTCAATTTTTGTTTTTGTTGCAGCTGCATTTGAAGACTTAATCATAAATTCTTTCCCAAGGCTGACATTGAGAATGGTGTTTTATAGGTTTTCTTCTAGGATTCTTATAGTTGGAGGACTTAAATTTAAATCTTTAATCCATCTTGAGTTAATTTTTGTATATGGTGAAAGGTAAGGGCCCAGTTTTATTCTTCTGCATGTGGCTAGCCAGCTATCCCAGCACCATTTACTGAATAAGGAGTCCTTTCTTCATTTCTTACTTTTGTCAACTTTGTAGAAGACCAGATGGCTTGGGTGTATGGTTTTATTTCTGAGTTCTCTATTCTGTTCCATTGGTTTATGTGTCCATTTTTGTATCAGTCATAAAGGTCTCATTCCAGAAATCAGTAAGTAATTAACCAAAGTCCAAACACCTTCTCAGAGTAATCACTACCAATTACATACTGCACACATCTGTATGACAGGCACTCTACTGGGAACATCAAATACATTTTCACAAATTCTTCCAGCAATTCTATAAGCTAGAAGTTGTTATTCTCATATTGAAGAGGAGAAAATTGATGCTCTGTCAGGAGAAATCACTTGTCTAAGGCAGAATTGGGATTTGAATCCAGGTCTATCTGAGTCCTTGCCCTTAACGGTATGCCAAACTGTCTTTCAATTCCTGAACCAGATAATTTTTATATATATATAAAACCAGGTCAGTCTTATGCCCAGCACAGTGCTTGTTCTTATAGACCATAGTCTAGATCAAAACTACTCAAGTGTTGCTTCTTCCACAAAGGCTTCTTGACCCTTTCAGCACAAAGTCTTTTCCTTCTCAACATAGTGCACTCACTCATTCTCTCTACCGTTTATTTGGCATACTCCATTCTTTGTCTTGGAGTACCTCTTCTGTATCAGAGTTGGAAGGATCTTAAGAGATCATCTAGTCTTGCTTTCTCTTTAACATTTTTGTATGCCCTTGAACATGCACTGGTAACATGCCTCCAGTGTTGGAAAACTCAGTTCTTCCTAAAGTGTTCTATATGTATGATCATGTCATCTGCAAACAGAGACAATTATACTTCTTCCTTTCCAATTTGGATGACTTTTATTTATTTATTACTTGTCTAATTGCTGTAGCTAGGACTTTTAGTACTATATGAACAGAAGTGGTAAGAACAGACATCTTTGCCTTTTTTCTAATTTTAGACGTTTAGTCTTTCACCATTAAGTATAATGCTAGTTGTATTTTTTTATGGTATATGCCCTTTATTACATGGAAGGAGGTATCTTCTATTTCTAGTTTGCTGCAAAAGCTTTGTTTTGTTTCCATTTGAAATGGATGTTGAATTTTCTGAGTCTATTGAAATGATGGTAGTGGGCTATAGTTTATCTTTCTAAGCACTTTTCTCTTGGAATTTTTTGGGCCTGAGTATAAAGTTCATCATTGATAGCAGGCCATTTGTCCAGTGAGAGATCAGAATGCCCCAGATAGTACCTAGGGATTTCGGGCAAGGAGAGTAATGCTGTCTTCACCCCCATGGTCCTCCTAAAGCCAGGGCCTTGCCTCCAGCATTGTTCTGGGGCCTGGAACACTGAGATCTGGGGAGACACATCACTCAAATTTCCTGGAAAATTCCGTTTAATGAATGACCCACCCATTCTCTCCTAGCTCCTTTGCTTCTTCCTGAGTGAGACTTAATCTCAGCAACTGGGTTACCTCACATTTCACTTTGTTTAGAAAGGATCAGGTTTTCCTCCTCTTAATTGGGTGATTAGGCCTTTGTGAGCTCACAGATCTAATCTTGAGATTTGGGTGGGTTGAATTTGGTTATGGAGACATAATAGGAAATAGTGTTTTGGGGAGTTTGGGTTAGAGGGAGTGATTGAATATATTCCTCAGTCAGAGGTCTTGTTTGGGGGCAGGCAAGAGTTTCTCCCATGAAGATGGTCTCTTCTACATCTAAAAGAGTCGGCTCAGTGACTCTCTGATGTAAATTCATGTACAACAGAAGCTTGGGATGGGAGACTGTCTGCCTCGAGTTATGCACCTTTTTGCTTTGAGGACCTGTCCTCCTTGCCATTTCAGACTCAAGGTGTGTGAGTGGGTGTGGTATAGCAGGAGTTCAGGACTTCTGGTTCTCTTTGGTTCCAACTTCAATTAAGCTATCAACTTTCTCTGTGGCTTTTGGAAAGTTGCTTTTCCTCTCAGGCTCTGTTTCACCTTCTGAAAACTTTTTTTTTTTTTTAAGGTAAGGATCTATGTCTGCCACAGTCTCATTTTGAATTAAGGCTTTATGTAGTTAAGGATGCCTAACCAGCACATGTACAGAACAGCGTGCCTAGCACTGGGCAAAGTGCTGGGTATTCGATGATGAGCAAGAATAGGCAAAAACTCTGCCTTCTTGAAATTTAGGATTAAATTGGGAACATAAGTAATAAGCAATTAACTTTAAGCAGAGACTCCTCTGGAGGGAGATCATGGCATTCCATAGTAGTGTGTAGCCAGCAATTTTAACCTGTTGTTGAAAAACTATGTTAAAATAAAATAAACATTTATTCATGGGATCCAAGAAAAGTTCTCTCTTCAGAAGCAGATGTTCCTGGTTGATTAATTAGACAAATCACTTTATTAAAGATCAACTGGTTATCTAAAGAGTCCAAGGAGAACTGCATGACTATGTACTTCCTGGGCTGGGAACCTCTGCTGGAAGGAAGGATCCTGAATCAAGTGGGGCTGGACCACTGGAAGTTTAAAGGATTGCCTAATTCTGTATCAGTGTGATAATTTGATTAATATCTGCAAGCTCCAGGAGAGCAGGGCCTAAGTCTGTGCCACTCAGCATTGCATTCCAAGACTCTGGTACAGTGTCTGGCACATAGTCAGCACTTAACAAATGTTGAATGAATGATGTCGAGAGGAGACAAGACAGGGACCAGATCTCAGAGGGATAAGAAAACAGGCTAAGCTACTTGGACTTTATCCTGTAGGAAAAGGGGAACCTTTGAAGCCTTTTGAGGATCGTAAACATAATCAGAATGGTGCTTTGGAAAGAAAGATAACTTTTCTAAACCTCCTGATCACGGTTTCTTGTTTCTTTTGCTCAACTGTGAACTTCCTGATAGATCTTTTCTCATGCTTACTGGTGTTTACACAGTTTCGTGCACAGAGAAAGTACTTAGGGAACATTGGTAGCATGAGTGAATGGAAGAATAAACAAACAAAGGTACAATAACAACAAAAAGTGGCTGGGTAGATGAAGAGAACGGTGTTCAGCACAGGCTTGGAGTTAGTTTGATATCTGAAGTCTCAGTTACATCACTTACTAGTTATGTGGCCTTGGGTACAATACTTTCTTTTGGCTTTGGGTCTTAGTTTGACTCTTAACTATGGACATTAGTATGTGGCACATAATAGGCATTCAGTAAATTTGACCATCATTATTTGTATTCTTCCTTTCATGGGGAAGATACATGGTTTTCTAGGAAAGCTGCAAAGGAGAATCCTTGGACCCTTCCCTCATTCTCTTCAAAGTTTATAATACAGTCTTACAAACCTTAGAGCTGCTAGTCCATGTAGATCACTCCGTACAATCCCTTCATTGTATAGCAAGAAAATTGAGTCCTGGAGACAGGAAAGGACTGATCCTAGGTCCTGCAGCATGTTAGAGGCAGAGCTGGGCCTTGAGCCCAAGTCTTGTGGTTCATTGCTCTTTCTTCACATATGGACAGTGAAATTATCAATTAAACTCGGCTTATGACTTTGCCCTTACACATTCCTCAAGGTCAATGGAAATTGTTCTTTTGGCTTGTATATAATGTAGCCTTGGCCATTCCATTCCTTTTGCCCAAAAGGTAGTTTTTTGTTTCTTTTTCTCCCCTTCCACCTCCCTGGGGAAAGAATAGTCAGAAAGGATGGGATTAGTTAAAGTTAAAGATAAGATTCACCCCTGCAGCCGTTCTTGCTGTGTCCAGTATTGTCTGAATAAACTTAAACTCCTACAAGGGCTCTTAGACCTAGGCTGTGTGGATGGGTCCAGAGATTGTGGTAGACTATAAGTGAACTAATTAAGAAGAGATGAATGAATGAAGAAAAATGATCACAGTGGAGTTGCCACAAAGGGTCAGAGCAAGGATATGCTCAGAGACCATCTCACTCAACTTTCCCATTTTGCATAGAGATGAGGCAAGATTAGCTCAGATCATGCAATATGTCAGTGCAAAGTGGCAAGACAATTGGATATGAGGACCAGAACTAAGGAAGAATATCCGTCTGGGCAATAGAATTTGGGGGGTTGTCGGGTTAAAGGTGAAACAATGCATGTCTATATATTATCTTGATAAAGCCAACTGACCAAAAGGAGAAGTGGGCTTGAAACTGAGGACAATGCAGGAGCAACATGATAGAATGACTACGGGAACTGGGGCACCAGGTAACCAGGGAAAGAAGCCTTAAAGAAGTAAGGTAGTGGTCAACTGATTGGAGATGTAAGTTTCCAGGTCATGGTGGTGGTAAATGGCAGAGCCAAAATTTGAACCCAGGTCTGTGATTCCAGAGGCCACTCCCCTTCCAAAATGCCATGTTGCCATCCAGCTGAGACAAGCTTGATGGCAAAATATCCATGATAGCAAGCAGCACTGTCTTTTTGTTTCCCTGACTCTCTGGCTTCCTAGACCCCAAATGCCCTCAGAAAAGACTGAAGCTTAACGGCAGGAAGGTCAACCAGAACTTGAAACTCACTCTGAGAACACTAAGGCTCATTTCTGCCAAACTTTCTCCCCACCCCCATCCCCAGGGAAAAGAGTCCAACAAAACTTCAATTCACTTGTAATTGCTCCACTCCCAGAATTAGAAGGATTTTTTTTGTTGTTGGTCTCCTTCTAACACCCTCAACTGATGCTTTCACAAAACTGTTATTTTAGGGCTGTTTGGACTTGTTTTCTACATAGCTCTTGTTTTCTATTATTTCTCTCTTTTTCCAGGGTTCAGACTAATTAAAGGAAGTGTAAATCACACCTCGTTTGCACAAAATACCTTTCATGAGGTCTGGAAGCAATTTAGCTTCTGTTTGCCAAAGATCTTTAGGAAAGAAAAAAAAATCCCTTTGGTTTAAAAAAGATTAATTTCTTGGTGCCAAAAAAACCCATTAAGTGCACCTCCCACTTCTGGGATCTTTTATGGTTTTCATGTGAAAATGGCAGCCAGAAAAAGAGAGCGGGAAGACTAGGCTGGTTCTGCAATTATGGCTGGCCATCCCTTGCCACCAGCTTAGCAGCCCTGCAGCAAAGCACAGGTTTAGAACACAGCCTGGTGTCACAGGGTATTCAGAGTAACTGGAAGATTTTTTGCTGGCTGTCTTCTGCTCCCCTTTTCTCACCCCAGATTCTAATAACCCCTGATCAATGTTCTCCCAGGGCCATGGGTCCTTGATGTGGGATGAATCTTGTCAGCAAGGTTGTGGACAAGGGGGCAGAGCTGTCACCTTGGGCTACCTCTTGCCCCTCTATTAGAGACCTACTCCTTATTTCAAGTCTTCCTGTTTCCTCTCCCCTGCCCCATACCTCTGCCTCTTCTGCTCTGTATATGTTCACCTTTGCTCTGAGAACTAATCCAGTGTATTTCCTCTGAGCTGCTAATGTCCCAAAATGTGAAACAACGAAGGGCCTCTAGTTATCTTCTAACTTTCTTACTTTAAAGATAATGTGACTGGCCGGGTGCGGGGGCTCACGCCTGTAATCCCAGCACTTTGGGAGGCCAAGGTGGGTGGATCACGAAGTCAGGAGTTTGAGACCAACCTGATCAACATGGTGAAATCCCGTCTCTACTAAAAATACAAAAGTTAGCCGGGCGTGGTGGCACGTGCCTGTAATCCCAGCTACTCAGGAGGCCGAGGCAGGAGAATTGCTTGAATCCAGGAGGCGGAGGTTGCAGTGAGCAGAGATCGCGCCACTGCACTCCAGCCTGGGTGACAGAGCAAGACTCTTCAAAAAAAAAGATAATGTGACTTAGGTGTGACTTAGGGCCAGTGAGGGGGAATTGTTTGCCCATAGTCCCACACCTATGGCACAGCAGAGCCGGGGTTATTTTATTTTATGTATTTATTTATTTACTTTGAGATGGGGTCTCACTATATTGCCCAGTCTGGTCTCAAATTCCTGGGCTTAAGTGATTCTCCCACCTCAGCCTCTCAAGCCGCTGGGTCTACAGGCATGTACCATTGCGCCTGGCTGGAGCAAGGGTTAGCCCTTAGGGCCAGACACTAAGTATAATGTTCCTTTCACTCTTTCATAAAGATGACTTTCTCACAGTGGAATTTCTGACAGCAAGATGGTAAGAGAAAATGTTGTAGGCTTCGGAGGGGTGGTGTTTGCTCTGCTTCTCACATTATACCCTGATAATGGTTGTATCCGTTACCTTCTCATAACATCGGTCATGAGAAAGCAAGATATGAGCTAGGCTAACCATCAAGGAGGTTGTGGTAGATTGCAGCAGAAACAGAAAACACTTTATGACAGACAGATCCAGTGTTTGAATCACATCTTCCAGACAGATCCTGTGTTTGGATCGTATCTTCCTGCATTTTCATCTGGATGACACTGGGCAAGTCACTTCACCTTTCCAGGCATTGATTGCCCCATTTGTAAAATAGAGATATAAGTACCACCCTCCTACAAATGTTGAGACACCTAAATGAGTTAGTGGGTGTAGTCATCCCACAGTAGCAAATCAATACTTGGAGGCTGTGGTTTTTCCAGGTGCCTTACCTTTTTTTTTTCCTTTCGACTCTACTATTTTGAGAATCACAGGTGCCTCACTTCTTGAGAACAAATACCTGTGAATGTGGACACTTCTTGCCCACCCCTCTTCCTCTAAGTGCGGAATTTACTTCCTAAGAAAATAAGTAAATAATAATACAAAAATATTTGGAAGTTTTTAAAGCATGAAATTTCCAGGCTGTTTTTCTGCTGCTCAGAGCCTTCTGTAATTCTGTGGACAATAATAACTTTATCCAAGAATGTATTACATATTAGGTTTCCTCAGTTGGTATTTTTTTTTTCCATTTGAAAAACGCAGCTTTTTAAAATAAAGTGGAGTCGGACAGGTAGAGTTTGGGGGAAAAACAATGGTGTTGTTTCAGGGATTGGTACTGTACAGTAGAAACACACACACACACACACACACACACACACACACACACACACACACACGTTGGAGCCAGACGGCCTGGGTTCAAATCCTGACTCTGCTACTTCCTATTTACATGGTTGTAGACACATTTTTTTTTTGCATTTCTGGAATTCTGATTTCATAATTTCAAAATGAGGATTATAATTCTCATAATATCTAGTGATTATTATAAGAATTAAAAATGTTCTTAGAACATTTGTCAGGAGGTGTAGCCCGTGGTAGATATTCACATTGTTACAGGAGTGAGTGAGAGAGAGAATTCTAGAAAAAAGGACGTGAGTAGTTCCAGAAAGGATCCTCAGAATCAGAAAAACAGAGTTTGGGTCCTAGTTTTAACAATGATGGGGACTTAGTTTCCTGAGACTCAATTTTTCAGTCAATCAAATGGAATTCAACACAGTATCTCTGACACTTGTCCTGTCGTCTCTGGGCTCACTGCCCCTTAGCCTGAGCCCCTGTCCTCATCATTGCTCTTCTGGGTTATTGTAAATGTTTTCTTAACTAGTCTCCCTGTCTCCATTCATTCTTCCCCTATTACCTCTCTGGTTCACTTTCCACTCTGTAGTCAGAGAAAGGATCCTAAAGCCCTTCATAATTATCTTTTGCCTTCAGAGTAAGGTTCCCGTTTCTTAGTGTGGTTTATAACATTCTCCAAAATCTTACCCCTTCTTGCATCCCCCAATGATCTCCTCTCCCATCCCCTGGCTCTGCCCTGCCCACCCTTATCTCTGGTCACTGCAAGTTTAAATCCCTCTGCTGAAATGCCCTTCTACCTCAACCTGAGATTATCAGAAGAGATTCACCTACAAGCCCCCTAATTATTGGATTGATAATTTAAATCAATGATTCTATCCCTTCTAGCTTCAAGTTGCTCATCTGTAAAATAGGGACCATCAATCCCTTCTCCACAGGGTCAAAGGAAAAATTAGATGAGATAACTAACATCACTTGTTCAGCACTTGGCATAAACTAAGTACTTTTCACAGGATTAGTTCTCCCTTTTTTTGTTCTCTTCAACTCAACTCAGACACTGTTTTCATAGACCCAGTGCTCATCACACTGGATCATAACATACATTCTTTTTTCTTTTTCTTTTTCTTTTTTTTTTGAGACACAGTTTCATTCTGTTGCCCATGCTGGAGTGTGGTGGCATGATCTCAGCTCACTGCAGCCTTGACCTCCCCCGGGCTCAAGTGATCCTGCCTCAGCCCCCCAGCATAGCTGGGACAACAGGCACAAGCCACCACACCCAGCTAATTTTTGTATTTTGTTTTATAGAGATGGGGTTTTTCCATGTTTCCCAGGCTGGTCTGCAACTCTTGAGCTCAAGCAATTCAGTCACCTTGACTACCCAAAATGCTGAGGTTACAGGCATGAGCCACCGTGCCTGGCCTATAACATGTATTCTTGTGTCTTCCCATTTTACTGGCCTCTGAGTTAGTTCTTTGAAAGTCACTGTAGTTCTGCACTTGGATTCTGATTTCAGATCCTAGCCCCATCACCAACTGTGCGTGACTTTGGATGAATTAGTCTGAGCCTCAGTTTCCTCATCTGTAAAATGGAAATAACCACAGCATCTATTCACAAGGTTGTTGTTAGGATTAAGTAAGAAAATGCACATAAAGTCCTTAGCAGAGCTCCTGGCACACAGGAAGAACCCTATAAATGTTTACTGTTATTGTTGGTGTTGTTTTTGGTATTCCTAGTGCCTGGCCCAGGGAAGAGATGATGATTGTTGAAAGGATAAAAGTGCTTTATAAGCAAGGTAAGGGTGGGATGAGCTTTCTGATGGTTTTCAAAGGAGAGATGGTAAAAGATCCAAGGTGGGGCTTGCTTTGTGTGATTATGGGATCAAGCCAGAACACTTCTGTACACCCTGAGCTGTACTCTTTCCCTCTTTTATTTGAGATTTGGGAAGGGGGTAAGAAGGGGAGAATGCCCGAAACGTTCATTGTGGGGCAGGCACAGGCACAGGCACACAGAGTACCAACAACACATGAGCCAGCAGGGCCGTTCTTGCTAGTGTGCTGTAATCCTGTCCTGAAGCACTTCCTGCATTCCTGTCCCGGCCTAGCATCCTCTCATGCTCTCCCTGTGGCAGTGCCAGCCTGTAGGATCATCCCCTCCTACCCTGGCCTCCCATGGGGGCCACCTAAATCATCTTGCCTTTTCTTGGTTTGATGGGAAGCTCTTTGTTTTGGCTAAAATACTATGGGCTTGGGTGGTAGAACATCCTGAGTTTGAATTCCAGCTACTGCTTACCAGATTTGTAATTAGGTCAAATAACTCAATATCCCTGAGCCCCAGTTTTCTTGCATGTATAATAGGGATATTAATCCCCATTCACAAGGTTGTCATGAGAGATATGTGAAACACCAGGTCGTATGCCTAGTCAGTGCCTGACATATTAGTAACTGCTTCTTAGGGGACTGATCAGTCCTCCTTCCTCTTTTCATTGTCCACAGCTGCATCTGGCCACTGCTCCACACCGGCCTCCTGGATATAGGATGAATTCCCTGTAAAAGGGAGAGTTCAAAGTGAGGCCAAATGGCACCCAAATGCAAATAGAGGGGTGGGGCGCTCAATAACCTTTTGGGTTCATTGAAACTTATAATTCTGCTACTTTGTAAAATGCTTCCCAGGTTGGGAAGGTCAGTGTTGGGACAAAGGGCCACTCATGAGCTTCCTCCTCCCTCTTCCTCTCCCCATCACCAGTGCCCTGAGCTTTTCTCC
Source organism: Homo sapiens (assembly GCF_000001405.40). Classification (NCBI taxonomy): domain Eukaryota; kingdom Metazoa; phylum Chordata; class Mammalia; order Primates; family Hominidae; genus Homo; species Homo sapiens. Next base: position 116,575,906 of record NC_000009.12, on the reverse strand, counting down.
TTTTAGCACATTGCCAGAGAGTTGCCCTTTAGCTGGATAACTCCCCAGCATGTATTCTCATTTCCCTTATCAGCTCACTATGCAATGAATCTGTTCACATTCTCCTGCCTAGCTTTAGTGTACAGTCCAATATACAGGGAGAGGCACACAGTCAATATTTTGAGGGGAAAATGATTAAGGAACTTGCTTTTGGGACTATCTGCAGTAGTCAGCACCCCCTGAACTTTCTACTGCAGACTCTCTCAGACAGTGCCTTTTCTATATGAACAATGTTAGGAAATCCACTTGGGGTGCTTTCTTAGCCTAGGACCCCAAGACCTTATATTAATATAACAAAGATACATTGATTGCTGACTATGTGTCAACCTAGATGCTTAGTAAAGATGTGCTTTTTCTCTAATGATCTATAAATTAAGACTCAATGGAAGCTAGAGAATTTAAGGTGGTCTGGATCCTGCCATCTCCCCAGCCTCACTTCTCATCACTCCTCTGTAGGGATCCTGTACTCATCCACACCAAAGCAGTTGCATTCCCTGAAAGACTGTGCCATATTACCTTTGTTCATCTTTTTGGACCTTACCATCCTTCTGAATTTTTCTTTCTTTTTTTTTTAATTATACATTCCAGAACACTTGAGTTTTTTAATCAGTAAGTTTGTATTTTTATAATTATTAAAAACATAATTTTACTATGAAAAAAAGAGGTAAGCCAATAAAAGTGATACTGCAGTATCTGGGTTGTGGTAATTTAGAGGTAAATACAGGTGTCATCACCAAGCAAAAGGAATTAAAAGTAGAGCCTTGAAGGACAAGGTAGGACTTGAATGAAACGAAGAAAGAAGGGTGTTCTAATTGCAAGTACAAAAGTCTGAAGGTTGTAGCTTGTGAATCATGCACAAGGACAAGAGACACCAAGACAAATGTAGGTTAGTTGGTATGGATGCTGAAGGGAGTAAGGATAGAGTCTTAACTTGAAATCTGCTGTACATTGTCTTTCATTGAATGCCAGGCTGCTGCACTTGATTTTGAGCCCGTACCAGTTGGAGGGTTACTGAAGTTTAATGTGCAAAGGAATAACATCATGGGGTCTGTGCTACAGATAAAATAGCAGAGATGTTGCCCTGATACATCTGATGAAACTGGGACTTCTGCACGTTGGCTTTGCTACCTGCAAAGGGGGAGGTGGTCCACACACAGTCGGTAGAAACGGGCAAGCATTTTACCATTGGCCTTGACTTATTGAAAGGAGAAAAGGCCAATCTCTTTTTCAAGAGGAAACTAGATTTGTTGTCTTTCTCTGCCTTCCCAACAGACTAAATCCAGGCACATGTTCACAAGCACCTTCCACTGGGATCAGTGAGCTGTTTATTCAGCTTATCTCAAATGCAGGCAGCTTTCTCTTTGCATAGCTGCAATAAGCTCACCCTCAGGGCTTAGAACACAATTGAAGTGGGGTTGGGTGGAGTGGGAGACAGAAAGGGAACAGTTATGAGCAGGTCTGGGGCCTGGCACTGGCCTTTGAGTATACTGCTCACTATCTTTTAAAAAGTGATTCCTGTAGCCAAAAAAGGCCACATTTCCTACCTTTTTCCTTCTTACTTAAGGCTTGGCAAGTTAGGACCCATGGGCTGGCTGTCTGTTTTGTAGATAAAGTTTTATTGGAACACAGCCATGTCCTTTTATTTACATATTATCTATGGCTGTTTTCACACTACATGGCAATGTCAAGCACTTGCAACAGAGACTGTGTGGCTCACAAGGCAGAAAATATTTACTACCAGCTACTTCATATTTAAAAGTTGCTGACCTTTGATCTAACTAAGCTTCCTCTATCCTTCAAAGCATAGCTAAAATTCACTTCCCCTGGGAAGTTTTCCCCGATTCTCCCAGGTCTCACTCAGTCCTCTCACCTTGGATGTACAATGCCACTTCTTGTCCACATTTTTTATACCATGTTTCTCTTTTTTATATGATTTTAAAAACAATTCTAAGTACAACGTATGGCTTTGGGGACAACTGCCACATTTTATACTTTCTATAAAATCATACTCACAGGAGTTGGCAAAGTGGAAGTTGTATATGGTTTATAGAGAGGTGCCTGGTATTGAGTGTTGCTGTCACTGACCAATGCCATAACTTGGGACAAACCACTTCACTTCTCTGAGTCTCTCTTCTCATCTGTCATTTAACATGATAACATAGTACCTACCTGTGTAGGTTAGTACAAGATCCAAAGAGATTAACTAAAACAAACACACAAAAGCAAAAGCAAACAAACAAAAAACATGATTCTTGTAGTAAATAGTTATTTAATAATAACTGAATTATGCTACTTGGGGTCTTGCTTTGCCCATGTGTAAATTTAGAATTTTGTCCCATAACATTCTGGAAAAAAAATCCATTATTCATATCTTTTGTGAAATGCTGAGTACAGTCTCCTCCTTTCTTAGAAATTCATAAGACATTATCATATTAAAGGCTCTGAGATATCCCATGAGAAAAAAAATCTGTTTAACTTTATTTAATCCTGTATTTTTCAAATTTATTTGGCCACACCTTCAAATAACTATTAATGTCTCATGGGAGGTAATGTTCTGAAGAACACACTTTCGACCAATTGGGCCAAGTGGTCTTTTGGTTCACCTGGAGCTGTCATCCTGAGTTAAAGAATAGCCATTGCTTATCAGAGCCTCTTCTTTAATCACCAGCACAAGGAATGCAATGAAAACTCATGTTTTTGCATAAAATGGTGCCTTTGGTTGTGTTTCTTCTATAACGCAGGAAATAGTAAATGTGTATATTCTCAAACCCCACGATATTAGCCATGCAGGCTGTTGGATGTTCTGCCTCCTGATGTGTGTGTGTGTATATATGTGTGTGTGTGTGTGTGTGTGCATGTACCCACATGTGTGCACGCATGTACCCACATGTGTGCACACAGCACCTTTCTCTTCCTCTTGAGGCTGTCAGAGTCACGCACCTGGGGCATTACAAGTCCTGGGTACCTCTATAACTATTCCCTTTCTTCTCACAAGAGTGCCTTTGACCTCTTTCTGTTAAATCCCCTAGAAACATTTCAGTCCTCCCTCTTTCTGGAACTGGAACCCTTGGGTCTCCACCTTGGGTCCCTGCTGCAAAGGGGAAATTGGGGTCTTGGGAAATTATTCCCAAGGGAAAGCGTGAAGTCATTGGGTAAGCATAGATTTGAGATTCTGACTTCCTCAAACATAAATTGGGAATAGCTGACCCTTTCACCAGTGAGGGCTAGCACACATTTTGTTGGCTTATGCCCATGGGGCTGAGACCCAAGTAGGCGGTCAGGGAAGCCTTCCTCACCATCTGCTTAAGACGCATCTGCCGAATACTCAGTATCTCAGTGCACTTATTCACACCCTCTTTCATTCTCCAAAACATCTCGCTTTCAACGGCAAATTATAGGCGACCCTACCCATTCCTCTCCTAAAGTCCCTTATTAAGAAGGCTGGAAGTCTCAGGGGTGAGCAGCAAGGGAAAGAGGAAGTCTGTTTCCAGTGGTGTTCATGGCCCATACAGCCAACAGAGGGCGCTCCCACACCACGCAACACTGGGGTCCAAGGATCCAGGCAGGCCCTGGGGAAGGCGGCCAGCTGACCTTTCTCCAGGCTGTTCTTGGGTTGCCAGAGCAGCGGAGGTGTCAGCTGAGAGTGGTCACAGCCTGGGGAGGAGAAGGCAGGGAGAGAGGCTGGGGCACCCGAAGGGGAGGAGGAGCTGGCAGGGAAAACACACAGACACATTTCACAGAGGCAGAGACACAGGGGAACACACAGAATATGCAGTTGTACCTACAAACAACAAATGCAACATACCCCACACAGACACAGCATGCAGCCAGGGGATTTAGAGAAATCATATAGGGTGCAGACTCACAAATGAATGCAATCCATCCCATACAGGTATACACAATGCAGTCACCTCAGCCAGCTAAACAAAAACAAAGGCAACACACAGATACCAACACATATAAACATGCATGTGAGCACATCACCCAACAGGGACATTCAAGCTATGTGCAGCCAACGAAAGGCAGATAACAAAGAGACACGGTCACACACACACGGGAAGCACACAGACACATACAGTAGATCCACAACACATACAAAGTTACACACCATGGGGATAGCATGCCACGCACAGACAACACACAGCTTGTACTCAACACATGACAGATGCCTCAAGAGGCGTATCATAGATAAACAGCACAGGCACACAGATGCGTAAACATAGCCACCTTCCCACAGGCATACTGTAAAGATATACATACCGTGTGCCACATGGATCCACCCAGCACAAACAGACACAGACACATTAGATGGCATCCACTCACGTAGCACCCACAGCACAGCACACACCAAATACTCACACTCACCGTATGGACATAACTCCACATGGATCAAAAGCACTTGTAATTCAGTAAATGTTTCTAAAAGAGAAAAGAGGGAGAGGCCAGAAATAGGGAAAGAGAAAGGGTTGTGAAAGATGGAAAAAGAGACAGAATAGAAGAAAAGTGAGAAGACCCAGGGAAGGAGGGCTGGAGTCCAGATTGAGTGCTCAGCTTGGTCTCTTTCCCCTCTCTGCCTCGGTCATGATAGCAAAGAACAAGGTGATTTCAGGTGGCTCCCTTGGGGAAACCACATAGACTTGATGGCTACAGTAGGAGCTGATGGTGCCCCAGGGAGAGGAAACCACCAGCGTGGGGCCAGGGATTGTGCCTCAGTCTCATCTGGGGCAGTGGCACCGAATCATATCTGAGTCCTTGCAGCTTCCATTTCATCTCCAGGGAGATCAGCTCCAATCTTCCCCATCTCATTTAATCCTGACCTGTGAGTGTCTTACTGTTCATATCTGACTTTCTCTAGGCAGCAAATGTTGCAAAGAAACAATTACCAAAACTCTCAGGATGTATCTCCTTCTTCCTTTTAAAAATATACCTTTTTTAAAAAATAAAAGGAGAACATGTGAGTGATCCTAACAGAGCTTGTTCTGCCAGAAAAGACAGGACAGGTCAGGATGGTACAGGATTCAGCAAAGGTTGCTTATTATGTAACTAAACAAATAAAACTTACTTGGAATCACAGGATTTTGAGTGAAACAGATTCAGATGAGCACACTTTCTCAAGCAACCATCCTGGCCCAGATCAATGCAGGGTGCTGGGATATAGAAATAACAGACTCAGCCGGGCGCGGTGGCTCACGCCTGTAATCCCAGCACTTTGGGAGGCCAAGGCGGGTGGATCACGAGGTCAGGAGATCAAGACCATCCTGGCTAACACGGTGAAACCCCGTCTGTACTAAAAATACAAAAAAAATTAGCCGGGCATGGTGGCGGGCGCCGGTAGTCCCAGCTACTCGAGAGGCTGAGGCAGGAGAAAGGCATGAACCTGGGAGGCGGAGCTTGCAGTGAGCCGAGATGATGCCACTGCACTCCAGCCTGGAGCCGGGGCGACCGAGTGAGATTCTGTCTCAAAAAAAAAAAGAGACTAAAAGCCCTCATGTTAAAACCTGTAGAACAATAGGTGATAGAGATATAAAATTTAAAACTTATACAATAAGAGAGAAAGGGTTAAGTAAATATATAGGATTTGGTTATTCTTATATTGATAAGGAAAGAAGGGGCAGAATGAACATTAATTGTAAACCCACTATATGAACTGTGCTGGGCACTGTATATCAGTTATCTCAGTTAAAGCTCATAAAACAACTTTGGAAAGTAGAAATTATCAGCTTCATGCTTCAGATAAAGAAAGCAAGGCTAGAAACGTGAAACCACCTGCTCAAGACAACAAAGTTAGGGAGCCCAGATTCGAACCGAGTAATCTGCTTCAAAGCCCCCTGACTTTTCCACCCCATGGTAATAAGCATCTCCAATGACTTTTCACATCTTGAGCAAGAGCCAACAGAAGCAGGAGACAGACAGTCAAAGCAAGGAGACTCTGAATTAGACGGCATGACGGAATACATTAGACTCTCCAACCAGTCAGAGAAACCTTGGGCTATGAACTTGCTGGTCATTTCCCCAAGGCCTTGCATGCTCCAGTTTCTGGGTCTGGAAAGAGGTCTCCACTTAGGTATCAATATGCTGATTCCCAAAGTTCCTGCTGAGGCCCTCTGTCCTTGGGCGGTTCAGCTCTCGGCTCCATCATCACGCAGCCTACCATATGAGCCAGGTGTCAGGGATCTCTGGCATCTTGAGTTTTCCTAGGTGTCAATACGTAGAGAAAAGAAGGAAGGCAGCAAAACACATGAACCCAAATGTGAATTGAAGCTGAAGAGAACCAAATTCTGTTCTCCAGTTCACATGGTCTGGAGCACACATTTCTGTATCACTGAGTGTCTGTCGTGAATTTTCAGATAAACAGCAGAGCTGGAAGGAACACTTGAGATTGTCTAGTTCTTTACTGGTAGGAAAGCTAAGGTCTAATAACATGCCTTAATTTATTACTGCTGTGTTTTGATTGATAATCATAACAGCAAACATTTATGAAGTACTTAATATTGTGCCAGGAACTACGTTAAGCACTTTGCACATATTGCATCATCAGATGTTCACCATGCTTCTGTTAGGCCTGCACTATATTTGTCATTTTCACACACAAGCAAACCAAAGCTCTGAGACTTGCAGTGGCTTGCCATGGGTTGCACGGCTAGCCAGTGACACCATTGGCATGCAAACGAGGCCCGTCTGATTCTTAGTTCTAATTCCCAATGACTTTGGTTCGTTGCTTCCCTGACTACTCAGGAAACATGAAAAGGGACATTTCGCCCTGATTTAGAAAGAAGGTAACTCAGGTGCCTAGAAGAAGAATATCTTGCTCACACTCCAGAGCTCTGAACCTCTCATCTGCTTCCCTACCTACTGTTCCTTGGACCAACCTTGACCCTATCATTTTTCTTTCAGGGTTGGTTTAAAAAAAAATAGTGTCAGAGTAAAAAAAGGCCTCACCTTGCCTAAAGGATATTTTTGTAATACTGGAAAGTGGCATTCTCCCTGTCCTAAGCTTCTTTCTTCTTTAACAGGCCATCCAATTGTTGCCTTCCAGTTGGCTCCTTCGGGAGGGGGATCCTCTATCCCTTGGCCCCTTCAGTCTTGCCTGGTTCAATTTGGTCCTGTGGTCCTGATCCCCCATCAAGGTAGTAGTATCTTTCCTTAATTCAAACCTGAACTGAATATATGTCCCTGGGCCTCAGAGAGGGACCAGACTCAGGATGGTGAAATAACTGGCCTGGAGTGTCCCAACAAAGACTCTGTGTGTAGAGAATGGAGAGCTGGCTGGTAAGGCTGGGGGCTAGAGTGTTCAAATGTTGTTTATGCTGGTAGGATGGGTCTCTCATTCAGCAAGAAGATTTATCTGGCATTACGTAGCTCTGTCTGCTGAGATTTGGCTACCGATTCAGGTTCTGAAGATGGACAGGTTAATGGCTGCCTTTGTTCTCAAATATATTGAATTTTCTCCCTCGCTTTTCTTGGTCTTTCATCTACTTAACATCTCCTAAAAAAAGATAAAAATTAAAATTTAAAAATTTAAAAAAATATCCAAAACTCTTTCCATGTGATGAGCTCACTATAGGCTAGTCCACTAGTACAGTATTGAATTGAAATGCAAAGCATCCTTGTCCCAATAGGAAGGTTTTCTACCTGCTAAATGGATCTCAGAATCATTTCTTAATTTTTTTTGCATTATACATTTTCTAATATCCTGGTGAGAAGGAGAAATGAGAGTATATCCCACATTTGGGGGCTTCATCTGAATTATTAATGACATCTAGAGAAGAATACTTAGGCCTTTACCAAGAGACTAAGTACCTGAATTATAGTTTCAGCTCCACCATTTGTTAGCTGTTTAATCGCATCTTTACAGTGAGGTGATAATAATATTCATGTATACAGTAGAGGCTCAGTGAATGTTAGCTACTATTTTTGCTACCTGTTTCATTATGGTTATTATTAAAGGCACAGTCTCTCTGAGGCTTGGTTTTCATATCTGGGATGCAGAGATAATAACTCTTACCTTGACATTTTGGGAGAGGGGTGTAAAATGAGAAAGTGCCTAGCATACAGCCTGGCAGGCAGTACAGTTTCAATAACTAGCAGTTATTCAATAACTAGTAGTATGATCTGTCCTGCCTTCTGCCTGCCAACCGTCCTTCCTTCATCTTCTTCGTGAAATAGTTCCCACACCACTACTTTATGTCTCTTATTTAAACCACCTCTTACTGGTCTTGCTGTCTTCTGCCTTCACTCCTTCAATCCATCTTCCATGCTACAGCCAGAAGGGTCCTCCAAGGCCATTTTGATGTCACAAGCCTCCTGTGACTATTCCCCATCTGGCAGAGCCTACATTTTTAGGGACATGAGAGCCCCTATCCACCCCCTGAACCCAGGGAGAAGCTGCATGTCCACAAGGTTTCCAGCCCACTGACTGGACAGAGACTTCCCAGAATAGGCTGTTGGCGCCCCACCCCGCCAACTGAGAAGAGCACTCAGTGGGGAAAAACTGGGGAGGGCTGTCAAGGGTGCCACCCAGAGAGACAGAAGCCTAGGCTTGCAGCCTCACAGAGGTGCACTACAGCCAGCTTGTCTGGCTCCTGAGGACAACTGCACACATATCTTCCCAAGTCCACGTTCAGGTAAATCACAGTGGTAGTGTGAAATTGGCCAGGGTGGAAGTATTTATATGTTGGAAATCAGCCAGTGCTATGAATCGGCACTTTTCCTCTCTTCCCACAGAGAGCCAAGTTGTTAAACATTTACCAGCACTCAACTGAACCTCAGTCTTATCAATTGTTCACAAGTCACATGACCTCTCTCAGCCTTGGTTCCTTCATATGTACATTGAGGATAGTGTGTTAGCTTGGATCCTCTGAGAAGCAGATGCTGAGATGGGATAAAACATCAAAGGATTGTATTAAGGGAAAGGCCTATGTGAGAGAAGATGGGAGTTTGCTGTGAAGGCTGGGTGGGAGCCATCAGGTTGGGGGGAGTCTGACCCTGTGTGAAGGAGAGTGGGAAGGAAGGCTGTGCAGAAGCATCCCAGGCTGCTGCCCAGCCTAAGGGAATCCTCAAGACAGTCTGCCATCTGAGGATTCCTGTATCTCCCAGAATGGGCTTGCCTTAGTATCCCTGCTATGCCCAGTCGTTGGCTAGGAACAGCCTGTAGGAAGTGTGTCCTCAGTGCAGATGCAGGGTTAAAATTCAGAGTACTCAGACTAGGGCTCTTGATTAGTTAAGCCCCCTGCCATTGGATTTCCGCATGGTGAATCAATTCCGCTGCAGGTATTGACACATCAAATCCTGTTGATCCAGGTCACTACATATACCTTTAGAAATATTTTCTAAGCACCTAACCTATGTGAAACACTGTTCTGAGTCCTGGGGATGGAGAAATTTCCATTAATAAAGTTCTGGACCTTATGGGCCCCATACAGAGGAGATTAACAAGTAAACAGATATATTCAGGATAATGTGAAAAGTAAGGGGATGATGGCTAAGGAGGCTGTCAGTAAAGGCTACATAGAAAAACAAAGGATTGAGCTGATCCTGGAATGAGCCCAGTATTGGGTGAAATGGGAATTCCAGGCAGAAAAATCTTCAAAAGCAAAGGCCCAACATATGAAAGAACATGAAAGATTCAAGGACTTGTGCATGACTCAACATTGATTCAACATGAGATACAAAAGCAGAATTAGTGAGAAATGACCCTGGAGGAGAAATCAAGGCCAGACAAGACTAAGGAATTAGATGCATTTATTGTTTTTTTCTTTTATAGTGTAGACAAGTGAAGACTATTACAGACTTTCCATCAGAGGCATATTTTAGAATGATCACTGGCTGCAGCTTGGAGGATGGACTGGAGGGCTATGTAAGAGACAGAGCTTACACATGTAGAAGGCTGCTGGATGTGGAAGATGAGTGAAGAGTCTAAAACAGTATCCAAGTATCCAGCTTGTGTTATATGTACTTGTAATCGAAGGTCTCTCTCTAGATCTTCTACACCATAGTTTTCTAACTTCAGGTCATAATCCATTAGTAGGTTGTAAAGTCAACTTATTGGATTGGAGCCAACATTTAAAAAAAGAAAATAGGATGTAGGCTGAGTGTGGTGGCTCATGCCTGTAATCCCAGCCCTTTGGGAGGCTGAGACAGGTGGATCTCTTGAGTCCAGGAGTTCAAGACCAGCCTGGACAACATGGCGAGACCCTGTCTCTGCTAAAAATACAAACAAAAAAATAGCCAGGCCACATGGTGGTGTGTGCCCATGGTCCCAGTTACTCAGGAGACTGAGGCTGAGGTGGGAAGATCACTTGAGCTTGGGGTCCGGGGTGGGAATGGGTGGGCAGGTGGAGGGAAGGGTGTGACTGGAGGTTGCAGTGAGCCGATATCACACTACTGCACTCCAGCCTGGGTGATGAAGTGAGACACTGTCTCAAAATAAATAAATAAATATATATATATATATATATATATATATATATATATATATATGGAGAGAGAGAGAGAGAGAGAGAGAGAGAGAGAGAGAAACAGTGTCTTAAAAACATTATCCTGAATGTATTATACATACATTATCCTGAATGTATTTGTTTACTTGTTAATCTCCTCAGTATGGGGCATATGTGTGTGTGTGTGTGTGTGTGTGTGTGTGTGTGTGTGTGTGTTTGTGGCAAGCCTAAGGATTTTTTCATAAAGCTTGCATTTCAGTCATATATACATGCATGTGTATACTAGGTTGGGATGGAAAACATATGAATCACACTAGGTTGGGATGGAAAATATATGAAATAGACTAGAAAATATTGTAAGGCAGTGTTGTGTCTTACATATCTTAAACTCAAGGAATTATTGAGTTGAATGAGGCGTTTGGTTCTAGCTGGCTTAGGTTTGTACTCTAAGTCTACCTCCTTCAATTGGACAATGATGCTTAGAGGAGTTAAGTGATTTCTCCAAGATGAGATAACTCTCATCATATCCCTTACAATACCTGAGTTGATTAAGAAACTGAATCTGTGTATGCATTTATGAATGAATACAGATTATAAATTAGTATCATAGAAATATTTGAGTAAATTAATTAATGAATAAATGAATCCATGAATGAATGAATAACTAGATCTATATATGACTATATGAAAAAATAAATAAATGAAGTAATGAAGGAAAGAAGAATGGGAGGGAGGAAGAAAACTCTCGAATCCTTTCACAAGCACTGGGAATCTGTAGACTATCAGCCAAGAAGTGAAGGATTTCTGAATGACCCCAGGCAGGGGACAACAACCAGTTGGAATTAATCATGTGGCCAGCACAGAGATCAGCCAAAGTTGATGCAAGTATCATTACTTGATACTGCAAGTAACGATGGCCTTGCAGTAGACTTTGTTACACACCCGTTTATTGGGTGAGCTATTAACTGTCCCAGCATGGGGGTAGCAAGGCACCTGACATTAGAGAATGAATGAGATGTTTAGGGTGGGGAGAGGTGGGCTCTTTTTCCAGCTCTGGTCTGCTGAGTCATCTCCAGCCCCAAGGGTTGCCATGCCATCATTTATCCATCCCATGACTGGGAGGCAATCAGTTCCATGCACTTTGGGCCACCTCAGAAAGCTACATGTTTAGTTCAGGGGAGAAGTGCATTAACATGGAAGAGCAAGACCCAAAGAGCCACCTGAGATCACTAAAAGTTAATCAGGCCTATGTCATTTTAACTATTTGAATCAGGTTTAGGTTCGACTCTGGACTTCTCTACTTATTTGATGTGTGGCACTGGGTTAGTCACTTTACCATTCTGAGCTTCCACTTACTCAACTGTAAAATAGACAAAATATCAATCTTAAACTAGTTCTGTAATCCATGTGCTTTGCAAAGAGTTTATGGTATATAAATGCTTGTCCTCTACCTCTCTTCTTTGTCCTTAAAATCTCCCATGCTTTTTATCTGCTTACCAATTCAGTTATTCAACAAATATCTATTGAGTTCTTACTATGTACCAGGCACTGGTATCAGCAGTTAACCAAAGAGAGAAAACTCCTTGTCTTCATGGAGCCAGCATTCTGGAACGTCAGGTTGCAGATGCAATCCAGAGACACCATTCACTCAGCTCTAAAAGATGATTCTAGAAGGAAAGGGAGACAGGAAAAGGAAAAAAGTACAAAATAAATATTTTATCAGATGTTGATAATTGATACAGAAGAAAAAGAAAAGCAGAAAAAAAGACAACTATGCTAGATGAGGGAAAGGGCTGTCTAGTTTTAAATAAGTAAGTCAGAAAAGGGCAATGTTGGAGCAAAGATCGGAAGGAGATGAGAGACCTGAACAAAGAGCATCTCAGGTAGAGGGAATAGCAAGTGCAAGACCTTGAGATGGAAGCGCGTCTGATGTGTTTGAGGATGACAAAGAGATCATTGTTCATGTGGTTCTCTCTATTGCAAATTCTTTCCTTGCTATTCTGTTGGGATAATTTTTTTATTTTTATTTTTATTTTTATTTTTATTTTTATTTTTTTGAGACAGAGTCTCGCTCTATCACCCAGGCTGGAGTGCAGTGGCGTGATCTTGGCTCACTGCAAACTCTGCCTCCCGGGTTCACACCATTCTCCTGCCTCAGCCTCCTGAGTAGCTGGGACTATAGGCACCCACCCCCGCACCCGGCTAATTTTTTGTATTTTTAATAGAGACGGGGTTTCACCGTGTTAGCCAGGATGGTCTCTATCTCCTGACCTTATGATCCGCCCACCTCGGCCTCCCAAAGTGCTGGGATTACAGGTGTGAGCCACCGCACCCAGCCTGGCTGGGAGAATTCTTACCTAATCTTTAGACCCTCCTTCTCTTTTGTCATACCAGATAGAAAAATTACTCTGCAATGGTCTACTTACATCTCTTCTCCTGCAGAATGCAAGTTCCATGAGGGCAAGGCTTATGCCTCTCTTGGTCACCTCTGTGTCTTTAAGACCAAGCATACTTTCTGGCTCAGAGTAGGCACTGAATGAATATTTATTAAATGCAGTGTTAAATGAACACATGAGCTTTCCGAACCTTCCCTCTGTCTTCAGCTTAATCAGTGCCTCTTCATCCTTCATTTTTCAAAATCACGCATAACCTTTGCTTTCTCCAAGAAGCATTCTTTTTTTTTTTTTTTTTTTTTTTTAATGAGGCAGTCACTCGCACTGTCACCCAGGCTGCAGTGCAATGGCATGATCTCGGCTCACTGCAACCTCTGCCTCCCAGTTTCAAGCAATTTTTCTGCCTCAGCCTCCTGAGTAACTGGGATTACAGGCACCCTGCTAATTTTTGTATTTTTTTTCTTAGTAGAGATGGGGTTTCGCCATGTTGGCCAGGCTGGTCTTGAACTCCTGACCTCAGGTGATCCGCCCGCCTAGGCCTCCCAAAGTGCTGGGATTACAGATGTGAGCCACCGTGCCCAGCCCAAGAAGCATGCTTTAACTTGTCAAGGTTATGCTCACCTCTCCTTAACCTGATCTCCAAAGTTCACACAGGAGAACATTAGTCCAGTGGAATGCTAATATATGAGCCGTAGAATATAAAAACAGTTCTGGGACTAGTTAGTTTGGAAAAACGTTGGTTAATCAAATGTAAACAGGTTTCTTTATTCACTGACTTTACAGAAACTTTAATATGTCAAAGGGGCTTGTGAATTTCAAAGAGAGGGGAATTAAGGAAAGTTTCCTAAATGTGCTTGACTATGATGCTTTTTCTAAAGGAACAATTTTCAGGAACCCACTTTGGGAAATACTGACTGAAAATTTGTTGGGATTCTCCCATCTTCTGGACTGTTCTTTGGTTTAACCTCAGCCAACCTCTTTCACTCTAGCTTCATCGCCTGTGGCAGCCACCCTGGTTTTGATTTCTACCTCCCGCTTGCCTGCGGAGAAAAGGGCTTCTCAGGAAGAAGAAATTACCCAACATTTTAACATTTTCCTGGCCATTAGGGAATTCCTAAAGGAATATGAAGAATCCTAATTGTGTGAATTGAGAGGAAGTCAAGGGAATGAAAAGGGGACACCTATGTCCCAGGCCAGTGGAGGACAAAGACATGGCTTTCCTTCTTACCCTCCATAGCTACCTTCTCAAATAGTCTCAACAATAAAAGTTTGGCAGGTCAGTTCATGCTGTAACAATTAAATTAGTTGTGGTATGTAATAGATGCAGCTTGATACTCATAGGGATGGGATCTTTATCTTTGCTCCCTGGGGCTGTGGGAGACTCCAACAGGCTCCTTTAGATTTTGACAAGGAGACTCTTGTTTTCTCCTTCTCATTTTATTTGTGTCTTTCTCAAAGTCATTCTCTGTTTCTGTTTTTCTCTTTGGTAGTCTACTTTGTCTCCTTGGTGTAAATTTGTGTAATTCCTTTGTGTTGATTTGGAATGGCTTTTCTCAACCTGGCACCTGATGATCCAGCCAAACTTTAGGGAGTGGAAGATGATAACTGGTATAGTGGAGAAATGAGAAAAATATAACTGATTTTACCTCAATATATTTTATTCTACTTGAATTTCATTTAAATTAATGAAGATTTATTGAACTTCTACCAAGGGCCCTTTTCAGTCAAGGCATTGAGGAGGCTAAGATGATTAAGTTCTAGCCATTGTTCACAAGAACTTTCTAGCATAGCAGGGGAGACAGACATAAGAAGATGACCAAATGCATCACGATGCATACCAGATTAGAGGATATTAGGCAAGAGGGAATCTGGGTGCGAGTGTTTGGACGATTTGTGCTCATGGGATGAGTTTGAAGCAGGGACACACTCTCTCTCTCTTAAAGCATTGGTTCTCAACATGTTAGTCCTCCAGCCTTATTTTCCCTACACCCTCTCTCAGCTTCATCTTTACAAACTAACCCAGAGTTCATCTAGATATCTCTATGTCTACCCCATCCTAGCATAACAACACATGTACATTTTTCTTTGTTCTTGTGGAAACTTTCCTGGCTGCTTTGCCAAATACCAGTTTTGATGTGTAGTTTAAATAACTTTAACTTTTTCTGAGAAGCTTTCTGACTATTTTCCCTCTCTACCTCCCTTCCAGACACAAATATTGATACTTAAATTCTGTGCACCTAACATAATGTTCATGCCTTCAGCTATTCAAAAAATATCTATTGAATGCCTCCCAGGTCCCAGAGACATTTTGCTAGAGGTTAAAGACAGATATGTCAAGAGGATATGGCATAGCTCTGACCACATGGCACTTGCAGTCTAGTAGGAGACAAACACATCAATTGAATTATAAAACTAATGAATGTATAAGGAAGAACCATCCAGAAGAAAGAGCTCACTTGTGCTAAAGACTTGAGGCTGGAGGGAAGCTGGAATGATGGACTGATAGACAAACTTATTGAAGGTTACTATGAAGGGAGGAGAGAGAGAGGGGAAGAACAAGAAGAAGAGGGAGGAAGGATAGGGAAGTCCAGATCCACTGGGTCTAATGTTAAGGTTTTTGGAATTATTCTAAATATAATGGAAATCTGGGGACTGGCTGGCTTGATGCTCCGTAAGGGGTAAGACTATTTTATTAATCACTGCCTCCGCAGTTACCAGAAAAGTGCCTGGCATGAAGGCTTATGGAATGAGTGAAGGAGCTAGTGAGTTAGTGATGTAATGAGATTTTACTTTACAAATGCCACTGGGCTGTTATGTGGAGAATGAATTGCAAGGAGGCAAGAGAGGCAATGTATATAAGCCAAAGAAATGTGTAAGTCACATTTACACATTGTTAACTACACAATTAACATTTACAATGTTAATTGCAACCCACTTGGGACCTCACTGGCCTGTGGCAGTATAGTACAATAGTTACAAATAATAGAATTACAGCCAGACCATCCTGGGTTCAAATCCGAGTACTGCTACTTATTAACCAGCAAGACCTTAAAATTGCTTTGTACAGTTGTTTCTTTATCAATAAAAAGCGGCAATAATAGTAAGTGCCTTTTAGAGTGTTGTGAAGAGTAAACTAAGAAGAAAGAGGAAGAAGAAAATGCTCCTGGCTCATATTAATAGTTCAAGGAATAAGAAGGCAGAGTAATATAAAGGCCACAAATACAGGTTCTTAAGTCAAACTTCCCAGGCTCAAATCCTGATTCTGTTACTTATTAGCTGTGTAACTTTGGACAAGTTCCTTAGGTTCCTTGAAGCTCAGCTTCCCAGGCAAAATAAGGAAATTAGTACTAAAGGTCCTTATCCAAAGTCCTTGGTATTAGATGTGATCAGGATTCAGAATTTCTTTTTGGATTTTTAGAAAGGCACTGCAGTGCATACACCATATATTTTGTAACATTCTCGTTGGATTCACAGACAACATCCCCATCATCATACTTCCTACTTCTGCAGTTAGACATGTACATACACAAACACACTAAGTTGAGAGTAAAGAAAAAAGACCATAGATCATAATTTAATTCAGAAAAGAATTATCTTCCAAATAAGTTGTGAAATAAACTGTGTATGTGCTTCAGCCTGTTTCTCAGCACCAGAAGCATAGGACTCTGCATAGAGATGTATTCAGCATATGTTTGTTGAATTTCCTCTCCCTAGATGATTTTCTCGTCCATCTGGTCTGATGAGATATCCAAGGTCTCAGCTCTCTAAATTGGTTTGTGGGACGGAATAAGGTTAGGGCAAGGGATTTACAGTGTAACAAATGCCCCAGAGTGGAGTTTCCAAGGGTCTTTCTGATTGCAACATTTAACACATATGGAAGAGGAGGGGAGATCTCCTCCAGTCCCACAGGTTGTAGGCTTCACCAGGAGGCAAGTTCCTTTGTCATTGCCTGGCAAGGAAGCACATAAAGTAGAGTCGGGTAAGAACTGCTTCCCTACCCTTGAATGTAATCTGCATAAAGGCAACAATCTGTTGCATGTTTTGCTGACTGGTATGTTCTAAGCACCAACAAGAGTGACTGGCTCATAGTAGACACTCAATAAATATTAAATGAACGAGAATGAGCATTTCTTAAGTATCTACCATGTGCCAGGCCATTTAGATAATTTATTTCGTTATCACATCATTCTTGTGTAGAAGGGTATATTCTCATATCCTTTTTACATCTGAGGAAACTGAGGCTCAGACAAACTCAAGCCCTGGCTTTTTCTTCTGTGTCTCACTGTATCAAGATGGGTGAACCTTGTGTCTGGTAGGTACTAAAGATTGAGGATGAGCTGAATGGTCTGAGAATATAGCCCTGTCAGAACCCGTGGCTTGACAAAAGCAAGCATCTCTGAGGAAACATGACTTTTCCGGACCTAAAATTCCTGGGCTGCTTGAGTCTACTTCTCTGAGTTGAACTTCCTGGGCCAAAGCAATGCCAAGTCATTGGCCTGTGGCTGTGCAGTGTCATCTTGCTGAGAAATGGCCCATGTCCTTCCATAAGCTCTCTTGGTCCCCAGAGGAAAAGGGAACCCTGTTATGTAATTCTGGCTCAGTCACTCACTGACTGCACTACCTTAAGCAAATCACTTTTTTCTTTTTCTCTTCAGTGCAGTTAAAAAAAAAAAAAGTAGTGACCATACTTGTCTTGCAGAGGTATGGAGAGAATCAGAGACAGAAAATGTAAAGGGTCTAGAGTAGATTCTGTCATATTAGTAAGCCCTCCTAAGTAGAAGCTGCTACTACTGCTGCTGTTTGTATTGTTATCTTATCTGAAAGTCTCCAGCTTGTCTGCAACATCACAGCTGAATTTTGGGACTCAAGATGGGGTGGGGGCTGTGTGCTGACATTAGTCTGAGAGTACTGTGTGGACAGGGACTCTGCCCTTCATCTCAGCACCCATGATATAGGATATGGTCCATAGTGGGATCACAGTACTCATTTGCTGAAAGAAAAGACTGATCAACAGGGTGGACATGGTCATTCTATTTCTATGCTTATAGCTCTGTAATGGGACTAGTGCAAAAAACAAAAATCGAACAATGTATATTCAATTACAGTCTCTTAGAACTGGGCAGTGCTTGAAGCAAATGCAAGTTCAGAGCTGTTGAAAACCCCAAGAACCACATGAGAGGTCTATGTTTGCTTGTTTGTTATGAAGTTTTATTTGTTTGTACTATCACTCTGCCTCTTTCATCCTGAGGGTTTATAATTGCTCAAAGACAGAAGATATTACATTCTTTATATACACGTAGGAAAAAGGTATGGAAATTACATGCCACAATGTCAAAAGAGTTTTTTTGAAGATCTTCCAAATTATAGTACTTTCACTTCTGTACCAACCTGTGGTTCCTTTAAGGACAATTTCCAAGCAGCCATGTCTCCATCTAAATTGAGAGCAAGAAGGACACATAAAGAAACTCGTGGCCATCCATCTCTTGGCATTTAGGAAGGGCCATAAAAGGGAAGGGAAATATTATTTATAGGCTTCTATTACCTGCTACATATCATGCTGTGTGCTATAAATACTTTCATTTAATCCAAGAATACTGCAAAAATTAGACACTTTCATTTAACTCAAGAATACTGAAAAGTTAGGCATCTCTCTTCCCATTTTACAAAAAAGAGACTGAGATATAGAAAAATTAAATATGTTCTCCCAAATAACATATCTAGGAAGTTGTAGTGATGTACTCTCAAAATTCTGTACTTTTAACCACTATATCACTGAATTTTTTCTTTTCTTTTTTTTTTTTTTTTTTTTTTTTTTGAGACAGAGTCTCGCTCTGTTGCCCAGGCTGGAGCACAGTGGCATGATATCAGCTCACTGCAAGTTCCACCTCCCAGGTTCACGCCATTCTCCTGCCTCAGCCTCCCGAGTAGCTGGGACTACAGGCACCCGCCACCACGCCCGGCTAATATTTTTGTATTTTTTTAGTAGAGGCGGGGTTTCACCATGTTAGCCAGATGGTCTCGATCTCCTAACCTCGTGGTCCACCTGCCTCGGCCTCCCAATATATCATGGAGTTTAACAACACTTAGTTAAACCCAGTAGTAAACATATTAACATACCTCTCCATCTACATTTTTTCTGTATCTATGTATTCTACATAAATAATATAATGTACACATATATGTGTGTGCGTACATATATACTAATGACTTCAGCTTTCTAGGTGTTTACAGAAAAACAAGTGGATAAAGTGGGTAGAAAATTACTTCAATATGTGGGTCTGGTCATAGATTTATATTTGCTTATAAAAGAGTTATGGGGTTAAACTTAGGGACATTAGGGTCACTAAAGTCTTAGAAAGCTAGAGCTAGAAGGAATATTGGTCATCGTCAAATTGAGTCATTGTCAACCTCTTTTCACTTTCTCTCTCTCTATTTCAGCAGAACTGTTTGTTCCAACACAATTTTAGAAAATTCCGATGTATGAAACAAAATAAAAACAGGTGGCTTAGAGATCTGGTTGAAGCCTCCTTCTCAACAGCCTCTGGGGACTTTTATTTTATTTAATTATTTACGAAAAATTAAGTGGAGTCTGGCTGTGTTGCCCAGGCTGCTCAAACTCCTGGTCTCAAGCAATCCTCTCACCTCAGCCTCCCAAAGGGCTGGGATGAGCTACCATGTCCAGCCCTCTGGGCACTTTTAAAGAGCCCTACAGCTTAAAAACCATGGATGTAGGACCTCTCCTCCACCCCAACTTTTGTCACCAGTGAGGAAACTCAAGACAAAGAAGTATAAATAAAATTTTCCCAGTCTCTTGGAAGCTTTTTACCAAAGGTGAGGTAGGACTTGAGCACTCAACTCAGAGCACTCCTCGTGCTTCATTCCAATTATTTATTCATATTTTTATCTTTCCTGCTGGAAGATGAAGTACGTGGAGGGCAGGGACAGTGTCTGAACTGTTCTCCACTGTATCCTCAGTACATAGCACAGAGCCATGTACATGGTAAGTGTTGAATGCAGTGCTGTTGAAGAGAGGATTGGATGGATGAATGCCAATTATTTTTGCCCAGTCTGGTGCTGCCATGCTGTGAGTTGATGATGCATGCAAATGATGGGTCAGTATACTCACACATGTGCATCCCAGAACTAGCAGCCTCTAACCCAAGACGCTAATTATCCTGAATAATTATCTCTCCCTCTCTGCACCTCTGCACCCCGAGGCCTATCCTCAGTCCACAGCCAGCAGCTCTTGTCACTCAGCTGTCAGATGCAGGGTTGTGTGTGTGTGTGGTTTTTTTTGTTTGTTTGTTTAGTTCAGCTGACCCCATTTATTGTTCAGTGAATGTTAAATCCATGGAAAAATCCATCATCCTTTCCTTCCTTCTCCAGAGCTGGGATATCCTCCTTTCTGTCAGTGACTTCAGAGCACTATCCAATAGCTTTCCCAGAGGTCAGCTTCAGCCAGAGGTCTTCTGTGAGCTCTGATGGCCTGGGGTGGGGACGGGGTGGGGAGGTGGACCGCACAGAGTCGGGAGAGGAAAGCCCATTCCCATTCACTTAAACCCATTCTCTACAGTTTAGGGTTGTCCTGGTTTCACCTTCCTGCTCTGCTATATTTCAAACTGAGAGTGGGGACAGAGCAGGGGAAGAGGCCTGAATCCGGGCCCCTAGCTCACTTTGGCTCAGAGATCTCAGCAGCGCGAAAGTGGGCCAGCCTGTGCAGCTGGCCTTGTCTCTCTTCTTGGCCAGGGAGCAGAGAGGCGCAGACTGGGGGAGCTCGAAGAACACATAGGCCCTCAGCCTCTTGCTGGGGTGGCCTCTGGGCAGTGTGGGCTGTTTTCTGTGGCCTCTAAAGTTAAAGGGCACTTTAGCCTTTTCAGTCTCTATAGACCCGTTTTTCTCTCTTACAAGCACCAATTAAAGATAATAGTTGCTCATGAATATCTGGGTATCACTTTATACAAACTAATTTTCCCAGAAGCTGTCATGAAAACTGAAGTTCATTTAATCTCCATTAGAATGTTCTGGCTGGCAGTTTCAGGGTTTGCAGTGCACAGATAATCTCACAGTTTCCCTCCTCGAAAGACCCTGGAAAATCAACAAGCACAGTGTCTCCTGCATCTCATCTGAGCATCACCTTCACAATTTTGCCATACCTGGGATATTATTAACTTAATGTGTTTTTCTTGAAATTGACTCATTTCTTTCTTTTCTTCTTTCTTTTTTTATTTTTGGTTAAAATCAATGATTTCAAAATGGAAATATGTAACACTACTGGTAAATGGAAAACCAGGATTACATGCCATAAATAGAAGATAACTCTAAAAATCAATACAGTGAAAACAAAAGAATTTTATAAAATTCTAGACAGATACTGTTGCCTCTGGAATGTTCTGAGCCAGAGCCTTGGTCTCTCTCTTCTAAAAAAGGGAGGCTGGCGAATGTTACAGAGGTGTCAAGGACATATTAGCACTAAAACAAGCCATCCTTCATGACTTAATTTGAAGCACTATAAGAAAATTAGAAAGTGTGGGAGGCTTCCTTTGCATTAAATGATTTGATTCTGATGTGTTCCACACTTTCGTAAATACCATGTAACACAATAGAATGATTTTTACTATGGAAAGGACCGGCTTCTGATCACAGCAAACCTGTGACAATGATAGGACTAGACTCTTGACACCAGATCCCAAAGTGGGTCCTCCCTGTCTTCTTAACATCCACCAAGTTGCCTCTTTGAAGGAAACAATTCACCTTCCACGTATAGGGTCTCATAGGTAAGGATTTTCTTGAGAAAAATATTATACATATTTTTCACAGCAACACTGTGTCTCTGTGGTATCATTACGAGAGATAATACATATTCAGCATTCTATCTACCACTGCATATTTTTCCATCATACATAAGAAGGACATGAGAGTTAAGTGAACTAATGTAACTACTATAGTGATAAAGTGATTAGGTAATCTGTGCTAAATTATAAAAACTAAAAAGTAAATAAGTCACAGGCATGTTGAACTTTGACTGTGGGTAGCTTGTTCATTTATTCATTTATTCATACATTCATTCATTCGTTCATTCGTTCAATGCTCACTGAACAACTTACACCTTTAGATGCATCCACCCATAGCTAATAGAAGACCCTTTGGAGGCTGATATCTTGTCCTTCCATAGCAGTTTTCTAAAACTTCAATTTTTGCCTAAGGTCAGAAAGTCAAAAGACAGGTTCACCCCAAATTTGACTTTCCCAGACTGTCTAAGAGAGGGAAAAGAGGCTATAACCTTTGTTGAGTACTGGCAATGTGGCTAGGTGTGCTAGGTAAGTGCTGTGGTCCCTACCTCATGCATGGAAAAGTGGAGGCCCAGCTGAAGTGATTTATCCATCACACCAGCCTAGGAAGGTAAAAGTTCGACTTGGGCTCAAGTCTTCCTGATCCCCAAGCCAATGCACTTTCTGCTACATCTCAGAGCTACATGCTTATAAACATTTTGAGAGTGGAATATTTTTCTCACATTTGTTTTCTGTTCCATTGCAAAGCCTAACACTGTCCTGGACACATCGTTTCTGTGCAGAAAATATCTGCCGAGGATAACAGTGACATAACAGAGGAAGGGAAATTGAAGTTCAGAAGAGAAAAGTTAAGGAAAACAAGCAGTGACCACTGGGCCAGTACTCTCTGGACTTCCCTCCCTCCGCTAGGGCTCTTTAGAGGTGAATGCCATAAACATCTAAAGTTGCACCTTTTTATTATTTTTAATTTGGAAACTAAAATGAAGTGAGGTCCGAGTGATTATCGACCATTCTTGTTTTAGAGTCAAAGGTAGACTTTCTGGCTTCTTCCCTGGCACGTCTGCAGGTCCACAGAATCTTCCTCAAACCAGCAAACCATTAAAAAAAGAAGAAGAAAGAGGAGGAAGGGGGAACTTGCTCTTAAGGAGGAGATTTTGCCTAAGCCTAACTCAGACATCTTTTAAGATATGCAGCCAGGGGAAGCCTTCAATTCTCTGTCTTACCTGGCCTCATCCTCTGATGCTGCCTGAACTTTCTCTGTAGTGAGTCTTTTCACCTTCAGTCCTGCTAGCCAACCTTGCTGCAACCTTTCCCATTCTCTTCATCACACTAATAATTTAATGGATTTCCACTGTAAGCCATAAAATCCCAAGAAAAGCCCTTGACTGCCCTGCAGAGGTTGTGCACGTCCACTGACTGTGCCCATGCAGCTTAGATCAGAGTGTCTGGCCCCAAACCTCATCCCTGGTGATGCCAAGTTTTAGGGCACCAGGCCTTGGGATCTTTATTTTTGCTTTGACTCCTGAGTTGGGCTTTTTACCCCAGAACACATAGCAGAGTCATCTAGCTGGTGGAGTACTGGGAGGAGAGTCAGGAATCAAGGGTTCAAATCCCAGTTCCACTGTGACTTGATATATGAGCTCTGATAAGTCTCTCCTTCTCTCCTTTCAAAATAATGTGTGTGGACTAGCTCAGCAGTTTTCAAAATGATGTTATTAGACTGTAGGCATACTTTGAGGCACCCCAGGAATCACTGAGAGAGGCAAATTCTAGTGGATGAGAGCTTGAGCCTACTAAGTTCCTGCTACTAGCAGAATGTTTTACCTTTACCTGTTGAGTTTTCCCATGAGATTTTATTAGGAATAAATAGTTCTATGTTTAAATAAAAGAGTATGAAAAACACTTATCCCCCTTAACTCTGACACCAATTTTCTCAAAGAAAATAAATAAAATGAGCAAAACACATTATTTTCCCAGTGATATGCCCTTTCTATGTAACAGATATGAGGCATGGGAAGGAAGTTAACTAAAAAAACACCTTACTCACCTCTCTGTGCTTTCACACATCCCATGAAGAAGGAGTTGTAGAGTCTTTAGTGTTAGGAGAGTGCTGTGTGCCAACTTTGGTCTCTGTGAGCTACTAGAAGAAGGAAGCAAAGTCTTCATGGATGCCTTTGCTTTATCTGAAAATTATTGCAATTAAGTATATGTATATGTGTATGTATATGTATATGTGTATGTATATGTATATGTATATGTGGCAGGCTACTTCAGAATCTTTTGGACATATCATTATGGATAGAGCTACAAATTTGGCTAGATAGCATTTTCCTTTTCTCTACCTCCCCTACAATTCTTCACAGTTCTTCCTATTTCCTGAGAATCTGAGACTAAAAGTTCCTGCTCCCGCACTCTCCAGCTTGATTTCTTACCCTCTCATACTGTCTTTTCTAGCCTTATTGAACTACAGTGTTTTTGGGAGAAATGAAGACTAAACTAGAATGATGGCAGTGAGGATGGAGGTACTGAGAGGTGGGATCCATGGGTTATGAGTGATGTGTGTTTGTGTTGTAGGGGGTGCTGGAGGAAAAGACAGTGGGCAGAGCGGATATAGGCACAGAGGGTTTAACCAAGACCACTGACTCTGAATGTTGGGGCCAGTCCCCCAAATGGGAAAGATTGGAGGAGAAGCAATTCCAGAGGAAAGGAAATACAGTAACTGATAGAACTGAGTCCCAAGGAGTCAGGAAGGGCAGGAGCTGGTTTTATAGAGGTTGAAGGTTGCTGTTACTCTCTCAAACATCCCTCTCCTAGTCTATACGGCCCAGATGAAACAGGACAGGAAGAAATTATGGGTGATGGCAGAATAAAGGGAATGGGATATGCACATTGATTTTCTCAGTGTTCTCAGTAAAAGGTAATTCTGAAGGAGGGGTAGACCAGGCTGAGAGGAGAGAGATAAGATTTAGATTAGGGAACAGGCTAAAGCATTTTGCAACATGTGATTCATTTATATCAGAATCATCAGGGAGTGCATGCTGATTAATGCAAATGACTAGGTTGGCCCCAAAATGACTGAACCAGAATTTCTGGGAATTTTTATTTTTTTACACTCTCCCCAGGTGATTTTTATGTCTACTAATATTTGAGACTCACCCTGATTGAGAATCTCTCTGGGATGTTGAAACCAACTGATTGTTTTCACCAAGGGTCTCCCAGGCCCTTTGAATGCCCCTTCTCTCCTGGCTCCACATCCTGGCTTCCTGTGAAAGGCAGAGCAGACAGGGTTTCCCTGAGTACATGCGGCTTCCTTTAGGCTGACAGTTGGGTTGCATTGTGCCAAAAGGCTGACATCTATTCATAACGGGAGCCAAGACTGCTTCCTCTCCTAGCAGGCAGCAGAGTCTTACAGCAAGGCCTCTAAAGGGCAGGAGAGTTTAAGCCCTAACTTTACCTTGTCCCAACCCACCTGCATCAGGTTGGATCTTTCTGCATTTGTCAGGGACAGGAATTCCTGCCTATCTCTCAGGGATATTAGGAGGAGGGAATGAGTTTTTGAGTGTTAAAGTTGCTGTAGATCTGCCAGCCTTCATTTCTTTCACGAGTAAAAGAGCAGAACAACATCCTTATATTGCAGCACTGTTGGACGCATTCTTATTTTCTCTCCCTTTTCCTCTCCCAATCCCCACCTTGCCCACACTGTTTTCAGAGAGCAACTGAGCTTCAGTTGAGTAATGTAAGCTACATTTTCTGAAGACCACTCCAGGCCAGACCCAGCACAGGATCCCATAGGGAATCCCATAGGTGACTCATGACAACAGCAAAGTAACTGTTTTTTAAAGCTGGCACTATGTTCCAGATACTCCTCCTGTATTATTGCTAGTAATACTTAAAACTATAATACAGGGTAAAATTGACAGGTTTATATTGCAGATGAAGATACTGTGCTTTGAAGCAGACAGATAGCAGGTGGTGGAAGCTAGATTGAAACCCAGATCTGTCACAGTTCACAGTTTATGCCCAGAGACGTTATATGGATGTAAATCTGGTCACGTAGAACTTCCAATTTTGTGGTCTGAGATAAAAGAGTCAGAGTGCTAAGTATTACAGGGGACAGACTGAACACTTGATGTGGAGTTGTAGAAGAGAGAGAATGATTTTGACTGTAGTGATAAGAGAAAGCCATTTGGAAAGATGGAATTAAAGCAGGGACATTTCATGTGGGATTTTTGTGTGTTTGTGGGATTTGAAAGATGCCTGTGGGTTCCATTGCGTAGGAGAGTGAGCACATCATAAGCAAAGGTGAGGAGTAGTAAATGTCTTAAGGTTGGTAATTGTGGTTTTTGCCATTACTTTTAATAAATGGCTTTATGGGTAGTGTAGAAAGCATGGAGGGGAACCATGAGTAGAGAGATATTACAGGGCCAGACTTGGGAGGCCTCAGATGCCATGTGAGGCAGGGTATCTGTGGGGAAGGGCACTCCAGTGGAAATGGGCATCAAACAAAGGCCTGGAGGCAGGAAAGGGCTGGCCGCTTTGGGAGTCATCTTGCTGTTCAGCATGTTGGGAGTACAGGGTCTGCTGCCCCATTTGTTTCCTACACCTAACCAGAATCGTTTCATAAAGGTTGCAGGGCCCTCTGGGCTGGGATCACCTTGCAAAAGAGCATCTATCCTGCCTCCTGCCTGGATTGAGCAAGAGGCTGGAAACAGGGTGAGGAAGTAGCAGCTGTGAGTCAGACCGTCCCCACGCAGGCTCCAGCCCTGGGCCTGGGGCCCCAGCTGGGATCAGAGCTCTTGCCCGGGTTGCAATTGCCAAATACGAACTGTACAGCCAAGTGTGGCTCAGAGCTGCCCTGACTCACAGGGTACTATCCGAGTTGCTCGTGCCTCAGTTGTGGCTTTTATTTCTTTTTGTCCCTCTACGTTTTACCCCTTTCTCTTCCCTGACCTCCCATTCCTTTCTTTTACTTCCTTCTGTTTTTTTTTTTTCATTTTTTATTTGCCCTTTTTTGCATTTCCTTCTTTCTTTATTTTCAGCTTCCTCCTCCTCCTCCTCTGATCTTTTTATTACTGACATTTTTGTGGTTTGCTTCAGATGACACAGGTTCTAGACCAGGCCACCAGCCGCTCATTATGTGGTTTTAAACTCATCCCTTAGTTTGGGGCCCCAATTTTCCCATCTGTCCAATGAGACAACTTAATTTGATGATACTTTAAAGACCAAAACCCATCAGAATTTCTCCTTCTAGAAGTCTCTGTTTCTTACTCCTTTATCTCTTTGATAGAATCCTTAAATGCAAAAGCTTACAGGGATCTCAGCATTTATTTAGGGTCATGGATCTAGACCCTGGTTGCCTACAGGAATCACCTATTGAGCTTCTGAAAAGTACTGCTGCCCAGACCCCTATACCAAGCCAGTTCAATGGTAATTTATGGGGATGGGGCACAGGTGTTCATTTTTAAAACCTTCCCCAGGCCGGGCACAGTGGCTAACACCTATAATCCCAGCACTTTGGGAGGCTGAGGCCGGTGGATCACCTGAGGTCAGGAGTTCGAGACCAACCTGGCCAACATGGTGAAACCCCATATCTACTAAAAGTACCAAAAATTAGCCGAGCATAGTGGGGGGCACCTGTAATCCCAGATACTCAGGAGGCTGAGACAGGAGAATCACTTGAACCCAGGAGGCAGAGGTTGCAATGAGCTGAGATCACGCCATGGCACTCCAGCCTGGGCAACAAGAGTGAAACTCAGTCTCAAAAAATCAAAACAACAACAACAAAACCCTCCCCCAGGTCATTCTCATATGCAGCCAGGGTAAAGAATTACTGACATAGAAGCAGCTGCCGTTTAGTAAAGGTAGAGAGACAGAGGCACTGAGGCCTGGAGCTGGTCAGGGTCATGTCCAGAGTCATGCTGTGAGTCAGTACAGACAGAACCAGAACCAAGCCTCCTGCCATCTCTGTCCCCTTGGCCTCGACTTTGAATCACCTTAAGCAAATGCCACGGCCTCTGATGGAGCCAGGCAGGAGGGCAGCCTCCTGACTGCCAGAGCCTGGCTTAGAGGCAAGGCCCAGACACAGCCCCATTAAGCCAGGCAGTGCCTTACGGGAATCGCTCCTGGCTCCGGCTTAGAAAACAGAGTGCTTTGGTTTTCTTTGGCTGCATCCTGGGGTGGGGGAGCTAAGAGGAGAGCACCTGAGGACGCAGGTTTGCTGCTTTTCTCCTAGGCAAAGTGGGGCTGCCAGAGGCAAGGAGTGGAGACAGGTGGGCAGGGTGTGTGGGGGTGAGTTGGGAGTGTATGCCTCCCGCAGCTGCTGCCTCAGACAGCCTGCCTGAGAATGCACCCCACGCAGAGGCTGATGCCTGGAGGGGAGGGAATGGGACACAGAACCTCAGCTTGGGGGGCAGCTCAGGTAAACCGGGCGCCTTGACCTGCCTGCAAATAGACCCTCTCAGGTGTATGTGAGCTCCAAGCCCTCCTCTCAGACACTGGTTATAGTGGAAAGAGACCTTGGTTGGGATCTTAGTTATAGCTGCTGTTTATTGAGAGATCTCCACCTACCAGGCACTGCGATAAGTTCTTTAACTTTCTGTATAACTGATACAGGTTCTTCACAGCTCTCTGGGGTAAAAATGATTGGTTTGCCCACTTCACAGATAAGGAAGTAGGATTGGAAAGATGAAGTCCACCACCGCAGGTACATAGCCCTGAAGGCACAGAGGAGATCAGAATCAAACTCAATTCAGCCTGATTCCAAAGTTCAGCCTCTTAGCCATTACACAACACTGTTTTTGTATGAATCAGCAGACCTGAGTTTGACTCTCCACTACTTTTATGTCAGGCCATGTGACTTTAGACAGTTTAATTGATCTCTCTGGACCTCAGTTTCCTCCTCTGTAAATTGATGCTTGTCTTGCCAATTTCACATGACTGGTGTGGGTATCAAATAAAAGTTGGACACGAAACAGGTTAGTAAACAACAGAGGGATATACAAATCTAAGAGATTATTGCTGTTATCACCAAACACAGCTGCATCCACACATGGGGAACCACCATCCCATATACATCTGTCCACCCTTGTGACCTTGGTCTTCTCTGGAAACCTCTTTGGTTCTTAAGTACTCAGGTGGAGGAGTGGAAGGGGAGGGAGAAAAAAATAAGAACCTGTTTATAAAACACTTCACATTTCCCAGATGAAAGCTGCTAGATAAATATCACACCACCACATAAATAAAACATAAATGAAATAATATTATTCCTACCCCCTCCAGCCGGCGTGCCTGCAGACACTCTCATAGAAGCTGCGGGCAGCTGGGTAAAGTACAAAGAGGGCTTTGGAGTCAGTGACAAGAGTTCAACGCCTGCTCCCTCAATGTATTGATTGCATGACCTGGGAGCTGGTTACTTGGACTCTCAGAGTCGCAGTTTTCTCATCAGAGAGTTGGAAATTTAGTAAAAAGTCTGTTACCTGGTTGCTATAATCATTAAACAAGCTCCTGTGCATATCTCTGGTATAGGACTCATGACCCTAGATGCTATTTACCTCTTTATATACTTGATTTCCCCATTCTATTATAATGTTCCAAGAGGCAATAGCTGTGTTGCATTTTGATATGATGGTACAGGTGTATGCTCCATAAATGCCAAGTCCCTTTCTTCTGCAGTTCTCTCAATGTCACTCCATCTTCACACTCCTAGGACAGAATTCAGACCCATGCCTATCTCTTAACTCAATACATTACTCAACTGGAACAGAAAGGGTAGAACTCATAGCCCCTGACTCACTAAGGTATCCAGGCTCTGCTACTTATCAGTTGTTCAACATTGGGCAAGTCAGCTTACATCTCTGAGACTCAGTTTCTCCATTTCTGAAATGGGGACAATGTCCCTCCTACCCTATCTAGATGCTTGCTGGGAGGGTTAAATATGATACTGGCAGTGTAAATGCTGTGAAAACCATAAGGAATGTCATCTGTAATGGGAACTCATTGTATACCAAACTGGTATATTGGATTTTCACGTCATTTCTATGAGGCTCTGAATACCCAACTTCTGCAGTCCTTTTGCCCCATCATCTAATACTCAGTATCTTCAGTTTTTACCTTTGGATCAGAAGACTCAGGTTGTCTCCTCCATCCCTGCTCTTCCCGAGGCACTCTCATCTTTATCTCCTCCCTGTCTTCTCCTATAACTGCAGTCAGGGAAGCTGCAACACTGTTCACTTGGAAGTCAGGAGACCAGAAGTGAAGTCTGGGCCTTGAGTCTGATATCCCACTCTGGAACTCAACTTCCTTTAGTGTAAAATGAAGAGTCCATATGACAATAATCATCAGTTCTCACATTGTTAGCACTTTTTTCCTTCATGATTTCACAGGGACTCAGAGAGATGCAAATGACTTTCCCAAGGCCACTCACCAACCAAGGTCTATTTAGATGCTAGAATTGTGTTTCATCTCTTCATCCTCAATGCCCAGCTCAGTGCCTGGCTTGTACCCTATATTCAGAAAATGTTTGTTGAATGAATTTTGACACTGAAAAAAATATGAATTTTCTTATTTTTTTTCTGCTAAAAATTGGTCATGAAAACATTGGATTTTAAGAAAGAATGGATTTGTTTCTAAAACTTCTTAAACTATTGCTTTCAAATAAGTTTTTCTGCAAGCTTAAGGAAACTGTGGTTAGACCTCAGGGGATGACAAGCTATACAATGAAATTGCTTAATGGAGTAGGGTGTGTAAGCCCCAATCTCGTCGGTTTCCCTGTGGGATATATGTGTAAGGTTTCTTGGAAAGGTGGATTCTACTGCTTTGAAAATGTTTGAAAAATGACTGCTTTAAGGAAATGAAAAAGAATTGAATATTCCCAAATGAAGCATTTTGTATAGAATGGTGGGTACATGTGGAGACTCCAATCCACAGTTCATTTTCCAATTTTGAGAACAACACATTTTAGGACCATGTGTAATTACAGAAAACCACTGGCACCCAGCCCCATCTAGGGGCTGAAACTCCAGGCCCTCTCAAACTCTATTTTCTTGAGGCAAGCCAATGGCCCCAGGCAGGCGGACCCCCATGCCAAGTCTGGCATCCCTGGCTCTGCATTGGCACATCTGGGCACTTGGACTGACTCTAGGCCAGCAGTTGCTGGTGCAGTCCAAGAACATCTCTGGGAAGCTGGCTGGGAAGCTGGAAGGAACTGTCCCAAGGCTGAGGAGGAGCCGGGCCTGTCCATGTTTTCTAAGGCATACAGGGGAGCAGGTAGCTGGGCCAGGAGCAGGCCATTGGCACTCTCACCAAGGGTCTTCTGGCTCAGATTCCAAAATGAGCTAGGCAGAATGTTTCTGCAGCTGGGAATAAGGGGGAATCCCTATGAGGCCTTTTTATGCTTCATGACTTTTTATGTCCTTAAAACAGCCACAAAAATCTCTCTCAGCTTCATCTTTGCCTTGTTTCCCACCGATTTGGCTTCTGAAAAACTGCTGTTGTGTTTGCTCCTGTGGTCTAGAGGCCTGGCCCCTAGCGCCTAATCCAAAGTGTGACCTTTGGTGTCAAAAGTATGAGGTCTGTATGTCCTTAACTTTGTTCCAGTGTAAACTTCTGATGCCCCCAAAGAACCAATCCATCAAATAACTCATGAATAAAAATATGTAACTGTCAGAAATGTGATGGAACTGTCAAAAGCACGTGACATCTACATAAATAGAAGAACCCAAATCATCCTTTCCTCTTTTTCTGGCATGGGGAAACATAGCAAATAACTGCTAAAAATTTTAAAGGAGCAAAGGTGGAGCATTTCAGGGAAAGACCTACTACTATCATGTCTAAGACACCTTGTGTTCTTTGTGAATGGTGATTTTCGATGCAAAACATCTTTTTTTGGTGAGGTGGAATGGAGGATGGGGACTGCTGTCACAAGATGAGTCACTTGATTAGACATGGAGGGTTTCTGGGTTGCTCCTATCTCCTCCCCCAAATATCTGGGGACACTCCATTTTTCATCCAAATACCTCATTTCTCCCCAGACACTGCATATTCCTTAGTATGACTGTCTCAGTGCAAATTTCAGGGCTGATTCATCATAGAATACTAGTATGTCAGCCACTAAGTGCCCTTGGAGAGTTTTGAGTGTAACCCCTGAATTTGCAGAGAAGGTCGTTTTGGCAGTCGATTCCCAAGTGTTTCTGCAGGGAATTTGGACATTGCTAACTCATTTTCTGTTCTCTGTGTTAGAACTAGACAATGTTATGTTCTAATAGGAGAAAAGACAGTGAAGGGTTTAGTCATCTACTCCCGGTCACATAGGCTTTGTGAGGGGCAGTAACGAATTCTGAACTTCACGTTCTCATCAGTGTTTGTCCACTGGGCCCTGTAGCTCAGCAGAAGATACCAACAGGAACCTCACAAGCGTCATCCTGATGTCACAAGTAGTTCTGGGGCCAGCGGGTTTGTCAGTGAGGTCCCAGCAAGGAGCTGAGAAGCATCTATCAGCTCCAAATTCACATGAGAGGAAAACAAAATTCCATCATAATGTTGACCATCTGTGGATGAGGACGACTTTTCAAAAGAGGCCACTGGAGAGAGGGACAAGGAAAATAAAGACTATTATCTTAAGGGATTATAATTTGAAAGGGATCACTGGTTCAACTGAACAACACAGGATATGGCACAGCAGTGAGTTATTTTACCTTGTGGAACTCCTGTTTTTTAATGAATGTTAAACTTTTTTTATGGCAATCTGTTGCAAAACTACTGTACACCATGATCAACAACAGTGTGTATTAGACTGACAATTTTTTTTTTTTTTTTGAGACAGGGTGTCACTCTGTTGCCCAGGCTAGAGTGCAGTGGTAAAATGATGGATCATTGCAGCCTCAGCCTCCCTAGGCTTGGGTGATCCTCCCACCTCAGCCTTCAGAATAGCTGGGACGGCAGTCACACGCCACCATGCCCAGCTAATTTTTTTTTTTTTGTAGTTTTCATACAGATAGGGTTTTGTTATGTTGCCCAGGCTGGTCTCAAACTCCTGAGCTCAAGC
Source organism: Homo sapiens (assembly GCF_000001405.40). Lineage (NCBI taxonomy): Eukaryota > Metazoa > Chordata > Mammalia > Primates > Hominidae > Homo > Homo sapiens. Next base: position 116,543,208 of record NC_000009.12, on the reverse strand, counting down.
AATCAGACTGCCCTTATGCTATAATCTCTATACCTGTGATTATGAAGAACTCTCTTCATTTTCTTTCAATTTTTTCTATGCATGCAAAAACAACCAACCAACCAAAAAATGTGCCGGATGGTCTTTAGGGTGCTTATCTAGTAGAGGTTATAATCAATTTAAAAGAGAGTTCCAAAAATATTTCTGTCCAACAAGATACTATATGATTTTTTTTTCAGCTGGATGATTCCAAAGGTGAACATCAAGCTTATACCAAAAATAATAGTCTTTTGTTTTGTTTTGTTTTTTTGAGATAGAGTTTTGCTCTGTCACCCAGGCTGTAGTGCAGTGGCACAATCTCAGCTCACTGCAATCTCTGCCTCCCAGGCTGAAGCAATCCTCCTGCCTCAGCCCCTCAAGTAGCTGGGAGGATTACAGGCACCTGCCACCATGCCCAGCTACTTTTTGTATTTTTGGAAGGGCTTCTCCATGTTGCCCAGGCTGGTCTTGAACTCCTGAGCTCAGGTGATCAGCCCACTTCAGCCTCCAGAAGTGCTGGGATTACAGGTATGAGCCACCACACCCAGCCAAAAATAATAGTCTTAAAACAACATTTTGATGGATGGGACTGATGATTCTCTTTTGTAACTCCAAAATGTAATCTATTTTTTTCCCAGAATATATATAACTTGGCTTTGTTCAGGTTTTTCTAAGTTGTTTTTAAAGTTAACATTGAATTTATATTTTTTTCTAATACCCTTGCAATGATCTTTGACCAAAAGTAATAAACATATTAACTTGAACTGATCTGATTTTAAAACAACTTGCTCAATTGAAGTGGCAGAATTTATTAGGCACCCTTGTAAATGATGGATCTCAGAAGATCTTATAAACCACTAAAAGTTTATGTTACCTTTTTATTTCATTAAAAATATTTTGTTGGTGCTAATGTAAATTTGTCAAACTTTCTTGAAGGCAAATTAGCAATATGTATCAAGAGAATTTGCTTATTCTAAGAAAAGTTATTTATAAAAGATTTACATGTAAGGGTGTTTATTAGGGTTCAGTTAAATAATGTTTAATAAAAAGGAAATAAAAGACAGTCATTTAAATATTACTATTGCAGAAAACATTTTACAAAATAGTATGTGGAGCAGGAGCAAGAGGAAAGTAGTGTGACTATAAAAAAAATCATGAGAAATAATTGTGGTAATGAAAATGTTCTGTTTCTTGACTGTGTCGATACCAGTATCCTGGCTGTGATATTGAATTATAGGTTTGCAAGATGTTACCACAGGAGAAAACTGGGTAAAGAGTACACAAGGTCTCTCTCTATTATTTCTTATAACTGCATATGAATCTACAATTATCTTAAAATTTAAAAATTTAATTTAAAATGGTATATAATTAAAGCACTTCTGGTTTTAGGGATGTGGATGTCTTTATTGAGAGCTGAAGGGGAAATCTTATAAATCAAGAAGACACAGAATCTGAGAAGTTATTAGACACCACATGTGCTATTCTCTCAGTCTTTGGAGGGCCCATCAGCTCTTGCCTTGTTCTGTCTCTGCTTCCATCTGCCCATGGTTAGAGTCACTTCCCCAATCTGGTGCAGTGTTTCATCCACTGCCTATCTTCCTGGTACCTTAGTACTATCAGCTGTAATTCCTGGGCAATAAATGTGAGTGGATCACCTTGGGTTAAGTTTTTACTCTCAGTCCAATTAACTATGATTAAAGCAATAGAGTTAACTAGGAAAACCATGGCAACAAGGGCCCAGTGTTCCATGTGTTGGGGCCTGCTCTCATTATAGGTTGGGTAGAACTTGCAGTGGCTCATAAGATTATAGACCCTTTCTCACTCTCTGTATTGTCCATCTGTTCAAGAAAAAATGACTATAAGAGTATATACCAAAATGTTATATTATCAGTTATTTTCTTTGTGTTAGATCTGGCAGATTTATATTTTCTCTTTCCCGCCTAAATTTCCTACTATGATCACATTTTATTTTCTGTTATAAGAAAAATGTTTAAAATTGTGTAAAATTAATTTTATGATAGAAAAGAGTATGACACATTTATTATAGAATGGGAATGCAGAAACATGAGTAAGTTACAACTATACCAGCCTAATAATATCATAATTTTGGCATATTTCTTTCCTCAATGTCCATTCCTTATATAGTGGAGAATGTCATGTATATTTTTTTCTGCTTTTTTTTTTCATTAGATGTGGCATTCAAACTTTTTCCCCTAGTTTCAAAACTAGGGGAAAAACTTTTGTAAAAATTTTCATGTTCATATACTGTTTCATAATATGGGTATCTCAAATATTATTAATCATTTATTTAGTGCTGGACATTTAGGCATTTCCAATTTCTCAATTATTTTGGAGACTGCAAGATAAAAATGGGTGCTTGCATTTTAGACAAAAATAATCTCTTATGAAGACCAGCAACTAAAAAGGAATTTTAAAATCCACTAAATTCACCTGTTGGATGGAACTTAGCAGCAGCCATTCTCTTCTATTGTGCTCCTTTCCTTTTGGAAAGTCCTGTCCCTGGGTAAGCTCTCTTTGAGATTAGTGGCTTTAGATGGCCTGCTTGGTGCCCTGCACACAGACGATCATGAAGGCACCTACAGGTGGGACGATTGCTCGCCAAGGAGAATTCATCCAGAGGCCAAAGCTGTCACCCAAGCAGTTGTCTGCCGTGGTGAACACATTTTGACCACAGGCCCGAAGTTTCCTCTCTTCACGTGTTATTCCATGCATCTTCACGTCTCTGGGGATCTGAGATTCAGAGAGGATTAAGAAGTGAAACTCTACATATAATTAGAGGGAAAACTGCAAGAAATCATTTTACCTCTTTCTTCTTGCATGTTTCTTTCAGTAAAAGATAAATTTAGATGGGTATGATTTTTTTTCTCTTTTCCTTATGTTTTAAGCCTGTGATCTGATGCAGGATCTAATAATAAATGATAAATTTCCCACCAGACATGAATAAAAATTTGAATTAGAACTAGAATATCTCAGAGCCAAGAGGATCCATAGAAATAGACCCAATATAGAGACATGAAATCTTAGGAATGGAGAAGGTAAAGAATACAGCCAGTATTTTACAGCTAGCCATTGGCTGGAAAAGCAGTCTCATGTAGCTGAGTCACATGCTATATTTTATCACATCAAGATGCGATTCATTTTAAGAGACACTTTATTTTATGTGCCATTTATAAAGCAAAGAAAATGATGCCAACTGAACTATAACCCAATGGTTTCTTATCAATTATATTTTTGGAGCTCATTGAAAGGGCTCATTTATTCTGATTATATTTTTATAATACAGTAGTCTCCACTTATCCATGGTTTTGTCTTCTCCAGTTTCAGTCACCTGTAATCAGCTAAAGTCCAAAAATATTAAATAGAAAATTCCAGAAGTAAACAATTCATAAGTTGTAAATCCACGCCATTCTGAGCAGTGTGATGAAATCTTGCACCATCCCACCCAGGGTGTGAAGCATTCCTTTGTCCAGCGTATACACCCGTTAGTCACTCAGTAGCCGTCCAGGTTATTAGATTGAAAACCATAGTATATATAGGGTTGGTACCATCTGTGGTTTCAGACGTCCACTGGGGTCTTAAAACATATCCTCCCTGGAAAGTGGGGACTACTGTGCATCGTTCTTGTGCTATAAACAAAATAAGTGTTCAAATGTTCATAAAACTTTGCATTCAGTGTCTGCCTTTTCTAAACCACTTTTTGACTCAGTCTTTAAATTTTTTTTCCATATACTATTGTCCTCTCTGCCAGCCAGACAGTTAGTAATGTTACATTTCTTTTTTTTTTCCCTCCCTCATAGATTTTTTTAATAGCTTCATTGCAATATAATTTACATACCATACAACTTCACCCATTGAAAGTGTACAATTTGATAGCACATTGACAGAGTTGTGCGATTATCACCACGGTCAATTTTAGGACATTTTCAACACCCCAAAATAAACCCTATACCCATTAGCAGTCACTCCTTACTTTCCCCTTATTTCCTCAACCCTATGCAACCACTAACCTACCTTCTGTCTTTGTTGATTTGCCTACTCTGAACATTTCATATAAATGGAATCATGCCACATCTGCTTTTTTCTGTGACTTGCTTCTTCACTTAGTTCTCAAGGTTCGTCCATGTCGTAGCATGTACCAGTATGTTGTTCATTTTTATTGCTGTTTTTCTTAAAAGAAGACTCCATTATTATTTCTGGTGTTTTCTTTCAAGTTTTAATGAATGATGCTGCTTTCTTTATCTTACTAGTTCTTGTCAATGAAGTTTGTTAGACAACTGTCAGGATCCATTTTCTTTCCAAAATTAATTCTTAAGGAGTTTGGCCTGAAATGTTAAGGATTGTACTTATCTAGGTGGACCACCAGGAATGACAGCCAGATTCACATAAGCACAGGTGATGATATTTGCTGCCTGGTTGATGGAAACTGTATGGCATCATCACTTGTAGGATGCATCTCAATTTCAGACATATTCAAAGGCAAAAATTGTGCATTTTAGAATTAACAAAGCATGGAATATAATTTTAAGTACTTTTCCTTAGATCAACATGAAGAATTTTCACTCTGAGATCCAACAGGCAAGAGACTTAGGACACAAAACCTTAAAACTTGAGTGAATTTAGAATTCACAAGTCGAACACCACAACTAGAGCAAGAGTCCCCTTCAGCTCTGTGGTTCTCTGCCCTTGGGTATGAGAATCACCTGAAGAAAGTTTTTAAAATACAAAGTCATGGGCCACACATCCCTGAAGATTTATTTTCAGTAGTGCTAGTGTAGAACCCCAAATTTCTTTCTTTTCCTTCCTTGTTTCCTTCCTTCCTTTCTTCCTCGCTTCTTTCCTTGCTTCCTCCCTCCCTTTCTTCCTCATTCCCTTCCTTCATTCCTCCGTTTGCTCCTTTCTTCCTTTCTTTCTGTCTTTTTCATTCTTTCTTTTTCTCCCTCTCAGTCCCTTCTTCCCTCTTTCCCTTCCTCCATCCCTTCCTCCCTCCCTTTCTTCTTTCCTTTATTTCTAATCCAGGAATGGGGACCATAGCTCTTATTCATTCCTATCAGATGAGCTACAGGCAGCCTAAGCATCAACTAGGAGGCATTGTTGTATAGTGGGTTCAACACTTAATTTGGATTCATACAGATCTTGTTTCAAATTTTGATATGGACACTGATAAGCAGTATGACCTTAGGCAAATTATTAAGCCTCTCTGAGCCTCCATCCCATTCTCTGTAAAACTGGAGTATCCTGGAAGGTTTGTTGTGATAACTATGTAAAAGAACACACTAGAGTGCCTTGTATTTACAAATGGTACTCTCCTAATCCCTGCTTTCATGGCTCAGATCTTACTCTCTGGTTTGAATCACTACCATTACTCTTAGTACCTATCTCTAGAGGTTTGATTTTTTGATTCTATGTTAGTATCCTGTTCCCACAGGGCATCTGCCTCAGCTCTTCTGATTCTATGATAGTCAGTGGAGTTCTCTGATTTTACCAATTTGCAGTGAATGGTCTTTCCAAATCCTGGATCATACATAAAATTTTCTCTAAGAGATACTCTTAGGTTTTCTGGCTTTAAAATCTCAAGAGCAGTTAGCTTTCACCAAATTTTAATTATTCACCTTCCAGGGCTTCACTGTATGTTTACAGTTCCCAGGGTTCCTACCACATGTATACATTACACATCATTACACATATCACTGTGTCTCATATAATGTCCATAGGTTCAAGAAGGAGGTAAAATCTGTAATTGTCAGAAATAAACTGTCAAATGAATGTGAAGTTATCAATGTAAATTGTGAAACCAAAGTTGCATTTCTGTTTGTACCACCATTATGTAAACATGAATAAATTTTGGAGAACAACAAGGCCAAGTAAAAGAAAAAAATTATAGAAATTTGGGTTCCAAGATGGCCAAATAGGAACAGCTCCAGTCTACAGCTCCCAGTGTGAGCGACACAGAAGATGGGTAATTTCTGCATTTCCAACTGAGCAAACGGCACACCAGGAGATTATATCCCGCACGTGGCTCGGAGGGTCTCATGCCCATGGAGCCTCACTCATTGCTAGCACAGCAGTCTGAGATCGAACTGCAAGGCAGCAGCAAGGCTGGGGGAGGGGCGCCCACCATTGCTGAGGCTTGAGTAGGTAAACAAAGTGGCCAGGAAGCTCAAAAGGGGTGGAGCCCACCACAGCTCAAGGAGGCCTGCCTGCCTCTGTAGACTCCACCTCTGGGGGCAGGGCATAGCCTAATAAAAGGCAGCAGAAACCTCTGTAGACTTAAATGTCCCTGTCTGACAGCTTTGAAGAGAGTAGTGGTTCTCCCAGCATGGAGTTTGAGATCTGAGAACAGACAGACTGCCTCCTCAAGTGGGTCCCTGACCCCTGAGAAGCCTAACTGGGAGGCACCCCCTAGTAGGGGCAGACTGACACCTCACACAGCTGGGTAACTCTCTGAGACGAAAATTCCAGAGGAACGATCAGGCCGCAACATTTGCTGTTCAGCAATATTCGATGTTCTGCAGCCTCCGCTGCTGATACCCAGGCAAACAGGGTCTGGAGTGGACCTCCAGCAAACTCCAACAGACCTGCAGCTGAGGGTCCTGACTGTTAGAAGGAAAACTAACAAACAGAAAGGACATCCACACCAAAACCCCATCTGTACGTCACCATCATCAAAGACCAAAGGTAGATAAAACCACAAAGATGGGGAAAAAGCAGAGCAGAAAAGCTGAAAATTCTAAAAATCAGAGCACCTCTCCACCTCCAAAGGAACGCAGCTCCTCACCAGCAACAGAACAAAGCTGGACGGAGAAAGACTTTGAGGAGTTGAGAGAAGAAGGCTTCAGAAGACCAAACTTCTCCGAGCTAAAGGAGGAAGTTTGAACCCATCGCAAAGAAGATAAAAACCTTGAAAAAAGATTAGAAGAATGGCTAACTAGAATAACCAATGCAGAGAAGTCCTTAAATGACCTGATGGAGCTGAAAACCATGGCACGATAACTACGTGACGAATGCACAAGCTTCAGTAGCCGATTTGATCAGCTGGAAGAAAGGGTATCAGTGATTGAAGATCAAATGAATGAAATGAAGCAAGAAGAGAAGTTTAGAGAAAAGAGAATAAAAAGAAACAAACAAAGCCTCCAAGAAATATGGGACTATGTGAACAGACCAAACCTACATCTGATTGGTGTACCTGAAAGTGACGGGGAGAATGGAACCAAGTTGGAAAACACTCTGCAGGATGTTATCCAGGAGAACTTCTCCAACCTAGCAAGGCAGGCCAACATTCAAATTCAGGAAATACAGAGAAAGCCACAAAGATAATCCTCAAGAAGAACAACTCCAAGACACATAATTATCAGATTCACCAAAGTTGAAATGAAGGAAAAAATGTTAAGGGCAGCCAGAGAGAAAGGTCGGGTTACCAACAAAGGGAAGCCCATCAGATTAACAGCTGATCTCTCAGCAGAAACTCTACAAGCCGAAGAGAGTGGAGGCTAATATTCAACATTCTTAAATAAAAGAATTTTCCACCCAGAATTTCATATCCAGCGAAACTAAGCTTCATAAATGAAGGAGAGATAAAAATCCTTTATAGACAAGCAAATGCTAAGGGATTTTGTCACCACCAGGCCTGCCCTACAAGAGCTCCTGAAGGAAGAACTAAACATGGAAAGGAACAACCGGTACCAGCAAAAACACGCCAAATTGCAAAGACCATCGATGCTAGGAGGAAACTGCATCAACTAACAAACAAAATAACCAGCTAACATCATAATGACAGGATCAAACTCACATATAACAATATTAACCTTAAATGTAAATGGGCTAAATGCTCCAATTAAAAGACACAGATTGGCAAATTGGACAAAGAGTCAAGACCCATCAGTGTGCTGTATTCAGGATATCCATCTCATGTGCAGAGACACACATAGGCTCAAAATAAAGGGATGGAGGAAGATCTACCAAGCAAAAGGAAAATACAAAAAGGCAGAGGTTGCAATCCTAGACTCTGATAAAACAGACTTTAAACCAATAAAGATCAAAAGAGACAAAGAAGGCCATTACATAATGGTAAAGGGACCAATTCAACAAGAAGAGCTAACTATCCTAAATATACATGCACCCAATACAGGAGCACCCAGATTCATAAAGCAAGTCCTTAGAGACCTACAAAGAGACTTAGGCTCCCACACAATAAAAATGGGAGACTTTAACACCCCACTGTCAACATTAGACAGATCAATGAGACAGAAAGTTAACAAGGGTATCTAGGAATTAAACTCAGTTCTGCACCAAGTGGACCTAATAGACATCTACAAAACTCTCCACCCCAAGTCAACAGAATATACATTCTTCTCAGCACCACATCGCACTTATTCCAAAATTGACCACATAGTTGGAAGTAAAGCACTCCTCAGCAAATGTAAAAGAACAGGAATTAAAACAAACTGTCTCTCAGAACACAGTGCAATCAAACTAGACCTCAGGATTAAGAAACTCACTCAAAACCACTCAACTACATGGAAACTGAACAACCTGTTCCTGAATGACTACTGGGTACATAACGAAATGAAGGCAGAAATAAAGATGTTCTTTGAAATCAAAGAGAACAAAGTCATAACATACAAGAATCTCTGGGACACATTTAAAGCAGTGTGTGAGGGAGATTTATAGCACTAAATGCCCACAAGAGAAAGCAGGAAAGATCTAAAATTGACACCCTAACATCATAATTAAAAGAACTAGAGAAGCAAGAGCAAACACATTCAAAAACTAGCAGAAGGCAAGAAATAACTAAGATCAGAGCAGAACTGAAGGAAATAGAGACACAAAAAACCATTCGAAAAATCAATGAATCCAGGAGCTGGTTTTTTGAAAAGATCAACAAAATTGATAGACCACTAGCAAGACTCATAAAGAAGAAAAGAGAGAAGAATCTAATAGACGCAATAAAAAATGATAAAGGGGATATCACCACCTATCCCACAGAAATACAAACTACCATCAGAGAATACTAGAGACAACTCTACACAGATAAGCTAGAAAATCTAGAAAAAATGGATAAATTCCTGGACACATCCACCCTCCCAAGACTAAACCAGGAAGAAGTTGAATCCCTGAATAGACCAATAACAGGCTCTGAAACTGAGGCAATAATTTAAAGCCTACCAACCAAAAAAATTCCAGGACCAGATGGATTCACAGCCAAATTCTACCAGAGGTACAAGGAGGAGCTTGTGCCATTCCTTCTGAAACTATTCCAATCAGTAGGAAAAGAGGGACTCCTCCCTAACTCATTTTATGAGGCCAGCATCATCCTGATACCAAAGCCTGGCAGAGACACAACAAAAAAAGAGAATTTTAGACCAATATCCCTGATGAACATCGATGCAAAAATCTTCAATAAAATACTGGCAAACCGAATCCAGCAGCACATCAAAAAGCTTATCCACCATGATCAAGTGGGCTTCATCCCTGGGATGCAAGGCTGGTTCAACATATGCAAATCAATAAACATAATCCAGCATATGAACAGAACCAATGACAAAAATCACATGATTATCTCAATAGATGCAGAAAAGCCATTTGACAAAATTCAACAGCGCTTCATGCTAAAAAATCTCAGTAAATTAGGTGTTGATGGGACATTTCTGAAAATAATAAGAGCTATTTATGACAAACCCACAGCCAATATCATACTGAACAGACAAAAACTGGAAGCATTCCCTTTGAAAACTGGCACAAGACAGGGATACCCTCTCTCACCACTCCTATTCAACATAGCGTTGGGAGTTCTGGCCAGGGCAATCAGGCAGGAGAAAGAAATAAAGGGTATTCAATTAGGAAAAGAGGAAGTCAAATTGTCCCTGTTTGCAGATGACATGATTGTATATTTAGAAAACCCCATTGTCTCAGCCCAAAATCCCCTTAAGCTGATAAGCAACTTCAGCAAAGTCTCAGGATACAAAATCAATGTGCAAAAATCACAAGCATTCTTATACACCAATAACAGACAAACAGAGAGCCAAATCATAAGTGAACTCCCATTCACAATTGCTTCAAAAAGAATAAAATACCTAGGAATCCAACTTACAAGGGATGTGAAGGAACTCTTCAAGGATAACTACAAACCACTGCTCAATGAGATAAAAGAGGACACAAACAAATGGAAGAACATTCCATGCTCATGGATAGGAAGAATCAATATTGCAAAATGGCCATACTGCCCAAGGTAATTTATAGATTCAGTGCCATCCCCAGCAAGCTACCAATGACTTTCTTCACAGAATTGGAAAAACTACTTTAAAGTTCATGTGGAAACAAAAAAGAGTCCGAATTGCCAAGACAACCTGAAGCAAAAAGAACAAAGCTGGAGGCATCACACTACCTGACTTCAAACTATACTACAAGGCTATAGTAACCAAAACAGCATAGTACTGGTACCAAAACAGAGATATAGACCAATGGAACAGAACAGAGCCCTCAGAAATAATACCACACATCTACAACTATCTGATCTTTGACAAACCTGACAAAAACAAGAAATGGGGAAAGGATTCCTTATTTAACAAATGGTGCTGGGAAAACTGGCTAGCCATATGTAGAAAGCTGAAACTGGATCCCTTCCTTACACCTTATACAAAAATTAATTCAAGGTGGATTGAAGACTTAAATATTAGACCTAAAACCATAAAAACCCTAGAAGAAATCCTAGGCAATACCATTCAGGACATAGGCATGGGCAAGGACCTCATATCTAAAACACCAAAAACAGTGGCAACAAAAGCCAAAGTTGACAAATGGGATCTAATTAAACCAAAGAGCTTCTGCACAGCAAAAGGAAATACCATCAGAGTGAACAAGCAACCTACAGAATGGGAGAAAATTTTTGCAATCTACTCATCTGACAAAGGGCTAATATCCAGAATCTACAAAGAACTCAAACAAATTTACAAGAAAAAAACAACCCATCAGCAAGTGGGCAAAGGATGTGAACAGACACTTCTCAAAAGAAGACATTTATGCAGCCAAAAGACACATGCAAAAATGCTCATCATCACTGGCCATCAGAGAAATGCAAATCAAAACTACAATGCGATACCATCTCACACCAGTTAGAATGGCAATCATTGAAAAGTCAGGAAACAACAGGTGCTGGAGAGGATGTGGAGAAATAGGAACACTTTTACACTGTTGGTGGGACAGTAAACTAGTTGAACCATTGTGGAAGACAGTGTGGTGATTCCTCAAGGATCTAGAACTAGAAATACCATTTGACCCAGCCATCCCATTACTGGGTATATACCCAAAGGATTATAAGTCATGCTGCTATAAAGACACATGCACACGTATGTTTTCTGCGGCACTATTTACAATAGCAAAGACTTGGAACCAACCCAAATGTCCATCAGTGATAGATTGGATTAAGAAAATGTGGCACATATACACCATGGAATACTATGTAGCCATAAAAAAGGATGAGTTCATGTCCTTTGTAGGAACGTGGATGAAGCTGGAAACCATCATTCTCAGCAAACTATCACAAGGACAAAAAACCAACCACCACATGTTCTCACTCATAGATGGGAATTGAACAATGAGAACACTTGGACACAGGAAGGGGAATATCAAACACCGGGGCCTGTCGTGGGGTGGGGGGAGGGGGAGTGGTAGCATTAGGAGATATACCTAATATAAATGACGAGTTAATGGGTGCAACACACCGACATGGCACACGTATACATATGTAACAAACCTGCACGTTGTGCATATGTACCCTAGAACTTAAAGTATAATAAAAAAATTGTAAACATCAGTAAGCAGAGGGCCTCTGTATCATATGTCAAAAGAACTTTAGAATTGTGATTATGCCCTATTGCCATATTTGAGTACCATGGCCATACATTTAAGACATAAATACGAATGAAAGGTGGTTCCATTTTGGAGATTATAGCCTAGTAGGCCAGAAGACAAGAACATGGACAAACACAACACAGATGATAAGTGTTTCCATCGACAGAGAGTGGAAGAGAAAATGAGAACACAGACTATGCCCCTAACTCAGACTAATGGATGAGATGGGGCCAAGAACGTGTCTCAGCTTACATTAATACATAGTAATTGAATAAAATGCTACACTTTGTCTTTAAATTCCATCAGGGATTAATTTTCTGTTTTTTAATAACTTAAAATATCTGTGTATTCATTTATTTAATAAATATGTATTTAGTGCCAGTTGCATGTCATGCTCTGTCCTAGGTGCTGAGTATTCAAGGAATAAAAAGAGAAATGGTCCCCGCTATTGGGGGATTATCAAATGAAGCTGACAGATATTGACTTAACAGACATATGTAGGCAATTCAAATCATGAGAGGTGCTATGAATGGAAGATAGGTGTTATAAAAAGGAATATCAGGAGAACTCTAATTTAGTTGAGAGGAAAAGGTTATTCTCATATTGAAGAGTCTTCTGGCCTATTTCTTGACTCCTGTTTGGCTCATTCATTTTATCATTTATTCATTAATTCATCAGATATTTTCTTGTTTTAGTTACTTATTTTTCTGATAAGTAGAAATTATATATATTTATGGTATACAGCATGATATTTGATATATGTATAAATTGTAGAATGGCTAAGATCAAACTATTTCAGATATGCATTACCTCACATACTAATTTTTCATAATGAGAACACACAATTTATTCTCTTTTCAATTTTCAAGCATACAATATATTATTAAGTATAGTCACCATGATGTACAATAGGTCTCTTAAATTTATTCTTCCTAACTAAAATTTTGTGTCCTTTGACCAACATTTCCTGAGTACCCAAAGTGGTAACATGTAGTAACCATGATTTTACTCTCTATTAGTTTGACTATTTTAGATTTCATTTGTAAGTGAGATCGTATGGTATTTGTCTTTCAGTACCTAGCTTATTTCACTTAACATAATGTCCTCTAGGTCCATCCATATAGCAAATGAGAGGATTTTCTTCTTTTTAAGGATTAATAATATTCTATTTTATATATATATATATATATATATATATATATATATATATATATATATATATATATATCACACTTTATCCATTCATCCACTGATGAATACTCAGGTTGATTCCATATCTTGGCTATTGTTACTAATGCTGCAATGAACATGGAAGTGCAGATATCCCCTTGACGTACTGATTTCATATCTTTTGAATATATACTGTATTAGTCTGTTTACACACTGCTATAAAGAACTACCTGAGACTGGGTGATTTATAAACAAAAGAGGTTTAATTTACTCACAGTTCCCCATGGCTGGGAAGGCCTCAGGAAACTTACAAACATGGTGGAAGTTGAAGGGGAAGCAGGACATGTCTTACATGGTGGCAGGAAAGAGAGTGAGGAGGGAAGTGCCACACTTTTAAACGATAAGATCTCATGAGAACTCACTCACTATCATGAGAACAGCATAGGGGAGACTGCCCTCATGACCCAATCACCTCCCACCAGGCCCCTCCCCTGACACGTGGGGATTACAACTCTAGATGAGATTTGAGTGGGGATACAGCAAAACCATATCATTTTGCCCCTGGCCCCTCCCAAATCTCATGTCCTTCTCACATTTCAAAATGCAATTGTGCCTTCACAACATTCCAGCATTAACCCCAAATTCCAAGTCCAAAGTCTCATCTGAGACAAAGAAAGTCCCTTCTGCCTATGAGCCTGTAAAATCAAAAGCAAGTTAGTTACTTCTAAGATACAATGGGGATACAGGCATTGGGTAAATGCCCTCATTACAAATGGGAGAAATTGGCCAAAACAAAGGGGCTACAGGTCACATGCATGTCCGAAACCCAACAGGACAGTCATTAAATCTTAAAGGTCCAAAATAATCTCTCCTTTGACTCCATGTCTCACACCCAGGGCACAGTGATGCAAAAGGTGGGCTCCCAAGGCCTCGGGTACTCCATCCCTGTGGCTCTGCAGGGTAAGCCCCCATGGCTACTTTCACAGGCTGATGTTGAGTGCTTGCAGCTTTTCTAGGTGCATGATGCAAGCTGTTGATGGATTTACTATTCTGGGGTCTGGAGGATGGTGGCTCTCTTCTCACAGCTCAACTAGGCAGTGAGCCAGTGGTGACACTGTGTAAGGGCTCCAACCCCACATTTCCCCTCTGCATTGCCTTAGTAGAGGTTCTCCATGAGGGCTCTTCCCCTGCAGCAGACTTCTGCCTAGACATTCAGGCATTTCCATACATCCTCTGAAGTCTAGGCAGAAGCTCACAAACCTCAACTCTTGTCTTCTGCACATCCACAGGCCCAACATCATGTGGAAGCCACCAAGACGTGGGGCTTGCACCCTCTGAAGTGACAGCCTAAGCTATACCTTGGCCCCTTTTAGCCATGACTGGAGCTGGAACGTCTGGAATGCAGGGTGCCATGTCCCAAGGCTGCATAGAGCAGCAGCCATGAAAACCATTATTGCCTCCTAGGCCTCCAGGCTTGTGATGAGAGGGGCTGCTGTGAAAATTTCTGAAATGCCCTGAATATATTTTCCCCATTGTCTTGGCTATTAACATTTGGTTTCTCTTTACTTATGCAATTTTTTTGCAGCTGATGGCTTGAATTTCTCTGCAAAAAATGGGTTTTTCTTTTCTACCACATGGGCAGTCTGCAAATTTTCCAAACTTTTATGCTTTGCTTCTCTTTTAAACATAAGTTCCAATTTCAGACCAACTCTTTGTGAACACATATGACTGTACACTTTCAAAAAAAGTCAGGTCATTTCTTGAATGCTTTGCTGCTTAGAAATTTTTTCTGCCAGATAACCTAAATCATCCTCTCAATTTCAGAGTTCCACAGATCTCTAGGGCAGGGGAAAAATGCCTCCAGTCTCTTTGCTAAAGCATACCAAGAGTGACCTTTGCTCCAGTTCCCAATAAGTTTCTCATCTCCATCTGAGACCACCTCAACCTGGACTTCCTTGTCCATCAGCATTTCAGTCAAAACCATTCAACAGGTCTCTAGGAAGTTCCAAACTTTTCCAATTCTTTCTGCCTTCTTCTGAGCCCTCAAAACTGTTCCAACTTCTGCCTGTTACCCCCTTCCAAAGTTGCTTCCATGTTTTCAGGTATCTTTGTAGCAGTGCCTCACTTCTGGTACCAATTTTCTGTATTAGTTGTTTTCACACTGCTATAAAGAACTACCTAAGATTGGGTACTTTATAAAGAAAAGAGGTTTGACTCACAGTTCTATGTGGCTTGGGAGGCCTCAGGAAGCTTACAGTAGTGGTGGAAGGTGTAGGAGAAGCAAGGCACATCTTACATGGTGGTAGGAAAGGGAGAGTGAGGGGGGTGGGAAGTGCCACACTTTTAAACCATCAGATCTGATGAGAATTCACTATCATGAGAACAGCATGGGGGTGACCACCCATATGACCCAATCACCTCCCATCAAACCCCTCCCCAACACATGGGGATTAGAATTTGAGATGAGATTTGTGTGGGGACACAGAGCCAAACTATATCATATACCCAGTAGTAGGATTGGCTGGATCATATGGAAGTTGTAGTTTTAAGTTTTTGATGAATTCTCATGCTGCTTTCCATCCCCATAAATAGTGTACAAGTTTTCTTTCTCCACACCTTTGCCAACATTTACTTTTCATCTTTTTGATAGTAGCCATTCTAACAGTGTGAGGTGATTTCTTATTGCAGTTTTAATTTTCATTTATCTGGTGGTTAGTGATATTGAGCATTTTTTCATATACCTGTTGGCCTTTTGTATGCCTTTTTTGAGAAAAGTCTATTCAGGTCCTTTGCTTATTTTTTAATTGGACAATTTGTTTTCTTACTAAGTTTTTGAAATTACTTATATATTTTAGATATTAGCCCCTTATCAGATGTATGGATTGCAAATATATTCTCTCATTCTGTAGATTTTGTCTTCACTCTGTTGATTGTTTCCTTTGTATTTTAGTTTGATGCAATCCTATTTGTTTATTTTTGCCTTTGTTGTGAGTGCTTTGGGGGTCATATCTAAAAAATCATTGCCAAGACCAATGTGATGGAACTTTTCCACTGTTTTCTTCTAGTTACTTTATAGTTTCAGGTCTTATATTTAAGTCTTTGCTTCATTTTGAGTTGACTTTTGTACATGATGTGAGAGTCCAATTTTATTCTTCTGAATGTCAATATCCAGCTTTCCCAGCACCGTTTATTGAAGACACTGTCCTTTCTCTGTTGTGTATTCTTGGCTCCTTTGTTGAAAATTAGTTGGCTGTAAATGTGTGGATTTATTTCTGGACTTGCTATTCTGTTTCATTGGTCTTTGTGTCATCAGACATTCTCTAATCACTTGCTTTGGGCCAGAATTGGATCTGAGCATCTAGGATACAGATATCGGGCTGAGCTCATCAGAAGCTTAAACAAATCTGCTAGGGATGCATACTAAAAATCATGATGAATCAAAAATTGTATTTCTGAAACTAAAATTTACTTTCGCAGTATTTCTGAAACTAAAATTTACTTTCACATCTTTTGTCACTTTTTTTTTTTTTTGAGACAAGTTCTTTCTCTTTTGCCCAGGCTGGAGTGCAGTGGCATGATCTCAGCTCACTGCAACTTCTGACCCCTGGGTTCAAGCAGTTTTCCCACCTGAGTCTCTCAAGTGGCTGGGATTACAGGCATGAGCCACTGTACCTAGCTAATTTTTTGTTGTTCTTGTATTTTTAGTAGATACGGGGTTTTACCATGTTGGCCAGGCTGCTCTCAAACTCCTGGCCTCAAGTGATCCTCCCACCTTGGCCGCCCAAAGTGCTGGGATTACAGGCATGAGCCACCGTGCCCAGTCTTTTGTCACATTTACTACTCACACCAACCCCACAGAGTAGGTATGATTATTCCCATATTACAGGCAAGGAAAGAGGGGCTTTTAGCTGTTTCCATAATGTGGTGCACATGCATATAGAAGAAACTGGAGCATATATGTGAATATGAACCTTCTTTTATCCTTTTTGTGAAAGAAATCAACACCAAATAACAGAGGTTGGGTCTGGATTAGAGAAGAACAAATGAAGTGGGCTGTGAGGAGGTTTTGGATAACAGAGGTCTTCCTAGAGAAGATGGCACTTGAGCCGGACCTTAGAAATGAGTAGGATGTCAATAAGAAGGACTGTAATGGGGACAGGCAAGAGGATAAGGTGAAATGATCTACCAAGTTGAGGGAATAGCATAGGAAAAAGCAGAGAGGTGTGAAATTGGGAGGTCTGTTTGTGAATGAATCTGTAAGGGATGGTTTGTGGAGAGAGTGGGTCTGGAATGGTGAGTGGGATTGCATTATTTAGGGTGACTGTAAAGAGCTTTGACATTTTTCTCAGGCCCATGGATAATTATTAACGACCTTTCAACAAGGAGACAGTATAGTAGGAGTTTTGCTTAAGCTGGCACCTGCAGGATAAAGGAGTGAGAAGGCACACTGGGAATTCTCAATACTTCTTCTGCCACTGCTATTGAAGGCAGGTGGCTTGCTTAATAATTCTCCTGTGCCTGCTGCCCCAGGTTACCACAATCACTCAAATTCATGGACCACTATTAGAGATGAGATGCATAGCTTTTGGATGTGAGTTTCAATCTGATGCTTGATTATATATATGACAGTGGCCAAAAAGGGCAGAAGCCATCTGTGGTGCAAAGGCTCTCAGACTGGATGAGGGGAGGGCCGATGAGGAAGTCCTAACTCCTAAGAAGTCACCTGCTCCCATGCTCTGGTGCTTCCTCCTATGCCACATCTTCCACCCTGCAGCCTACGCTCTGTTGGGAGGGCCCCAAGAAGGAGCATGATCTACAGCACATACTGTCCACATGTGTTCCAAAAAGTCAGGTCACCTCTTGAATCCTTTACTGCTTAGACATTTCTTCTGTCAGAGATACTCTAAATCATTTATGTAAAGTTCAAAGTTCCACAGATCCCTAGGACAGGGACAAAATGCCACCAGTTTATTTGCTAAAGCATAGCAAGAGTGACCTTTGCTCCAGTTCCCAATAAGTTCCTCATCTCCGTCTGAGACAACCTTGTCTTGGACTTCATTGTCCATATTACTATCAGCATTTCAGTCAAAACCATTCAACAAGTCTCTAGGAAGTTTCAAACTTTTCCACATATCCCTGTCTTCTTCTGTGCCCTCCAAACTATTCCAAGCTCTGCCTGTTACCCAGTTCCAAAGTCACTTCCACATTTTCAGGTATCTTTATACCAGTGCTCCACTTCTCCTCTTCAGTTCTCTTTTTGTTGGAGCTTATGAATTTTGGAAGTTGAAGCTTTTTTGGATCAGAGATGCCTAGGCTGCTTAGAGACAGAACAGGCATATCTCTACAGAGAGGAATGGGTACCTTGGCCATGTAACCCTGAGAAGGAATGCCAACTTTCATGTGAAAGTCATGTGAGGGGCTCACATCCCAGCAGATCAGAAAGGTACTAATAAGTTTTCAACATTGTACAGGGAACTTTATGGTTTTCAAAGTGATTCTGCCAACATTTCAGTTCACAAAACACCAAGGGAGTACGAGTTTTTATGCCTTTTGGGCAGGGAAGGAAACTGAGACTCAGAGAGTTTAAGGGTCATTCAACTCAGAGCAGGAAAGCTGAACTGGAACTCATGTCATCTTGCTCCAAATATAGAGCTCTTTCCATTACACCAGGCTGCCTCTCAGAAAGCAGTGAAAGCCTGCAAGGGAAAGGTGTTTCTGGCACCTTTGCACGGAAGGGAACTCTGACCACATTTTCCCATGGAAACATTTTCACCTATGTTGGTTATGATCTATGGCTGAAATAGTAAAGTACTGTGTTTCAGCAGTATACTTGCCTTCCAGTCAATCGAGTTACATTTCACGTAGCACCTATTAGGTAAGTCTATAACAAAAATTTGTAAGAAGATATTTTTCCCACTCTGGTGAGGGACGCAGACATAGGCAGAAGCCACTAAAACAATAGGAGCTGCCTAATCTGTCCCCCACCAAGAATGACTTTTCTTTTTCTTTCACCAGGGAATCCCATCCATGTTAGAAATATTCTGTCAATGAAATGAGAGGTAACATCCATAATAGAGTTTTAGGGCAAGATATAGTTCAGTCCAAATCTAAGCATCTAAGCTATGCCACTGTGTGATTAGAGGAAAAAAAATGGCCTTTCTCTCCTTGCTAAAAATTCACCCAGCACTGGCCATAAAATATAGTCCATGCATCTGTAACCCCTGAGAGAATTATTTCCTTATGGAACTCAGCTCTGTTCCTTTGCCTGCCTTGTAGAGGGCTGGTTCTTGTTATGGGAGGCTTTTAAAGTACCAAAGTAATAATTTGTGAAGTAAGGCCCATGAACTGCTTGGTTTAGCAAATTGTGACTCTAGAAAATAATATTTGAAGCTGGTCTCAAAGGCTGGATTAAATAGGAGGTGCCCATGTTTACCCAAGCCAAACCTGGTAGCCATCCCCTCAGAGCCTCTTCTTTGCCCCATGCCTCATATATGCCATTATCATAAAAATAACAAGAGCCCTCTATTATTTAGGGCCTACTTTAGACCAGAAACTATTAAGATCTTTCTATATCATATCGCCAGTCCTTACAGTGCTGCAAAGGAGGCATTATGACCTTCCATTTGAAAGCTGAGGAAGTGGAAGCTCAGAGATGTTTAGTAACCTATTCAAGATCACCATGCTCTTTTTTCTATACCAGGTCAGCCTGAGAGGTTGAGTGAGCTCTGCAATGCTCCTGGTTTACTCAGGAGGATTAGGGCAATAGGCAGACCTTTTCTTGTTTTTCTTACTGTCTTTCCTTTTGATCAAAATGTCCATCTCAAAATGTTTAAATCATCTCCAGAGCAAGTTCGAGTTCTCCTGTGTCTGCTTTTGATGACCTTTCTGTCTCTTCCTTTGCTACCACACTGCCTTCTGTCACTTATAACTGTCGTTAAAAAAAAAAAAAGGTCTCTGAATTATATAATGGGCTTGGTAATGAGAAAGGCATGCTCTCTTGAGCTTTATCTTAATAATAGTTAATAGCCCTCAGGTGAGGTCATGAAAGAGTCTCCTACAACATTATAATAGTTGTTTTGACTTCTAGATTTTTCTATCTTAGTTTTGGGGTCTTTGTTCCTGGTTGGGGGAAGATGCTTGGTGGGTTCGTAGGGCATATGAGGTGTTTCTGAAGCAAGATGCCAGCCTTATTTTGGAAGGTATGATAGCCGTAGAATTTCTAAATTTTATTTTTTTATTCATAGTTAATAGCTGTGCCAACACACAGCTGCTTTAGTAGAGATAATACAGAATTTAGTGGAAGACAAAACTGGGTTAAAGTCTTTGCTCAGGGTTTACTTGCTATATGACAGGGACAAGTCATACAACCTCAGTTTTCAAATCTGTACAATGGAAGTAATCCACTCCCTTCTACTTATCCTCTGCTGACAATTCTTCTTCCTCTTCCTCTTCATCTTCATTCTTTTAAAAAAATTGTTTATGTTTTTACTTCAGTACGTTTTAGGGAAACAGGTGGTATTTGATTACATGAATAAGCTCTTTAGTGATGATTTCTGAGATTTTGGTGCACCCATCACCTGAGCAGTGTACACTGTACCCAATGTGTAGTCTTTTATCCCTCGCCACCCCTCACCCTTTCCCCCAAGTCCCCAAAGTCCAATGTATCATTCTTATGCCTTTGCAACCTCATAGCTTAGCTCCCACGTATGAGTGAGAGCATACGATGTCTGGTTTTCTATTCCTGAGTTACTTCACCTAGAATAATAGTCTCCAATTCCATCCAAGTCACTGTGAATGCCATTATTTCATACCTTTTTATAGCTGAGCAGTATTCCATGGTATATATATGCTACATTTTCTTTATCCACTTATTGATTGATGGGTATTTGGGCTGGTTCCATATTTTTGGCAATTGTGAATTGTGCTGCTATAAACATGTATGTGCAAGTATCTTTTTTGAATAATGACTTATTTTACTCTAGATATATACCTAGTAGTGGGATTACTGGATCAAACAGTAGATCTACCTTTAGTTCTTTAAGGAATCTCCAAATTGTTTTCGATAGTGGTTGTACTAGTTTACATTCCCACCAACAATGTAAAAGTGTTTCATTTTCACTGCATCCATACCAACATCTATTACTTTTTGTTTTTTTTATTATGGCCATTCTTGCTGGAGTGAGGTAGTATTACATTGTGGTTTTGATTTGCATTTTTCTGATAGTTAGTGATGTTGAGCATTTTTTATATGCTCGTTGGCCATTTGTATATCTTCTTTTGAGAATTGTCTACTCATGTCCTTAACCTGCTTTTTAATGGGATTGTTTGTTTGTTTGTTTGTTTTTCTTGCTGATTAGTCTGAGTTCCTTGTAGATTCTGGATATTAGTCCTTTGTCAGTTGTATGGATTGTGACGATTTTCTCCCACTCTGTGGGTTTTCAGTTAACTCTGCTGATTGTTTCTTTTGCTGTGCAGAAGCTTTTTAGTTTAAGTAAGTCCTATTTATGTATCTTTGCTTTTTGTTGTGTTTGCTTTTGGGTTATTTGTCATGAAGTCTTTGCCTAAGCCAATTTCCAGAAAGGTTTTTCTTAGTCCAATGTTATCTTCTAGAATCTTTATGGTTTCAGGTCTTAGGTTTAAGTCCCGGATCCATCTTGAGTTGATTTTTGTATAAGTTGAGAGATGAAGATCTAGTTTCATCCTCCTACATATGGCTTGCCAATATCCCAGCACCATTTACTGAATAGGGTGTCCTTTTCCCACTTTATGTTTTTGTTTGCTTTGCTGAAGGTCAGTGGCTATAAGTCTTTGGCTTTATTTCTGGGTTCTTCTTTCCATTCCATTTGTCTATATGCCTGTTTTTACCCCAATACCATGCTGTTTTGATGACCATGGCCTTATAGTATAGTTTGAAGTCAGGTAATGTGATGTCTCCAGATTTGTTGTTTAGTCTTGCTTTACTATGCAGGCTCTTTTTTGGTCCCACATAGATTTTAGGATTGTTTTTTCTAGTTCTGTGAAGAATGGTGTTGGTATTTTGATAGGAATTGCATTGAATTTGTAGATTGCTTTTGGCAGTATGGTCATTTTCATAATATTGATTCTATTCATTCATAGGCATGGGATATATTCATTTGGGTGTGTCATCTATGATTTCTTTCGGCAGTGTTTTGTAGTTTTCCATGTAGAGGTCTTTCACATCCTTGGTTAGGTATTCCTAAATATTTTATGTATTTATTTATTTGCAGCTATTGTGAAAGGGATTGAGTTCTTGATTTGATTCCCAGCTTGGTCACTGTTGTTGTATATCAGTGCTACTGATTTGTGTACATTAATTTTCTATCCTGAAGCTTTGCTGAATTCATTTACCAGTTCTAGGAGCTTTTTGGATGAGTCTTTAGAGTTTTTTAGGTATATGATTATATCATCAGTAAACAGAGAGAGTTTGGCTTCCACTTTACCAATTTGATGCCCTGTATTTCTTTCTCTTGTCTGATTGCTCTTGCTAGGACTTCCACTACTATGTTGAACAGAAGTGGTGAAAGCAGACATCCTTCTCTTATTCCAGTTCTTAGGGGGAATGCTTTCAACTTTTTTCCCATTCAGTATAATGTTGGCTGTGGGTTTGTCATAGATGGCTTTTATTACCTTAAAGTATGTCCCTTCTATGCCGATTTTGCTGAGAGTTTTAATTATAAAGGAATGCTGGGTTTTGTCACATGCCTTTTCTGAATCTATTGAGATGATCACGTGATTTTTGTTTTAAATTATGTTTATGTGGTCTATCACATTTATTGACTTATGTGTGTTAAACCATCCCTGCATCCCTTGCATGAAATCCACTTGATCATGGTGGATTGTCTTTTTTATATGCTGTTGAATTCAGTTTACTAGTACTCTGTTGAGAATTTTTGCATCTATGTTCATCAGGAATATTGGTCTGTAGTTTTCTTTTTTGGTTATGTGCTTCCCTGGTTTTGGTATTAGGATGATACTGGTGTCATAGAATGTTACGGAGGATTCCCTCTTTATCTTTTGGAATAGTGTCAATAGCATTGGTACCAATTCTTCTTTGAATGTCTGATAGAATTCAGCTGTTAATCTTTCTGGTCCTGGACTATTTCTTGTTGGTAGTTTTTAAATTATTATTTCAATCTCACTGCTTGTTTTTGGTCTGTTCAGAGATTCTATCTTTTCCTGGTTTAATCTAGGAGGGTTGTATATTTCTAGGAATTTATCCATCTCCTCTAGGTTTTCTAGTTTATGTGCATAAAAGTGTTCATAGTAGCCTTGAATAATCCTTTGTGTTTTTGTGATATCAGTTGTAATATCTCCCATTTTATTTCTAATTGAGCTTATTTGGATCTTCTCTCTTCTTTTCTTGGTTAATCTCACTAATAGTCTATCAATTTTATTGATCTTTTCAAAGAACCAGATTTTTGTTTCATTTATCTTTCGTATTTTCTTGTTTCAATTTCATTTAATTCTGCTCTGATATTCGTTATTTCTTTTCTTCTGCTGGGTTTGGATTTGGATTGTTCTTGTTTCTCCAGTTCCATGAGGTGTGGTCTTAGATTGTCAATTTATGCTCTTTCAGACTTTTGATGTAGGCACTTAATGCTTTGAACTTTCCTCTTAGCACCACTTTTGCTGTATCCCAGAGGTTTTTGACAGGTTGTGTCAATATTATCATTCAGTTCAAAGATTTTTTTTTATTTCCATCTTGATTTCATTGTTGACCCAATGATCATTCAGGAGCAGGCTATTTAATTTCCATGTATTTGCATGGTTTTGAGGGTTTTTTTTGGAGTTGATTTTCAGTTTTACTTCACTGTGGTCTGACAGAGTACTTGATATAATTTTAATTTTCTTAAATTTACTGAGACTTGTTTTGTGGCCTATCATATGGTCTATCTTGGAGAATATTGCATGTGCTGATGAATAGAATGTATATTCTGCAGTTATTCAGTAGAATGTTCTGTAAATATCTGTTAAGTCCATTTGTTTTAGGGTATAGTTTTTAAGTCCATTGTTTCTTTGTTGATTTTCTGTCTTGTTGACCTGTCTTGTGCTCTCAGTGGAGTATTAAAGTCCCCCACTGTTATTGTGTTGCTGTCTATCTCATTTCTTAGGTCTAGTAGTAATTGCTTTATAAATTTGGAAGCTCCAGTATTAGGTGCATATATATTTATAAGTGTGATATTTTCCTGTTGGTCCAGTTCTTTAATCATTATATAATGTACCTCTTTGTGTTTTTAACTGCTGTTGCTTTAAAGTTTGTTTGTCTGATGTAGGAATAGCTACTCCTACTTGCTTTTGGCATTGTTTGCATGGAATATCTTTTTCCACCCCTTTAAATTACATTTATGTGTTAGGTGAGACTCCTGAAGACAGCAGAAACTCAGTTGGTGAATTCTTATCCATTTTGCCATTCTGTATCTTTTAAGTGGAGCCTTTAGGCCACTCACATTCAATGTTAGCATTAAGATGTTATGTACTATTCTATTTATTGTGCTATTTGTTGCCTGAATATCTTGGGGTTTTCTTTTTTTAATTGTGTTATTGTTATATAGGTCCTGTGAGATTTATGCTTTAAGGAGGTTCTATTTTGGTGTATTTTGAGGATTTGTTTCAAGGTTTAGAGCTCCTTTTAGCAGTTCTTGTAGTGCTGGCTTGGTAATGGTGAATTCTGTCAGCATTTGTTTGTCTAGAAAAGACTGTATCTTTCCTTCATTTATGAAGCTTAGTGTTTCTGGATACACAATTCCTGGCTGGTAATTCTTTTGTTTAAGCAGGCTAAAAATAAGACCCCAATCCCTTCTAGCTTGTAGGATTTCTGTTGAGAAATATGCTCTTAATCTGATAGGTTTTCTTTTATAGGTTACCTGATGTTTTTGCCTCACAGCTCTGAAGATTCTTTCCTTTGTCCTGATTTTAGATAACCTGATGACTGTGTGCCTAGGCGATGATCTTTTTGCAATGAATTTCCCAGGTGCTCTTTGAGTTTCTTGTATTTGGATGTGTAGACCTCTAGCAAGGCTGGGGAAGTTTTCCTTGATTATTCCCTCAAATATGTTCTCCAGTCTTTTAGATTTGTTGTCTTCCTTGGGAGCACCAATTATTCTTAAGTTTGGATGTTTAGCATAGTCCCAAATTTCTTGGAGGCTTTTTTCATTTTTTGAAGTTCTTTTTTGTTTGTGTTTGATGGATTGGGTTAATTTGAAAGTCTTATCTTCAAGCTCTGAAGTTCTTTCTTCCACTTGTTCAGTTCCATTGCTGAGACTTTCCAGTGCATTTTGCTCTCTCTAAGCGTGTCCTTGATTTCCAGAAGTTGTGATTGTTTCTTATTTATGCTGTGTATCTCACTGAAGAATTTTCCTTTCATATCCTGTATCATATTTTTTATTTCTTCAAGTTGGACTTCACCTTTCTCTGGTGCCTCCTTGATTAGCATAATAATCAGCCCTCTGAATTCTTTTTCTGGCAATTCAGAAATGTTGTCTTAGTTTGGATCCATTACTGGTGAACCAGTATCATCTTTTATGGGTGTTAAATAACCTTCTTTTGTCATATTAGTAGAATTGTTTTTCTGATTCCTTCTTATTTGGGTAGACTATGTCAGAGGGAAGATCTGGGATTCAAGGGCCACTGTTCAGATTCCTTTGTCCCATGGGGTGCTCCCTTAATGTGGTGTTCTCCCCCTTCCCTAGGAATGGGGCTTCCTCAGAGCTGAAATGTAGTGATTGTTTTGCTCTTATGAGTCTAGCCACCCAGCAGAGCTCCAGGCTGGTGCTGAAGAGTGTCTGCAAAGAGTCCTGTAATGTTATCTGTCTTCAGGTCTTGGCAGCCATGGATACCACCACCTGCTCCAGTGGAGGTAGCAGGGTAGTGAAGTGGACTCTGTGATGGTCCTCAGTTGTGTTTTTGTTTAGTGTGCTGGTTTGTATTCGTTGGCTTCCAGCCAGGAGGTGACACTTTCAAGAGTGTGTCAGCTGTGGTCCTATTGGGAGGATGCAGACTTACCCTAGGGACACCTGATGAAGTATTCAGGTTTCTCAGGTGGTAGGCAGGGCCATAGAGCTCCTAAGAGATTATGACCTTTGTCTTTGGCTACCAGAGTGGTTAGAGAAAGAACACCAGGTGGGGGCAGGGATAAGCATGTCAGAGCTCAGCCTGTCCTTGTGTGGGGCTTGCTGTAGCTGCTGTGGGGAATGGGGTATGGTTCCCAGGCCAATGGAGTTATGTTCCCAGAAGGATTATGGCAGCTTCTCCTAAGTCATACAGGTCACCAGGGAAGTAGGGGAAAGCCAGCAGTCACAGGCCTCACTCTGCTCCCATGCAGCCCACAGTCCTAAAAGCCAGTCTCACTCTCACTATGGCCTCCCAACAGCACCAAGCCTATTTCCAGGAAGCTGGTAGCCAGGGCTGAAAACTTGCCCCAGATCACAAGCCCCTCTGTTGAGAAAGCAAGCTGACTCACAGTTTTTTGTCATCTCAGGGAGACTGCAGCAGTGATCTAGTTCCTTCAAAGGGTCTGTGGATTCTCTTGGCTTCCTGGTATGTTCCTGCAGTAGTTCTTGGAGCAAAAGTTCACAATATGAGTCTCCCCACGCTGCTCTGTCCATCCAGGCAGGAGCTGCAAGCTAGTCCTTCCTCCTATCTGCCATATTTGAGAAAAGGCCCTCATTCTATTTATTATCATAATGATCATCATTACAATAAAGATCAAATGAGATTATGATGTAGAAGGAATTTATAAAGTGTAAATGATGATGATGATGCATTAATAATAATAGTATCTTTTTGATCTCTCAAACATGTTAGCTGCTACCTCCAGCAGGATATAAAGACAGAAGACCCATTTTGTGCTCTCTTTCAATCATTGTACCTATATCCTGAGCTCTCTGAGTCTGAAACAGTAGATATTTGGAGCCTTAAGTCTCAACCTTTATTTCTGCAATACACAGGATAAGTCAATGCAAGTCACATTCCCCTGGAAGTTTCCAGGTGTGTGACTTCTAGATGTAGTTGTATTTCCTATTCTCCTGTTCAAGAAATCGTATTTATATTTTAATAAAATAAGGGAAATTATTATACAGTTGTCTAAATCAGTTCTTCTCAAATGTGGTCCTCAAACCAGCACCAACAGCATTACCTGGGAACTTATTAGAAAATTAAATTCTTAACCCCCACCATAGGTCTAATGAATTAGTAACTCTAGTGGTGTGTTCCCATAGTCTGTTTTAGCAAGACATCCCAGGTGATTCTGATGCATGATAAAGTTTAAGGGGTATTGGTCTAAATTATCAAAAAAAGCCAAACATTCTTAAATGTTTCATCTTTATTATTTGTGACTAATCACTTCTGATGTCTGCTCAGTAGATCATTAACAACATAAATGAAAACTTCTTGGGTCACTAAGCAGCCTGCATGTAGGAGCCACAAGGAGTCAGGTGGCCTTTGGCTGCTAGTAACAGTAACCTCAACTCAAATGCATTTAAAAGACAAGAAAATGGATTATCTCAGGCTACCAGAAGTCCAAAAGTAGAGTGTATCCCTATATGGCATATCAGGCACCCAGCTCTGAGTCTCAGTAATGCCCTTGTTTCTGCCTCCAACCATCTATTGGCTCCTTCCTCAGGACAGTAGCAAGATGGCAACCTGGTCCTGATCAAAGAATGGCTTGCAAGGCTTCTAGCCACATATCCTGACACTTTCAGTAGCAGAAATGGACTCTATCCCTTTGTTTCCATCATAAGAGAGAGAGGAAACCATTCTTAGAAGCTCTTCAGCACACTTTCCCTCACATCTAGATCTCACGTCCATAACTCTAAACCAACCATTGCCAAACAATGATTGGCTTATGCTTAGTTTTTGCCATTTCCTAAGGGGTAAACCCCTGAACAAAGTCAGGGTGCTGTCACAAGAAAACACAGGGAAAGCTAGGATTCATATTAATATCCAAATGAGAATTCACCTTATCGGGGAGCATGTTTAAAAATTCAGAGATAGGGCAGTTCCAAGAAGGCTGAATAGGACAGCTCCAGTCTTCAGTTCCCAGTGTGACTGACGCAGAAGAGAGGTGATTTCTGCATTTCCAACTGAGGTATTGGGTTCATCTCACTGGGGCTTGTTGGACAGTGGGTGCAGGACAGTGGGTGCAGCACACCAAGCGTGAGCCAAAGCAGGGTGAGGCATCGCCTCACCCGGGAAGCACAAAGGGTCAGGGAATTCCCTTTCCTAGCCAAGCAAAACTGTGACAGATGGCACCTGGAAAATCGGATCACTCCCACCCTAATACTGCGCTTTTCCAATGGTCTTAGCAAACGGCACACCAGGAGTTTATATCCCGCACCAGGATCAGAGGGTCCCATGCCCATGGAGCCTCGCTTACTGCTTGCACAGCAGTCTGAGATCGAACTGCAAGGCAGCAGCGAGGCTGGGGGAGGCTTTGCTGAGGCTTCACTAGGTAAACAAAGCGGCTGGGAAGCTCAAACTGGGTAAAGCCCACCACAGCTCAAGGAGGCCTGCCTGCCTCTGTAGACTCCACCTCTGGGGGCAGGGCATAGCCTAACAAAAGGCAGCAGAAACCTCTGCATACTTAAATGTCCCTGTCTGACAGCTTTGAAGAGAGTAGTGGTTCTCCCAGCAAAGAGTTTGAGATCTGAGAAAGTTGAGACAGACTGCCTCCTCAAGTGGGTCCCTGACCCCTGAGAAGCCTAACTGGGAGGCACCCCCTAGTAGGGGCAGACTGACACCTCACACAGCTGGGTAACTCTCTGAGACGAAAATTCCAGAGGAACGATCAGGCCGCAACATTTGCTGTTCAGCAATATTCGATGTTCTGCAGCCTCTGCTGCTGATACCCAGGCAAACGGGGTCTGGAGTGGACCTCCAGCAAACTCCAACAGACCTGCAGCTGAGGGTCCTGACTGTTAGAAGGAAAACTAACAAACAGAAAGGACATCCACACCAAAACCCCATCTGTACGTCACCATCATCAAAGACCAAAGGTAGATAAAACCACAAAGATGGGGAAAAAAACAGAGCAGAAAAGCTGAAAATTCTAAAAATCAGAGCACCTCTCCACCTCCAAAGGAACGCAGCTCCTCACCAGCAACAGAACAAAGCTGGACGGAGAAAGACTTTGAGGAGTTGAGAGAAGAAGGCTTCAGAAAACCAAACTTCTCCGAGCTAAAGGAGGAAGTTCGAACCCATCGCAAAGAAGATAAAAACCTTGAAAAAAGATTAGAAGAATGGCTAACTAGAATAACCAATGCAGAGAAGTCCTTAAATGACCTGATGGAGCTGAAAACCATGGCACGATAACTACGTGACGAATGCACAAGCTTCAGTAGCCGATTTGATCAGCTGGAAGAAAGGGTATCAGTGATTGAAGATCAAATGAATGAAATGAAGCAAGAAGAGAAGTTTAGAGAAAAAAGAATAAAAAGAAACAAACAAAGCCTCCAAGAAATATGGGACTATGTGAAAAGACCAAATCTACGTCTGATAGGTGTACCTGAAAGTGACAGGGAGAATGGAACCAAGTTGGAAAACACTCTGCAGGATAATATCCAGAAGAGCTTCCCCAACCTAGCAAGGCAGGCCAACATTCAAATTCAGGAAATACAGAGAAAGCCACAAAGAACTCCTTGAGAAGAGCAACTCCAAGACACATAATTATCAGATTCACCAAAGTTGAAATGAAGGAAAAAATGTTAAGGGCAGTCAGAGAGAAAGGTTGGGTTATCCACAAAGGGAAGCCCACCAGACTAACAGCTGATCTCTCGGCAGAAACTCTACAAGCCAGAAGAGAGTGGGGGCCAATATTCAACATTCTTAAATAAAAGAATTTTCCACCCAGAATTTCATATCCAGCGAAACTAAGCTTCATAAGTGAAGGAGAAATAAAATCCTTTATAGACAAGCAAATGCTGAGAGATTTTGTCACCACCAGGCCTGCCCTACAAGAGCTCCTGAAAGAAGAACTAAACATGGAAAGGAACAGCTGGTACCAGCCACTACAAAAACATGCCAAATTGTAAAGACCATCAATGCTAGGAAGAAACTGCATCAACTAACAAGCAAAATAACCAGCTAACATCATAATGACAGGATCAAACTCACACATAACAATATTAACCTTAAATGTAAATGGGCTAAATGCTCCGATTAAAAGACACAGATTGGCAAATTGGATAAAGAGTCAAGACCCATCAGTGTGCTGTATTCAGGATACCCATCTCATGTGCAGAGACACACATAGGCTCAAAATAAAGAGATGGAGGAAGATCTGCCAAGCAAATGGAAAACAAAAAGACAGGGGTTGCAATCCTAGACTCTGATAAAAGAGATTTTAAACCAACAAAGATCAAAAGAGACAAAGAAGGCCATTACATAATGGCAAAGGGATCAATTCAGCAAGAAGAGCTAACTGTCCTAAATATACATGCACCCAATATAGGAGCACCCAGATTCATAAAGCAAGTCCTTAGAGACTTACAAAGAGACTTAGACTCCCATATAATAATAGTGAGAGACTTTAACACCCCACTGTCAACATTAGACAGATCAACGAGACAGAAAGTTAACGAGGATATCCAGGAATTGAACTCAACTCTACACCAAGCGGACCTAATAGACATCTACAGAACTCTCCACCCCAAATCAACAGAATATACATTCTTCTCAGCACCACATCGCACTTATTCCAAAATTGACCACATAGTTGGAAGTAAAGCATTCCTCAGCAAATGTAAAAGAACAGAAATTAAAACAAACTGTCTCTCAGAACACAGTGCAATCAAACTAGGCCTCAAGATTTAGAAACTCACTCAAAACCACTCAACTACCTGGAAACTGAGCAACGTGCTCCTGACTGACTACTGGGTACATAACGAAATGAAGGCAGAAATAAAGATGTTCTTTGAAATCAACGAGAACAAAGACATAACATACCAGAATCTCTGGGACACATTTAAAGCAGTGTGTGAGGGAGATTTATAGCACTAAATGCCCACAAGAGAAAGCAGGAAAGATCTAAAATTGACACCCTAACATCATAATTAAAGAACTAGAGAAGCAAGAGCAAACACATTCAAAAGCTAGCAGAAGGCAAGAAATAACTAAGATCAGAGCAGGACTGAAGGAGTTAGAGACACGAAAAACCCTTCAAAAAATCAATGAATCCAGGAGCTTGTTTTTTGAAAAGATCAACAAAATTGATAGACCACTAGCAAGACTCATAAAGAACAAAAGAGAGAAGAATCAAATAGACGCAATAAAAAATGATAAAGGAGATATCACCACCAATCCCACAGAGATACATACTACCGTCAGAGAATACTATAAACACCTCTACGCAAATAAACTAGAAAATCTAGAAGAAATGGATAAATTCCTGGACACATCCACCCTCCCAAGACTAAACCAGGAAGAAGTTGAATCTCTGAATAGACCAATCACAGGCTCTGAAATTCAGGCAATAATTAATAGCCTACCAACCAAAAAAAGTCCAGTACCTGACGGATTCACAGCCAAATTCTACCAGAGGTACAAGGCAGAGCTCGTACCATTCCTTCTGAAACTCTTCCAATCAATAGAAAAAGTGGGAATTCTCCCTAACTCATTTTACGAGGCCAGCATCATCCTAATACCAAAGCCTGGCAGAGACACAACAAAAAATGATAATTTTAGACTAATATCCCTGATGAACATCGATGCAAAAATCCTCAATAAAATACTGGGAAACCGAATTCAGCAGCACATCAAAAAACTTATCCACCATGATCAAGTGGGCTTCATCCCTGGGATGCAAGGCTGGTTCAACATATGCAAATCAATAAACATAATCCAGCATATAAACAGAACCAATGACAAAAATCACATGATTATCTCAATAGATGCAGAAAAGGCCTTTGACAAAATTCAACAACCCTTCATGCTAAAAACTCTCAATAAGTTAGGTATTGATCGGACGTATCTCAAAATAATAAGAGCTATCTATGACAGACCCACAGCCAATATCATACTGAATGGGCAAAAAATGGAAGCATTCCCTTTGAAAACTGGCACAAGACAGGGATGCCCTCTCTCACCACTCCTATTGAACACAGCGTTGGAAATTCTGGCCAGGGCAATCAGGCAGGAGAAGGAAATAAAGGGTACTCAATTAGGAAAAGAGGAAGTCAAATTGTCCCTGTTTTCAGATGACATGATTGTATATCTAGAAAACCCCATTGTCTCAACCCAAAATCTCCTTAAGCTGATAAGCAACTTCAGCAAAGTCTCAGGATACAAAATCAATGTGCAAAAATCACAAGCATTCTTATACACCAATAACAGACAAACAGAGAGCCAAATCATGAGTGAACTCCCATTCACAATTGCTTCAAAGAGAATAAAATACCTAGGAATCCAACTTACAAGGGATGTGA
The DNA here is from genome assembly GCF_000001405.40 of Homo sapiens. Taxonomy (NCBI): domain Eukaryota; kingdom Metazoa; phylum Chordata; class Mammalia; order Primates; family Hominidae; genus Homo; species Homo sapiens. The sequence goes on along the minus strand of NC_000009.12, from coordinate 116,510,713 downwards.
AGGACCTCTTCAAGGAGAACTGCAAACCACTGCTCAACGAAATAAAAGAGGTTACAAACAAATGGAAGAACATTCCATGCTCATGGATAGGAAGAATCAATATCATGAAAATGGCCATACTGCCCAAGGTAACTTGTAGATTCAATGCTATCCCCAGCAAGCTACCAATGCCTTTCTTCACAGAATTGGAAAAAACTACTTTAAAGTTCATATGGAACCAAAAAAGAGCCCACATTGCCAAGACAATCCTAAGCAAAAAAACAAAGCTGGAGGCATCACGCTACCTGATTTCAAACTATACTACAAGGCTATAGTAACCAAAACAGCATGGTACTTGTACCCAGAGATATAGACCAATGGAACAGAACAGAGCCCTCAGAAATAATACCACACATCTACAACCATCTGATCTTTGACAAACCTGACAAGAGCAAGAAATGGGGAAAGGATTCCCTATTTAACAAATGGTGCTGGGAAAACTGGCTAGCCATATGCAGAAAGCTGAAACTGGATCCCTTCCTTACACCTTATACAAAAATTAATTCAAGATGGATTAAAGACTTAAATGTTAGACCTGAAACCATAAAAACCTTAGAAGAAAACCTAGGCAATACCATTCAGGACATAGGCATGGGCAAGGACTTCGTGTCTCAAACACCAAAAGCAATGGCAACAAAAGCCAAAAATGACAAATGGGATCTAATTAAATTAAAGAGCTTCTGCACAGCAAAAGAAACTACCATCAGAGTGAACAGACAACCTACAGAATGGGAGAAAACTTTTGCAATCTACCTGTCTGACAAAGGACTAATATCCAGAATCTACAACGAACTCAAACAAATTTACAAGAAAAAAAGAAACAACCCCATCAAGTGGGCAAAGGACATCAACAGACACTTCTTGAAAGAAGACATTTATGCAGCCTACAGACACGTGCAAAAATGCTCATCATCACTAGCCATCAGAGAAATGCAAATCAAAACCACAATGAGATACCATCTCACACCAGTTAGAATGGCAATCATTAAAAAGTCAGAAAACAACAGGTGCTGGAGAGGATGTGGAGAAATAGGAACACTTTTATACTGTTGGTGGGAGAGTAAACTAGTTGAACCATTGTGGAAGACAGTGTGGTGATTCCTCAGTGATCTAGAACCAGAAATACCATTTGACCCAGCCATCCCATTACTGGGTATATACCCAAAGGATTATAAGTCATGCTGCTATAAAGACACATGCACACATATGTTTATTGCGGCACTATTCTCAATAGCAAAGACTTGGAACCAACCCAAATGTCCATCAATGATAGACTGGATTAAGAAAATGTGGCACATATACACCATGGAATATTATGCAGCCATAAAAAAGGATGAGTTCATGTCCTTTGTAGGGACATGGATGAAGCTATAAACCATCATTCTTAGCAAACTATCACAAAGACAAAAAACCAAACACTGCATGTTCTCACTCATATGTGGGAATTGAACAATGAGAACACTTGGGCACAGGATGGGGAACATCACACGCCAGGGCCTGTCGTGGGGTGAGGGGAAGGGGGAGTGATAGCATTAGGAGATATACCTAATGTAAATGACGAGTTAATGGGTGCAGCACACCAACATGGCACATGTATACATATGTAACTAACCTGCACGTTGTACGCATGTACCCTAGAACTTAAATTATAGTTAAAAATATATATATAAAAAAATTCAGAGATAAAAGAGAGGTATGGGATGGAAATGAAGCTGTAGATGCTGAGCCCACACTCAGAAGTGCCACCTGGATGGTGACACCTGTGAGCATCTTCCAAGCTACCTCTTCCTTGCCCAATATCCCTGACTTTTGCTTTCTTCCTAGCACTTCCTTCAATGGAAACACTTTCTTCTTTGCCCTCTAATTATCCTTTTGTCTTGTGTATAGAGATGCTGAGGAAAGAATATATGACAGTCAGTGGAGCTGGTTCCAGATCTTAGATCTTTATAGTAATTCTGCATATTCCACTTACTGTTGTGACAAATCACCTCCCCTCTCTGATACCCAACTTGCCTCATCTATAAGGCAAAACTAAAATCATCTGCGCTGAAGTGCTGTTGTAAGGTTCATAATAAAGAAAAAAGTACTTTGTAAACTGTAAGGCACCACGTGGGCAAGGGTTTTGATGATACCTTCATAGGTTAGGGCTTCCCAAATGGCAGGCCTCTAGTACACACACACACACACACTCACACTCACACACACTTCTACCCTTCACAAAAAATTGACTGGTCCTGTTGAACACATTCAGTGGGAACTGAAGTTCTAGAAGAGTGAGCAGAGCATACGGAAATTCTTGCAGGCTGTGGAACTGGGTGAGGTGATGACAATGTTGACCTTGACGCCACTACCATGCACTGAATGTGTAATATGTGCTCACCAAGCTCATCTGGCATTGCTGATCCTCAAGACAGCTTTCTGAAGACCCTGTTACTATCTCTATCCCTGTTGTGTACGTAAGAAAACTGAGGCTTAGAAAGTTGTTACGGGGCGTGGTGGCTCACGCCTGTAATCCAAGCACTTTGGGAGGCCAAGGCGGGTGGATCACCTGAGGTTGGGAGTTCAAGACCACCCTGACCAACATGGAGAAACCCCGTCTCTACTAAAAAAATTACAAAATTAGCCGGGCATGGTGGCATATGCCTTTAACCCCAGCTACTCAGGAGGCTGAGGCAGGAGAACCGCCTGAACCCAGGAGGTGGAGGTTGCGGTGAGCCAAGATGACACCATTGTACTCCAGCCTGGGCGACAAGAGCGAAACTCCGTCTCAAGAAAAAATAAATAAATAAATAAAAGAAGAAGAAGAAAGTTGTGAAACTTGCCCAAGTACGTAAGCTAATGAGGTCCCTGTAAACTAAAGTAGAAAGAGAAGTGGTGGGATTGGATGTGAACATGAAATGGGGACCTGAGGATCGAGTTTGCAGAAGGACAGAAAGAACACATCAGACAGGGAGGCAAGTGGAGATGACAGTACCAATGTGGGAAGGTGCCAAGAACAATAAGAGAGGAGTGAATCTGGACTGGGAATCCATTCATTCACTAATTCCAAAATATTCTGAATACCCACGAGGCACCAGCATTGGTGCTAGACTGTGGGAATATTGTGGTCCAGAGGGAGGATGGGAGGCATACTTCTAGGAACTCATGCCCTTCAAACAAACAGGCTGCCCACCAACTGGACAATAATGATGGAGTGTTGACTGCCATTAACACAGACATTCACTTTCTAGTTCAGTAGAAAGTCTGGTTTGATTCTAATTGGACTCTGTTTTTCTCCTCCTGTGTGTCTTCAGACAAGTCACTTTCCCTTCTGTGCCTGTTTCTCCATCTGGAAAACAGGAGATTCACTTAATTGGTCTTTAAAGTCCTCAGCTCTGACTCTGAGGATGTCAGGTGACAATATTTCAACTCTGCATTTCAGGGAGACAAACTATGGAGAGCTTGGATATCTCTGGGTCCTAATCTCAAAACTGTTGCTCACTATTGGTGTAAGTTTGGAGACGCTCACTGATGTTGCGTCTCCATTTCTTCATCTTCAAAATGAGCATCACAATGCCAGCTTCACAGTATCTCTGTGAATGTTAAAGCGATTATGTATGTAGAGCACCAAGCACAGTGCCTGACTTATAGCAAGGAACCCAACACTTGGCCCATGCTGTGACACATGCCTTTTTCTATGCCATCTTCCTTAAACCAATCCCCAGAGTTTTTCTAGGCCTCAGAATTCTTTAAATAGATGAGTGAACTGAGGTCCAGAGAGGGCAGGTGAGTCACAAAGTAAAAAAGCAAGTCAGAGCACAGCCCACGTCCAAGCCCAGGTTCCTTTCCCCTCCAGGGAGCTGAAGAGTCAGTAAGTCGCTCCCTCCCCTGCAGGACTTGTCTATCCCCAGTTGGCAAATGGAAACCTCTGGGCGGTGAAGTAAGTCATCACTTTATAGAGCGGAAATTACTCTGAAAGGGTAATTGGACTTCTCCTGCCTGACTTTTTGGGGGGTTGGAGATGGCTACAGCAATCCCCTTCCTGCCCTCCTCCCACATTCTCTCTATTTATCAATCCCTTCCTCCTTTTGGCTGCTAGTGGCTGGTCTGCCTGCTCCCAGATGAGGGCCAGAGCTCTAGTTTGTTCATGGGACTCTAGCAAGGCCTATGTCTGGGTGGAGAACATGTGAAGTCACTCCTTCTTACTCCTCCATCTCTGGGGCTTCCCGCCTAAGAGGTAAAATCCCAAATAACACCCATTTCCCAGGGCATGCTTGGAGGTGAAGGGGAGCAATAATAGGAAATACAAGTTGGTGAAATACAAAGAGCTTTGGATTTGAGTCTGGCAGCTCAGTTTGCTAGTCCCACTCCTGTTATCCACCAGCTGAAGGACTTTAGAAAATTTTCTTCACCTCCTTGGGCCTCAGTTTATTCACATGTAAAGTGTGCATCAGAATGCCAGCCTTGCCAGCCTCTCAGAGTTTCATGAACAACTATGAGTTAAGTCATTCAGTAACCACTTATTGAACACCTACTACATACCGAACACTATTCCAGAAGCTGAGGAGAAGGCACTGAACAAGCTCCTATCATGGAGCTTATGTTCCCGGTACAGAGGGTTGGGAGGCAATGATGGTAAAGTAATAGATGTGCAATACAGAGTCAAAGTGTACTATGTGTTTGAAAGAAAAATAGGGTATGAGGATAGAGGTTGGGGGCATACCATTTAGTTACAGTGATCAGGACAAACCTCTTTGAGGGTGTGATGTTTGAGCAGAGACCGGAAAGTGGGAGGAAGTGAACCATGTGGCTAGCTGAATGTAGACTGCTCCAGACTGAGGATGTAGCAATAGCAAAGCCCCTGGAGCATCCTCAGGAGCACCAAGGAGGGCACAGTCATTGAAGTGTAGTCAGCAAAGGGAGAGGGAAGGCGCTCTAGCTGGAGCAGTAGTGAGGCTTTGGATTGCCTAGGAGTTGATGGATATGAAAATACCAGGTACACTGTAAAGTTCTAGTGCAACATGAGTGCCCCCGACCCATCGCCACTTCTTGTTTTGGAATACATTTTATACATTAAGGAGAAGCACTGGGTCAGATATTTTACACATTGAATCCTTGAAACATTCTATTAAAATGGTAATACTTCTTATTCCTGTCTTACACAAGAGGATGCTAAAGGTAGGAAGCCCAGTTTTATTGGAATCCAAAGGTGGTTCTTTGCATATTGTGGCAGACTTCTGGTTTTGGTTTGGTTTTGCCTTGCTTTTCTTAAAAAATAAATTCTAATGACTACTCAGATCCATTTGCATTGATTGGGTATCCAGTAAGGGAGAGGTGGAAACAGGGAGGCGAGCTGGGCACCAGGGAAAAGCTGAGCGGGAACCAACATTGTTTCCACAGAGCAGAGACTCCCTGGATTCATGATCTAGATGGTTCCATTCATCAGTAGCCTCAAAGCGATTAAAGGAATGAGTAGACTATCAGATACTAAAAGCACACGAGATGAGAAGTCAGAGATATTGATGCCCCATATGCAAAGTAGGGTTCTCTGATGTGCTAGCATAGTTAGTAATTATTGAGAATGTAAAGCATTTCAGTCACTTTTAGAGGATGTGAAAGTGTGTCTGACCTTTACTCTTCCCTCATAATAGTCAAATCTCAGTTGCGCAATTTAACCAAGTGACCTTAGGCAAGTTAGTGGATCTCTCTGAATCTTGATATACTCATTTGTAAATTTGGGGAAATAAGCTAACTTGTGTTTTTTGTTGTTGTTGTTTTGGGTTTTTTTTTTTTTTTTTTTGAGACAGGATTTCACTTGGTCATCCAGGCTAGAGGGCAGTGGTACTATCTTGGCTCACTGCAGCCTTGACTTCCCAGGCTCAAGTGATCCTCCCACCTCAGCTTCCTGAGTAGCTGGAGCTACAGATGCACGATACAACACCCAGTTAATTTTTGTACTTTTGTAGAGATGAGGTCTTACTATGTCGCCCAGGCTGGCATATTGTTATTAAGCTGAAATGAGATGCAGTACATGAAATACTAGGCATAGTATCTAACATTGTGAATGCTTAAGTTATATCAATTGTCACTGTTATTCTGAATAATATTATTATTACTTGAGAGTGTAAGATAGAAATACAAGCAGTAGTTAGCAATATGAAACACTCTCACAGGGTTACTGTAAGTATCAGAAAAGATTAAGAGCTTAATAAACACTAGTTATTATTATTATCTCAATGTCCTTTAAGTAAAATGGGTTTTCTTCTTAGACCTCAGAAAGTAGGTGCTGTCTCTCCCATCTTACCTTCCCTTCTTTCTTTCTTTCTCCCTTACCGTCCTCTTTGCCCTCACCTTGGTTGGGCCCCCATCCTGGCGATGTCAGATGCAGTCGCACAGGTTTTGCTGCTCACAATGCTACCACATTCCAAAGCTCACCATTCCAATTGTAGACATCATAAACATGTATTAATCATTGATCAAGTGTCTTGTTCTAACAAATCAGAATATTGGAACAAGGGAGGGAAGTATCTTAAGAAAGAGATGATTTTTATTTTTCTATTGTTTTTCCAATTTGCACAGAGGCACCCTATAGGCTAGCAGTAATAGTCTGAGCTTTAGTTTTCCTGTCTGTACAATGAAGCCCTGAAACAGATGATGCCTCAGGATCCCCATGGTTTTGGGTCCTTGCAGGTCCAGAAGTGGGCACTGCACTACCCAAGTTCATGAAGTCAGCTTTGGGACTATGGAGAGCAGAACTGTGATATGGACTGTGATGCCTTAGAGACCTGTGGGTTCTTGGTCTCTCTACCTTAACCACAGGTACCTGTAAACTGGGGATGATAATCCTAAACTGCCTACCTCACAGGATTATCGTGAGGATTAAATGAGGAAAGAGCGTGCTTTGTAAGCCCTAATGAGCTGCACAAATTGGAAAGATTACTTACACCACACGAACACACTCATATATATATTAAGTATGTATGTGTGTTTATATTTTACATTGCAGTATGTATGTGTGCATGTGTGTATATATAGTATATGTGTGTGTATATATTATGTAAAGCTGTGAACTCATAGGGTTAGGTATGAATTAGAAGCTTGTAAAACATGTTTACTCATTCAGTGTAACCCAAGGCAGTTATTAAACAGTAGGAAAAACTGACCAGCTAAATTTTCCAAGCCTAAAAACGCTTTTATAGTTTTCATTGTGGATTGAAGGGTGACCTTGTTTCCTTTTCTTTATTTCAAGGAAAATTTTAACATAAATGAGGAAGCAAGGGAGTCATTTTAATAGAGTGAAAACCTCTATATGTGGGTGGGAGGGATAGATGAGGGGAGCTGAATGGAAATGCCAGTCACCCTCTCACTCTCCCCCCCTCCTCCTCCCAGATCATCTGCCCCGAGTAGCGGTGAGACCAGAAGTAAAGCTTCCCTGGTCACTCAAGGGCATCCATCTCCAGAAGATGCCCTTCTAGCTGGTCCTGCCGTGCCCTTCCTTCCTTCCTTCCTCCCTCCTTCTTCCTTCTTCCTTCCTTTCTCCTTTCTTCTTTCCTTACTTCCTTCCCTTCTTTCCTTTCTCCTTCCTTTTTTCTTTTCTTCCATCTTCCTTCCCTTCCTCCCTCCTTCCTTCCTTCCTTTCTTCCTTCCCTTCTTCTTTCCTTCCTCCTTTTTTCTTTCCTTTCATCTTCCTTCCTTCCCTCTCTCCCTCCCTCTCTCCTTCCTTCCCTTCTTTTCTTCCTCCTTCCTTTTTTTCTTTCCTTCCATCTTTCTTCCCTCCCTCCCTCCTTTCCTCCTTCCTTCCCTTCTTCTTTCCTTCCTCTCTTTTTTCTTTCCTTTCATCTTCCTTCCTTCCCTCTCTCCCTCCCTCCTTCATTCTCTTCTTCTTTTCTACCTCCTTCCTTTTTTCTTTCCTTCCATCTTCCTTCCTTCCTTCTCTCCTTCCTTCCCTCATTCATTCATTCATTCCTTCCTTCCTTCCTTCCTTCCTTCCTTCCTTCCTTCCTTCCTTCCTTCTTTCCTTTCTTCCTTCTGTTTTTCTTGTTTGCCTTGGTCTTGGTCTTTCTGACCCCGATTTTCTCTGTTTCTCTCTCTCTCTCCTCACCAACTCCTGTCTATGTCTCTCTATTTCTATCTGTCTTTCTAGGTCTCTGACCTTCTATCCACTTCTCTCTGATTGTCTTTTTTCTGCATTTTTATTTCTGGTTCTCTGTCTTTGGCCCTATGTGTTCTTATCTATGTCTCTCTCTTTCTCTCTCCATTTCTCCTCTGTCTCTCACTGTGGCTCTCAGTTTCTGCTTCAGTCTTTCTGAGTATTTTCTGGCTGTAGTTCTCTCTTGGTCTCTTTCTCTATTTCTCTCTCTCTCTCCTCTCTCTGTGTGTGAGTGTGTGTCTTTGTGTCTGTGTGTTGTGTGTCTCCTCTCTGTGTTTGTTTTTTGTGTGTGTCTCTCTCTGTCTCTCTCTGTGTGTCTCTATGTCTCTCTGCCTCTCTGTCCCTGTCTCTCTGTCTCTCTCTCTCACATACATGCATGCATACACATACACACACACACACACATTTGGAAATCTACCTCTCTCTGCCACCTCCCAGGTCCCACCTCCTTCTCAATGATTCACCTCAGCCTGGTTAAATGGTGTTGCTTGCATGACCAGAAAACCTGACTCATCTTTGCTTGGGCCTTCTCCCCACCCTTCTGGAGGCTTGTTGCCTCCAGGGATGGAGTGGGGAGGGGGATATGCTTTTTGTGTGTGTGTGCAAGTGCGAGTATGGAGGAGAACTGAGTTTGGGGAATGGGATGGGCTCAGGACCTCATTCAATCCCACTGGTGCTGTTTTTTTTTTTTATTATTATACTTTAAGTTTTAGGGTACGCGTGCACAATGTGCAGGTTAGTTACATATGGATACATGTGACGTGCTGGTGCGCTGCACCCACTAACTCATCATCTAGCATTAGGTATATCTCCCAGTGCTATCCCTCCCCCCTGCCCCCACCCCACAACAGTCCCCAGAGTGTGATGTTCCCCTTCCTGTGTCCATGTGTTCTCATTGTTCAATTCCCACCTATGACAACAGGTGCTGGAGAGGATGTGGAGAAATAGGAACACTTTTACACTGTTGGTGGGACTGTAAACTAGTTCAACCATTCTGGAAGTCAGTGTGGCGATTCCTCAGGGATCTAGAACTAGAAATACCATTTGACCCAGCCATCCCATTACTGGGTATATACCCAAAGGACTATAAATCATGCTGCTATAAAGACACATGCACACGTATGTTTATTGCGGCACTATTCACCATAGCAAAGACTTGGAACCAACCCAAATGTCCAACAATGATAGACTGGATTAAGAAAATGTGGCACATATACACCATGGAATACTATGCAGGCATAAAAAAGGATGAGTTCATGTCCTTTGTAGGGACATGGATGAAATTGGAAATCATCATTCTCAGTAAACTATCGCAAGAACAAAAAACCAAACACCCCACTGGTGCTTTTGGGTTCCCAGAGATTGCCTTTGGGGAGTCCTGGTCAGACTTGGGTTTGGAGCTTGGGTTCTTCTCCCACCCTAGGGGAGAAGAAGAAAGACAAATAGTCTCCCTTATCTACTGAAGATATCCCAGCTATTAGTTAATGGCAGGCTTTGAGGTGTATATTTAGAAAAGGGAGGGAAGTTTGGGCATTCAGCTGTTTTTAATCTTGGGACACATAGTTTGTGCAGTTCTGGTTTGGGAGGATCAAAAAGTGCTAAATACATGAGGATAATTCACTTTCCCTAGTTTGTTGAGTTTTTCCTTTCTGCTTACACCACACAAAGTGTTTCATGAATTGGTATTTTTTAAAATAACAGTGATAATAGCAAAGCTGCTGTTTATTATTTACCATACGCAAGGCAATGTGCTAGGTGCTTCCCATACACTATCTAAATTAATTCTTATTTGAGTTCATTGATTCCCTAGAGATAGATATTTTCACATTCATTTTACAGATGTGGAAAATGAGGCTTAAAAAGATGACGTCACTTGCTTAGAATCATTTAGCAAAGCCAGAATTCAAACCCAGGGCTGAGCACAATATTGTCTGTTCTGCTGCTTTTCCCTCTCAAAGGAGATTTGATATCAGCATGTTAGTGAATTGAATTGCCTAACATGTTTGGAGGGACACAGTAAGGGTGGGTTCCTTGTTAGCCACTGCAGGGGGTGGCTGTAAGCCTGTATTAGTCATGGCTCAGCTCACAGCCTGGATGAGAAGACAAGAGCACAAGCTATAGCTACAGCAGCACGGGATCAGGGGTTAGAAATGTGTGATCTGGTTCCAGTACCTCTTCAGCTACCCACATTCCTTTCCGGAGATTCACCTTCCCCTAAATGGAAATTTTCACTTCCATTGTGCTGTGCCCACCTCATCATGCACTTGTGAAGCTTAAATTTAATGAGGTGGTGGAGGCATACATTGTAAACTAAAAAGGGTTTTACAAAAGGAGAGGGCAGTGGAAAGAGAAGAGCAATCCTCACTGCACAGGGATAGTAGAGTCAAAGGGTTAATGGGTAACCAGTGTGGGTGGCTGAGGTGCTGTAGCAAAGGGTGAGGCTGGGCAGAAACTCCAGGGTTCGTCAGGCATCAATAAGCAATCATATCAATTAGGGAGATTTCCTGGGGTGTGGTGTCTGGCAGATAGATAAAGTGATAGAGAAATATAGAGGAAAATAAACAGGAGTTAGGTGGGTTGCAAGACTGAATCAGGTAAAGGCTGGTGGAGAACTTGATGAGCATTCTTTTTATTATGGTCCTGTGCTTTGGTGGATGAGGAGATGAACTTATTCGTACAGAATCTCATAAGAAGGTAGGGGCACTGACCAGTCCCCTGAATCTCTACTCAGTACTCTTTTACATAAGACCCAGTGGCCTCATGGGATTGCTGTTTCCAACACAACTCCAAGGTTGATGCATAATGAGGTCCTAGCATCCCCCCAATCTTCCACCCCATGGGCTTTCTTCCAGCAGGTAAAGGAAGCCATGCTTATTCATTGACTCACTTGTTCTGCATAAGCCTAGGCACTAGGGCTCAGGTGGTGACTAAGACAGGCCAGGTACCTTACCATAATCCTCCCAGTGCATGAGGGGAGGAAGACAACTACATATGTAATTACAGGACAATGAGTTATGGACTATAATAGAGAGGGACACAGGGAGCTGTGGGAACTCAGTTGAGGGGCCCTAAACTTTGCCAGGTGAAGGCAAAGAGTGACCAAGAAGAGCTTTTTGAAAGACATTGGGTATGAGCAAAAACTTAAGGGATGAACATTAGTTGTCCACACGTGTTTACAAAACCTTGACTGAGTCATGAGTACCTCTCCGGCATCATCCCTGCCTTGATTCATTCAATCGACCTTTAATGAATAGCTACTGTGCCCCCCACACTCTGCTAGACACTGGGGAAATCATGAACAACATGGACAAGGCTTCTAAACTCATGAATTAATATTTTAGTAATAAAAAGCAAATAAAGAGGTAAATAAAGTGACAAACACAGTAACTACAAATTATCACTAGTGCTTGGAATAAAATCAAGAGTTCTCTGGTGGGGCATAACTGAGAGTGGGCAGTTTGGATTTGCATTAGTCGGGGTGGTGCAGAGGATTCTAAAGGGATGGAACTTCAGCTGAGATGATGGAACAGAAGCAGCCAGCTCTTTAGAGAACTAGGGAAGAGTTATGGAAGCTCTAATCTCAGGAATACATTTTCCTGCAGCATAGCATCCTCATACCCCAACTTTTTTCTTCGTGTGTGAAGTGAGTTAGTGTATTGGCATTCAAATTCTGCTTTGTTTAAGATGGCTATGTTTCCAGGTTATTAAAGATCCTTCACTATCACATTTTTTGTGCCCTGCTATGTCCTTGGAGCTGAACATTGGCATATGTATCAGAAGTACTGACCTGGCATTTTTATTACCTTACCTGGCACTGTGTGAATTTTCCTTAGCAACATCTACTGACATATACATCATGTTTTGCAGATTATAAATCCTTTAATGGATTTAATGTACTCTTCTTCACTTTCTTGTAGAGTAGATACTGACATCCTCCTTTTTTTTTTTTGAGGTAGGGTCTCACTCTATTGCCCAGGCTGGAGTGCAGTGGCACAGTCACAGCTCACTGCAACCTTGATCTCCTGGGCTTAAGTGATCCTTCCACTTCAGCCTCTCATATAGCTAGGGCTACAGACACATGCCACCACACCTGGCTGTTTTTTGTTTTTTGTTTTTTGTTTTTTTTTAGAGATGGGGTCTTGCTATGCTGTCCAAGCTGATCTTGACCTCCTGGCCTCAAGTGATCCTCCTGCCTTAGCTTCCCCAAGAACTGGGATTACAGGCATGGGACACTCACTGTGCCTGGCCCTGATATCCTTATTTTAGAGACAAGGAGACTGAAGTTCACAGAGACAGAGCAATTAAGAAGTGCCTGTTGTGGTGGAAAAACAACAGGCTTTGGAATTGGATCAACCTGGGTTCAAGTTCTAGCTTTGCTGGGTAGTAGCTGTGTGTTTGGAAGGCTTGCCTTAACTCTCTGAGCCTCTTTTTTCTTCTTCACAAAATAAGAATCATAACTTCAACCCTGCCAGATACTATGCTTTTTCATCACATTTGTGGACAGAGGGGCTCCTAGGGCCCACCGTCAGCAACCTCGTGGTTTTTGCCTTTTTGTACAGAGAGGGAGATGTTGAATGAAGTGTTTGGCCCAGAGAAAGTTGGAAGTATTAGGGGAACTGAGAATCTGATAGGAAGCACATCGTACAGTTGGTTCTTTCCACTTTACAATGATATAACATTTGGGAATGGAATTTTAAAAAGGAAAAAAGTAAAAGAAAACCCTCCATGGATGAGTGCTTCAAAGGCAGTGAACTCACACTGTGGTCCTTAAAGAGTGATTGGGGGGGAGGAGAACTTGGCCTTCCTTCATCCCTCCCCCTTCTCCCCAGCCTGGTCCCCAAATCAGCTTTCCCCACACATGTTAGCAATACCCGCTGCAGCCAAATGCATTAGCATCATTTGTCCTCCAGACAGTGGGGATGACGAGGGCTTTTATGGCTCTAATTAATCCAGCAGTAGAAAAAGGAAGGCTTTATAAGCCAAGTGCATATTAATGTTGAGGTTAATACTATTAAATTCAGTATTAATCATAAGTTGCAGGACTCCTTGGTTGGCTGCACGTAAAAGCAGTCCTTGCCGTTCTCCCTTGCAAAACTGTGAGCATCACAGGGAAGAGGTTTTGTTCCTGTGGGTCAGAGCTGTGACCACAGTTGTAGTCCTTTCCCTGGCGCCTAGAGGGTGTTCGATAACTGCTTGTGAACTCTTTGAACAGTGAGGCTAACAAGTTTGTCCTAGACCTCAAGAAGGAAGACAAGTCAGTTGCTCTTTTTACAAACTCCTTAAAGGCAGAGACTGTATCTTTATAGCAGATGCCTCTGGGGCCATGCCATATCCTCTTGGCCCATGGCTATTTCAGCTGCAGCTGTGGTGAGCAGCTCTGTGCACACTCAGGCTCACTTTGTGCTGCCAGTGACCTCAGATGCACACTTGCACTTTCTGCCCCACAGCCTTATGAGAGATTGAAGGAGCTCCCTAGGCCAGTGTGCAAGTACAACTTTAAAAAAGTGTGGGGAAATAACACTCCTGGGTGAAGGACTTGACATGGTTTGGCTGTGTCCCCAACCAAGTCTCATCTTGAATTATAGTTCCCATAATCCCCATGTGTTATGGGAGGGACCCTGGTGGGAGGTAATTGAATCATGGGGGCAGGTTTTACCTGTGCTGTTCTCATGATAGTGAATAATTCTCAGGAGATCTGATGGTTTTATAAAGGACAGTTCCCCTGCACAAGCTCTCTTGCCTGCCACCACGTAAGACGTGCCTTTGCTCCTCCTTTGCTTTCCACCATGATGTTGAGGCCTCCCCAGCCATGTGGAACTGTGAGTTCATTAAACCTCTTTTTCTTATAAATTACCCAGTCTCAGATATGTCTTTAATTGCAGCATGAGAATAGACTAAAACAGGACCCAACCAATGGGAATCAGGAATTGGTAGATAAGTGCCCCATCTCCCCGACTTCCAGCCAAACAGTTCTGGGGGGTATCTTGTTCCCTCCTTAAAAGGGTCTTGCAGAATTAGGTCCCATCATGTACAGTAGCAAACTTGAAGATATACCTTTATATTGACTTTTTCTCTTCCCTGTCTTACTCTGCCCTTTACCCCATACCTGCTCCCTGGAATCACCTCCCAAATAAACCTTCTGCACCCAAGCCATTGTTCTTAAGCTCTGCTTTCCAGGGAATTCAAACGAAAGTGTTCTTTATGCTTGTGCTCCCAGCCATCAGCTCAGTTTGAAGCACACAACAGATACATTCACTCACTATATAAATATTTATGGAAAACCTACTGTGTACAGACACCATTCTAAGTGAACAAATTCTCTTACTCACAGGGTTTACAGCAGGGGATACAGGCAATATATCAATCCATCAATATATGAGAGACAGTGATAAATTTTGTAAAGATAAATGGGTTAAGAGGGTAAAGGGTGATAGTGGATGCTCCTGTAGACTGAGTGGCCAGAGAAGGCCTTTCTGAGCAAGTGACATTTGAGCAAGGATTTGGGAAAGGAGAGGGAGTAAGCCATACAACGACAAGGGGAAGAAGGCTCCATGGAAACCACAGGTGCAAAAGCCCTGTGGTGGGAGTATGTTTGGCATGTTAGAGGAGGAGGAAGAATGTCTGCATGGCTGGAATGCGTGAGTGAGGAAAGGAGCCCAGGAAGTGAGGAAGAAGGGGCCCGAGGAAGCAGGACACTGGAGATACCCCGTGAATTCTTGTTAATTAGTAGTCTTTGTATCCCTCACCCTAGGCAGCGTTTTATGATAGGAAAGGCTCGGGTTTTGGAGTCTGACAGCTTTGAATCTGAATTCCAGCCTTCTTATTTAGATGGAGTATGACTTTGGACTACTTGATTTAGATCTGTGAGCATTATTTTTTCATTTATAAAATGGCAATCATAAAACATACCTCATAGGATTTGTATTTGAGAGGACTCCTGATTGCAAGGAACAGAAAACAAATGGAAAGTTGCAAAAATGCAAAAATACTAACTCATGTATCTGAAATACCCAAGGGTAGATCTAGGCCTCAGACACAACTGGGTCCAGGGCTTCAAATAATGTCATCAGAACTTGGTTGGTGTCTGTACCTGGAGTTAGTCTGATTGATTAAGCCTAGGTCACTTGTCTTTTTGACCTTTGACATGAAATGGCTGGCCATCGATCACATGCCAGTCTCTGAAGGATAAAAGGGGCCTTAGCTCTACCTAAATTGTTTAGACTGAGATTGGGGGAGAGCTGGTTCCCCAAAGGAAAACTCAGGTGCTGTTGGTAGAAAGAGGCATGCCTTTATAGCCAGTCAAACCAACAGGTGTCCACTAGAGGGCAGGCATGAGGATGAGCCTGAAGTCTCAGCACGATGCCTGGCACACAGAAACTCTCAGTAGGTATTTGCTAGATCACTATTCCCTTTTTTTGGAGCCCTTATCTTTACGTCATTTCCTCCTTTCCTGTATTATTTGTGTCCTATTTACTCCTGAAAGGTTATGCAGGAGGCAGCCTGGCTATCCCAAGAGAGAGTTCTAATGCCAGGTGCTGATGTCGAGTAAATAGGAGCAGATCCAGGCTTCAACCACTGAAGTTCAGTTTCACAGGCTTCAGTAAATAGCTTCATCATCAGCCCTATGCTGGACACCAGTAACACAAGGGTGACTGAAACAGAATTCCCACCCCAGGCATCTCGCAGTCTGGAGGGAAATGTGCAGTAGGAAAGGCACAGACTTTGGGTGCTGAATGTCCTGACTTCAGCCTTTACTCTGACATTCCTAGGTAGATTTTTGTGAGAAAGTTATTTACAGATGAAACTGTTTCCTCATCTGCAAAAGCACAATTCACTGAATTCATTAGGTTTTATCGAATTTTAAGCAAGATGGATTGTTTTGAATATTTAACCAAGACAATATAAGTAAAAATGTCTAGCGTTGTTGATGCCATGTAATAAAAGCCAAATAACATTTTTATTTCCCTCTTTTTGCTTCCTTTCTTTCTTTGTTTCTTATTTCATTCCTTCCTTCCATTCAAAATGTCTTCTTTTTGCAAAAAAACAGGAAGGTTTTAGGGAGTTAGATATGATGTAATGCACCTAAAAGCAACTGAGCGTGATAACTAAAAATTTTGCCATCAGACAAATTATTCAGACCTGAGGGAGCAGGGGTGAGGGGGGCACTAACATTTGTAAGCTATTCATGTATCAGACATATTATAAATATTCTCTTACTCAATCCTCACCTGACTCTCTGAAATTGATAGGATCATCTTTTCAGATGAAGAAGCAGTCTCTGAGAGTTTAATCATCCATCTCTACATAATATAGTTCATAAGTGGTAGGTCTGGCTTCAAAACTAGGTGTCATCTGCTCCCCAAAACCCACTCTCTTTCTACTACCTCCTACTGCCATTACAATAAAGGTGAGGATCTCTACACACTGCTTCTTCAGATTTAAAATAACACCATGTTTCAGAAGAAACAAACCAACTGCAGCTGATAGGTATGAGGCCCTTAAAGATGCATTTTGTCCCTGACAAGTTCTCATAATGAATTTCTACAGTTGCCCAAGTAAAGGAAATGCAGAGAGAGCTCTGCTTCTCCCTGGGCACCATGACAAAGAGCATCTGCAGGTTAGAGAGGCCAGGCCCAGAGTGACGACTCCTAAATCCTCTTGGTGTTTCCCGAAAAGAGTGTGGAGCCCTGAGCTGGGGACCTTTCTCCTCACCTGGGCTAAAAAACTTGCCGTCCCCACCCCCACATCCCCCCACTCCCACTGCTCCTTCCATTCTGGAATTTCTTTTCTGCTTTTCTCCCAACCTGTTTTCAATTTGCTCATGTGGCCGGCTTTGACGGTGACCTCAACTCATTCAGAAGCAAGAGGGTGAGGGGAGAAAGAGAGAGAGAGGGGAAACAAGGAGGAGGATTGAGGGACTGCTGAAAGGAGAGGGAGAGGGAATTGAGGAATAGGGGGTGGGGCCTCTAGAAAAATTGATCCATGCTTTGTTGGGTTGATTCTGAAGCTGCAGCAGAATCATGATTAACATTTTCTGTGGAAGGTAATGAGAGCAAGGCTAGAGTCTGAGTGGATAAAGAAATGTGTGGGGGTCTGGCCCCAGCCCACTCGGGTTACAGCCCCAGAAGAGCTGTAATGGGGAACAGGCACATTCCTGTACAGCGACTCCCAACTCCCTATCTGTTTTCAAGGAAAGAAAAACAGGAAAAGAATGTTAGAGACTTGGACGAACTTGGGCGAGGCAGAAGCAGCAGCCTGGGTTCTAGGAGGGTTCTACCATAAGCCCCTAACAAGGTACCAGGGAGGACGGAGCAGAGGCCTCCCAGGTAGAGTGGCCTAGTGAAAGGTGCATGGGGCTCAGATGCAAGACAGTGGGGCTTGATTCTGGATTCTGCCCCTGAGTAGCTGCAAATCCTTGAATTAAGGTGTAGCATTCCCAAGCCTCTGTATTTCTATCAGAGAATACAGCACAGTTCTGGAATTCAAACACTTTAAGCAATAAAACTTTAAAACCAACTTTTATAAACAGTTTTGTAAAAAACTAAATAAAAACATGGACCGCTAGTATATAAAATAGATCAAACTAGAGTTGATCTAGTTGAAGGTTAGTGTGAGTATATGGAAGACTGGCCCCAATCTCTCTCCTGTTAGTGTTCATCCTTGCCCCTGGAGTTCTCTATGTTATAATCTGCAAACCACTGTTAAAATATATGACATATTAGAAATGTACTAAACTCCTATCTCTTGGAGACTTTGTGTCTTTCTCAGAAATTCCAGGCTTAAGAAGATGGCAAGGTGGAACCATGTACCTAGCACAGTGTCTGGTGCGTAGTAATTGCCCAGGGACTGTATATCACATTCATGTTGAATAAAGTGGTCAGAAATTGGGGAGGAAGGGCTCCTGTGTTAGCTTTGAGAGATTTTAAATTCTCAGTGATTTTATCTCATAAGTTGGCTGGTACAAGTTATCTCCGAGACTCCAGGAGTCAAGGCACCAAGTTTTTGTTCCAAATCTCCTCCTGTTGAGTGTATGGGCATGGACCTGTCACTGTCCTTCTCTGATCTTCAGTTTTGTCACCTGTAAAAAGAGAAGCTTGGATGAAAAGATATCTTTAAGAGTCCTTATCTCTACTCTGTTATGTTGAAAACAAGAATAAGAAAAACAAGGCTCTCACAGTGGCTCATGCCTGTAATCCCAGCACTTTGGGAGGCTGAAGCAGGCAGATCACCTGAGGTCAGGAGTTCAAGACCAGAATGGCCAACATGGTGAAACCCTGTCTCTACTAAAAATACAAAAATTAGCCAGGCATGGTGGTGGGCACCTATAATCCCAGCTACTCGGGAGGCTGAGGCAGGAGAGTTGCTTGAACCCGGGAGGTGGAAGTTGCAGTGAGCTGAGATCATGCCACTGCACTCCAGCCTGGGCAATAGAGAAAGACTTTTTCTCAAAAAAAAAAAAAAGAGAGAAAAACAAAAACAGTAGTAGTTGATACACATTTTAAGCTCTTACTGTGTTCCAGTATACAGTATTTTATATGATGTTTGCAACTGTCTAAGTTAGATACTATTATTCTCCTCATTTTACATATAAGAATATAGATGTACAGAGTTAAGGAGCTTGTCCAAGACAAGCAGTAAGTGGAGTACTAGGATTTAATCTTAGGCAGAGTAAACTTAAAAGCCCAGGCTCCTAACCACTGCTCTGTATATTATTGCTCATTCAATTGTATGGTTGCCAGATGCAGAGTATGTTATATTGTGGAACTAAAATACATGTGTTGAATTGCATTGATTTTCATTTGTGCATAGAGAAGCCCCCATGCCTTTCTTAGTACCCCCTCCACTGGGTGAGGAAGAACACTGGGGGATTACTTCATTCACCTGTCTTCATCTAAATTGCATTTAAACCTTCTGAAATCCAGTGCCAAAAAAAGCTATCTTACAGTTTACTTTATAGGTTTGTTCTTGTATTTAACAACCCTTCCTGTTGTCAGATTACAAGCTGTAGAAGGTCAGGGACCATTTCTTTTATTGTCTCATTCCTCAAGCTAAGAGTGTGGCGGGAATTCAATTGCAAATTGAATAGCATTGAGAAACCTCCCTTTCTAATACTATCATTTTCAAACTTTCTCTAGGAGGCAGCATAGTATAAAAGAAAAGGTATGTCTTTGGAACTGAAAAAATAGGGGTTCTAATCTCAGCTATCTTCCTTTTTAACTGCAACATTAACCTCAGCTTTACCATGGGGAAGATAAAATCTAACTTGTTAGATTGCTGTGAGGATTAAATGGAAAAAAGAAAAATAAGTACTAGATGTCAGTTGCCTTCCTTTTAACTTTCTCATTTGAAGATGATTATATTCATACAGTTGTGAATAGAACTGGGCACTAAATATCCTTATAATGA
Organism: Homo sapiens; assembly: GCF_000001405.40. NCBI lineage: Eukaryota > Metazoa > Chordata > Mammalia > Primates > Hominidae > Homo > Homo sapiens. The sequence goes on along the minus strand of NC_000009.12, from coordinate 116,491,140 downwards.
TCTTGGTATGACTAGTTATACTGCATATACTGCAGGTGAGCCAGTTCCTTCACTTGAATTAAACCTGCAAACCTTAGAATTTTTCAGAACATAGAATCATGCCAGTCTTACTGACCTGACATGTTTATGGGGCTTGTATCCATGGTCCCAATTATTCTGAAATTCATGGAACTATCTGGAAAGCTATTCCCATTTGAAAATGAATATCAGCCATCTTTTCATCTCAAGACAGGTAATTAACACAGGCCACAAACATACTGAGTTCCTTCATTGATATGGTTTGGCTGTACCCTCACCCAAATCTCATCTTGAATTGTAGTTCCCATAATCCCCATGTGTCCTGGGAGGGACCTCGAGGGAGTTGATTAGATTATGGGGGTGGTTACCCCATGCTGTTCTCGTGATAGTAAGTGAGCTCTCATGAGATCTGATGATTTTATAAGGGGCTATTTCCCCCTTCCCTGGGCACTCATTCTCTCTCCTGCCACCCTGTGAAGAGGTGCCTTCCGCCATGATTGTAAGTTTCCTGAGGCCCCTCTAGCCATGCAGAACCATGAGTCAATTAAATCCCTTTTCTTTATGAGTTACCCAGTCTCAAGTATTTCTTCATAGCAATGTGATAATGACTAATACACTCATGAAGATCCAGCTCTCTCATTGGCTATCTGGAAACAAATTGAAAAGCAGACAGACATGGACCCAAGCTCAAAGAAAACAAACACATGTAGCCAGACTTGGAATCCTGAGTACCCAAGTGAAATAAGACCCTCACTCCATCTAGTGAATAATCTCATGTCTTTTCTCTCCCCTACCCTCACCCTCACCACCAATGCCCCCTTTTTTTTTTTTTTTTTTTTTTTTTTTTTTTACTTTTTATCACATACATTGCTCTGGAATTTGTGATATTTTTTGAAATGGACATATTGTTAGTTTCTGGTTGTACTATGAAAGAAACTGATATAAGAGGCCTACAGAAGAAATGTGGGATGCCAAAATTATGCTGAATAAAAGATTCATTCACATCTTCATTTTCCAGACAAACCTCTGGTTCTAGGCATCTTTGTTTCTTTCTAGACCCTTGGCTTTACTCTGTAGACTCCAAATGCATGAGAGTGCTGTTAACTCCTTGTAACAAAAAGAAAAATGGAGACATTGAGAAGTTTAAGGACTTGCAGCCCATGGTGGAATTAGTACTCAGTCTCAGGTCTGTCTTGCAGTGGCAGCTGAAATTGCCTGTTGCCAACACTACCCTGATTTAGACACTTGATCCTAAATCTAGCATCTACGCGTCAAGTCTATGAACCATGTATTGTCTTCGTGAAAAATAGAAACCAAGAAACAGTACCCATCAAGACCTGCTCTATTGGACTAAAGGAGCAAATACCTTCTAGAACTGTTGTTCGGCTGAATCCCAGGGCCATCTGGCCAATTCAGTCAGATAAGTCTTGCAAGATTCACTTGTGAGACGAAGAATGAAACTCTTCTTTTTAAAACTGTTTTTCTTTAAGAATGAAACTTTTGGGCCAGGCACAGTGACTCATGCCTATAATCTCAGCACTTTGGGAGGCCAAGGCTCAGTAGTTTGAGACCAGCCTGAGCAACAGGGTAAGACCCCATCTCTACAAAGAATACAAAAGTCAGCTGGGTGTGGTGGTGCATGCCTGTAGTACCAGCTATTTGGGAAGCTGAGGTGGGAGGACCTCTTGAGCCTGCGGGGCAGAGGCTTCAATGAGCTGAGGTTGCACCACTGCACTCCAGACTTGGCAACAGAATGAGACCCTGTCTCAAAAAAATTAAAATTAAAATTAAAAAATAAATAAATAAATAAAATAAAGAATGAAACTTTTCTTTGAAAGACCAACAGGAAGTGATCTGTATATTCTGCTCAACCAGTTCCTTGGTAGAGAAGCACCACCAAGCTGCTCTGAGTCCTAATCTTCTGAAACACGAGCCAACACTATTGTTCTTTTATGGTTTCATGACATTGTCTTGTTCTTAACCCCAGGTAGAGAGGATGTAATGGAGCTGGCACCCTTTTCTGGTTTATTAGTGGGGCTGTACATGAATAGAGCTCTGAGGAACTCTCTATCAGGCATGAAGAAAAGAAGAAAACAACAGTTGAGAGGCCTCATATCATTTTATACTGTGCGGTATAAAAATACCTCATATGTCAGTTTTTTTCCTAGATCATCCAATTTTAGAATTAGAGGGGAACTTAGAGGCCATTTAGTCTGGCCCATTTACTTTATCTATTTTTAAGTAATTTTTATTGATATTTTTATGGGTTACAAAAGCAATATATGTTTATTGAAGATAATTTTTAAAATAGAGATAAGCAAAAATAAGATAGAAAAAGTGCCCATTATGTCACTCTCCAGACAGTCCACCTTAAACATTTGTTTTTATTTTCTTCCTTCTGTTTTTAAATGCATGTGCATATAAAATTTCTACAAAAATGAGATTATTTTGTAATAGTGTAACCTGTTTTTAACTTCACATTATGTCATAAATATCCTTTCATATTCTTTCACAGATTATTTTTAATGACTATAAAATAGCCTATTGCATCATTGAACTCAATTGATATAGCCATTTCTATGTAGTTGGACATTTAGCTGTTTCTACATTCTTGCTAGTATAAATAGTACTGCGATGTTTATCCTTATAACTTAATTTTTGTTCATATCTGTATTTTTATTTTATTTTTTTCAAGAATCCTAACAATGATTCTGGCACCTTCACCATGCAGAGGAGAAAACTGAAGCACAAAAAATGAGGATTTAGTTGCCCAAGACTATACAGCAAATTCTCAACAGAACTAAGACTAGATCCCAAGAGTCTAGATGTTCAGTTATTCTTTCTAGTTTTCTTTACTTCCTAGACTTCTTTATTAGTTCTGTTTCTAGTAAACTTCCACTACTTCTTAAAATCCAATGGTTAGATTTAAAGTAAATTAAAGAAGTGATGGAGTTTGAGGATCACAAATATGTGGCACATAGTCTCCCATTGTTCCATCCTGTACATGGTGAACGTTCCATGACATCATGTACATCCTGTACATGGTGAAGGTTCCATGACCTTCATCACTAATCAATCACAGAACTCTTTACTCCTTAGCTGGTCTCTGTCCATCTCACTATAACACTCCATGAATCCAGTACCCATGCCTAACAGTGGCAATTTGACATGAAAATTATTTTACATCTTTAGTCCAGTTCCTTCATTATACAAAGAAGGAAAATGCAATTCTAAGAGAGAAGAGCTTTGCTCAAGGAGTTAACAGGGAGTGAATAACAGTGACAAGGCCAGAATAGTTACAGAAAAAAAAAAGCATAATATCCTTGCTACCTTTTCATAAATTTTTATTACACAATAATTTACCTCATTTGAGTCTTGCTACAATCTTATAAAGGTAGGTATTAGTGTTTCCACTTTATGGATGAAAAAATTGCGCATAAATATGAACAAAGAGTCATCAAGGCTAAATACAAATCTGTTTCATTTTCATATCTTTTGCTTTTTCTATCCATTATTTTTCTTGATAATGGTATCAAGACATTTGATAGGTTTGGATGACAGCAAAAACGTCTCCTCACTATGGCCTGAGCTGGGGAGCTCATCTTTCTTTTTCTCCCTCCAGGAGAATTCCTGAGTTTTGCTGATGACTTACTCTCTGGCCTGGGCACATCTTGTGTAGCAGCTGGTCGAAGCCATGGAGAGGTCCCTGAAGTCAGTATCTACTCAGTCATCTTCAAGTGTCTGGAGCCCGACGGTCTCTACAAGTAAGATGTGTTGGGTGTGTGGGGATCATGAGGCAGACAGGATGATTTTAAGCCTAAGAGGAATGGCATGAGTTATTCTGTGCAGGCCAGCCAAATGTTTTATTAGCTAGCCTGTATGTGCAACTTGAGATTCTAAGGTTTAGAAGTGTCCATTTGAGAAGTATGCCACAATGGATCACAGAATCACACCAGGTGAGTCCTGAAGTGCCCAGAGAGGCCAGAAATTTAAAACCATTCCTTCTACTGATTAGAAATCTGTAGCTCAGAGAGAGAAGAGGGCTTACTCAAGAGCACAGATGAAGTTATCAAGGATGGTTGGGTCAGGGATCTCTGCCTAGTGATCTTTTACCTCTTGTATCCTTTCTTCTCTTTAAATATTATATTAGTATATCTGATATATAGACACATACAGACTGAAATACGCATACTGAGATATATATGCTGATATATATATACAATATACACTTTTTTATTAATAGATCCAGCCAGCCTTTTAAAAATAGTGCAATTATCACTCCTTTGTAGAGTTCATTGGAGTCACTGCATTCAAACTTCTGGAGATGCAAGAGGCAGTCACTCTGAGCTTCATTTGTTAGCCTGGAAGAGAAAAGGAGCTCATTTGTTACTTTTTATTTCCTACCTCAATGAGTGTTGTTTTTAGATCTAGATGCAACCATCATAAGCTATAACATAGAGCTTTATAGACCACCTCTCCTTATGTACCCCAATTATGGAATGATAGCTCACCTCCCTTGTCAAGTTAGAAAGCTGAAGTTGTTACGAAGTTGAGCTTTATTCACCAGTTATTCAACTCATTTATTTATTACTGTATTTAGACACTCAGGGATTCATTCACTCATCCATTTAACTATCTGTCTACCCAAACATTCATCTATTTTCCATTTATCCCTCCCTCTTGCCCTTCTTCCCTCTTTCCCTCCATCCATTCGTCTCTTCATCCATCTATTCACCTGCTCTTACATTCCTTCATTACATTAATTTATTCATTCATCAATTACTTCATTCACATATTCATTTACTAATTCATAACTTATTTACTTATTCACTAGACATTTGCTGAGTATTTCTTGTGTTTTGGTTCTGCGCTAAGCACTGTGGATATGAATGAGACTAAGACAGAAGTCCTATCCTCAGATAACATAACCTAATAATTGTAAGAAAGGCCACAGACTATGGATTCAAATCTGGCTTTGACATTTTTAGTTATGTGACTTTAGGTAAGTTGCTTTACCCCTATAGGTCTCTTATAAAGCCTTTGTAAAACAAATAATAAAACCCACCTTGTAGAGTTGTGTGATAATTAAACAAGAAACACCCTGGCTTGGTATCTCCAAGCATGTGCTCAGTAAGTGTTAGTCCTTCCACAATCTGTGAACCTTGCTTACCTCAAAGCACAACCCATTTTCCCCTTCCTCTCCCTGCCTCTTCCTCACCCTTTTGAACACTTGAGATATTCACACTCCTTGGTAACAACCAATGTGTTGGGTCACCAAACTCAAGAATATCACCAAAAGCTGGCAATTGAGTCTTCTGCCCCTGGCTCTGCAACTGACTATCTCTTAGATGTTGGGACCCAAGCTTTATATTAAGTCACCTGGGGGGCAGTGAATGCTCTAGGAATGGAATCTTCAAAGTAAATATGCAATTCCACGTCTTCCAGTGGGACATCTGGGCAAATTTTACTAAGGTTTTAAGATGTACCTTAGGCCTTAAAGAATGACCACCATCCTCATGGTGAGTGGTGGGACTGGGGACTGACTTTGAGAGCACAACTCTACACACTCTTAAGCAGTAAGCACTCACCAACACCTTGGGCTCTGGGACAACTGCATGTGTGAGGTGAAACACAAGTATGTGACTACATTAAGAGCGATTAAGTCCTCTCTAACTCTGAAAACTATAATTCTGTGAAGAAAGTGAATGGCATTTTCAAAAGATTTTCTGATAGATGGCTTCTGGTTTCTCCCCTCCTTAGGGTTATAGACTGAAGGCACACAGACCTGGATTCAAATCCTGACCCTGTCCTTTATCAGCTCTGTGATGCTGAGTGAGCTGCCCATCCCTCTGAGCCTCCAATTCCTTCTCTTTGAAAATGTGGATAATGTGGTGTTTGGCTCACAGGGACCCCAGGAGGACTTGAAGGGATCATGGACAAAAGCTCTCTAGTGATGAGGTTCCAGTAGAAGCCTAAGAAGTGTTAGCTATTATCAATGTTGCTGTTGTTGCCCTTGTGATAATTTCAACTTTCTCCCATCCATCCACCAAATGATAGGAGATACAGCATCTAACAGGGAACGACAGAATCCTGTCGGGTGATTCCTATTCACTAATACAGAAGGAGTAACCCTGTCTCTGGGTGACGCTGTAGGGGCTTGATGTCAGCTGGACTGGAATCCTGCAGCCCCATTATGTAGACAGCAATGAAATGTTTTATGGAATCCTGAAAGCAATTAACACTGAGAGCTGACAAATCAGCTGACATTCTTTAAAAGTGATGAACACTTTCCTTTGCCCCTTCTTTTCCTCACTGCCTGACACCACCCCTCCTTTCCACCTCTTAAAATATGGAACATTCTTTCTTCCTCTGTCCTGGAAATGTGCTTGTCAGGAGCTTGTCATCTCTAACTCGGAACACTTCTCTATTTTATTTATGTATTTTTGAAATGGATGATGTTAATGGCCCTGGGATCCGGGCCGCTCTGACCAGGAACCAGGGTGTTGTTTGGAACAGTCTCTTATCCCATTGGCGGCTCTCCTCCCATGGAGTCTGACCAGCTCGGTCTGGAGTTTTAAAATAGTTCCAGTGTCAGTTCTTGGGGATTCTCATTTTTTGCTTGCTCATTTTTTACCCAAATTCGTCTTCCTCTTGAGCCAAGAAGACTGTGTGCGGCAGTAGAAATAGCACAGGCCTTGGGGACACGCAGGGCTGGGTGTGAACCCTGATACTGCCTCATGCTCATAACCTGCCCCGAGGCAGGTTTTTCACTGCTCTATGAGACAATTTCTACCTCTGGAAAAGGAGGCTGGTGATTGTCCCTATCTCAAAGGGTTGTAGGGAAGAGAGTTGACTTTGAAAACTCCACAAACAAGGCTTACCTGAATTATTGGCATATAGGCAGCCTGCAGGACGTGTTAGCCACTTTCTTCTTCTCCCCTGACTCTTCTCAGTCGCTGGTTATCAGTGTCTTTTCTAAGCACAGCTCTGGAGGAACTGGTCCTTATCAGGCAAGTTGGGGTCCCACTATCTTTGGAAGGAACGACCATCCAGAATCCTTTTGAGAGAAATGGAATGAGAGGAGAGGATTGATGTAGAGGAGAGAGGTCTCAGAAGGGACCAAGTTTTAGTTAAACACAGTCAGACACCAAATTCTGCACCCATGCTTTTAAAGGATTCAGGTGGCAGGAGAGTGAAGGACTAGTCTCTCCACTGGGGAATCTGGGCTCATGCCCTGCTACTACTTCTGCCTCTGGGACCTTGGATTAAATGTTCAGATTCCTTCCCTGTTCTGCAGTGTCAGCATCTTTAAAATCAAGGTGCATGAGATCCTAGCTCATGAGTTCTGTCATGGGATTTATTTTCATCCCCTCTCTCCTCCTGAGCTCCTGCCCTTCCAGCTTTTCTACCTCTCTCACATCTGTTTTGCACTACTGTGCCTCTCTGCGTCTCTGCCTTTTTCTCTTTGTCTTTTATTCCCTCTCTGTGTAAGTATTTTCTATATGACTTCCTGTCTTTGTCTGTCTGTCATTCTCCCTACCATTCCTGTTTTGTCTTTTTATTCATTATTTTAATTTCTGTTGCTATGAGTGTATCTCAGTTTCTTGGTCCTATTTTTTACTTGAATTTTGGCCTCTCTCCCTCTCTCTGACCCCACTCCAACCCCAACTCCCTCTTTCCACACCACCTAGGAAGGCAAATTTTTTCTGTAGCCCCTCCATCCATGTAAATTTACACAGTGCCACAGGGTAAGACCAAATGAAGGAGTGAAAGTCAAGGCTGATTTTCTGTCCTAAGCTCACCCTGGTGTAACAAAACAGAAACATCAGCACCCGTGCCCTGTTTAAATTGAATTTCCTTGTTTATTTCATTTGTTTTGCTTTTGAATGAAAACAAACAAAAGCAGCAGAGGGAGTGGGTCCCAGGAAGGTCTGACAGCAGGGCCAGCTCCTGCTGCCGTGGGTGGGTTGTTGGAATCGAGGGGTGACCCTGAGCAGGAGTCTCCACTCAGGGCCAATGGCTCAGGCCTGGCTGGGCATCCATGGTCCCTGCCCTTGCCTGGCCAAAGGCCCAGACACCCTTCTTGTAGCTGCTCTCCAATTTCCTATTACCCAAGGTAATTAGCCTCTGTCTTGTCTTGGCTGCCTTGCCTTTCTCTAATTGTGGAAGGCTGCCAAAGGGTCCTCAGCAAGCATGCCAGCAGCAGCCAGGCCTGATTCCTGGGGTGGGGGATGCATTCCCACACATTCAGAGGCTTGCCCCAGACCCGCCCTCACCTCCCTGGCTTCAGCTCTATGAAAGGAATGCCAAGGGAGCCTGGGGACTGTAGCCAAGTGCCAACATCCATGGTGGGAACAGAGGCTTAGGCCAGAGGCTCTATCTTAGCGGGGTGGGTAGAGTTGGAAGAGTAGAAGAAAAAGCAAAGCCCCGGAGAAGGGAGGGCATTGTGAAAAAAAGCCCGAGGTTGGGAGTCCGACAGCAAGTTTCACATTTGCTCTCAGTGGTACGTTGGGTCAGTTCTTCCCCCTCCTCTGGTCTTAGTATTATTTGTGACATGGAAAGGTTAAGTTCAGTGAGCCCGGAGGCTTGCACACTGAGGCAGGAATGGAGACTCCAAACAGAGGTTCTGATGCCCAGTGCCACCAGGACTTTCTGGATAATACTGCTAGTAATAATATTTTATTGAGTATTCACTATGTGCCAGGAACCATTCTAAGGTATGTGTACTATCTCATTCAATTCTCATGATAAACCTAGAGATAGGGTAGTGTTTTTTTGTTTTGTTTTGTTTTGTTTTGAGACGGAGTCTTGCTCTGTCACCCAGGCTGGAGTGCAGGGGCGCAATCTTGGCTCACTGCAAGCTCCACCTCCCGGGTTCACGCCATTCTCCTGCCTCAGCCTCCTGAGTAGCTGGGACTACAGGCGCCTGCCACCACGCCCGGCTAATATTTTGTGTTTTCAGTAGAGACAGGGTTTCACCGTGTTAGCCAGGATGGTCTCGATCTCTTGACCTTGTGATCCGCCTGCCTCGGCCTCCCAAAGTGCTGGGATTACAGGCGTGAGCCACTGTGCCCGGCCGGGTAGTGTTATTTTTGGCCTCTCCCATTTCACAGGTGGGAAAGCTAGAGCTTAAGGGAGTGATCATTTTCCCCAATGTCACATAATGAGAAGGAGTAGAGCTCAGATTCATACCCAAGCTGATTCTTAATGCCCACCTGCTCCTCTCCTCCCCTCCTCCCATGTGCTGTTCAAAGCACCTGGTGAGGTATGAGTGGAAGAGAACTTCCTAACTGCAAATGACACTGTTTGCAATGGAAAGAATACTAGGCTTGGGGGCCGAAGACTCAGATCACAGCCTATAGATGGGAGGTGGGGGTACTTCACACCTCATCCTTCTCATTCCTAAAATGGAGATAATCAGTCTTATCCATAAAATGGAGATAATTTGTCATACCTCCCCCAAATTAAATTGGATAGTAGACAGAAATTCACTTCAACATTTTCATAAGATTGTGTACACGTGTGAAGGGTTATCAGTGCCACTCTATGTTTTTCAAAAAGCAGCAACAGGAAAGGCAATAGACTTTGTGAATCTGCATCCCCTACCACTACTAGCACATGCACATAATTTTAAATTAGGCCTATGAAATCAGACAGAGGTGGGTTTTTACCCACTGTGTGGCCTTGGGCAAGTTTCTTCACCTCTCTGTTTCAGATTTTTTGTTTCATTTTGATTTTTTTGAGACAGAGTCTGGCTCTGTCACTGAGGTTCTGGAGGGCAGTGGTGCAATCACAGCTCACTGCAGCCTCAATCTCCCAGGCTCAAGCCATCCTCCCACCTCAGCCTCCTGAGTAACTGGTACTACAGGCATGTGCCATCATGTCCAGCTAATTTTTGTATCTTTTGTAGAGACGGGATTTTGCCATGTTGCCCAGGCTGGTCTCGAGCTCAAGCCATTTACCTGCCTCAGCCTCCCAAAGTGCTGAGATTACAGGCATGTGCAACCATGCCCAGACTGCTTCAGTTTTTTATCTATAAAACTGAATCATAATAGGATCTATTTCATAGGGTTATGAGGATACAATGAACTAAAATATGTAAAGAGGACAAGATAATGTCTAGCTCATTGTCAGTGCTTACCAAATGGCAGCAGGAGGAGGAGTAACCACTGTGACTACTATTTGTGATGACAGACATTACCTAAGCAGTGACACGTGGGATGGCCTCTGCTGACACCATATGTTCACAGCCTTCCAGCAGGTTGGCGTTCTTCTCCCACACTTGCCCCTACCCACCACTCTGCAGGCACGCTTGCTAGAGTGCGCCAGTCTCTTCCTTCCTCAAGGTCTTTGCCTCTACTGTTCTCTTTCCCTGGGATGTCCTTCCCTTGACTCTTCCCATGTGTGTTTCCTTGTTCTCCTTCAGGTCCATGATTAGATGTTGCCTCTTTAGAGACATCTTCCTTTGCCACTTTTATCTACCTGCCTGTCATGCACACAGACACACAAAGCCATGGTACTCACTAATACTGTAATGATTTAGTCTCTGTTACTTGTTTTTGTCTATCTTTTCTCACTAGAAGGACATTGGACCAAGGTCTGTGCCTGCCTTGTTCATCCTCTATCCCTGGTACCTAGAACAGTAACTGACACTAATTAAGAATCCAATAAATCTTTGTCGAATTATTTGAACAAATTTTCAAGTCAATGTGGAAATTCTGTAGACACTGACTTCTCCCCTTCACTCATGTAAAATTTCCTACTCACTTTCTCACCAAATATTCAGGAGACACCCACTATGTGCCAGGCTGTGGTCCAGTACTGTATCTCTACATCTGTCTCTAGGTTTCTATGTTTCTATTTCTATCTTTCTCTGTCTGCTTTCCTCTCTTGGCTCCCTCCTTCTTTCCACTTCCCTCTCTCCCTCCTTCCCTTCCTTTCCCTTCCTCCCTTCCTTCCTTCCTTTCCCACTTCCTCCCTTTCTTCCTTCCTTCTTTCCTTCCTTCCTTTCTTCACCCATCCTTCCTTCCTTGCTTCCCTCCCTCTCTCTCTTTTTCTTTCTTTCTTATAAACCTTATTTAATCTAATCCTCACAACAACTCTGTAAGGTAGTTGCTACTATTCTCACCTAACAGATAAGGCAACTAAGGCACAGAGAGGTTAGGTAACTTGACTACCGCCACAAAGCTAGTAAGTAGAGGCAGATTTCCAACCAGTTTATCTCCACTGCCTGAACTGAAAATTGCCACACCGAATTATGAGAAGAGTTGGGCATATAGAAATGACAGGGGTCAGAGTGGAAGCTGTGGGCAGGGATCTTTTATACAAAGATCCATGCCCAAATGGGTTAGAAACAATATGGAAAACACACTTTTAGTTGTCACACAAAAGCTACATGGCTACCATTGAATTTCAAACTTTGTCCCTTCCCCGCAGTCCTCACAGCACTACACACACAATTGTATGTGGGGTCTGCATGAGGACCCCTGCTCCTCCCTAGGGATGGACTCCCATTGTCATTTGTGCGATGCCCTTGATTTCCCAGCTCTCATCTGCCGAGCTGTTTCCCAGCACTGTCAGACTCCCATGTGTCTCAGCAAGCAAGTCCAGGCTCCTGGCCCAACAATCCTATTCCAAAAGCCCAGGGGGCTGAGAGCCTTGGATGGAGCATTGCTGGCCTGTCCACCACCCTCAGGACACCACCTCTCCTGGGCACAGCCTGGGAAGCACATCACAGAGGCAGCCAGGGCCACCACCATGGATACTATAATTATATATTAGATGAAATCCCAATGTTTCCCTTTATTTACATTCCTACCCTACCCTCTTCATTTCCTTTCTTCATGCCAAAAATCAGCACAGAATTTACTGGAAACAGCATGAAAGTCATCAGGAGCCCTCCAGGGCTTGCTTTCAAAAGTGCTTGTCCAGATGATAGGAGGTGAGATTGCTGAGGGTCATCCTGTCTCTGGCCCTTAGCAGCTATGGGGCCTTTGGCAAGTGGCTTCCACTTTGGAGGTCTTCGTTTCTCCATTTGTAGAAGAGGGTTTGAAAGGGGCCATCTCAAATGAACTTTTCATGAATTCAGAGGCTGTGCATTTCCCTTTTTTTTTTTTTTTTTTTTTTTTTTTGAGGCACAGTCTCCTTCTGTCGCCCAGACTGGAGTGCAGTAGTGCAATCTCAGCTCACTGCAACCTCTGCCTCCCGGGTTCAAGCGGTTCTTCTGCTTCAGCCCCCTGAGTAGCTGGGACTACAGGCACGTGCCACTGTGCCCAGCTAATTTTTGTATTTTTAGTAGAGATGGGGTTTCACCATATTGGCCAGGCTGGTTCGAACTCCTGACCTCGTGATCCACCTGTCTTGGCCTCCCAAAGTGCTGGGATTACATGTGTGAGCCACTGCGCCCAGCCTGAGGCTGTGCATTTCAAAAGATGATGGGGGCAAGAAGACAGACACCAGCCCCTGGCAACTGGGGAGGCAAGGGTCTAGTCCAGGTGAAAGAATTTCATTCAGCTTAAGGTCAGATATTTCTGCTTTCTCTTAGCATCAGTGACCCAACCTGCTCAGTGGGCCTGTCAGGCCACATCCTAGATAGGACCCTGAAGGGACTTTCAGCTCCTATGAGAAGGGAGCAAAGAGGAAACCTTCCATGCTGACCAGAGGCCTGAGCTGCAGCCCAGGGTTTATCCAGGACACACCAGGGAAAGAATCCAGGAGAGGCTTGATAGGGTTCTTGTGCTGCTCTGTTCTGGCTTTTTCTTCCCATTGTGAACTTTTCTTTCCTTATTTCATTTTATTCCTCCTTTCCTCCCTCCATTCTTCATTTTCTTCCCTGGCTCTCTTCCTTCCTTCCTTCCTTCCTTCCTTCCCTCCCTCCCTCCCTCCCTCCCCCCTTACTCCCCCACTACCCCTCCCTTTCCTTCTTTCCTTCCTTCCTTTCTCCCTCCCCTTCCCTCCTCCTTCCCTTCCTTCCTGTATCCCTCCCTCCCTTCCTTTCTCCCTCCCTACCCCCTCCCTCTCTTTCTTCCTGTTTCCCTGCTTCCTCTCCCATATTTGTAACATCTCTCCTTTGCTTTCTCCTTTTGTTCTTTTTTTAACTGTTTCTGCCTGGCCTTTTATTTCCCCCTCTGCCCTCTGTTTCTTCTCTTTTCTTTCTTGTTCTCTCTTTCTTGGTCATGGACACTACTTCCCTCTCCGTGTCACCCTGGCTTCCTGTCCATCTCTCTCTGTCTTTTTCTTTTCTTTCATTTTTTTTTTTTTTCTTTTTTGATTAGGGATCTCACTGTGTTGCCCAGGCTGGTCTTGAACTTCTGAGCTCAAGCCATCCACCTGCCTTGGTCTCCCAAAGTACTGGGATTACAGGCGTGAGCCACCGTGCCTGGCCTGTCTCTGTCTTTTTGTGTCTGTATGTACCTCTCTTCTACTTGCTCTCTCTGTGTCTCTACCCCTGTCTCTTTCTCCTTTTCTTATCACTTCTCAGTCCCTCTCTTGCTCAGCCCTAGGGTCGCTCTTCTTTTATCCTCCTGTGCATTTTTCTCTCCACTTTCCTCCTCCGACACCCAAACAGCCCACACCAGCCTAAGTACAAGGATTTCTGCCTATTATCTGATTCTGGGCTGAATGGCAATTTAGGTGTGGCCAAGGGTCTCGGAGCTCAGTAGGGACGGGGGTGACTGATGTCCCCAAACTCGAGTGGAATGTGAACTTCCCTTGGCTGTGGTGTCCAGTCCTAATTGGTTAGGGGATGGGGGCAAGTACGGCAGCCTGGCGACTCAATTCCATCTAACATCAGGTCGTACTGACCTCTCCAAAGTGCACAGTTGGGGCCTGGGAGAGGGGAATAGCTGTCCTCAAGCCAGAAGCAAATACAGCCGTGCATCCCAAGCCAAGAGAGACTCGTAGAGGAAAAATAACGCTGTTTTTCAGCCGACAGACAGTGAGGCTCCTAAAACCTGCTGGGGACTCTCAAGCAGGCTGTTTCTTTCCTCACACTGCGTCAAGATTCCATCCAGGAATGGGACACCAGCCAGGGTTCCAGAGGGACAGGGCACAGACTGCTCATGTGACCTTGTGGAGTGGGGAGGGGGTGGGAGCTGAGGCTGCGCTGGAGGGCTAAGCCTTGAATACTGAGCAGAGGAGCTGGGCTTTCTCCTGCAGGCGGAGGGGAGCTGGGCTTTCTCCTGCAGGCAGAGGGGAGCCAGGAAGGGCACTGGAGGAGGGACAGGATGTATCTTAACCTGTGTTTTGTGGTGACAACCCTGACCATGGTTTGGAGAACAGGCTGAGTTGAGTTGAGAGCCAGGAGGGCCATTTGATATTGATAAAAGGGGGAAGGATGGAGTCCACACACATTTGGGGACCAGCGAGTGTTGCTCTGATTAGCGAATGTGCTGGGCCAAAATGGAACAGCACAGTCTCAGGAAACATCTGGAAACAGATTTTTCATAACTTACTGCAGTGCACAGTGTTCAAGAAAAGCGCATATTTGTTGACTGTCTAGGAGGTGCCTCACAGTAAGGTAGGCACTTGTGCTGCAGAACTAACCAAACCAAAGTATTTGCCCTCATGGAGCTCATATTCATGGTGATGAATACAGAGAAAGGACCAGGCTGTTACCTGACACTGCATATCATGCTCCAGGGACCGTGGGGACACCAAGGAAGAGCCACTAGCCCAGCCAGGGGAACCCTCCGCTGCAAGTCTTCTGAGGAAGTGAGAGGATGGATTGCAGTGGGTTGAACAGTGTCCTTGAAAAATTCACATCTACCTGAAACCTTGGGATGGGGCTTTATTTGGAAATCATCTTTGCAGATGTATTTACTTAAGGATCAAGATGAGGTAATACTGGATTAAGTTAATTCCTTAATTCAGTGACTGATGCCGCTCTGAGAAGACAGAGCAAAGAAGGCATGTGAAGACAGAGGCTGAGATTAGAGTGATGCCGCCTCAAGCCAAGGAACACCTCGGGCCATCCGAAGCTGAGAGTGGCAAGGAAGGATTCTTTCCAAGAGCCTTCAGAGGAAGCATGGCCCTGCGGATGCCATGATTTCACACGTCTAGCCTCTAGAACTCTGAGAGAGTACACTTCTGTTGTTTTAAGCCACCAAATTTGTGGTGCCCTTTTAATGGTAGCCCTAAGAAACTAATATGAGGGAAAAGAGGATTTGGGACAGAGGACAGACTGTGAGCAGGCTGGGGGACGAGAGACAACGCTGCAGCAGAGAGTGTAACTGGAATGTGGAAGGCCAGGGAAAGTAGGAGATTTGGGGCTATGGAGGCAGGCGAGGACCTCATCATCCAAGTTGGGCTCCATGAGGAGTATGGGGAAGCTTCCAGGGAGTTGGTGGGATGAATGAGCTTCATTGCTGCAGGAAAGAGTTGACTTGCAAGGGGAAGGCCAAGCATCTGAACAATGCCTAGAGGAGAGGAAGCAGGTCCCCGAGGCCCTTGAAATGATGACCATGAAGAACGCTTGAGTGACCTTGAATGTTTATTCAAGTTAAGAAAAGACACAAAAGGGTGCACCCAATGTCTTCAACCCTCTGTAGAGCTGCACAGGGGTACAGGGCACAGATGTGTTCACTGTGACTCCAGAGAGCAGGACAGTGGTACAAGGCTATAAGGCAGATTGATTTTGGATCACTACAGGAAATGTTCTATTACTGGCCTTCAGTGGGCTGGAAGTCTCGGTGGGCAGTGAGAGCCCCATGCTCAGGGCAGCAGGGAGCTGTTAGGGATGAGGCAAACTCTAAGCCATGCTTTGTAAGGAGGAACTTGCCAGTGATGGCAATGAGTCATTGTGGCCAGATGCTTGATAATAGGGAGGAGTGAGGACTGCAGTAAATTAGGCATGGCACAGAGAATACTTAGTTCCAGCTGCTGGTTACCATTTGAGACTGCTGATTTGGTGTTAATACATCTTCCAAGCCAGAAATCTAGATGTTTATGTGAAACCTCCTAATTATTACATGCTGGCAACCAATTTAAAATTGGCCAAATAAACCAATTTTGTAGGTAACAACCAGCAGATCATTAATTTGGGAACTCTTATCTAGGCCACTTCTCTCAGTGTATAGATGAGGAAGCTGAGACCCCAAGAGACTCTGGCATCATAGTCAAGGCAGAGCCAGGAATGATACATGGGAATCCTGACTTCTGACTTCTGTCTTTTACCAGTAGGCTGTGACCATCACTTTCTACTTTAGGGTTCCTTGTCAGGAACAAAGTACCCAGTTAGTTCAACATAGGGAGAGGCTTCTGGAGTGGGATCACAAGCCCCACCTAGGCTGCATGCCCAGCTTTGCTGTCCATCCACCTGGGGCCTTGGGCAAAGAACTTCATTTTTCTGATCCTCAGTTTCTTTTTCATTGCAATGAGGGGCTCAGATAGAGAAGTTCATTTCTACTCTGATCATTTAAGACTCTAGGAATGAAACCAGGCTAGAGGCCAGGCTTCCTAACTTTTCCCTGCTCTCATTATCTTGGCTGTGGGTCCATCACTGCACATGAAGGGGCTGCCTTCCCCCTATGCCCATCTCCATCTGTGAAGGAGGTTGTGAGCAGTCTTGAGTCATCACTGGAAAGGTGTTAGTGGACTGCAGGGATTACCATTAATGATGTGTAGAGAGTCAGAGGTGAGACGGAATCCAGACTTCTGGCATTTTTCTTGCTGCTCTGTTCTCCTTTCCTCCAAAGACAGACCCCCATCCACCAACAACCCTATTCCACTTTCATATTTGAATCACAGGATAGTGAGACTGCAAACACCACTGATCTAAACCCTCTCTCTTTATGGGAAAAACTAAAGCCCAGGGAGGAGATAGGGCTTGACCCAGGTCACCCAGACAGGCAGAGCAGAGCTGGGCTGAACCAGGACTCTTCACCTCCGTTATAGCCTACCTGCTGCTCTCTGGTACTAGATTCAAGCACCCATCTGCCCCGATCCTCTTGGGTATCTGAGAGTCTACGAGCATGGGGTCTTGAGTCAGACTATTCTAGGGTCATTTCAAATCTCAGACAGTTTCTGGCTGTACAAGATGCTTATTTCTCCTGGGTCTCAATTTCTATATCTGTACAGTGAGGGTATTGCCATTTTCCATGTTAGAATTTTGTTGTGAAACAAATACACATGCAGAGCTCCCAAGCATAGGGTGTCCAGAACAATATTAAACACATACCAAGTACATATAAGATCTTTCTTGAGTAGGTCTTTTTTTTTTTTTGAGATAGAGTCTTGCTCTGTTGCCCAGACTAGAGTGCAGTGGTGCGATCTCAGCCCACTGCAACCTCCGCTTCCTGGGTTCAAGCGATTCTCCTGCCTCAGCCTCCCGAGTAGCTGGGTTACAGGTGCCCACCAACACGCCCAGCTAATTTTTGTATTTTTAGTAGAGACGGCATTTTGCCATGTTGGCCCAGCTGGGCTGGTCTCGAACTCCTGACGTCAGGTGATCCGTCTGCCTTGGCCTCCCAAAGTGCTGGGATTACAGGCATGAGCCACCACACCTGGCCTTGAATAGGTCTTTATCTGCCAACTGAAATGATGACCTTGAAGGGGACTCATGCTTGGCTAATTGTCCTGCCCACTGTGCAGTTACTCACGTTTTTCTGTTCCTGAGCATTTCCCAGAAGCCCTTTGGACATGGGATCTGGCTAGTTTGGATTGTTTTCCCCCATCATCTGACGTAACAAGAGATGCCTTTCCTCCCTCTCTTTTTATTCTACTATTCCTTGAACCTATAATGTTTCTCTTTATCATAAAGAATGAAAACTGTCTGTAATCTAAGAGTAGAATAGGTTTTAGAAACCATGGTTTAGTTACCTGTAAATCCATAACATATGGCCTGGCACTTAGTAGGTACTTAATTTAGCAAACATCAAAGATCGATAATAGGTATTACAGGTTGAATGAATGAAGACAGTCTGTCATGTATGCAGTGTAGCTATCAGCCAAGAACATGGTTCCTGCCTCCCAGTCGTTGTCATCATGTACCATTTATCAAACTCTATTACATGCCATTCATTATGCAAAGTCTTTTGGTCCACTAACTCTTTGAACCTTAATAATATGGTACCCTCTAAGGTAGATACTATCCCTATTTTACAGGCAAGGAAACTAAGATGGGAAGGCTTAATGGTTTGCCCAAGGTCATCTTATTAGTAAATGGCAGAACCATGATTCTTTTTTTTTTTTTTTTTCCAAGACAGAGTCTCGCTCTGTTGCCCAGGCTGGAGTGCAGTGGCACAATCTCAGCTCACTGCAAACTCCACCTCCCGGGTTCAAGCGATTCTCCTGCCTCAGCCTCCTGAGTAGCTGGAATTACAGGTGTGCCCCCTCCGCCGCCGCCACCACCAACATGGCTATTTTTTTTTTTTTTGTATTTTTAGTAGAGACTGGGTTTTGCTATGTCGGCCAGGCTGGTCTTGAACTCCTGACCTCAAATGATCTGCCTGCCTCAGCCTCCCAAGGTGCTGGGATTACAGGTATGAGCTACCACGCCTGGCCAGAACCATGATTCTAACACAAGCTATCTAGCTCCAAAATCTGCACTTGTGTATTCTTATGCACTTCTCTCTTAGGCAGTGACCAAGCTGCAATTCAAAGTCTTATGGCTGAGACTGAAAGAGCTTTGCCCAGTGTTAGGGACAAACTTTTAAGCAGCTAATCATATTGGGGGTAGAAGGTGATTTGCCCCATAATAAAGGCATGCGAGTTCTGAGGAGGCTGTGATCTCTAACAGCTAGTGTGCCTTTGGGGAGGTGCCTTTGAGCTAGGTCTGGAAGAATGGATAGCATTGAACACTTAGAACTGGGGAAGTTATTGCATCACAGGCAGAAGGAATAGCTGAAATGAAGGCAGGGAGGTAGGATATTGAAGGGACCACATATGGGGTACAACAGAGATTCAGGGCAGTTGAAATGTACAGTATATGAGGTTGGAGAGGCAGGACTTGCAAGGCCTCATAACGTGTGCTAAGGAGGAGCAGTGATAAGGCCACAGTTGGGTTATAGAAAGATCTTCGTGGTGTATAAGTTAGAATAGAGGAGACTGCAGGTAGGGAGACTAGCTCGGGGTCTGGCTGAATGAATCTGGAATTAGAACCATGCAGGGGGCTGGAAAGGAGGAGACAGACGATGGAGGTCATGGCATGTGGGGCTGTTGCACTCGCGGGTTTTGTTGGGAATCTATCAAAGCACAACCAGTAAGCCAGCCTTAGTGAGAAGACAGAGCCCAAGGTTTGAAATGTAAAAATCTGGTTTCAAATTCTGACTCCCTCAGTTCTTAGCTGGGTAGCCTTTGAAAAATTGCCTAACCTTGGAGACCAAGCCTCTTCCTGCATCCAAAAAGTGAGAGTAATAAATTCTTCTTCAGAGTGTATGTGTGAAATTAAAACCAAATATTCCATATGTCCATTTCTGGCACCTAGTAGGCCCTTTATTCCTAAGAATTTCCTGCTGTCCTTTCCATTTGCTTCACTCTTATTGCAGTAAGCATTCATATGAATTCCCCCCTCCCTCCACCCCCTTTACTGCCCAACTTCCTTCTCTGTCCCTCTTTCCCCGGGATGCCAGAAATGAAATAACATTCTTCGCGTGTTTGTTCTAAAGCTCCTGGCAGCCTTCCCAAAGACCCCTGGCTGGGTCAGGACTGATTTGCATTAGCATGTGTGAGGCCAGCCTGAAGGGGAGGGAGAGGCCCTGTTTTCAGGGAGTTTCAGGAGGCACCCCTGCCAGAAAAAGAAGTTACTATTTCTTTCTGGGAAACATTCACAGATTAAAACAAGCAAGAAAGGCCGGGAAGCTGTCTCGCTTGTGGAGAGGTTGTGTGTGGGTGAGCTGCCTATCTGACTCTCACGACTGGATCCAACTCCTCTCACCCTTATCGCAGGCCTGTCCCCAGAAATCTCTCCTCCAAAGAGTGTAGTAACTTAACACCATTACATAGATCTTTCTTAATCATATCTATAGCCTGTAACAGGGGGAAGAGAGAGAGCAAAGGGGCAAAGAAGACACTCAGAAGCTACAGGATAAGTAAACAGCAATTTTGCTGGCTTCTACACAGATATTAAATCAATTTAAAAAATCATTTTAAAAAAGAAAAAGGAGAGGAAACCCCAGAGATTTTTCATTTGTTTGTTTTTGCTTTAGTCTTGTTAATTTTTGAACAATACATCGTCTTAGAGTTATAACTTTCTTCCAGGAATCTCAATACCCTTGTCCCAATGTAGGTAACCAATGGCAGGCCAAGGAGAGTACCCACCATAAAGCATTGGCATTATGAAATATGCCATTTTTAGAGGCAAGAATCATGCCATTTACAGAGAGGACAAATGAGTTCTGGGTGCTTTATTGGACTTTATTTAACTTCCCATAATTTCCCTTATTCATCTTCACTCCACAATATGAATATGCTTTCTTCAGGTAGGACTTTTGCCTTCTCTTCAGTGAAGAGTGTTCATGTAAATACTTTGGAGTGCAAATAAAAGAATCAATGATATGAATGGCTATTATATAAAGAGTGCTTTCAATATACCAGGCACCATTCTAAATAATTTCTGTAAGTTAATCCATCCACCCTTCTCAATGAGACAGTGTTTTTTTATTATCACTATTTTGCAGATGAGAAAACCAAAGCCCAAAGAAGTCAAAAAAATTTACCAAAAGCCATGCCACAAGTCAGTAGCAGAGCCAGGATGTGAACTCAGACAGTTTGTCTCTAGAGTCTAACTTCCTAGTTATTAACTGATCCAGCATCCCCAGAAGTCACATTAGCATTTAAGGAGCCTAGCTCACACCACAGCATGCGCTCTTCCCCTTCACAGGGCCTCAGAACACGCCGAATCTTTTCCCTGGGTTAACACTATTCATCCTTCAGTGTTCAGCCTAAATCTTTTTATTTTTTTTATTTTTTATTTTTATTTTTGATATGGTGTCTCGCTCTGTCACCCAGGCTGGAGTGCAGTGGTGTGATCTTGGCTCACTGCAACCTCTGCCTCCCCAGTTCAAGCAATTCTCCTGGCTCAGCCTCCTGAGTAGCTGGGATTACAGGTGCCCACCACCATGCCCAGCTAATTTTTGTATTTTTAGTAGAGGCGGGTTTTGCCATGTTGGTCAGGCTGGTCTCGAACTCCTGACCTCAGGTGATCCTGCCACCTCGGCCTCCTAAAGTGCTGTGATTACAGACGTGAGCCACCGTGCCCAGCCTCAGCCTAAATCTACATCCTCAGAATGGCATCCCCAGAACCCATAATCTAAATTATGTACCTCACCTCCTTTCTTTATTGCAATTATCAAACATTACAATACAGATTTATGTGTGTATTAACGTTCCCTGTTAGACTTGACAGTTTATGGGGTATAGTGTTTGTTTTATCTGTGTACACTCAATTGCACAAACACAGAGACACTCAATAAGTATGTATTGTATACATAAGTGAATATATGCAATATCACATTTTAGCATAGCTAGAATTATTAGGCAGATACTTTTCCCCTCTCACTTTAGAGATGAAGAAATGAAGGCTCATGAAGGTTCAATAAATTGGCCAAAGTCACTGAGGGAATAAGTGGCAGAACTAGCATTTGAAAGCAGGTCTTTTCTGACCGACCTCAGAGCTCAGGCTCTGACCCGCTGAACTATATTCCCTCCTGCTGAGCTTTATAAGGGGCACAGGGGAATGAGGCAGGGTTTGCCCTAAAAAGTTCTCTATTCTGCTGGGAGGAGCCAGTTGTATACATAAACCACTATACCACAAGCCAATTGAAATTGGTGAACTGGTTCTATGACGTCATATAGATCATGGACTATGGAAAAAAAAAACCACTTGAGAGAGCAAGGAAGTTTTTAGCAGCCAGGATGACTTCCTTCTGCCTTTATTTATCCAACACACATTTATTCTCTAAGGGTATGTTTAAATGTGACACCCTCCCTATTAACATTTAACGTTTGTTTATTCTATTAGTTTTTGAGTACCTTTTTCTCTGTACAACTCAGCACTACATTCTTGGAACCCAGAGATGAACGAGACATTGTCTCTGCTTCCATGGAACTCACGATGAAATGTGGTCAATGATATGAGAGTTCAGACGAGAGAATGCCTTTCAGCCCAGTGAAAGCTGCCTAGAAAGGATGACATTTTATTTAAGTTTTAAAGAATGATCAGAATTACTAAGATGCAGATACCAAGAAAAGGAAACATGATTTTCCAAGAAGAGGAGGTCATATGTGCAAAGTTACTGAGAAGCAAGGCAACATGGCACATTTGCAACCCCTACTCAAGTTATTATGGTGCAAAGGAACAAATTCGGATGATGAAAGAAGTTGGTAGAGCTCAAATCATAAGGGACTATTTTGCCAACCTAAGGAGTGTGGACTTTATCTTGAAAGTAAAGAGAGCTATTAAGGGTCATGAGCCGGCTGCTCAGTTGACATTGTCAGATTTGCTCTTTAGGAAGATCACTCTGGCTAATACACTAGCAACAGATTAGAGGTGTGACAAAACTATAGGAAGTAATTTGGGAAGCTGTTCCCAAAGCCTGGATGAGAGCCAGTGAGGGCTAGTGTAGGCAAGAGTTGGAAGAAAGAAGGGAGATTAAAATCTTCAGTGTCAGATTAACAGAGGGTGAGAGATGAGCCACAGACAATTCCTCTGTGTACATGAGCATCCTTCCTGATGCTGGTTGGTAAGAACTCTACTCCAATTCCTTGCCTCTTAGGTGGGCCCAAGGTAGAGTAGTACTGGTGACAACCAGGAAACTTTCTCCTAACACGTCCTATGTACTATAACTGTCCTGTGGAGGATAAACAATAAGTAAGCCTATTTGAGTTGGCAAAAGTCCCCATTTCTTCCTTACTAATTTTTATAGGTAATTAGCTCTCATCTCTTTCTGAAAAAGGAAAGAAAGCCTTTGGGAGTGCCACTAGTATATGAGAGGCTAGCAGGGTTGAAAGAAGAATGAGTTGTGGTTTCTTTCCCCAGAAACCTCACATTCCAGTGGGGATAACAGCAAGTAAAGTATTGATAATGATAGTGTCATTCACGGCTTCATGTCCTCAGTACTGACACTCAGAGGAATGAGAAGCTAGTCCTTTCTGAACAGGTATGGGTCTTTCCCAGAGCCTGGAAATTTGGTTCTGCACCAGGTAGAAAGAGACCTAGCCAACGTTGTGTGGCCAGGCAGTGACAGAGGTTTTGTTTGCTCATCACTAGGCTGAGCTGCAGAGCCAATCGTAGGAGCAAACTTCATTCTGGGAAAAGAGTTCACTACAGTCCTGCTAATGATAACAACTACCTACCCTACCATTTCTTGAATATTTAGAAATGTGCCAGATATTAAGTTTAATGTGTGATTTAAAAACATTATCTTGTTTAATCATCACAACAACTTTATAAAGGATATTTACATGAGTTTAGACTCTTGGAGGCAACGGACAGAAACTCAAATGAAAGTT
The DNA here is from genome assembly GCF_000001405.40 of Homo sapiens. Lineage (NCBI taxonomy): Eukaryota > Metazoa > Chordata > Mammalia > Primates > Hominidae > Homo > Homo sapiens. The sequence continues at coordinate 116,467,674 of NC_000009.12, read as the reverse complement.
GTTAAGGAAAATAGAATGTATCTGCTTATATAACTGGGAAGTCTAACAGTGTGCTGACTTCAGCCCCAGCTGAATCCAGGAGTTCAAATGACGTCGTAAGATTCTGTCTCGGCCGGGTGCAGTGGCTTACGCCTGTAATCCGAGCACTTTGGGAGGCTGAGGCAGGCGGATCACGAGGTCAAGAGATTGAGACCATCCTGGCCAACATGGTGAAACCTTGTCTCTATTAAAAATACAAAAATTAGCTGGAAGTGGTGGCGTGCGCCTGTAGTCCCAGCTACTTGGGAGGCTGAAGCAGGAGAATTGCTTGAACCCGGGAGGGGGAGGTTGCAGTGAGCCAAGATCGCACCACTGCACTCCAGCCTGGTGACAGAGCGAGACTCTGTCTCAAAAGAAGAAAAAAAAGGACTCTCTCTCTCTCTATCTCTTTCCTCAAGTTTGCTGTGTGCTGGCTGCATTCTAAAGTGAGTTTTCCTTATGAGGGGTATGAAGATGGAACCTAGCAACTGTAGACTTTGATAGTCCTTCATGCTTTTAATCTCAGAAAGAAAGAAACACACCAAACCCCTTTTCCAGCACCCCTATCAATCCTCAAGAAGGGACTCTTGCTGCCTTGCTTGGCTGATGTCACCACTCCTCTGGTGAGAGGCAGGAACATGAGAGGAACAGTCCCACCCAAACCACATTGAGAACTGCAGAAATAGTTCGTCAGTGGCTATAGGTACCATGCTTCCAAAAGAAGGCGTAACAATGTCTGGGTAAGGAAAACAAACAAAACTGATAGCAAAAAATGTTATTCTCAGAGTCTTATTATCCCCATTCTACAGATGAGAAAACAGAAGCCCCACAAATCATGGGTTATGGAGAAAAAAAAGCTTGGGAGAACAAGGAAGTTTTTAGCACCAGGCATGACCTCCTCCTGCCTTTATTTACCTAACACATATTTATTCTCTAAGGGTATGCTCAAATGTGACATCCTCCCTATTAACACTGGGCAGAAGCACAAAGCCGGGTCCATATCTAGGTCATTCTGATGCCAAAACTCTGGACCTGAACTTCTGCCCTGCATTGCCTCATCTTACACTGGATGTTCTGTCTGAGGAAGGTGTGGGAAGGTAGAAAACCCTACTTGGAGGCAGCAACCAAATTTATGAAAAGAGAATAGGTGAGGAAGGTCACAGAGAGAATGGGCTGGTAGGAATTGTGAAGCAGGCTGCTGTAAGGAACTGCCTAGAAGTTCCAGCCTCATATCTAGCCTTTGAGAAACGTTTGCTGAGCCAATGACGTCAAGACTCATTGTTGCAGAGCAGAGATAAGAGAAGGTGGCTGGACTGGCCAAGAAGCTAGAGATCTGAAGTGCCTTAATGCTGTCTTAGTCCTTGGACCAATGCAAACCTCACAGAGATTTTTCTGCAAGAGGGGGAACAGTTTTGTCTTCAAAGTCAAGGTGAATGCAGCATAAGGAGCCCTGGACCAGCAGTTGATTAAGTACCAGCTCTATCACTCTTCCACTATGCGTCCTTGATTCAAAAGCCCGCTTCCCACCCTCCCCGCAAACAGCAAGTTCACTGAATGTAAAATGTGGGCAATAAACCCTGCTTTGTCTTGCTTTCAAGGTTATTTGTGCAATACGCTTTGCAAAGTATAAATTGATAGGTGTCAGGGATGTGTTCATTTGTTTTAATCATGAATACTGAAATAAAATAAAGTATGGAGAAAGTACAATAAGCCACCACGTGTCATTATTCAGGATTACTGCATGTCAGTACTGTCACATTTGCTTCAGAGCTCTTTATTTTCTCCTAAAGGAAATTAAAGACACACTTGAAGACTACTCATCAAGTAGCCTTCTCAGCCCCATTCTGCCCCTCCCATCTCGCCTAAAACACAGCCACTCTCCTGAATCTGCATTAGTCTAATCCGCAGAGCAAAGTGGGTTTGTGTTTGTTTGCTTGCTTACTTTTAAATTTGCGCCATGATCCTTAGTTTCATATGTAAGCAAATGGAAACTGCAGCTGCTTCCAGCTGACAACTTGCAGCTTGTATTGTTATTATTTATTATTAATAGTAATTTAATTTCTGTATAACGATATGTTCAAAACCAAGTCACAAAAAGTACCACTGGATGTTATCTCTCTCCTGGGAACTCTTCCCCCCTTTTATGTCAATCAATACCTGTAAGAAAATAAATATTTTAATAATGTGTTCTTCTAATCTTGTGCTTACGCAAAGCCTTACGTCTCTGAGAGCTTGTCCAGCCGTGGCGAGGTCTTATCAGGGCCGGATGCCCCAACCGTACCCAGCCAGCCAGTTGCTCCCATTCTGGTAACTCAAGGTTTCTAAGGCTGATGTGTCCAGTCGACCAGAAAGGCTTATCTTCATGGGGCAAAGGGAGCCGGTTGGTGGCTGGGGCTCTGAGATATTAGACAAAGGCTGCACAGGGTCGCCTGAGTTCAAAGCAACAATCAAACCTGCTGGCTGTAGTGAAAAGGGACAGCATGATAGAGAGTATGCAGCCTTCGTGGTGGAGGCAGACAGACTTGGATTTTAAACTTGTGCTCTGCCACATCTCAGGCAGGTGTGCTAAGGGTATGCTCAAATGTGACATCCTCCCTATTAACATTAGGCAGAAGCACAGAGCCGGGTCCATATCTAGGTCATTCCCTCCATAACGACTACAGGGAAAGACCTGCAGTGACCTGCTCTGAGCCTCTTCATATAGTCTGCAACAGTTGGGTTGAAGAGGCACCTTCTTTGCAAGTTTCTTAGGAAAATAGACATCAGGCATATCGCACCCATTGTGCCTCACACTTACTTATCAGTGAGTGGTTGATGGGAAGAAATGGTAAGTTGATCCCTATAGGCAAGTAGAGACCCCAGCAGTGTGTCCCAGAGAGCAAGCTTCAAAGCAGTAAGAGATGGGAAACAAACAAAAAACAGAAACAAAATTGCCCAGTACAAAGGCTCTCTGGAGACTCAACTGGCACACAGAACTCAATATGTTAGTCATGCAGTTTCTCATATTCTACCCCCACTCCCATATATGCAACATGCACACAGCTACATGAATACTCAATACTCAGGGATATGCTTCAGCACAAACATCCATACATGAATGGACCACATAACTGCTCTCAAGGAAGATAATTATAACCAACATATTGAATGCTGTGGGCCAGTCACTCTGCTAAGCCTTTACTAGTATTTTACAATGATTCCAGGACACTAGTAACATCAATATCTATGCATTACCATTGATGGAAGTGAGTCCTAGAGAGATGATGCTATTGTGTTCAAATCACAATTAGTGAATAGCAAACAAATAATCCTCACAAAAATCTATATGACTTAGAAAACCAAGTGCATAACTCTGTGCTGCATTGCCACTTCACATACATGGGTGCCACACTTACCCATCCTCCCATATTATTACCAGGCTTAGGGATACACAGCCTCAGACATACAGATATATATATATATTTGTTTATATAGCTATACATTATGACATTTGTCATAATGTCCACACACTGACAAATATACATTCAACCATTAATTTGTTTACTTATTCAACATATCTTTAATACTCCTCTGCTATGTGTCAGATTCTGGCTATATAGAGACAGAAATGGCTGAGAATGGTGGCTGGCACCTTTAATCTCAGCACTTTGGGAGGCCGAGGTGGGAAGATCACTTGAGACTAGGAGTTCAAGGCCAGCCTGGACAACATAATGAAACCCTGTCTCTCTCAAAAAAAAAAAAAAAAAAACACAAAACTCTGTTCATGGTGGCATGCACCTGTGATCCCAGCTACTCAAGGGTTGAGGTAGCAGGATTGCAAGACCCTGAGGCCCTGTCTCAAGAAAACAAACAGACAGATAACATGCAGCCCTGGCCTTTCAGGAGCTCACAGCGTAGTGGAGAAGATAGAGTAGGAAACACAATGTAACTATAATGAAGTTATTTGCAAGACACTAAGAAAAGCACAGGAGAGGGAGCTGTCTTCTTTTCCATACTAAAACTATACCCCTTACATTAGTTTAATTCAACTGTCAGAGAAGGCTTCCCAGAGGGAGGGACATGTGAAGGAATGGAAGTGCCCCAGAGAGGTGACAGGCATTATAGGCAGAGAGAACATTCAGCAGGGACACAGCAAAAGCCCATAGGCTGAGGGACAATGGCATGCTTGAGAAACAATATGTTGTTTGGTATTGCTGAAGCATATAATGAAGGCTGAGAAGTTGAGAGGAGGATGGCAGGAGTTAGGAGATAAAGTCCTGATGTCAAATCCCTTTGTGAACCAGCTTAGGGAGAATAGTTTTTATGTTATGGATGGTGGGGAGAGATCGAAGAGCTTTGAGGTAGGACAGCACTGGATAACCATTTCAGAAAAAGACCCTTGGAGAAGTGTGATGAACAGATTAGGGTGGTGTGGGATGTAAGGGAGAAGCCTGAGAGACTGGTTGGGAGATGGTTCTAATTGGCCGGGTGAGAAATGGTTGCAGCCTGAACTAGAGCAGTTGCAATGGAGAAAAAGGCGGGTACATTTGAGAAATTGTTGAAGTATAGACTTAATAGAACTTGGAAACTGATTGAATATGGGAGTGAGACAGAGGGAAGGGTTGGGGATGATACCCAGGGCATGACTGAGTGACTAAATGGATGCTGCTGCCATTCACCATGATGGGGAGGATGACAGGAAGAACAGTTTTGGGGGATGTGAGGAGTGTGAAGGCAGGAGATTAAGATGTCTTTGGACATCCAAAGGAGATATCCAGTGACTAGCAGGTAATATTAGTTAGAAATTTACTTCAGATTGCCATATGCAAATTGTATATATGGGCAGACACACACACACACACACACACACACACACACACACACACACATGCTCACCCAACACTTACCCTTAAAGAGCAATCCTAGGAGGATAAGAAGGCCTGTTGAGGTAAAAAGCTAGAACTTCCCTTAACCCAAGGAAAAGAATATTATCCCATCGTTCCTATATTATCACCAAACCTACTGACCTCTTTGAGCTTATCGGCTTGAAGAGTCAGGGAGTCAACAGTGAGTTTAGAGTAAAGCATTGAACTTTCATTTCAGACATTCTTTATTCCACAGTATAATCCTGGTGATTTTTCTACACCTGCCCCTTGTAAGGCAAGAAATTCTCCTTTCTCTGTACTTTTCAAGAAGAATACAGGATTATTATTGCATGGCATGGATTAAGACAGGGATTCCCAAAGAATTGAGATGTAGCATGGCAGAAGGTTAAGAGCCCTGGCTCTGAAGCCAAGCTGTTTGGGTTTGAATCATTGCTCTGTATATCCTAGCCAGGACATACTGGGCAAGTTGCTGAAGCTCACTGTGCTCCCATTTCTTCCTGTGTAAAAGGAAGACAATGATAAAACCTACTTCATGGGATTGTGGTGAAGTTAGATAGCCTCCTAGCACATTATATGTGCTTCATCAGTTCAAAGGTTTTACATATGAGGACATTTTAAAAATGTCCCATGGGGGCTCAAATTGTAGCAGAAAGAGAGTGGTCTTTAGAATCAGGCTTGGGTTTAAACCCTGGCTTGCCAATTACCGGTTGGATGAGCTTGGGCAAATCATGCCAAACCAGAGCTTTAGTTTCTTCAATTATAAAATGGTGATAATAACCATTATTTAACAGGCCAACATGAGGATCAGAGGCAATTCATTTAAAGCTCCTTGCAAGATGCCTGACCTAAAATATGTGCAAAATACATGGTTGTGTGATCAATAGTTCTAGAATGGGTTTCTCACTGTTGTCGTCCATCTGTGAATGAGGCATGCGTAAGTCAGGATAGGCTAAGCTATGCTGAGTTAACACAAAAACTTTAGTGCATAACATAACAAAGCATTAATCGTCACTCACTGGACATACCTACTACAGGTTGGCAGGAAGCTCTATTCCAACAGTCACTCAGGGATCCACACTGATGGAGGCCCTCTATTGAATCATGAATATACCTTCTGGAATACATTGGCCTATGAGATGGGAAGAGAAGGCTGGAGAAGGCATACGAAATCTTAACCCACAGTTCACTGGATGGAAAAAAATCACATGGTCCCAGATGAAGAGGGAAGAAATAATATTCTAGGAGTGAGATGCCATGGATAGCTTTTATGTAGGAGAGACCACAATCTAGGTGCACAGATTTTTATATGTGTGTGTGCATGTGTGTACATATAAACAAGTATACACCTATATATGTGTACATATATATATGCGTATACATGTATATAAATATGTGTATTTTACACACACATATATTCAAAGAACAGTTTTTGAGGTCCTACTATGTGGTCTGGCACAATTTTTGGCACTGGGGATATATTAGTGAATAAAACAGACTAAATCCTGTTCTCATGAATTTTGTATTCAAGTGGGAGTGGAAAATAAAATCAATAAATATAATAAATAAGTAAATTATATAATATATTAGAAGATTATAAATCTTGTGAAGGAAAAATAAAGCTGGGTAAATTGTATTTGAAATGTACCATTTGGGGTATGGTCAAAATTTAAAAAGGGAACTTCATGGAAAAGGAGGTGAGGGAAGGAACTGGGGAGAAATTATTCCAGGCAGAGAGAGGAGGATGTGCACATTATTGGGAACATGCCAGAGGTTCAAGGTGAATTCCCCCACTAGATTGAATACAATTATTTCTGTTTAGCCAAAAAATAGGAAATGCTGATGAGGATCATTAAGAATGGTTGTTCTATAATAACTATGTATTGTGCTGTTACCATTTGTTAAGAAATGGGCTAAGGGCATCTTATCTACGCTACAGAATCCTCCTAACAGCCCAGTGTGGCAGATGGAACTCTGTTTATTTTACTGACAAAGAAACTAAGGCTGGAGGAGACCAAGTACTCACCCAGTGTCACAAGCCTGCAAGCAGCAGAGACCATCTTTAAACAAAGAACTTTCCCCGCTTATACATCCATGACCCTAAACTCTGCACCATATAGTTCCTTTGCAATCCTCGGATCCTACATTTACAAATTTTAAAAAGCCATAGCTATTCACTTAAGATTTCACTGAAGGTTCCATATTTCCTCTATAAGTAACACTTTCTACTTAAATGAGGAAATACGCGCAAAGGGTTGGGGTGGGAGATGTTGCTCAAACTCAAAAATAAAAAAGCTAAAGATAAAGGAGAACCATGCCATCATTAACGAGGCAGGATCCTCCTGACTCCACTGGTTTTGGTTTTTCTGTTTGTTTGACATATAATTCACATACCATGAAATTCACCTTTTTAAGGCTACAATTCAGTGGATTTTATGTTATAGATATTAACAAAGTTGCACAACCATCACAAGTAATTCCAGAACATTTTCATCACCCGAAAAAGAAACTCTGTAACCCATTAACAGTCATTTCCATTGCCCCTTCCTCCCAACCCCTGGCAACCACTAATCTACTTTTTATCTCTAGGAATTTGCCTATTGTGGACATTTCATATAAGTGGAATCATGCAATATATGTCCTTTGTGTCTGGATTCTTTCACTTAGCATGTTTTCAAGGCTCAGTGAATATTGTAGCTTGAATAAGGACTTCATTCCTTTTTATGGCAAGTAATATTCAGTTATTTAGATATACCACCTTTCGTTTATTCATTCATCAGTTGATGGATATTGGGTCATTTTTCACTTTTTGGCTGTTGTGAATAATGTTGCTATGAAAATTTTTATGCAAGTCTTTCTGTGGAGATACGTTTTCAGTTCTCTTGGTTAGATAGCTTGGAATGGAATTGCTGGGTCATATGATAACTCTGTGTGTAACTTTGAGAGGAACTACCAAACTGTTTTCCAATATGGCTGCACCGTTCTGCATTTCCACCACCAATATATGAGGATTTCAATTTCTCCATATCCTTGCTAACACTTGCTATTTTGTGTCTTTTTGACTATCGCTATTTTAGTGGGTATGAAGTGGTGTCTCATTGTGGTTTTTATTTGCATTCTCCTAATAACATGATGTCAAGCATATTTTCATGTGCTTATTAGCCATTTGAATGTCTTTTTTTTAGAGAAATGTCTAAATCTTTTGTCCATTTTTAAATTGTGCTTCGTAAATTGTTCAGTTGTAATGCTACTTTATATATTCTAGACATGACACCTTTATGAGATATGAAATCTGTAAACATTTTATCTAATTTTATGAGTTGTCTTTTGACTTTTTTGATAGTGTTCTTTGAGGCACAAAAGTTTTAAATTTTGATAAAGTCCAATTTATGTATGTTTTTTGTTTGCTTATGCTTTTAATGTAATATCCAAGAAAACTACTGCCTAATCCAAGGTCTTAAAGATTTTCTCTTATGTCTTCTTCTTACAGTTTTATAGTTTTAGCCTTTACATTTAGGTCTTTAATGACCTATTTTAATTTTTATACATGGTGTGATATAGGGGTCCCACTTTATTCACTTGACGAGGCTACCCAAGTGTTCCATTTGATAAAGAGTCTTTTGTTACAGAGAGTATTCTGTCCCCACTGTATTTTCTTGGCACCCTCCTTGAAAAACAATTGACCATAAATGTATGAGTTTATTTCTGGGCTGTCAATTTTATTTCATTGATCTACATCTGTCCTCATACTGGTGTCTCACAGTCTTGATTACCATAGCTCTGTAATAAATTTTGAAATCAGAATGTATAAGTACTCCAGCTTTTTTTTCTTTTTAAATATTGTTTTGGCTATTCTGGATGCCTTTCATTTCCATGTGAATTTTAGGAGCAGCTTGTCAATTTCTGTAAAACAAATCATCGGATATTTTAATAGAGATTTTGAATCTACAGATAAATTTGGGAATATTTCCAGTTTAACAGTGTTAAGCCTTCCAGTCCATGAATACAGGATGTCTTCACATTTACACAGGCCTTCTTTAATTTCTTTGAATGATATTCTGTAGTTTTTAGTGTTCAAGTCTTATGCTTCTTTTGTTAAATTTATTCCTAAGTGTTTTTTTTAATTCTGTAAATACAGTTTTTAATACTGCACAAAGGAATGGTTTTCAAATTTTATTTTCTGATTGTTCATTGCTAGTAAATAGAAATACAGTTGATTTTTGTATATTAATCTTGTAACCTGCTTGACTGAACTTATTTTTTAATTTTTTTTATTTCGAATTTTTATGGGTACATAGTAGGTGTATATATTTATGAGGTACATGAGATATTTTGATACAAGTATGCGATGTGTAATAATCACATCAGGGTAAATGAGGAATCCATCACCTCAAGCATTTATTATTTCTTTGTGTTATGAACTTTTCAATTATGCTCTTTTAGTTATTTTAAATATACAGTAAATTGTTGACTGTAGTCACTCTCTTTTGCTATCAAATACTAGATGTTATTCATTTTATCTAATTATATTTTTGTGCCTATTAACCAACCCCTCTTTTCCCCTTCTTCTCCACTGCCCTTCCTAGCCTCTGATAACAACTATCATTCTATCCTCTAGCTCGATTAGTTCAATTTTTTTTTTGTTTTTAATTTTAGTTCTCACAAATGAGTGAGAACATGCAAAGTTTGTCTTTCTGTGCCTGGCTTATTTCACTTAACATAATGTCCTCCAGTTCCATCCATGTTGTTTCTAATGGTAAGATCTCATTTTTTTTAATGGCTGAATACTACTCCATTGTGTATATGTACCACATTTTCTTTATCCATTAGTCTGTTGATGGACACAGGTTGTTTCCACATCTTGGCTATTGTGAATAGTGCTGAAATAAACATGGGAGTACAGATGTCTCTTCAATATACTGATTTCCTTTCTTTTGGGTGTATACCTTTCCTTGGATAGCCGGATCATATGGTAGTTCTAGCTTTAGTGTTTTGAGGAATCTCCATATTGTTCCCCATAGTGGTCGTATTAATTTACATTTCCACCAGTAACATACGAGGGTTTCCCTTTCTCCACATCTTTGTCAGCATTTGTTATTGCCTGACTTTTGGATAAAAGCCATTTTAACTGGGGTGAGATGACATCTCATTGTAGTTTTGATTTGCATTTCTCTGATGATCAATGATGTTGAGCACTTACTTATATACCTGTTTGCCATTTGTATGTCTTCTTTTGAGAAATGTCTATTCAGATCTTTTGCCCATTTTTAAATGGGGTTATTAGAATCTTTTTGGTATTGAGTTGTTTGAGCTCCTTATATATTCTGGTTATTAATCCCTTGTCAGATGGATAGCTTGCAAATATTTTCTCCCATTCTGTGGGCTGTCTTTCACCTTATTGATTGTTTCCTTTGCTGTGCAGTTTTCACTTGATATCATCCCATTTGTTCATTTTTTTCTTTGGTTGCCTATACTTTTGGGCTATTACTCAAGAAATCTTTGCTCAGACCAATGTCCTGGAGAGTTTCCCCAGTGTTTTCTTGTAGTAGTTTCGTAATATGAGGTCTTAGATGTAACTTTTTTAATTATTTTGATTTGATTTTTGCATATGGTAAAAGATAGCACTCTAGTTTCTTTCTTTGATATATGGATACCCAGTTTTCTCAGCACCATTTACTGAAGAGACTGTTCCTTCCCCAATGTGTGTTCTTGGCACCTTTGTTGAAAATGAGTTAACTGTGGATGTGTGGATTTATTTCTGAGTTCTGTATTCTATTCTGTTGATATATGTGTCTGTTTTTATGACAGTACCATGCAGTTTTGGTTACTATAGCTCTGTAGTATAATTTGAAGTTAGGTAATGTGATTCCTCCAGTTTTGTTCTCTCTGCTCAGGATAGCTTTGGCTATTTTGTGTCTTTGGTGGTTTCACAGGAATTTTAGGATTTGTTTTCTATTTATCTGAACAATGTTGATATGGTTTGGCCATGTCCCCACCCAAATCTCATCTTGAATTTCCATGTATTGTAGGAGGGAACCAGTGGGAGATAATTGAATCATGGGGGAAATTCTTTCGTGTGCTGTTCTCATGATAGTGAATAAGTCTCACAAGATTTGATCATTTTATAAAAAGAGATTTCCCTGCACGAGTTCACCTCTCTCTTTGCCTGCTGCCATCCCTGTAAGATGTGACTTGCTCCACCTTACTTTCCACCATGATTGTGAAACCTCCCCAGACATGTGGAACTGTAAGTCCATTAAACCTCTTTTTCTTCCCAGTCTCAGGTATGTCCTTATCAGCAGCATGAAAATGGACTAATACAAATGTCATTGGTATTTTGCTAGGGATTGCATTGAATCTATAGATTGCTTTGGGTAATATGGATTTTTTTTATTCTTTCAATCCATGAACATGGATTATCTTTCCTATTTTTGTGTGTCCTCTTCAATTTCTTGACTCAATGTTTTATATTTTTTTGTAGAAATATTTCACTTCTTCAGTTAAATTTATTCCATTTTATTTGTAGCTATTGTAAACGGGATTCCTTTCTTCGTTTCTTTTTCAGACTGTTCATTATTGGCATGTAGAAATGCTACTTATTTTGTATGTTGATTTTGTATCCTACAACTTTCCTGATTTTGTCAGTTCTAATAGTTTTTTTCTTGGTGGAATCTTAGGTGTCTTCAAATATAAGATCATATCATCTGCAAATAAGGATAATTTGACTTCATTTTTTCCAATTTAGATGCCCATTATTTCTTTCTCTTACCTGATTTCTCTAGCTAGGCTTCTAGTACTATGTTGAGTAACAGTGATGAGAGTGGGCATCACTTTCTTGTTCCAGATCTTAAAGGAAAGGCTTTTTGTTTTTCCCCATTTGGTATAATACTAGCTGTGTGTCTATTGTATATAGTTTTATTGTGTTGAACTATGAACTGTTTTATATCTAATATTTTATGGACTCCTTTTTATTTTCCATATATAAAATTATGTCTCTACAAAAATAGATTGTATTACTTTTTTTTTTCTTATCTGGATGCTATTTTTTTTTTACTTTTTAGATTTTAAGGATGGCTTGGGCCTTTTTTATTGTTGCTGTTAAAGTAAACTCAGAGTTTACCAGTAGTAGTACTTTCAGGGAATTTTCCAAATTACCTTTTTCTTCAATCTAAGAAGAGGTTATTGACACCTTTTCAAAATTATGTAGTCATTGATCATTTTGCCCAAATAATATCTTTTGGAAGTGACATGAGAATAGTCTTATGTTTATATTGTTGATTTTCTTATTTCTTTTTGGACACTAGTATTAAACTGAAAATTTAATAATCTTACAACTTAAATAATTTGTAGTAAAGAAAATGTCACATGGGTTTTAAAAATTAGCAATTAACTATTACTTCCTACCGTAAACTGTTTTTCTTTTCTTTTCTTTTTTTTTTTTTTTTTGAGACAGAATCGCACTCTGTCACCCAGGCTGGAATGCAGTGGCACAATCTCAGCTCACTGCAACCTCCGCCTCCCAGGTTCAAGCAATTCTCCTGCCTCAGCCTTCTGAGTAGCTGGGATTACAGACGTGCGTCACCACACCCAGCTAATTTTTGTATTTTCAGTAGAGACAGGGTTTCACCATGTTGGCCAGGCTGGTCTCGAACTCCTGACCTCAGGTGATCCACCTCCCTTGGCCTCCCAAAGTGCTGGGATTATGGGCGTGAGCCACTGTGTCCAGCCTCCTACCATAAACCTTTTTTTTTTTTATTATTATACTTTAATTTCTAGGGTACATGTGCACAATGTGCAGGTTTGTTACATATGTATACATGTGCCATGTTGGTGTGCTGCACCCATTAACTTTTCATTTGCATTAGGTATATCTCCTAATGCTATCCCTCCCTCTTCCCCCACACCACGACAGGCCCCAGTGTGTGATGATCCCCACCCTGTGTCCAAGTGTTCTTATTGTTCAATTCCCACCTATGAGTGAGAACATGCGATGCTTGGTTTTCTGTCCTTGCGATAGTTTGCTCAGAATGATGGTTTCCAGCTTTGTCCATGTCCCTACAAAGGACATGAACTCATCCTTTTTTATGGCTGCATAGTATTCCATGGTATATATGTGCCACATTTTCTTAATCCAGTCTATCATTGATGGACATTTGGGTTGGTTGCAAGTCTTTGCTATCGTGAATAGTGCCACAATAAACATATGTGTATGTGCCTTTATAGCAGCATGATTTATAATCATTTGGGTATGTAATGGGATGGCTGGGTCAAATGGTATTTCTAGTTCTAGATCCTTGAGGAATCACCACACTGTCTTCCACAATGGTTGAACTAGTTTACAGTCCCACCAACAGTGTAAAAGTGTTCCTATTTCTCCACATTATCTGGATGCTTTTTTTTTTCCTTGATGAATTGTCTTGTCTAGAACCTTCAGTACAATATGGAATAGAAAGGGTAAAAATAGATATCTCTATTATCTATTTCTACTTTGATATCTCTGTTATCAAATTCTACTTTGTCATAGGGTATAGTCTTTTTTATAGTTGTTCAGTATGGTTAGTTTAGTATTCTGTTGTATCTATATAAGGGATATTGGATTTCATCTGATTTTAATCAGACAAATTCTATAATGATAACACCACCTTATAGAATTCATTGTCAGTGTTCCCTCTTCCTTTGTCTTGTTGGAAGAGCTTGCAGAAGATTGGCGCTAGCTGGAGTTAACATTTGCTATCATTCACCAGTGAAGACATCTAGTGACCCATTGTGAAATAGGAAAAGAAAGCAAAGTCCATGGGGCAGAAATTCACCCAAGGTCACAACAGGCAGCCCTGAGTTCAGGCTCCAGCTGAGCCAGTGCCTAGTGTGTAAATTGTTTCTAGTTTTCTTAACTATGATCAAAAGTGGATATTGCTGTCATGGGGTAACTGATGAGGAAACTGAAGCTCACAAACATGGCATGATTTGCTTATACATGCTGTGGCTGAACTGGAGCTCTAATGAAACCTTATGAAAAACAACACCCTCCAGAACCATTGCCTTTGTGCAGGGATTTGATTTTAAAGATGCACTGTTTCCATTTTATCTTACTTGAGTATCATAAGTAAGCAAGATAAGCAAGATAACATTTATTGTACCAAGCACTGTTCTGGGTGTTTCTCATGCTATTCATTCTTTTTTTTTTTTTTTTTTTTTTTTTTTGAGACGGAGTCTCGCACTTTTGCCCAGGCTGGAGTGCAATGGCATGATCTCAGCTCGCTGCAAGCTCCACCTCCTGGGTTCACATCATTCTTCCACCTCAGCCTCCCAAGTAGCTGGGACTACAGGCACCCGCCACCACGCCCAGCTAATTTTTTTGTATTTTTAATAGAGACGGGGTTTCACCGTGTTAGCCAGGATGGTCTCGATCTCCTGACCTCGTGATCCACCCGCCTCTGCCTCCCAAAGTGCTAGGATTACAGGCGTGAGCCACCACGCCCAGCGCTATTCATTCTTACAACAATCTTGTGAGGCAAGTATTGTTGACTCCATTTTACAGATAGGAAAACTAAGACTCTCAGAGATGTTAGAAACAGGAAATGGAGAAAGTCATGATGCAAACTCAGTCTTTTAGACCCCAAGCAGAGGGCTTGTTTCTTTGTCCCACTCCCACCCCTCCACCCATGGAAAGCAGAACTCACATATGAGATGGGAACTGAGCTCAGCTCAGAACTGAGTAGATAAGAACCATTCTGCCTATAATGTTCCCTAACTTAATGGCCAAGAGTAAATCCAAGTTGGTGGCCTCTGCTTGGCCTCTCCTCCTCTGAGCTTGGCTTTGGCAAAATTCAATCTTAAAGGCACCATGGAAGAAGAGAAGGGCTTTAGGGTCAGATGTGGGAAGAGAAGTGATGTCAGTGTTGAAAGGAGCAGTAGTGTGTTCCTGTTGTAAGATCTCTTCCTTGTCAAAAGTTGGGAACATGGAGTTCATCCTCCTAATAAACTTTAACTTCCTCTGAACTGTGACTCAAGACCCACTTGGGACCAATGAATGCCTAATAATTTTATCCATTTGGAAAGAGCAGTGGACTTTGAGTAAGTAGACCTATGTTGGGGCCTGGCTAAACTACTACTATATCTGTAGCCTTGGGAAAGTCAATCCAAATTTCCAAGGCTCACTTGCCTCCTTGTAAAATGGATTTAATAATACACATCCCTTAGGCAGTTGTAAAGGAAACAGAAGACAACTGTGTAAAAGCTTCTAGCACTGTGTCTGATACAGAGTATGTGCCCAGGAAATGTGTGTGGAATCTCTAAGGCACTTTTACATCCATAATCACCATTTAGTCCTCACACCGTCACCATGGGGTTATTGACAGGCCACTGAGGTGCAGAGAGGGCAAACAATCCCACCAAAGCCACATAGCTAGTTAATGACAAGGTGAAACCTACACATCATATCCTCTGCCTCTCAATTCAACATGCTTCCAAGTTATGCCTTCTGAAAAAGTCATTTCTATAACTGAAGTCACTTTAAAAATTATTGTTTATATCTGAGTTCAGAGATGCTGTCCAATATATAATAAAGATATTTTTAAAAGCCTACAATTTGCTTCAGAGATCCCAGGAGTGCAAGTTGGAGTAGAATAATTGGGCATTCTGTGTTCAATTCATTCCTTAACTTGAGACCATAAGGTTAGTCTGTGTCTGCTTTACCCTAAAACAGCATATTAAAATGTGAACATCTTCCAATTAAGTACTATAGCTAGTACAATTATGTGTTATCATTTAGTCCACACCCTGAATAAAGAGAAGGAGGAGGAAAAGACGGGGGATGGGGAGAGGAAGGGACAGGAGAAGACCAAGAAAAGAAAGGCAAACACAGTCATTGTTGTTAAAGCCAAGCCACATGCCAACCTGCATTTTTTTTTTTCAAGAGGGGTCAGGTCACTCATATTTGATGAGTGAATGAATACACTCAGATCATTTGCATAGTATTTATATATTTAAATCCACTGTCTTATTCACTCCTCAAAGGCTTTCAGAATGGAGAGGGCAAGAATTGTCATCATTTTTTCGTACAAAAAAATGAGAGTCCTGTAGGTGGTTGACAATCCCAGTTTGCAGCAGACAGAAGATCCAGCAAGATAAGGTCTAGTTCACAGTAGCTTTTAAACTCATATCTAAGGCTTAGTCCACTGTTTTGAAAGAAGGAAGAACAGACACACCTGAAACAAACATAGGGGCAAGAATACATTTTTATTGAAGACCTTATAGTACTGTGTCCCATTTCTTGTTCATTTGACCATCTCTCTGCTCTTCTGTGAGCTCCATGACAGCAAAAACCCCACTCTTTTTTTTTTTATGGGTGTTTCTTCCGTGCTTAGCAGAATGCCCAGCACCTAGTAGGCATTCATTTATGGCAAAGCACACAGAGTGGAACTGCTGTGATAATTACTCACTCCTCAGGTATTGGAGATACACTCAACACACTTTAATTGTAAATGAATTTATATGTATTTAATTTTAAGTGTTAATACTATAATTATTTCTGAGTTCTGGTGTTCACTGCACTGTGAATTTTAGGGAGATGCTCACATACCAGTGAATTTCAGGGGATTTAGCAGTCAGAACAGTGGATGCCTAGCACCGTTTCCAGGTTGCTGTCACCTCTGCCTGAGCTTAGAACCAACACTGGTTTCCAGACTTGGCCTTCCTACAGAGCTCTCCCTGCCAGCTCCCCACTCCCCTGATTCTTTGCCTGTTAGCTCATACAGCTTGAGAGGTTGAAGGGAGTGCAAGTGTGGGGAGCTGGTGTTTGGAGCCCAACCACAAACTGCTTTACCTTTGTTCTAAGCCAGGACCTCCTAATCATGCCTCAGACTGAGTTGTTTTGAAAGTAGAAACTAGGATGGGAGTCCTTAATACCAAGATGGTCTCTCTGTTCCGGGCACTAGAATTAAATATTTATGTTGGCAGAAAGCATGGGTTGTCAGCTTGAGTTGGGAGACAGGAAAGTTGGGTTCTGGTGCTCGAGGGTGGGTGGCTGCATGTGAGAGTGAGCAGGGATGCATAGCAGCCCCTGGTGACTCATTCTCAAGCCTCACTTGGGTACTCCTAGACCAAAGGGGAACAGAAATACTTTGCTTGGTAGCTAGCACTCAGCTGGGGGGAAGTTTGGACATCTGACTTTTGGCAGCCTCTCCAGCCCAACTTGCCCAATACCCTCATGTCCCAGGCTGGGAAAGTGAGAGCAGAGCATGGTGGGACTTACCCAAAGCCATTATTACTCAAACTGGAGTCTAGGTCTTCAACGGGCTATGGAGGCATTAGACCTGCAGTTAGAGAGCTGTGTGACCTTGGACCAGTCACTTGAACTCTCTGATCCTAACTGTAAAATAGGAATGATTTCTAACCTTGGGATTAAATGAAATAATGTAAGCAAATGATACTACATTCAGTACTTTCAAAGCTCTACATTGGAGTCAGTAGGCTTTCCTCTGGAGGTCCAGATAGTAAATATTTTAGGCCTTGACGATGCTGTGATTTCTGTCACAATTACGTGATTCTGCCATTGTAGTGTGAAAGCAGCCATAGAAAATGCATTCAAAGCAAACCAAAAAAGAGTGTGGTTGTAAAAGATTTATTTATGAAAATAGGCAGTGGGCCAGATTTGGACTGTGGGCTGTAGTTTGCTGATCCTGCTTGCAATGCTTGTTAGTTGTTGCAGTTACTATTGATGACACAACAAATGACCCCAAAACTTAGCAGCTTAAAATCACCATTTGATTTTGCTCATGGATCTGTGGGTTGAAAATTCAGACAGTACATAGTAGGTTGGGCTGTCTTTGCTCCACGAAGTATGGGGCCTCAACTGCAAGAATTCAAAAGCTGGGAGTAACTTGACTGCTTGGGTGAGAATTATCTGAAGGCTCCTTTACTCATCCATCTGGAGCCTAGGTACCAGGGCTGCTGAAGCAACCACACATGGCCTCTCCTTGTGGCTTGTCTTCCTCCCACCACAGTGGCCTCAGGGCACTCAAATTTCTTATACGGAGGCTCACAGTTCCAAGTGAGAATGTTTCAGTAAGCAAGGTGGTAGCTGCATCCCCTTTTATGACCCAGACTCAGAAGTCACACAGCATCCCTTCCATTTTGCTCTACTGGTCAAAGCACTCATGAGCCTGCCCATATTCAAGGTGAAATGTCAAAGAACTGGGGCGGGGGTCTTGTTTTAAAGCCATTATAGAAGAGATGAATTATTTAAACACATGCACATTGAATAACAATTATGCTAACTTACCACTTACCATGTGTCAAGCATCGTTTCATAAACTTTATTCCTCTAACATCCCTTTGAGATAGATAATATTATCATACACATTTTATTTTTACTAATTTATTTATTTAGAGGCAGGGTCTCGCTCTCTTGGCCAGGCTAGACTGCAGTGGTGCCATCTTGGCTCACTGTAGCCTTGATCTCCCAGGCTCAAATGATCCTCCCACCTCAGCCTCCCTAGTAGCTGGGACTACCAGTGTGTACCACCATGCACAGCTAATTTTTGTATTTTTTGTAGAGATGGGGTTTCACCATGTTGCCCAGACTGGTTTTGAACTCCTGGGCTCATGCAATCCACCTGCCTCGGTCTCCCAAAGTGCTGGGACTACAGTTGTGAGCCACCACGCCCGGCCACACACTTTAAAGACAAGAAACATTACAGAACAGAGAAGGTCGATTAACTTGCCTAAGGTCATAAGGATAGTAGGTTGTAGAACAAACATTCGAACTCAGGTAGCAGGGCTCCAGTGTCTATTCTAACCTCTGCACACCCTGCCTCATTGTGATCATAAAAGCAGAAACACTCTTTCTACTACTTGAGTGGAGCTGGGTTCAGAATGAGAGGCTTTGGACTTCAGAGTGTCTAGCAGTCTTCCCATCAAAAATCCATCACGAACACTATTACACATTTTCTCTACATCCATACTGTCTGGGCATCATGAATAGTACAAGGGAAAAGATATAGTACTTGATTTTGTTCACAAGAAACCTAAACTATGGGTAGGGAGATTGCATTCTGATTTCATTCTCACAATCCCACAAGATAAAACTCTTGTCCCCATTTTACAGATAAGGAAACTGAGGCTCAATGGTAGAATTTCTACTTGCTCAGTAGCTTCTTGCTACTGCCCAGGTAGAATCCAGATTCAAATCCAGAACAGTCTTATTTGTAAGTCCATGCTGTTTGCCACGGAATCCAGTGGAGAAAAGTCTGGAACGTGTAACACCAGCTCTATCGAGGAAAAAACAGCTCTCAGTTCCTAGAATATTAGATCTAACCTATCTCTCAGCAGTGAGCTTGGTCCTGTTCCCTCACTGCAGGAGATGGGAGGCTGAAGCATAGAGATGGGCACTGAGGTGGCCCTGGCCATCCAGCTTCCCAGACCCAAAGCTTAAGCTGGGACTAGGTGCTTTTCCTACTGCCCCTGTCTGCCACATTGTGCTGGAAATGGCAGGGAGGGGAGCCATGGCAGTGGGGGTGGGAGGGGTGGGCATGAGCTAAGTGGAAGTTGTTTGCCAAAGCTGTGTGGGGGGAAGGAGCATTTTACAAGACTGGGGCCTCTGGCCTGGAAACATCTGTTTCCCTTCAAATCAGCGAGGAGACTTTTGCCTCCCCAGAATGCCTAAATCATGTTGCGGCTGGGGAAGAGCAGGCGTTGGCCTGGAGACTTCAAACGCATTCTCCTATACTCTCGGGGACCCAGGCCTGACGTGGGCCTCTAGGGCTCTGTCCCTGCTCTTACCCCCTGTCAGATCTGTGAGAAGCTCTCACTGCCAATTAACTTCTTGGTTTCATTCTCTCACCCCTGCTGTGAGGAGGTCTGGGGTCTTGGATGGGACCAATAGCAGCTTCCTTTCTACCCACCCTCCTCTGATCTCCACTGGGACCACTTACTCCAGTTGGGGGTGAAGTCAGAGCCTTGGGCAGTGGCTTAGTACTAACCCTAATGATGATGCCAACAGCGATTGATTGCATATTGGTTATTGCATATCACAATATCACATGTCGGGCATTGTGCTGAGCACTTTCATGCTGCACTCTCTTTTATTCTAACAAGAACCCTTCATGGTGAGTTTTAATATTATGATTCCCGTTGTACAGGTGAGTACCTTGAGACAAGGCTACACACAGCCAATGTACGAGAAGCCAGAATTTAACAACAAATTGGCTGATCCCAAAGCCATGCCTTTAGCCCTCTTGTTATTCCATTCATTTTAGTAACCTTTCAATCTAGTCATCTTCTGTTCATTTCACAGATGGAAAGACTGATTTCCAGGAAAGGGAAATGAACCTCATTCATTCTGACCTGTGTGTGCTGAGCGTTGGTGCACCAGGTGTAGGTGTTTAGAGTTGAGCAGAACCATATTCTGATCCTGAAGACAATCACATACTCATAGGGGCAAGAAAGAAGTGAAGGGGTGCTGACCTAGCTGTGTGACATGTGCACCATATGGCATGGGCACCGTGCAGGGGAAAAGGAGGGCTAAGCAGCTCTTGAGACGGTCAAAGCAGACTTTCCAGAGGAGGTAAGGTTTGAGCGATGCTTCAAGGACAAGGTGGAGAGGGGTCAAGTGAAGAAGGGGATGGATGACTCAGCCAGAGAGTGCCACTGGTGGAAAGGTTCAGAGGTGGGATCCATGTTCTGGAACCATCAGCAGCTGGAGATGCCTCTGCTGTGAAGCAGAGTGGGGAGGAAGGTCAGCAAGCACACCTAGACCTTTGACCAGAGCTCAAATGAGGGGGTTCCAAGTTGAGGAATTTGTCCTGAGAGTGATGGACTTTGTCCTAAGGATGATGAAGATGATGTCCTGAGGATGACAATGTCCTGACAATGATGAAGAAATATTGAAAAATACTTCGGAGTAGTTATCCCAAGGCATTTTCCCACACAGTGTGTTTGTTTGGATTTCAACCTCCCAATACACTAAGCCTGTATTACTGTAGGTATGCAAGATCTCATACCACACAGTCTGTGGACAAGCTGGGACTCAAATTCAGGTTTCAGCCACCTTGGCCAGTGTTCCTTCCCCTGAAATAAGGCCAAGGAAAGGAATAGCAATGGTTTGGGCCTGGAGCTCCAGGTTCCTGTATAGCTCATCCAACGTTATCCATGAGCCGCCTCTTTCATAATGAAAGCATCCCATAAGTAGACTTGGACCTCGATCAGCCAGGGCATGGAAATGTAGGAGAGAGCACTGGAGGAGGAGGAGTCAGGAATGCCAGAGTCTTTGTATGAATCTATTGGCAAGTGGGTCTTTGTGCAAGTCATTTTTCCTTCTGGGCTTTGGTTTCTCCACTTGTAAAATCAAGATTAGGAGTTGATGGTACAGGAGTTTTAGTTCAAATTATCAGTGAACCTCAGCCTGCTTCAGAGAGATGATGACAGAACTAAGCAGAGAGAGGCTGACACCCTTTCTGATCTCAAGAAACTCAGAGGTCTGATTATTCTCTCTCTCTCTCTCTCTCTCTCTCTCTCTCTCTCTATCTCTCTCTCTCTCTCCCTCTCCCCTCTGTCTCTGTCTCTGTCTCTCTCTGTCCCTGGCTCTCCCTCTTTCACTCTCCTGCTGTATGGATTTGCTTGTGGTATATATTTGTATCTGTTTCTTGGTCTCTGTCCCCCCCCAACTTCTCACTCTCTCTGTCTCTTTCTCCCTCTCTCCTTCATATCAGGGACTGCCACTTTCTCTCCTTCACAAGTAACCCCTCCAGGCACTGCCTGGTCCCCTAACAGCTTTCAGATGTGCCTCTGGAACAGTTCTACAATTACAGCTGAGACAGGCAGAAAGCGCATGGCCTTGTGACTTTTGACCCAGCACTGTGAGGTTGACGTCTTCCTCTTTCTCCACCCCCCAGCAGGGTTGCCTGAGGCCTCCTCCATCCCGAGGCCCCCACTGGCATGTTTGGTTACTATAATAACAAAAATAGAAGCTACCTTTTAGGGAGCAAAGATTGAACTGGGCCTATTATTATCATTGTGTCACTGAGTCTTGACCACCAACTTGTGAGATATGGATAATTTCACCCTATTTTACAGGTGAGGAGACTGAGGCTCAAAGCAGGCGAAGTGACTTCCCAAAGAATATTCAGCCAGCAATTGGAGAAAGCAAGGATTCTACCCAGTTTTTATGACATGAATACCTAAGACCACTTCTTCCCCAGCATCCTGGGGGCTCTCTTATTCATGCTGCTTGGCTAAGCAGCGAGATGACCCTGGGCCCTCTTGGGTGAAGGAAGTGGATTGCAGAAGCACCACAGGAACATAAGTGGCCTATGAAACAGCTGTGTTAAAACATATTCCTACTTTTCATATTTTGAACTTTCATTCATATATTCTATTCACTACAAGCCTTCCATGTTTCCCTTGGTTGAAATACGTCTCTTCTAACTCCAAGAAAGCATTTTTTAAAATGTGTTGTCTTGCACAAATAAGTGCTTTTATAAAAATCCTCTTCTTACAAGCCACTTTCTCAGCATCACTCCATGTAATCCTTGAGACAGCCATGCACTGTCTGTGAAACTAACCTCATTTTATTGATGGAGAAACTAAAGAAATGAGAGGTGGTATGCTTTCATTCATTCATTTATATCAGTATTTGTCAAGTGCCTACTGTGTGCCTAGTACTGTGTTAAATGACTTGTTGTCATTTAACATATAGCTGTACCCAAGCCGAAGTGTATGCACTATGAGTCATGCATGCTAGCATTTGCATCTTGCCTCTGCCACTTTCTAGATGGGTCCATATGTGGATGATAAGTGCTTACATAATGTTGCCTGATGCTGTTCTCACTTCCCACCTTGCCACTTGCTTACTCTCACCTCCTTAAATTTATTTATGATCTTGTTCTCAACCCTTCTGCATGGCTTTCCAATGATAACTTACCTCATAGTGCACTTACATTTCACATCTATCCATACTGCACTTGTGAGGTGGGTGGCAGTCTATCACAGATGTTGGGTGCAGAGAGGTGCAGTGAGCTCAGAGAGGTGAAGCGACTTGCCCAAGTTCACAATGCTAGACAGTAAAACTGGAATATGAACCCACATCTGGCCATCTCCAAGACCGGGCCCCTTCCTCTGTCACCCCCTGCTTCCTTTGTACCAAGAAGTTTTGACTTGTGGTACCCTTTATTAAAACAACCTTTGAGGCCTCAGGTCATGGGAAGTCAAAGCTGGAAGGGCCCATGTAGGTAACCTGGATATGATACCCTGAGCCTGCGAGTGGGAGCAATAAAATGGCAGCTGAGAGCAAAGAGTGTGGGTTTTAGAGTAAGACAGATGATAGTCTTGGCTCCTTAATTTTCTGAACCTGTGACTTTGGACACATTGCTTAATTTTTTAAATCTTCAGTTTTATCTTCTGAAAGGTATAGATAATGAGGGTGATTATTTTAGCATGTTTTCATAAGATCAGAAAAACTTATGAGATGGCACTGCTTCAACATAGTTGGGGTTCAGCAAGTGTGGCTAATGGAATCACATTTTTACAGAGTTGATTTCTACAGAACTGTGATCAGAAGACAACAGCTTACAGTGGTTGCATGTATGAATTTTAGAGTCTGAGAAACCAAGGTTTAAATTGCCAGTCCTAGTAATTACTATGTGGTTCTGGGCAAGCTGCTTCCCCTCTCTGAGCCTCACAAATAAAATAAAGAGAGTAATAGTGCCTGTCTTTTAGGATTGTGTGGGGGAATTAATTGTGTTAATGTAGGTAACTCTTAGCTCAGTGCTTGACACATATTAGGGTCTTAGCACATAATAATTAATTTGTATCACCAACTTATATTTATTAAGTACAAGTATGTATGGCCAATCAGGGCTCAGCATTCTGAAACTTGCTAATCATAGTGTTTTTCGTATTTTATAACATGGGATAATTTGAGATGCAAGGGAGGAGGGAAGAAAATAGGGCCATTATGACCCTAGTCTCTTCTACTTAATGTAGGGAACCCTCTACCCACTTCACACTACTGCCTCTACCCTTAAAAGCTGGTGAAAAAGGATGACATGATGCAGACAGAACACTCAGATGCTCAACCCTTCTATCAGACTGTTCTTGGCCTCTAAGGCTCACATCATCTAGAAAGTCATTTCTGCTCCCTTCTTAGACTTTGCTTAACTGTAGAACTTGGAGATCTGGGAATACAAGGGTCACAGAGCTTCCCCGAGATAGGACAGAGGACAGAGGCTGCTCTAGAAACAATTATGTGCTCTGGATTAGACTTGAATCTACCAGGTCTACGTTTTACCTGTTCTTTCCTTCTAAGGCCACACAGGCTGTGTCTGCTTCCATCAATATAGCATGGAACTTCAGATGACATCATAGAAAGGTGGGGATATGCCTTATAGCCAGATTAACCCCCAGTCTCCCTGGCATGGCCTACAAGGTTCCCACCGACCTTCTACCTCATTTCCCTTTGTTCCAGCCACACTGGCTGCCCATTTCTTCAACCGTCTGGGCTCCTTTCCTCAGGACCTTTGTACTTACTGAGCATCCTACCTAGAATGCTCTTTCCCCAGGTCTTCCTTCCATAAACTGGTTCTTCCTCACTATTCAGGTCTTAGGTCCTGAAGTTTCTTCTTCAGGAAGGCTTTCATGGGCTACATCCCAAAGCCCATACTCCCCATGCTCCCGCATTAGTCTTTTTTGCATTATTCTGGTATATTTTCTTTCACACTTAACCATTATCTGATTTTTTGTTTACTTTTTGATTTTACTTACTTTTTTTATCTGTGACCTTGACTCTCTTGTTCATCTTTATGACCTTAGCACTTAAAGTACTTCCTGGTGTGCAGTAAATGCTCAATAAATATTTCTTAAATGAGTAAATTAATGAATATATAAATGGATATATCCAGCCATAAAGGATAGCAATGGGGCTCACTTCTCAGACCCTGGACTCAGACTGCATGAGTTCAATACCCCCATTCTGTCCCTCAGTAACTGAGACTGTGGAAAGATACACAATCTAAGTCTCAGTGTCCTCATTGACAAGATGTGGGTGACAATAAATCCCTCCCTTTTAAGAAGTGCAAAGTGCTGAGTAGGCAGTTAGTGCTCAATAAATGCTTTATAAGTATCATTCTTTTTTTAAAATCATTTTTCCTGTAGCCTCATGTGCCATGACTCTCTGTTCTTCCCTGCAACTCCCAGGGCCTTCTGTGAAGTCACAGCCTGGTGCTCTGTTTTCTTGCTGTGCTGCAGGTTCACTCTGTATGCTGTGGATACACGAGGGAGGCACTCAGAGCTAAGCACGGTGACCCTGAGGACGGCCTGTCCACTGGTAGATGACAACAAGGCAGAAGGTAGGTAACCCAGTTTTTCAACTCCAAAGTAACTCCCATATTTCCCCTAAGTTCTGCACCCAACAGTCACTAATCATTAAACACACACACGCACACCCTGACACACTGGCACAGGGAGAAGAAATTGAAGGCACTAAGGGAACAGGAGGAACATGGAGCTAAATTAATCAAAGTCATGAAGGGAAAAATTAAGATTGACTAGCAATGTCTTTGGCAGTGGAAAGACTTGCCTCCTCTTTTAGAGAGTTGATCTGTGTTCTGACTTACAGGCCACAAATGGTAGGGAGTCAGAGCCCCATAACTGTATCTTGTCCCTTGGCCTAGATTTCTCAGGGACCAATCATTTTCTCCCACTTGTCGTTGCTAGAGTAGCAAAGAGATGGCACCTAGAAAACCATTTCACCTTGTGGTGTCCATAGCAGACATCATTAGCAGATCACAGCATGCTGTTCCATCCAGTCCCATGGTGGTCTCAGAATCCTTAGCATAGAGCTACCATCAGTGATTATCAGTCAGTTAGCATGCAAGATTAAATGTTTTTGCTGCTCCTGGTTCATGACATAAACAGCAGGCAAAAATAACCTGAAAAAATATAATCAGTCAATCAGATCCACCATATACTTTGTTCTTCAGCATTGTGTAGATGCAGTTTCTACATCAAGTCTAGCAAAATGTGACAGTGGCTCATAAGTCCTGGTGGTCTACTTAAAGTTGAACAATTATTTCTCAAAAGTCCAAGCAATGCAGTAGAGACATAGTCTCCCCTTTTAGGAATTCACATTATGGGTGGTGAGACAGACATTTCTGCAGATGGCTCAATAATAAACTCAATTATAAATGTTTTATGTGCTACCAAAGGGGAGGGGATTCGAAACATTTTCCTGATAAATTTTTAAAAATATTATTTTAAAATAACACGTCCACTGTCAAAAAAAAAAGTACAAATAAAAATCAGAGTAGAAAATAGTGTAACATAATGGGAGGAGCATAGTGTTCCTCCCATTTTTACTCTTAAGTTTCCAGATTCTCCTAGCAGCAACTGTTGTTGGTAATGATTTAGGACCACATACAGATTTTGACAGGGTTTTTGAAGCTGGAAGAATATGCCTTCTACTCATGATGTATTGAAGTTACTTTGATTAGTAGGACTAACTGAAGCAGTAGGAATAGCCATGAACAACAAGCAGAAGAGTTTGGATTATCTTTGAAAGGTGTTTCAAATGGGGACCTATCAGACCTGATCACAGAAATGTGTTGGAAATACAACAAAGGGGAAATAGAAGGAGGGTGTTGAGATTATCCAAGACAATTTATTTAAGCCAATTGTATGTAAAATCACAGGTACAATAATTATATTGATAATTAAGCTTGCAATTATGAGCACTAACTTTGTGCCAGACCCTGTGTTGAGTGCTTTGTATCCACTCTTTAATTTAGCTCTCCCAATGCACCTCCAGAATAGACATCATTACCTCCAGATGACAGAAAACCAAACACAACCAGTCAATAACATATTCAAGATGAAATTAAGGTTTGTCTGCTCCCAGAGCTTATGCAAGCAAACTTTCTCACCACTGTGCCTTTCTTATTGAAGCCCATGCTTATATCCTTACTTTTTTTCACCACCCAGTGATCTGTTTCTGCCCTTCTGCCCTCTCAGAAATAGCTGACAAGATCTACAATCTGTACAATGGGTACACAAGTGGAAAGGAGCAGCAGATGGCCTACAACACACTGATGGAGGTCTCAGCCTCGATGCTGTTCCGAGTCCAGCACCACTACAACTCTCACTATGAAAAGTTTGGCGACTTCGTCTGGAGAAGTGAGGATGAGCTGGGGCCCAGGTATGGGCGTATTTGTGTGATTGGAGGGGCATATTCTTTTTGCCTCCAGTTGACTTTTCTGGACCCTTTCCCCATAGGCTGAGACTAGGCTTTATCAAGTAAATAAGGGTGATTATCACCTTGGTCGTGTCAAGGCTAAAGATAGAAAATAGGCAGAGATAATGAAAGAATCTTGGAACTTTAGATTCCTGCACTCCTGGAATGTTGAATGGGGAAAGGGCATTGATGCTCTTTGCATTAATCATTCTCCTTGCTCATCTCCCACCTCATTTTACAGATAGGAAACTTAGGCTCTTTGAAGGCCTGTATCCTAACCAAGATCACAGAGGGGAACAGCAGTGGGGCCATGACCCATAATCCAGGGCCTTTCTCAGTCTTCCATAAGAAGTCTGAGTTTTTTTACAGTAAATAGCTATGATTTTGACTAAAGTCCATTAGTGAACATGACTATATAGATTTATGAATTCAACATGTATGAAGGCTTTATTTTTGTCCTGCATGCCAGTCACTATGCCAGGAACCATGAATGATTCAAACAGAACTAAGGCACAGTCACTATTTTCTAAAGCTTCATAAAGCAGTATATGCAATGGTGGCTGCATTTTATGTCTTGCATCTAGCAACATTCATCCATTCAGCATATACTTAACAGCACCTCTTATGTGGTGGCTGCTGACAATGCAACGATAAAAAGGTAGAAATGGTTGCTACCTATACATAGCTTCTTGTTGCATAAACAGGCAGTTATGTAGAGCAGGAATAATAAGCGTCATGATAGCAGAAGAACAGAACTCTTTGGGAACATACATGAGACATAGGCATCTGGTCTAGGTCACCCAATGAAGCTGCACTGGGGCTGAGAGACTGATGCCTAAGGTTTGAGTTGGGGTAAGGTAAGTGAGGGTTGTGGGGGAAAAGGATGGGTATTTGGAGCAGAGAGACTACCTGACGGAATGCTCAGAAGAGAAAATGTTACATGACAGTGGAAGTTTTCTTCTCAACTTTTGATCACTTGCCTACCACTTTTATGACTTTTGTCATCTCACCACCATATACACTTTATTTGGTATTTCTTTCTTATATTCACTTCTTATTAAAAATGTATTTGAGGCCGGGCGCGGTGGCTCACGCCTGTAATCCCAGCACTTTGGGAGGCCGAGGCGGGCGGATCACGAGGTCAGGAGATCGAGACCATCCCGGCTAAAACGGTGAAACCCCGTCTCTACTAAAAATACAAAAAATTAGCCGGGCGTAGTGGCGGGCGCCTGTAGTCCCAGCTACTCGGGAGGCTGAGGCAGGAGAATGGCGTGAACCCGGGAGGCGGAGCTTGCAGTGAGCCGAGATCCCGCCACTGCACTCCAGCCTGGGCGACAGAGCGAGACTCCGTCTCAAAAAAAAAAAAAAAAAAAAAAAATGTATTTGAATAGAAAACACAACATCATCTTGTAAAGGGAAAACCAACATCATCTACCCTTAATAGAAAATTAAACCTAACCCTTCAAGACAATGAACAAAAGCAACAAAAGTGGAACAAGACAAAAAACAGAAAACAATGTTGTTCAATTCTAGCAGAGCCTGAAGCTGTCCCTTCAAAAGGGAGATTAGTTAGAGAAATGTTAAAGACACAGCCCCAAACCAAGATTTTCTTTTCTTTTTTTGACATGGAGTTTCGCTGTTATTGGCCAGGCTGGAGAGCAATGGTGCTATCTTGGCTCACTGCAACCTCCGCCTCGTGAGTTCAAGCGATTCTCCTGCCTCAGCCTCCCAAGTGGCTGGGATTATAGACACCCACCACCAGGCCCGGCTAATTTTTAAAAAATATTTTTAGTAGAGAGAGGGTTTCGCCAAGTTGGCCAGGCTGGTTTCAAACTCCTGACCTCAAGTAATCCGCCCATCTCAGCCTCCCAAAGTGCTAGGATTACAGGCGTGAGCCACCGCCCGGCCCAAGATTTTCCTTTTGAAGTAACCTGAAAGAGGGGAAGAGAATGAAAGAGCTAATCTAGCCACTTTTGCACACATGATTCATTTTTGTTTAATATTGGGTCTGTGATCATCTTGAGTACCACCTAAAATCCTTTCCCTACCCTAGAGGAACTCGGCCTACACTTTGGTAAACACTGTGTTTGGAGCCACTGAAGAATTTCTGTGTAGTGGCAGCAAAGTGTGTGACAGCAGGAGTGGTAAGAGATAAGAAGGGGGAGGTCAGTGGGAGCCAGATCCTGAATGTCCTTTAAATTAGGTTAAGAAGTTGGGATTATCTCCTTAGGGTAATGGTAAGCTTTTGAAGTGTTTTTCACAAAAAGGAGTAATATTATCAGACCATTAAAGGAGAAAGATCCCTCTGGCTTGAGTATAGGTGTCAAGGTAAGAAAGCGGCAGTGAGGCTCTAGAGGCTGTTGTGATAATAGTCCCAGGAAGACAGCATAGCATTCTAGGCCAGGGTGGCATTGGTGCATTGGAGAGAATCACATGACTTCTTGAAATACTTAGTGGGCAGCACTTCATGATTTAAAAACTTCAAAATGACCATGTAGGGTATTCATGCCATTTTTTGGACGATAAGGAAATTGAGGTCCCATGGGGCAAAATGAGCTGCCCAGAGTTGTGCAGAGTTTGACATGGAGGCCAGTTCTGCCTTGAGCTCTTACCTTGAGCCCTTAGAACATTTGCAATGGCCCTCCAAGAATTTGAGGCTCTCAGGGACAGAGATGAGAGCTTGGTCCAGGGATAAAACGGATCTCTGTCCAGCGCAAGGCCTTATCAGTTATGTTGGGTCCTGGACTTTAACTTTCTCCCTTGCACATGAAAGGAAGGTTCTTTAGATAAAACCTAAAAGAGGGCCAGACTGGCGGGCAGAAGTGAAGAGCCCCAGATGAAAGCCGCTGTGTGAGTCATCTCAGCTGCCATCTTGCCTGTGGACAGAGGAAGGCATTCCAGTTTTTTGGGCTTTCCCACAGGGCTCAGGGAGTTTGTGTGGAAGCTAAACCACAGCTCCACTTCTGACTTTGTCTTTACAGCCTCCTGGAATCCTTTATGAGCCTCCAGGACATAAATCTTCTGGAAAGGCGGCCGGGCCGCCCACAGAGGCCAGGCAATCCACTCAGTAATGGTTTGTGATAACCCGCTAACCCCTAGTCAGGCAGTCACCAGCCACTGTCTGCGAACCTCCCCACCCTGTCACCCAGCTTCCTCCTCCTCTGGTCTTTCTAGTCTCCTGGAGGATATCTGAGATTGCTCCAACATCCCACACTGATATGTCAGCAGGAATCAAGGAAACTGCCTCCTAATCTATCCTGGTGCTGCTAATAAGCTCACTGTGCAACCCTGGGCTCTGCCGCTTTCTGGCCCTCAGTCTCCTCACCTATAACATGATAAGGACGAACTAGAACAGTGGTATTTTTTATTATTATTATTATACTTTAAGTTTTAGGGTACATGTGCACAATGTGCAGGTTAGTTACATGTGCCATGCTGGTGCGCTGCACCCACTAACTCGTCATCTAGCATTAGGTATATCTCCCAATGCTATCCCTCCCCCACCCCCACCCCACAACAGTCCCCAGAGTGTGATGTTCCCCTTCCTGTGTCCGTGTGTTCTCATTGTTCAATTCCCACCTATGAGTGAGAATATGTGGTGTTTGGTTTTTTGTTCTTGCGACAGTTTACTGAGAATGATGATTTCCAATTTCATCCATGTCCCTACAAAGGACATGAACTCATCATTTTTTATGGCTGCATAGTATTCCATGGTGTATATGTGCCACATTTTCTTAATCCAGTCTATCATTGTTGGACATTTGGGTTGGTTCCAAGTCTTTGCTATTGTGAATAGTGCTGCAATAAACATACGTGTGCATGTGTCTTTATAGCAGCATGATTTATAGTCCTTTGGGTATATACCCTTTTTTTCTAAATAAATCTTACATGGAATCACAGCCCACCTCCACAGAGAATTCTCTAAAATGTCCGCCCATTTGCTCTGTCACACCCTAATGGTTTAACTATCTTTCCTGCACTTACTAGATTTAGAATCTTATATTGCTTGTATGTTTACTTACATATTATCTGTCTTCCCTACTACAATGTAAACTATGTATAGTTAGTGATCCCTTATGTCGTATTCACATTTGTAAGTAAGTGCTAAATAATTAGTTGTTGAGTAATTGAGTAATGAGATGATTTAAATGTGTGGACCAGATGACTAAAGATTTGTTCTGGTAGAAACTGGAGTGGGTGGCCTGGAGTCCCACCTGCTGGGTCTCCTCTTCTATGCCCCTCCACCCCACCCAATCCCAAGCATCCCTTATGTCTCTCCAAGCCCTCAAGAATCTTTAGATCACAGATGGAAACAATTGAATTCCATGAACTCTGAGGTCTTCTAACATTCCAAAAAATGCAATGTCCTTGCAAATATTAAAAGACTTGAAGAGATCTCACTTCATTGATTGATTGATTCATTGATTCATTTAATGTGCTAACTATGTGTCAGGCCGTGTGCTGGGGGCTAAAAATACAGAGTGAAGATGGCAGAGATCCTGCCTTTACAAGGTTCAGCATCTAGTGCGGAAAAGACTGGTCAGCCAGCAATTGCGGTGGCATTTGGCATGTGAATGGACAAGCGTTTTAGAGCAGTGCTTCTCAAA
Source organism: Homo sapiens (assembly GCF_000001405.40). Taxonomy (NCBI): domain Eukaryota; kingdom Metazoa; phylum Chordata; class Mammalia; order Primates; family Hominidae; genus Homo; species Homo sapiens. The sequence goes on along the minus strand of NC_000009.12, from coordinate 116,435,965 downwards.
CTTTAACGTGCCTGAGAATCACCTGAGGACTTGTTACATTCCAAATTGACTCAGTAGTCTGGGTTAGGTCTGAGATTCTGCATTTACTGAATTCCATGAACTCTGAGGTCTTCTAACATTCCAAAAAATCCAATGTAACAAGCTCTCATAGTGATGTTAATGTTGTTGGCCCCAAAAGCATACTTGGAGTGACAAGGTTCCAGATGCAGAAAGCTGGAGCAGCTAATCCAGATCTGGAGCTCAAGGAAGAATCCTTGTAAAAGAAAGAATGTTTCTAAGTTTAGAAACAGAATGAAGAAGGGTCCTCCAGGTGGAAGGGAGAGAGTCTTCTCATCAGAAGGAATTACCAATGCAAAGATGAGAGAAGTTGGGTAAGATAATATACTTCAGTTAAAAATATAAATCTTATTGGAGAAGAGAGTTCGAAGTGAAAGAGGAGAGTTCAAAGTGAAAAGGAAAAGCAAACAAACAAAAACAACAAGGCTGGGTTGTTTAGCAAAGGACAGATCATGATGGTTCTTGTGAGTTCTGTTCACAAGTTTATTCTTTCTCCCAGAAGCCATATAAATGTTTTAAACAGAGGAGCAGTTTGGATACATTTGCTCTGCCTTTCAAGGATTAGCAAGTATGCAGAACATCACAGTGTAAATAAGAGAGGGTAAGATGCTTCTCCAAAGCCAGGAGCCCAGGGCTTCTGTCCTAGCCTTGTCACCTACTTGTTGTGTGACCTTGGACACAAGCCATCCCCATTCTGGACCTTGTTTGTAACATGAAAGGGCTGAACTCCAAAGTCTCTTCCAGCTGGGAAGCCAAGGAACCAGAAAACCCTGAAGGTCATAGAGACCAGAGAACAGACACATTGTTAGTATCATTTGACTTCCAGCCCTGCACGTCTTGTTTCTGAGGGACCCAGGTTGACTAGAGGGATAAGAGTTTTTTCCAGGAGTACTTTGAGGACTGATATAAGATGAGCTCTATTAGGATTCTCTTGGACTGTGTAATCACTAAACCCCAAAATGTTTTCAAATCTTTCCTAAATCTGTGGTCATATATCCCCATAAGATTTAGTGACGAAAGGACATCTCTTAACCTCTGCCTAATAAATCTATCAGGCCAGTGTCCCCCAGAGCCTGGTTCTTACGACCACAGGTTACTGCAAACAGCTGCTCAAAGAAGACGCACTGACACCCAGCTGTCCCCAGACATAAGGTTCCTATTAGGAGACTTGAAAAACTGAGCTCACTGGTGGCCAGGGACCAGAATTTTCTCGGGTCAGAACATCCTTGACCACTCTTGGGCTTCTCTACACTTTCAATTATGTTTGAGCATATTGGTAGAGAGGACACAGCAAGCTCTTGAGGACATTTTGCTTCAGTGAAATTGATCTATCTGGACCAGGAATGGTGTATTTATGATGTCAGCTCCTCTTGCCTCCATGGCAGACATTACGAATAGATCGCAGAAATCATCACAGGATCTTTCTCAACGTGCCATGGGATTTGAAAAGAGTTACACATCCACTGCTGTGTTCTTAGTGAAAACAAACAAACCTGGGATGTCACTGTACATTCCTCCAAGATTGTGTTAACTGCTTCTTTGGATATATTGAATTAACTCTCAGAATTTTTAAGATATTGGGAACAAGAGCAGACTTAGGCTTCTAGGGTCATATTCCTATAATCTCAGAGGTACTTTTAACCTTTTTCTGTATATTTTGGCATTTCTAAAATCAGGACGGATTGTGCACAGTGGATGTGTACATTAAACATTGTATTCCTCTTTTCTTGAATGGCTGTTATTAAAGCATGGGTATATCTTATAATTGAAGGTATCTTCAATTATACCTTCAATTAACAAATAAATACTCATACTAATACCAACTAACTAATACTAACAAAACACACTGACTTTGGACTTTGAACTAGTGTCCCATGGATCTGTTTTCCCCACCGACAGTATATAGCAAGGTTAGTTATTTTCTTGAAGTTCCTATCAGTTCCAACTGAAATAGCTCTGGATCAGTTGAGACTCAGTCATTTCTGTTATCAAAGAACACATTTTTGAAAAGTCTTATGATTTCTTCTGAGTGGATGAAAAGAGAAAGCAAATGCGAACATTTTCAGTGGGCACCTTACAAATCACATTTCAAACCTGGTGTTAAAGGTATATAACCAGTGGCAGTATCTGAGCTTCTGACTTTGTTGGATAGGAGCAAGCTGAGGCTAAATTTGATATGGGTTTATTTTGAAAGTAACCCTGATGAACTACTGGAAAGTCATAAAACCATGGCTTCATTGCACAAGTTCATCACACCAGCTTAAAAATATATGTGTATATATTCATAGTTTAAAATGAAAATACCTTTATTTTATTTTGTTCTGAAATAATTATTGTTCATTATATAAAATCCAAATGATACAGAAATATATAAAATAATGAAAATTGTGCACCTCTGGGCCACATAATCCCAACCCTACCCCAGAGATTACATTGTTAACAGTGTACACATGTATTTCTGTATACAGATATGGATATGCATGGAGATGGGGAAACAGATACAGGCTTAAGAATATGTTCATGTCTACAACCACAGCTCTTTCATCTCTACTATGTTTAACAAATACATAAGTTATGTTCTGTTATCTGCCTGTTTCTGTTTAACAATATGCTTTACAAGTTTTTACCCACAGATACGTATGTAAATGTTTTATTTTTTTGAAGGGTCCTTTAGTCATGCAAATATGTGAATGTATCACTCATTAATCTGGTTGTGTATTAAAAACCAACTAGATTTCTTACAGTTTCTTTGTTATTATAAACAAATCCACATAAACCTTTTGCCCACTTGCCTGATTATTTCTTTAGGTCCACATGATGCTTTTATGCCATTTCATTCCCTTTATTGACCTCTGCTGAAGAGTTGCTGTGTTTTGAAAGCTAAGGACTGAAAATTTTCTCAGTTCAAGTCACTTTGCATTTATTTCCTTCCCTTCCTTCCTTCCCTCCTTCCTTCCTTTCTTCCTTCCTTCCTTCCCCAAGATGGAGTCTTGCTCTGTCACCCAGGCTGGAGTGCAGTGGTGCAATCTCAGCTCACTGCAACCACTGCCTCCCAGGTTCAAGCAATTCTTCTGCCTCAGCCTCCCAAGTACCTGGGATTACAGGCGCCTGCCACCACACCTGGCCAATTTTTGTATTTTTAGTAGAGACGGGGCTTCACCGTGTTGGCCAGGCTGGTCTGGAACTCCCGACCACAAGTGATCCGCCCACCTTAGCCTCCCAAAGTGCTGGGATTACAGGCATGAGTAATCCCAGTTTGCATTTATTAATTCATTATTCTTGCACAGTAAAGAGCTGGACACCAGAGGAAACCTACACTGTCCAAGAAGCAGGTGGGAAATATTAGTTGAGCACCTGTTATTGGCCCAGTTATTTATATTTCATTTAATATCCTGAACAATAGATTTTGAAGGTTAGGCAACAGAGAATTGTGGAGTTATGTAAACTGTCCATAGTTGCAAGGTCTAAACACTAAGTGTTGGAGTCCGAGTTTAGAATATTGTCTTCTGATATTCAACTGGTGTCCTGTAAAACCACATTACATCCCAAGATATGTGCACACTAAGAAAAAATGTGATATGGATCTCCACAGATAAATAAAATGCTTCAGCAGCAAATGGGAAAACATGACTTATGATAGCTGGGAAGATCTGGAAGACTTCCTGAAGATGAAATTTCAGTGTGACTTTGAGTCATGAATAGAACCTCAGCAAAAGTGGTCCTCTCAGCTCAGGAATTCAGTGCTTGACAATTGTGTCACAGCAAATTTTGTTGTGAAGTGAGTGGTCATCAGATGATATTTCTCTGTGAATCAAGGCTCTCATGCCTTTTAGATTAAAAACAAATAAACAATGACAAACGCCTGCTACGACTCCCACTGTAGTACACCCCTTTCTAAAACATACTTGATTTAATCACCTCCAGTGATGAGGAACCCGCTGCCACATAGAATAACCCTTTCTAAATTTAGAGGACTTTAGCTTTACATTTTTTATTATTTTAAGCCAAATGTGTCTTCTGATAATTTTAGGGTGACTGTGTCATAATGTTTTGATGCCTTACAGCAGAGGATTGAAACCCCGCCCTATCCTCCTGTCACCCTGGTCAAATCAATGACTGGCTTGAAGCTCATTTTTATCACCTGTAGACTCTAAAATTGGGTTAGGGATTAGATGTAAAATAATGTTGCATAGGTACAGTTTCTGGCACATAGTGGGTGCTCAATAAATTGTAGTCATTATCATCTCTGACCCGCAGATTGTTGCCCACTTGTCTTTTGTTGCTACAACAATGTAACTAATGGCCTAAATCTTCTCTTCCATGGGCACTCTCCATTCCTGCTTTCAGCTCAGCAGGCTTGCTTTTGAAACACCCCTCAGTATCATGATCTGGCTGCAATTTACATGTGTCCCTCTTACCAGAAGTGTCGGGGGTTCTCCAGATGGAGCCCGACGAGGACACCATGAATGAAGCCATTACTTCCCTTAACCTCTGCCCTCTCCACTTCTGAAGGTCATGTTCCCATTTTTTTGCAACCACATCATGTCCTCAATTCTCATTAAGCTTCGGGACAGCTAACACAGAGACACTTAAGCTCAACTCCGTAAGGCAGGGAGGAGGGAGGGAGGCGAATGGGAATGTTTTCTTCCTGCCTGTCTTATTTTTCTCCATTTCAGGGTCCCCTTAGAAATTGGGTCTCTGTCCTGTCTGATAAGTGAGTCAACAGCTGATTGGGAAATGGTGCTGGGAATAGAATGGTTCTACAGTCCCGGAAAAGTGGCATCTGGGCCCAGCCCCTGACTCTTTCACAAGCGATTCCTGTCTCAGTCTTGCCTGCTGATAAAACAATAAATTAGTATGTGGTGGCCCTCCCTCACCTCTTGCTTCCTATCCCAGTGGGTCTGAGTCCTATCTCCAATGAGGAAGATTTCATTTCCGGTATTTGACAAAAGTGGTCACTGACCTATGATTTCCCCTCCAGGGAAAGCTTGAAGCATGCCTGACCTTTTGATTTATGGATCTCCATTGCCTACAATTTATTAGCCAGCATTTTTGCCTTTGGTCTCTCTCACTCCGACTCTTCCTTCTCCTCCCCAGCCTTCGAGCACCTCCAACCCTTCTCTCCATGGCTTTACTTTCTGAATTCTTCTTTGTTTTCTAAATGCAAACATTGGTTCAGTGCCTGTTACGTACAAAGTCTTGTGTTGGTTGCTTGTAGCCATCATTTCATTTCAACCTAACAACAGCCCTACAAAATAAATATTTCTATTTTCATTTACACAGGAGAAAACTGAGGCTTAGGGAGGTGAAGTGACTTGCCCTTATGGACTCTAAAGCCTATGTGCTTTTCACGATAATATTCTGCTTTGAATCATTGCTGACACTTACTTAGAGCTAAGCAAATTTTCCTTATTATCTCATCCTCCCAGCAAAACCATTATTCACATTTTATGGATGCTACAACTAAGAGTTAGTGGCATTGAATAATTTGCTCATGAACCACATAGCTGTAAGTTATAGAGCTGGGATTTAAATCTGAGATTCTAGAGCCAACACTTCATCTTCACCCTGGAATCAGGAACCCTGGTTCTAGCTTTGCCTTTGTTACTACTCAAGGTGTTCCTTAAAGGCAAAATCACTTTCTCACTCCAAATATGTTTTCCTAATCCATTCAAAAGGAGGCTTTGTCTGTTCCTTTGGAAGAAGGGCATTTGGGCATGTTGGAAGAATTGTCTTTTCCAACTTCATTTTGTATTTATATTTATCGCTTACTTCTGTGACTATCTAATCAGAAAATGTCTCTCCATTGCCCAGAATAAAATCCAAATACTACATCATGGCTTGGAAGAGTCTGCCTGGTCTGATCCCTGCCAAGCTCACTGGTCTCCCTATTCTTTGCACTGGTTATTTCAAACAACTAGTAGTTTATGTTCTCTCCGGTCTGACTTGGGATGGGCTATTTCCTCTGCCTTCTCATCTACCTGAAAATGCTGTTTCATTATTGAAGAACTAGCTCAGGTGTGGCGTCCTCTTGAGAGACTACTCTGAGTCTCCAAACTGATGACTGGTGTCCATCTTTTATATTCCCAGAACAGCATACGTAGTGTTCCTCAACCCAGTGCTCTGCCCCCGAATTAGAGAATGTTAATATTTCTGTCTGCCTGTCTCTTGTCACTGAGTTATAAAGATACCCAAGGCTTAAACTAGTTCATATCTGTCCCATTGCCCAGTACACAAAATACACCTAATGATGTAATAATGATGATGACAATGAGAGTGATGGTGGTGGGAGTAATGATAATGGTGATGATACTTTCTAGCAAGCATCAGGTGCTTGCTTTGTGCCAAGTAATTTTCTAAGAGTTTGACGTGTACTGACTTAACCCTCACTATAACTTTATGAGGTGAGCCATCTGCTGTTCCCTTTGTATAGATGAGCAAACCAAGAATAAGAAGCTTTTTACCAGTGTAGAGAAAAATCAAACCAACACCTGTAAGTACAACAGTGGGAAACAGTTAACACCTGAGTGTGCACTCCACTTGGTTACTTTTTTTTTTTTTTTTTTTTTCAGATAGAGTTTCGCTATTGTTGCCCAGGCTGGAGTGCAATGGCACGATCTTGGCTCACTGCAACCTCCACCTCCTGGGTTCAAGCAATTCTCCAGCTTCAGCCTCCCGAGTAGCTGGGATTACAGGCATACACCACAAGGCCTGGCTAATTTTTGTATTTTTAGTAGACACAGCGTTTCACCATGTTGGCCAGGCTGGTCTCAAACTCCTGATCTCAGGTGATCCGCCCATCTCAGCCTCCCAAAGTTCTGGGATTACAGGTGTGAGCCACTGCTCCTGGCCTCCACTTGGTTTAATTCTGTGTTTTGCCTCCTTCCGCTCAGTTCTCCTCAAACAACCAGAAATATTTTTAAACAGTTCAGCTCCAAACCTGTTACTTTGCTTCTTGAAATCTTTCAATAACTCTCCCACTTACTCTCAAGACAATAATCATAGATAACATTTATTGACAGTTTATTATGTGTCTGTTAATTTTTTATTTAAAAAATAACACTTTATGGTAGATACAGTTATTATTTCATTTTGTGGGTAAGGTAAGAAAACTGAGGGACAAGTGGTAAAGCACTTCACTCAGTATCACACAGAGTGAGTGGCTGAGCTGGGATTTGAACCTGAGTAGTCGGTGTTCTGGAGCCTGTGGTTGTATCATTACTGCATACAACCACTGCCCTAGTTCCTAGGCTTCAACAGGCTGGCTATGGCTCCTTCCAGTTTTCACTGTGTCCCCACTAGTACACTGTATTGTAGCCATAAATTCTCAGAACATCTATGCATCTCTTGTCTCTATGCTTTTACCTTTACTTTTTTTTTTTTTGAGGTGGAGTTTTGCTCTTGTTGCCCAGGCTGGAGTGCAGTGGCGCGATCTTGGTTCACTGTAACCTCCGCCTTACGGTTTCAAATGATTCTCCTGCCTCAGCCTCCTGAGTAGCTGGGGTTACAGGTACCCACCACCACGCCCAGCTAAATTTTGTATTTTTAGTAAAGACAGGGTTTCAGTATGTTGGCCAGGCTGCTGTCGAACTTCTGACTTTGTGATCCACCCGCCTTGGCCTCCTAAAGTGCTGGGATTACAGGCATGAGCCGCCGTGCCCGGCCACCTTTTCCTCTTCTTTATCTAACTCCTATTCATTTAGGAGGCTCAACACATGTTTCCCTACTACTATAATAGGAAGCCTACTTGGACATCCTTGATCCTACTTAAGTACCTTCCTCTGTCTTCACACAGCTCTCGTGACTTCTTTTATAATTGCTTTTGTCATTCGTATTGTCATCTCCATTTGTCCATCTTCTCTACCAGAAGTTCTGCCACATAATAAATGCTCAACAAATCAGCAAGAAATGACTTTATCTCCTTCAACTTCACAACAGCCTCATTTTTCAAATGAAGAAACAGATTTAGAGATGTTAAGTAAATGTCCCCAGGACACAGAATTATTAAAGAATGAAGCCAGAACTCAAATGAGAAGGAATGGAAAAGAAACTCCTCAGGCTCCTCTTGGGGGGGGCACTTGCCCGAGGGGAAAGAGGACTGTGGATAGAGTGTGGTTATGAAGTGATGAATTCTTGGCACCTCAGGAAATATTCCACCCAAGTGGTGAACTATACAAAGAGGACTTTTTGAAAGGCACCTCATAAATTGTGCCCACAAAATGTATACACATAAGCTCGGTCCTTTTTCAGCTGCTATGCAGGTGCCTAACACAGTCTCCCATTTGTGGGGTCTGTTGTTGTAAAACTCCTTCCCTCCTGTGGTATCAGAGGGACATGGAGAGGACAGCAGGAGAGAGAACCTCTCATGTAGCCTCCCAGGGTGCCTGGCATCTTGAAGATGCTGGAATGCAGAGAAAAGTGGTTTCCACATGGAGACAGACACCTTGACACTGAAGCTGACTTGTAATGTGACCTGGGATAAAGATATTCTATTCCTTCTCTAAGCCTCAGTTTCCACATTTTTAATGAAAGTGGGTCAGACTAGGTCAGTGGTTCTCAACTTGGGTGATTTTGCCCCCAGAAGATATTTGGCAATGTCTAAAGACAGTTTCACTGGGGCAAGAGTGCTATTGAAAATTCTTCAATGTCTAAAGAATTTTCACACTTCACGACCGGGGCAAGGGTGCTACTGGCGGTAGGTGGGGCCCTGGGATGCTGCTAAATGTCCTATAGGATTGTTCCCACAACAAAAAAATATACAGCCCAGAATGTCGATAATGCCACCTTTGAAAAACCCTGGACTAGGTGATTGCAAGAATCCTTCCTGGCTTTATTTATCTGTGCAGCCATCAGATCTCTCCCAGCTCCCCTCTCTCGTGCTGGATATAGGGCTCTAGATAAGTTCTTAATGATGTCCTCCATAGTACGGAATAATTCTTGGTAAGGCTGGTCTTCAGCATAACCTTGATCCTGAGGGCGCATTCCAGCAATCCCTTATAAGAGTAGCTATCATTTATTGGAAGCTTACTCTGAGCTCTATACCAGGCATTAGGCATTTCTCTTACTTAACTTGAGGATAAGACCATCATCACTTTTTTAAAGGTGGGAAAAAATGAGACACAGAAAAGTTCTGATTTGGGGACATATATATATATATATTTGATGAAAGGGAATCACAAAGGGCAAGATTTCAAAGTTTCCAGACTGAGAGAAAAGAGTGTGAAATAGTTCATGAAGTGAGAACACAGACAGTTAGAAAGGGACTGTGGGTGGTCAGGCCTAGATTTAGATTCTTCCCAACTCCAGTGGCTGACTCGATGTTTGCCTTAGTCAAGTAATGTCATTATTCTGAGCCTTGCTTGAGCTCCTCACCCATTAAAAGGGGGTAGACAATACATTCAGGATAGTTATAAAGGCTAAATAAAAAATGTAAAATATATGTAAAATGCATACCCAGTGTCTAGCATATGGTGTCAATAACTTTTGGTTGTTCTTGTTGCTTTTTAATCATTATAATAATACCTATTTGATCAGAGTCCAAGGCTGGTCACCTTTGAACTCCTAGGGCTCCCATATCCTAGAAGTGAAAATACTAGGTTAAAGGCTCTACCTCTTTTTCATTTTTTAACACATTGCACAATTGAAGAAGATAGGTTCTAGGGCAATTTTTGAATCAGTGTTTGAAGTACCACACTCCAATCTGGAGTAGATAGGAAATGGTTGGGAGAAGTTACCATTTGTTTGTTGACATTTACTACCTCAAAGGTCTAACTCTTGATCTGGACTTCTTTAATCATGGCTGTCTCATCCTACCTTTCAGGAAGGCCCACCTGATTCTACGGCGACTGGAGAGGGTGAGTAGCCACTGCTCCAGCCTCCTGCGGAGTGCCTACATCCAGAGCCGCGTGGAAACAGTGCCCTATCTTTTCTGCCGCAGCGAGGAGGTCCGGCCTGCAGGCATGGTGTGGTATAGCATCCTCAAGGACACCAAAATCACGTGTGAGGAGAAGATGGTGTCAATGGCCCGAAACACGTACGGGGAGTCCAAGGGCCGGTGAGGGAGGGTATTGCCCTCCGTGAGCACAGAGACTCTCCATGGGAGGGGGAGCAGTATTCTCCTGGATCCTGGGGCCTGGGTGGGCTGGGGGACAGCTGAGGATGGGCCTAGCAGATGAAGCTTGCCAGCAAGGCCAAAGCAAACGGTTTCTCCTGTGGATAGTGGACAGAGACCTTTGTAACCAATGGAATTATTCATTTTTCTCTATCTTTTATTTTTTCAAAGATATTATTTGACTCTATCAAAAGTCTCTCCTTTTTAAACCTTTTCTTATGGATGGCTGTCAATCCCGAGGCAGAAGTTTTCAGGTGGAGACCAAGCGGCCTTTGCTCTTCTTCCTTCTTCCTGCCACACTCTGCTTTCTTCCTGCCATGGACCCCTGGAGGAGACCTATGGAGGGACAGTTTTGACCTGACCCCTAGAGGAGACAGTTTTGACCTCTTCAGCACCAGGAAGGAAGCTCTGAGGATGGTTGCAGTGAGGAAGCATGGGTCTTTAAGGACTTCTCTCTCTTTTTTGCTGGACATTATTGAGTTTGTGGGACCCTGCCTCTTCCTGCTACCTGTGGGTCTGCCCAGAGTCCCTGCAGGCCTGTCCATGCATTAAAAATTCCTATTGTCTCTCTTTCTGCTTGGGTGGTATTTCTTACCAAGGGAATGTGCTTGAGAGACCTCTGTTTATTCACTTATTGAGTATCTACCCTGTGCCAGTCACAGAGCATATGCAACTAAAGACAGAGAAGCTTCCTTCCCTCAGGGAACTTATTGCCCAGTGGAAATTATAGAGAAGGAGTCTGGTCATTTCAAGCTGTGCTAGAGGAAGAATGGAGGTTCTTTGCACTCACTGTTAGAGCATGAGACACACTGGAGGGCTCCTGAAATGCTTCCTTGAAAAAGTGATACCTAAACCCAAAGGATGAGTAGAAATAAGCCAGACAGAGAGGTGAAAAAGATGGGATTTGCTTGCCAGGCACAGTGGCTCATGCCTGTAATCCTAGCACTTTGGGAGGCCAGGGCAGGTGGATCACTTGAGGCCAGGAGTTTGAGACCAGCCTGGCTAATGTGGTGAAACCCCGTCTCTACTAACAATACAAAAAATAAAAAATAGCAGGGCATGGTGGCACGTGCCTGTAATCAATCCCAGCTACTTGGGAGGCTGAGGCATGAGAATTGCTTGAACCTGGGAGGCAGAGTTTGCAGTGAACTGACATGGAGCCACTGGACTCCAGCCTAGGTGACAACTTAAAAAAAAAAAAAAAGATGGAATTTGCTCCAGGAAGAAGAGATATGAACAAAAGCCCAGAGACAAGAGACAGTACACCTCTTTCAAGGACTGAAAACTTTCCTTAAGAGTAGGGATCAAAATAGGAAGTGTTAAAAGGTGAGGCTGGGAGCTTGGCAAGGCATTGGAAGCTTTGGGCAAGAAGCTTGATGCTGCCTTGAAGCATCCATGACTATTTATATGACTAAATAGTCAACTTACTCTTTAAGAAAATCATTCTCACTACAGGGTGAAGGATGGATTGGAGAAGGCCCCAAAGAGAGGGGTGCCATTGTCATTTTCCATGAAGGAGGTGATGATAGCTTAGGGGGTGACATACCAACACTGGAATCTCCCTTTATTTATCTATTTTTAAAACAGCTTTATTGAGGTATCATTGAAATATCCTTTTAAATGGTAATTGCACTGCTTCCAGTGTACCCTTCCCTGGGAGGGTAATGAGTATGAAGAGATGTTATAAATTCTTAACACCCTCATATTAGCTCAAATAAGCTACCTAGCTTGAGCAGATGGGATGTAGGTCAGGTATATCATAATGCAAAGATGACACCTGTTAAGAGAAGAGAGTGTAGCACTGTGGGGTTTCAGAAGAGGAAAAGATACTGAATATCAATAAAACATAAGCCATTCAAAATATGCCTATCCTCATTTGTGTAGTGGTGAGTAAAAAAGAAAAAAACCATGCCTACTTCTCAATTTGGCAAATGTTGATGAGATTGACAATCCCCTTCCTGATAACCTACATATTGAGCGCATTTTTTTCCCCAGGACTTCAATCCATATGGGGAAAATGGGTAACACAAAAGAAAACAAAGCAGAAAGAGATTCTTCCAACCTTGGTGCCTGGGAAGCTTCTCAACCTCTCACAATCTAAGCTCTAAGGCACTCTTTCAGGAAGTTTACTATTATTGGGTTTATGTTTCTCTAAGTATACAGGTGGAGCTTCTAAATGCCTCTCATGTATACCACTTCCTGGGTATACATGGGCCTTCAGAGAGCTATCAGTTTGCTGGGCCTGGGTCCCAAGTTTTCAGAGAGCTATCAGGTTGCTGTTGCTTTCCATTGTCTTGACCCAACCCGAGGAACAATTTAGCTCAACAGTTGCAGAAAATTACAGCACTCAATGTGCTGGTGTGGTGATCTGAGCCTGATTAAGTTTGAATCTGACAACACTGCTATTCACCAGCTATTGCCCTTAAGGGAGTAACTTGACATCAGGTTTCTCATCAACAAAGTGGAGTCAATGCTGGTCCCACCTCAAGGGGTTGTTTCCCAGCTTGAATGATAAGGGAGTTAACATGCATCCAATGCAATGTATAGTGTTTTTATTTTATTTTTTATTTTTTCTCCTGATGGAGACAATATGCATAATACTGTGAGTCTTGGGCAGACATCCAGGAAAATCTGGTTGGGAAAGACCTAGAGAATTCTGATTAAAAGAAAGAATTAATGATTTTCAGCTCTGTCAGCTATGTGAATTGTAACTAGTGTCAAAAACTTAAAGAGAAGTGGTCACCATGGTGGAATTTAATGCAATAACAAGACCCCCAAAGAGAAGTGTGTCGTTAAAAAAAAGAAACATTCTTGACCTGTAAATGAAGCTATTGGGTATGGTGCCCTGGCCTCTGCATGACCAGATTGATCCATGCACTGCCACGGAACTTGCCAGGGAAGCTCATGTCACAATATGCTGGCAAGGATGAGACTTCTCATGTAGTCTTCACCACCATATAGAGAAGTTGTGAACACACAGATGTGTGTGTTAGGGGTGCATAGGAAATCACCCCTAAATGACCTCATCCTTCTGGATGGTCAAGAATTATCTTCTCTCAGCAGGCTTCGTGATAAAGTGTGCACTACAGACAAATGCTGGTAACTACCATTTAAGGGATCCTCATACCGATGGCTCTACATACTTATCTCATTTAACCATGAGCAAAACAGTCATGTGCTATTGTGGCGATCATTTTACAATTCAAGAAACTCCGGTTTAGGCAGACTGAATAACCTGCCCCAAATCCTGTAGGTAGTAAGTGATGGTATTGAGATACTGAGATCTAAACTTGAGCAGACAAAGTAATTCCAAATGATGAGCACTGTGTATGCACACTACCTGCTAGGGCTACTAAGTGCAGTGCCTCCCTTCTCCATCTTAAGTCAAAAACTAAGTCTAACTTCCAACCAATACCAGAGTACTGATTTCCAGGTTTGGGGTACTAACATGAACAGGATCCAGCTCCTCCCCTTAAGGAACTCCCAGAATTTAGCTAACTAAATACAGCAGGATAAAATCAGACACTCTGGAGTCAAGCCAATCTGGGTTTAAATATTGGCTGTGCAATTTACAGTGAGGCAGGGCCAACCTTTAAGAGAAATTTAGGAGGCAAACTCAACAGACATTGCTAACTAATAAGCTCAGGTTAGCTGGCATTAACTTAACCTCTCTAAGCCTCACTTTTCTCATCTGTGAAAGGGATAAATATACTACTTCAAGACTGTTGGGAAGATTAAATTAGATGATGTATATAAAGCCATCGTGTACTTGAAAACAAAAGTTCTTAGTAAATAGTTATTATAATGACTGTTTTTTAAGAGATAGAGTCTCACTCTGTCACCCTAGCTAGAGTGCAGTGCAGTGGTACTAACACAGCTCATTGCAGCCTCAACCTCCCAGGTTCAAGCAATCCTCCCACCTTAGTCCCCCAAGTAGCTGAGACTACAGGCGTGCACCACCACACCCAGCTAATTTTTGTAATTTTTTGTAGTGTAATTTTTCTTCATGTTGCCCAGCCTTGTCTTGAACTCCTGAGCTCAGGCAATTCTCCCACCTCGGCCTCCCAAAGTGCTGGAATTATAGGCATGAGCCACTGTGCCAGGCCTATAATGACTTCTTTACATGAGAAAGGGTGGGTGCAATGGACTCTGCCATTGGAAGGCAAGTCATCATCAGGAAAGCCTTCATAGTCAAAGGATTTATAAGAGTTTAGTAAGTACAGTAGTAGAAAAAGGGCATGAGGGACAGAGAGACTAGCATATTGATGAAAAAGTGTGCCATATTTGAGGGATAGTGAGCAACTGGTGTGGTCAGGGAGATGGAGAATGTGTTTGGAGAAGTTGTCAGAGCCAGACCACATTGGCCATTGGAAGGCACTGGACTGAAAGCAGAGGTGTGACATGGGCAGATAAGCATTTTCAAATGCCCCTCCTGGGTGCAGAGTAGGAGAGTGGGGAGGAGAGAGTGGGAAGAAGACTAGATAGGAGACTATAGGTATTGTTTAGGAGGAAGATGAGGAAGCTTGAGCTATGGCCATTGCAATGATGAAGCTGGATCTGAGAGGTGTCAAGGAAGTTGACTCAATAGGATTTGCTAACCAAAGCCTGATGACTTGGGTTTTATCTTTCCCCACTGCTGACTGAGTGTTAGACTGGGCAGAACTAGATGGGGCATGAAGTGAATGATGAATCACATGGGTTCAACGGACAGTGTGCATGGATGAGGCATGATTTGCATCATGCAGAAACAGTCATTGGGACAGCAGAGAGCCAAGAATATAATTTAGCTTTATGTGAAAACCATTCATGGCCCTGAGTGTAATTATGCACAAATGTGCTATGACTTTCAAATGCAGGTGTGGGAACCATAGCAAGGGGCTTACGTAAGTAGTGTAGAATTTTGTGGAAGTGTAAAATACTGGACTTATAGAAATAGTGCTGAATTCCCTCCTTCTCCTCCTCTCCCTCCTCTTCCTCCTTCTCCTCCTCATCATCACTATCCTCATCCTCATCACCATCATTATTTAATTGATTGCTTACCATAAGACATATTCTTTACATAAACATCATTTCATATACTTTATAAATTATCATTTCTTTCAAAAATATGGGAAATGAACCTAAAGGAATTTAAGAAACTCTCTGGTCTCAGGCAGCTAGTATGTGGCAGAACCAAATTTCAATCCAGATCTCACTGGACTCCAGAATTTTAACTACTATGCTTTATTGTCTCCTCAGGTAGAGACCTCTGGTCTAGTCTTGCTCCTGAAGTAGAGCTGCTATGTGACCTTGAGCAAGCCGTTCACCCTCTGTGGGCCCTGGGTTATCCATGTGCCCCCACCACACTAGGGGAGATCTATGTGTCATGGATGTGAAACATTATATCAGATGATGACTCAGGTACAAAGAGCACTTTTAATCTCTCTTTTATCTTCACTACCTCCCTTTGAGATTGACAACAGCAGGATAACTGTCTCTGGCCAGTCTAGAGAGGGTCACAGCCTCAGCCAGGTTGCAGCAGAGCATGGAGACCTGGAGTTCCCTAAGTCTCAGCTTCTTCTGCAATACCACATTCCCAGCCAACTGTACTGCCCAAGAGTCAACCCCAGTCCCTGTCCTGACCACACAAACCATGGGTTGCTGATGGTTCGGTAGCCCTGGGCAGGTGACAGCCTGTTCATGCCTTGGTTTTTCTCTCTGCTACTTAAAGGAAATAGTCCTCCATAAGGTTTTTCTCAGGATTAAATGGGTCAGTTTACATTAGATACTTATAACAGCACTTGGCATGTGACATGCAGTTTACAGATGTTAATTGTTGTAATTCTTATACTCAACTCCCTACTCTTCAGACACACAAAAGTCTCAGAAATGCCTTTCGCTCATCCTCTCTCATCACTTGCATGTGTTCTCCCTCTGGTGGGAGTGGAGTTCCAGCTTGGGCAGATCCACCCTAAATGTCATCCACTGGCTTCCTGAGGCCTTTTGCCTTCTCCCAGAGGAGCTGATAACTCTTCTCTGAGGTCTCACAGTGGGGACTCCCTACTTTCATTTTAGCCCTTTCCTCACTCAATGCCATTCTTTCCCAAAGGACTATGAGCAACACAAGGGCATGGTCTGGTTAGAATTCCTTCTGAACCCTGGAGCCTTGCCCTGGACCTAGCCCATAGCTAAAACCCATTGAAATTGGGCGTCAGGGCTCAAATGAGGAAATCCTGAAGGAAGATCCCCCAGCAGCACTGTGAATGTCCAGGATCCCTCAGGAACAGTGGTCCTTCCAATTTGCGCTGTCAATGCAGCCTACAAGGGGCCTGGAGAGAAGTCCACAGCCAAACAAAACCCACGGGCTTTGTGTGGGGGTATGCTTTTTAATTGGCCTCTGCCCATAAAACTGCCAGACCCTGAAAGGCGTTCACTGTCTGTCTCCCTTTGGAAACTTTGCTCCAAGTGTTTGTACATGTTATAGCCAAAGCCAAGCTGTTCTGTTTTCCTGTTTTACAAGAGTTGGCAGCAGGGGAGGGCAAGGGGCCACAGGTGTGCTCTGCTGGACAGGGAGGCATGTATGCCTCTGTGTGTGTGTTTGTGTGTGTGTGTGTGTGTGTGTGTGTGTGTGTGAAACAGGGAGACTGGGGAGGTTGTCAGTTTAGGTAGTCACAAGCACCCCAAATGGTAATTCAGAATTCAGATTCTGGACCCAGTCCTGACACTAACAGGCTGCTGGACTCTAGTTTCTCCCTAGTCTTGCCCTCGGTGTCTCTTCATAAAGAGGTTAGCTGGACAAGAACTTCACTGAAGAATCCTTCAGCTTTACTAATTGTTTTTTCAATGTCTCGGGACTGCAACTGGAAAAGAAGAGGGTAACCAACTATATATATTTGTGGAAGAGGAGGATGTTTACAGAGCAAACTCCTGGAGGAGAAGTGTTACTTATTCTAGGAAAGTTGCTCTGACCATAGCTCCAAATTCAGGACAAGAGTTCGTCCTTTCAGTTCTCACAATCCCCACATATCTGTGATGTTCCTACTTAACCCATTGGGTTTTAATTGTGCCTTTATATATTTGTTTTCCCCTAATATATGTGAGCTCCTGGATGGGGCTATGTTTTATGTCTCCAGGGCCCATAGGTTAAACCATACAGTAGATACTCAAAAAATGTGTGCTCATACTACTCCATGCAGTTCCAAAGTCATTTTTACTTAAGTCTTCCGGAATGGGGCTCCTGATCAACACTTTGTAGTTGAGGAAATAGAGGCTGAGATATGGGTTTGTGTTCATGCAGGATCTCCAAGCCTGAGTAAACTGTGGGCTTCTTTCTTCTGAGTCCCAGACCAACTCACTTTGGAGTCTACCAAAAGGCTCATTCATGAATTTGCTAAGGAGCCACTGAGGGACTAAAGAGATGGTGGGTATAGGAACTAGAAAAGTCCAATCAAATGTAAGGCCTTAGCACTCTCCTCCTTGGTCAGAGAGGCTGATCTCTTGGGGATTCAGATTAGAAGGACAAATTTCAATAACAACCAGAGCAGCAATTGCCCTTTGTTGAACACTTTCCATAGCCAGGGTCTGTGCTAAGCATGTTGGTTGGAGTATCTCATTTACTTGTCATACATACACCATATTGTAGCTGTCAACACTTCCATTTCACAGAACAAGTCTTGAGGCTCAGGGAATTTAGGTGATTTGCCTGGAGTCATGCCATTAGGAGAAAACTAGGATGCAGTTCTCGCCTAAAACATGGTCACTCTACAGCAACATTCTCATAACTCCTCCAGAGGCCAATGCTCCCATGTTATAAATATGGAGACTGAGGGTCAGAAATGAAAAAGTACCCATCCAAGATCATAAAGGTGCCAGAACCAAGAGTAGAGTGTTTTTTTATTTTATGTCCAGTGCATTCCTGACCCCGTGGTAACCCCAGGCCCATCTGCTTTTCTGACCTTTGGGCAGTTAGAGAATAATAGGGGGAAAACCTTACCTCTTCTCAGAAATCAAGGCAAGTGCCAAGTTGGGTTAGCCTCCCCAGGCAGTTTTGTAGCACAAATACCAGCCTGGTTGCTGCAGTTCACTAGGTTTTATGATCAAGGATGACGTAGTTTCTTCACTCTCTTGCAAGCTATTCAACTCCACAGTCAACGAACAGCCTTTCTGGGGCAGAACAAGAGGCAGGTCTTAGAGGAGCTGTCTGCAAAGATCATCAAGGCTGGTCTTTTTTCTCAGAAAATAAAAGCATGACTCATTGACTGTGTAGCCCTAGGCAAATTTCTTTCCTTCTTTGGATCTTGATCTTCCATGCAATATAATTTGGGGAACTGGGTTCAAACATCCAAATGACCTGGGAGCTTGGGGAGAAATACAGATTCCTGGGCCACACTCATTGAGATTCCAATTACGTCTTGGGACTCTGTGTTTTTGCAACTTTCCCAGGGTGTCTTTGATGCATGCCATATTTGGGAATCACAAATATGGATGATTCCCAAGAGCCTTTCCAACCAGAGCACACAGAGTCTGTCCATTTACATGGAGAATACACCAAGGCCCAGTCCCCATCTTCAGATGTTGCAATAGTAGGTATGCAGCTGAAGGAATACACCCCTTTGTTGGAGTCAAGAGAATAGAGTTAAGACAAAAGGAGGTTTGCTTAGGGAGTGTTCATATAAAGGGCTGCTTTTTTTGGGAGGGGAGGATAATATGATGAGCTTTCTATCACTAGAGTTACAAGTTGACAGGCAACCAAGATGAGATGCAGGTCCTTGTTACGGGGAACAAAACACCTTCAGAAGGAGTTGTTAAGGGAGGAAGACATTCTGAAGAATAAATATTAATCTTTGGAGTCAGACAAATTGATTTCAACTCTCAGCCTCCTCAAACATGGAAACTTAGCAGACTTGGAGCTCCATTTGTTCACTGAAAAAAAAAAAAAAGGAATCACCAGATGTATCCACCTCACTCAGACATTGTAAGAAAGACACTATAAATAAATCAGAAAGGGCCTGGCATAGAATGTGACACACAGTAAGTGCTCCATAAAGGTTTGTGGTCTGCTTTTCCTTTTCTTTTTTCTTTTCTTTTTTTTTTTCTCTTGTTCATTCCATTGGCATCACTATTAGTTCCCACAAAACCTAAATCTACATTTAAGGAGAAAGAGCTTCTCACCCAACCTTATTTTCTGTTACGTAAGATGTTAGGGGTTGCACTGAAAACAAAGTCAACAAACAAAAACAGAACAGAGGATGACTATTGGGCAGCAGAGGTTTCTGTGGTTGGCTGAGGACATGGTGCACTGGGTGTGGATGAGAATTTTCTGCCCCTGTTTCTTTTAAGTTTCCAAGTGAAACTTCCAGTTGGGGATAAGCCAAGTTCAGATCCCACTCAGCACATCTGTAATTGGGTTAATAGTATTTGGACTTGTTTAATCTATTCACCTGACATCAGGGGGATGTCACAGTCATATAACTTCTCGTTATGCTGAGCTAAAATAACACAATATTTTCATGCAGCAATGACACAGGCAACAGTGGCACTGGGTTCCATACCCTCCTGCCTTATTGCATTCACACCACAGTACAGAATGGAGATTAAGCGTTGTCATGCTCTGCACTATTCATACCCTGTTCATAAGACCTTTTTGTCTTATGCCCTATACCTAAGCTGCTTCAATTTCCCTGCCTGTCCCTTGTTTTTTCGGACCTCCATACCTTATCCCATTCTGCTTCCATAGGTATGTATATTCTTGCCAGCTTTTTTCCTTCTGCCTAACTCTTGCTTTAGTGGACAGTAGCAATTTCTCTATTGGCTGCTCAGAAACAGTTATTTCTTCTGATCAATGCCTGATTCTTTTTGGAGGAAAGGAGTAGAGAACCACCTTGGCTTCACTGGGTATGATCTTGGTGGAACTTAAATCAAAGTGTTACATTCTTCCACTGCAGGCTACCTAGGCATAAGACCTGCATGTGGCCAACTAGATTCTTACTCCCAACACTCTGAATTTTGAGTAGAGTGATACAAGAAAGGAACAGCTTGAGTGTGTTGAACTGTAGAGCCTGGGTGATATTTTTTATCTCTTTTTGCTGCTAAGACCCTGGAATGATCTGGCTTCTTCAAGTCTCTTTCTCCAGCCTTCCCTCACAGGTTGAAACCTATGAGCCAAGCCCTCTCAAACACTTGTAGTAACTTTCCTTTGGGCCAAACTGTAGCTGCTTCTTGCAGCCTATGAACCATGACATATATATTCAACCATGATCTAATACAGTTTTCTTTGGGAAGCCTTCCTTGAACCCTCAGAGGTGGAGCTCATTTAGTTATTCATGACATCCCTATGGAGGACCTAATGTATACTTGGTTCTGTACTGGGTTCAGGTAATATGAAGTCTTGGTACCTGCCCTCTCCTCTGAAATTCCCAAGCACCACGGATTACCTCTATGTTAGTCCTAACTTAGCATGTTGGAAAGCCCTGTGTTTTGTGACTTATCTCCCCCGGAGTCTGTGGAGTCCACAATTACAGTGCAATGCTCCATTCACCTCCAGACATCTACTGCCAAGCATAGTGCCCAGAAAAAAAGTTGATGCAAAATAAATGTGTGTTGAACTCAGTTGACTTACTTCTGGGGA
Source organism: Homo sapiens (assembly GCF_000001405.40). Lineage (NCBI taxonomy): Eukaryota > Metazoa > Chordata > Mammalia > Primates > Hominidae > Homo > Homo sapiens. The sequence continues at coordinate 116,415,191 of NC_000009.12, read as the reverse complement.
CACCCTACAAAGCAGTCTCAGCCTTAAATTCAAAACTGCTTTGAGAACTAACCCAGACACTGTTGTATTTGGGAAAGCAAAGGGGAAAAATGGTTGGAAAAAAAATTGCAATGGATATGTACTTTGATTCAATGAGGCATTCTTTTGCTGTTAGCCTGTTTTTAAAAAATCACCTCCTAGCAGTAGCCATGACCCAATAATCGCTTTGGTGACTGGATGGAAAGATTTCATCTAGCGGTACTAGTAAAAATCCCAGTAAAAGGGATTCCCATTCCCTCCCTCTCTCTCTACACCCTCCTCCCTTCCCATAAGGAGCCTTAATGGACCCTCAGTGCACCTCTGACATGATGGAAACTGCAAAGAGATGGAATTTCCACACTGGACAGAGAACAGAAGAATGTTATTTTTCTCACTGCAACCTTGGAACTGGCATGCTGCCCCTGGGTGGGAAAAGAGGTGTGTGGAGAAAGGAGCTAGAGTAGGGGGGAAGGGCAGCAGAGGCTGAGATGATGGCATGCCAGGCCTCCAGATGTTTGCTCCTTGCAGATGTGTCAGTGACGATTTCACCCACACATCTGGGAGATATCACCACATTTCACATCTGGAGAGTACTTCACAGGTTACAAAGTCCTCTCACTGATGTCTCTAATTGGATTCCCATGGCAGAACAGATACTGTTGTCCCCATTTTATCAATGAGGCTCCTAGAACTGTCACTTGGCCTTGCTTGGGCGGTGATAACAATAACAATGGCAATGATAATGATTGCCAACACTAATAAAGCACTCAGTAGGTACCAGGCACTGGTCAAGCACTCTATAACCCTAACTCATTTAATCTACATGGCATGTCTTTAAGATGGACATTTTTATCCCCACACAACAATCTAATAATTTGCTTCAGATCACGCAGAGAGCCAGTGGCAAAGGTGGAGAATTCAAGCCTAGGCAGTTTTCCTTCACACTCTATGTCCTTAAGCATTATTTACTGCCTGACTGCCTGTCTGTCAAAGCTGGGAATAGAATCAAGTCTGACCCTTAATTTCATCTTGCTGCTTATAGCATTAAATAATGATAAAAGTGTGATTCTAGTTAAAAAACATTTATTCATTCATTCACACATGTGCTAGGTGACTACAGCATGCCTGGCACTGGTTTGGTCAGTGGAAACACAGAATTGAGAGAGAATAGTCTTCTATTTGGTTCTAAGTGTTACAAGCACAGTGGCCATTCTATCTCCAGCTCCTGAAATTGGGCATGGCACATCTTGGGCACTGAATAAATATGTGTTGAATGAATGGGTTGTACCTGCTCTTGAGAATCAAGACTTATAAGTGGATATATGTTCATTTTCTTATATATTATGTAAAATAGTTAGATAATATAGAGTGTTGAGACCTACAGTGTGGTCTGGAGATGGAATAGATGAGCACAAGAATGTAGTAGATTTCCTGGCACTTCCAATAGTTCAGTACACTTAAAATGGAGAGGTATTGTAAGTGGAGTAACTATCCGACAAGTCCGAACAGATAAGCAGGGATATGTTCTGAAAAGTTGGGCATTATATTTTAGAACAGGGGTCAACAAACTTATGTGTTTGTTTTTCTGTTTGTGTGTGTGTGTGTGTGTGTGTGTGTGTGTGTGTGTGTTTAGAAATGGGATTTCTCTCTTGTCCAGGCTTGAGCATAAAGGCACAATCACTGCAGCCTCAAACTCCTGGGCTCAGTTGATCCTCCTGGGCTCAGTTGATCCTCCTTCCTCAGCCTTCCAAGTACCTGGGACTAGAGTCACAAGTAGCTGGGACTACACCACCATACCTAGCTTAAACTTTGTTCTTTAAAAAGCCATGTAATAAATACTTTAGGCTTTGTGGGCCATACTGTTTCTGTTGCAGCTACAGACTTCTGCTTCACAAAAGCAGCCATAGATAGTATATAAATAAATGAGCATAGCTGTGGTCCATCAAAACTTTATTTATGAAAATAGGCAGAGGTCCAGATTTGGTATGTAGCGCATGGCACCATTGATGCAGCATGATCAGATTAGGTTTCCTTTCTTCATTCACTTCATAAGTATTTACTGAATACCTACTATGTACCACGTATAGTAGCAATTGCTTTATTTTTGTTGCGTACAATCCTGTGAGGCAGAAAAAATCAGTTACAGCAGCCTGGCAAGTACTGTGATGAATGGAAACAAAGGGAGTCATGAGGTCACAGAGAGGGGCCCCTACCTTAAAATTTGGAAGGGTGAACACATCTCACCCTTCTCCAAGGAAGAAATATTTGAACTCCAGCCTAAAGGATGAATAAGGCTAGATGATGAAAATGAAAGAATGTTCCAGATATATAAACGCTGGGGAGTGATAGAGAACTTGCAAGGTTAGTGAGCCTAGAAGAAATTCAGCATACCTGGGGCACAGATTGTAAAAGGAAGAATGGCAGGAATGGAGGCTGAATATTATCAGTCATATCAGTGCTACCCAATAAAAACAAAGTGTGAGCTACATGTGTAATTTAAAATTTTCTGATAGCCACATTTATTTTTTGTTTATTTTCTTCTTCTTCTTCTTTTTTTTTTTTTTTTTTTTTTTTTTTTTTTTTTTTGGAGACAGTCTTGCTCTGTTGCCCAGGCTAGAGTACAGTGGCACGATCTTGGCTTACTGCCTCTGGCTCCCTGGTTCAAGTTATTCTTGTGCCTCAGCCTCCCGAGTAGCTGGGACTACAGGCATGCACCACCACACCGGCTAATTTTCGTATTTTTAGTAGGGATGGGATTTCACCATGTTGCCCAGGCTGGTCTCAAATTCCTGGCCTCAAGTAATCCGCCCATCTTGGCCTCCCAAAGTGCTGGGATTACAGGCATGAGCCACTGCGCTTGGCCCACTAATAGCCACATTAAAACTTTTTTTAATAAACAGGTGAAATTAAAATTAATAATGTGTTTTGTTTGATCTAAAATTTCGACATTTTAATGTGATTAATATCAATAATTATTGTGAGAAAAACCTCATTACCTTTGAAATCCGTGGTGCATTTTTGACTTGCAACACATGTAAATACAGACTAACCAGTGCTGAATTTCAAGTGCTCAGTAGACTCATGTGGCTACTGGATTAAACAGGGCCAGGCCAGATCATTCAGGACCAGTAGGCCAGCAACAACGTCTGGACTTTAGCATCAGTGCAATGGGATTTTTAGGTATCCTTCTGGTAGCAGGGTAGACTGTAATCTTTCAGCTTGTAGTTTCCTTCTAGCTAATTGCAACAAGGTAGGAAGCTCAAAGAAAAGCAAAAATCAGAATAAAGGATGAAAAGAGAATGACTAGCTTTGGATGGAAAAGAGAAGGATACTGTTGCTTTACCAGAAAAAGTGTGAATGTTGATAATAATGGAACCAAATTCCTAACTGACCAAGATTGATGACAATCGAGAGGTCAGATGTCTTAGTGAGTCTGGTCACACAATGAAGTCTATCTAAACCTATAAGTCTGGCTAATCATCAGCTCTGTGAATTAACTAGTGACCAGAAACCCTCTCATTCAGAACCTGAGGCTGTTAAAAGAAGAGGACCAGGTCAATCCAGGAAGCCACCTCATTTTCCTTGCTGCCAGTTGCAGATTCAGGTTGTAGAACCCATCTCAGCCTGAGGAGAAGGAGTTTGGCAACCCCTCACCTCTGAGCCTATGAAGGCTGAGACCCATTTCCCAATTGAAGGCTGAGACCCATGTTCTCGGTGGTGGGGTTAGTGTTGGTTATACCTACCACATCTCAGGTGCCTAATTGTCCTTCTGTCTGTTCCAATTCCCCACTTGGCCTCAAAGCTTTAAACCTTAGCTTTCTACTCGATTAACCAAACTCTCCTCCATATCTGACTCCATTATCCAAACACAGGCAATTTGGATGTGCTAAGAGTTGGAATTACTGATTTTTTAAAAAGTCAAATTTGCTATCTCTAGACACATACTCATCTTGGAAAGCTTTAGCAGTTGGAGGTCTTTGGAGGGCAGCTTCTTTCATGAAAAATGAGAAAGATTGGTAATTGATGTATGATTTTTATGTTAGCAGGCATTTCTAAAGTGCTGAAAAACTTTGTTCTCTTAATCGGTTTAGTTTCAGCCTGGAGTTTATATCACTAATTGGATTAGCATGTGTTTTCTTCATGGATGGTGCTTGACTCAGGCTCCATTCAAATTTATTCATATCTCCCTCAAATAATCACAGAAGACCTACTGTATGTCAGGGGATACAGGTTGAATGAGAGGCAGCTTCTGTGTGTTTCTAAGGAATGAAATAAGTAAATGGACAATTATCATAGTGTGGTTAAGACAATTGTGGAGGAAATAAGAGCTGATGTGGGCTCACAGGGTTTCCAGGCTTGGTCAGGCTCAGAGAAGCCTTCTAGGAGTATCATTAGGCATTGCTATGTTTTTGTGTTCATGAACAGATTGCCTCAGTTCAAATTCAGATTTCATCTGTTTACTAGTCATACTACATTGAGAAATTTATTTAAAATTTCTTGCCCCAATTTCCTCATTTTTAAAATGAGAATATTGATATTTATACCGATCTCAATGGGTTTTTACATATATTAAATAAATGATTATGTGTGAAGTACTTAATTCCATGCCAGGCATTTAGTGAGTCTGCAATTAATGTAAGCTATAATAATGATCATTAATGAGCTTATCTAAACTCCAAAATGAAGAACAAAGAGGAGTGAGGTGTGCGTGTATGTATAGATAAAGGCAGATGTTCCAGAACTTAGAACTAAGAGAACATTGCAAGCTAAGGTAACTAAAGGAAGTTTGGTTTGGCTGCAAAAAATGAGGAGTGGGTAGGGAGTGGATGGGGATGGTAGTAAAAGATAAGCCTAACAAGGCCGGTAGAATCTACTGTGAAGGGTTTAAGTAGGCTAAAACTTTGGGCAACAGAATTTTTGAAGAAGTGAACGTACAAATTTCAGGCTCTGAAGACAAATTTACAGGTGAATGGAGTTCCAACAGCTGATGCCTTGTATGTGTTAACATGAGTTCCAGGAGAACCGCAAGTGTTTGAGATGAAAGCATTTGGCAGGGAGCTTTGTGGAAAATATTTTTAAATATCAACACAGAGAAATATTTGTAACAACCTGAGGGAAAACCATTCTGCTAGTGGAAGAGAAATATCAAGGTTTGGGTTTAGGTCTTGGATGGCGCATAAAATGTCTGAAAACTAAGTTCTGTCTTTGGTTCATTGGAAAGAGGTTTTGAAATTGAAATTGGTCCTTGCAAATTTCACTTCCTTGGTCTGTGCTGGTATGGTATGCATGCGTGTGTGTGTGTGCGTGCGTGTGTGTGTCTGTGTCTGTACAGATTAATGGATGAATAGACGCACTATGTCACTGCTGTAAGTACTGAAGAAAAGGGGATGTCTGGTCACCTCCCTTTTTACATGTGATCTGTGTTACCTTGACATGTTTTTTATCCTGGAAAGGAATGTGTTCGATATGATGCAAGGGTATGCAGGAGAATGAGCTACTCCTTTCCATGCAAGGCTCAAACAGGCCTCTGGAAAGAACCATAGAGCACCACCCCAGCTCTTAGACAAACTCTTGTAAAAGGACACCACTTTTATGCTCTCTCATACATTTGGAGGAGGAATATAGAGATAATGAGGAGACAATATGGAATCCTGAAATCAAGTGTGCCTGCAGTCTTCTCAGCCAGACTACCCTTCTTTTATTTTTCTAAAATCCCATTTGTTCTTCAAGACTCAGCTCAAGTGCTACCTCCTCTAAGTCTCCTGGGCTCTTCTCCAGCCCCATCTCCTGTGATTATCCACATTTAGACAATGTTCTGACCACACCTAACGGCTTGCAGTTCTCTAAGTGCATTCCTGTGCATCCTCCCACCCACAGACTTTTGTCCAGGCTGCGCCCTCTGCCTGGAGCACCCATCTCTCCCTTCTTGATCTGAGTGGCTCCTACTCATGTTCAAAACTCCACATCAGCAACACATTCTTACCCTCAAGCCTGAGGGTCTTTGACATTGGAATTTAAAGATGTATTTACTCATATCTGCACCAACAGACAGAGAATTCTCTGAGGGAAGGAGCCATGCGAATTTTTTTATTATTATTATTCATTTGGGAATCCCTATCGCCTAGGATAGTAGGTATGTGAGTATGTGGATTGTTGAAGGGACTGGCATCTGTGGTTCTCAAAGCATGGCCCTCTTGATCAGCGGCAATCACATCATATGGAAAGTTTTTAGAAAAGCAAATTATTGGGCCCTACACCAGAACTATTAAATCAGAAACTCTGGAGTGGGACCCAGAAATCTGTGTTTTAACAAGCCTTCTAGAGGACTTTGATGCATGCTAACATTTGAGAACTGCTGGTCTAGAAGAAGGGTTGACCACTGTGATGAGAAGTCCATAGCTCTGAGAGGTTCTGTTGACTTCAGCTTCAACAGAACTCAAAGGTGTCATGAGCTATGGACAAACAGTTCTTAACTTTATTTGGAGGTTAATCCAGGGAACTCTCTGGACAGTCTTCTGTGGATTTAAACTGTGAGAAGGACTCATCCAACCACCCAGGTCTGTCATGGCCTATATCTCCTGCACTCAATTCTCCTATTCTGTGAAAAATGAATTGGTATCGATATGACTCCTCATGGCCTTTATATATTTTATGGCTACTTTTTTGGCCCCTAAGCACCCAGGGATGTATGTGCATTTTACCTAAATCATATCGTCTCTTTTTTTTTCTCAGTCCTTTATATAAACCGTATACTTATGCTATCCTACTACTTCGTATAACTCTATTGATCCCAACTTCCTTTTCTCATTGCCTCAGCACTACCAGATCATTTCTCACCTCCACCACTACTCCTGCTTCCCATTTGGTCCTAGTGAATCCTGGCTCTCCCTTGCAATCTTTATTTCACATGAAGGGATCTACCTCAAAATTGAAAATTATTCCTAAAACTCTTTTCTTAGACTCTTCCCTGTTTGCTAATCTCCCTTGCAATAGTGTCCAACCACTTTAGTGCTGCAACAGATCCCACTGAAGCTCTGCCCATATTTGTTGCCACTGTAATATCTTCTGGTATGACTTTCCATAGTCACTGTTCATTTTTCTTTGCCTGAGAGCTTTCTCTGGTGGCCTGAGCCCACTCTGCCCACCAGCAGGTAAGACAGATGTGCTGGAGGATTAATGCCCCAGGGAAATCCCTCAACCACTGATGGGCATGATTGGATTAAATACCCCAGCTTCCTAACATCTCAGGTGGGATAATTCTGAGGAGTGTGTCTTCTCCTGGCTCACAGAATTCGTCCCCAGGGTGATTAAGCTGCAGCTGATCACAGTAGTAATGTGTTTGATAATACTACCTCTTTTCATGACCTTACCATCTTTGCCCTCTTCTCTTCTGGTACTCATTGGAATCATCATCCAGATAATCTACCTGTACTTGAACCTTTGCCTCAGAGTTGGTGATAGGGTTTAAATCTCACCTTGAATTGTAATAATCCCCATGTTTCAAGGGCTGGGCCAGGTGGAGGTAACCGAATCATGGGGGCAGTTTCCCCCATACTGTTCTTGTGGTAGTGAATAAGTCTCATGAGATCTGATGGTTTTATAAATGGGAATTCCCCTGCACAAGCTCTCATGCCTGCCACCATCTAAGATATGCCGTTGCTCTTCCTTCACTTTCCACCATGATTGTGAGACCTCCCCAGCCATGAGGACCTGTGAGTCCATTAAACCTCTTTCCTTTATAAATTACTCAGTCTTGGGTATGCCTTTATTAGTAGCATGAAAATGAACTAATACTGTTGGCTTCCAAAGGAACCCAAACCAAGACATGCATTTACAAAGCTCTTGGCAGCTGGTCTCTTTCTAACTCTCTGACATCACCTGGCATCTTTCTTCCCCAGTGTGGTTTCTTGTTCCCCTTCTTCCAAATTGAGATCCTGGTGGCCTGAACACTTACTATTCCCCAAACAAGCCATGCCCTAATTCACCCGTTTGGTCTTTGCACATGCTGTTTTCTCTGCGTGCAATATTGGCCATTTTATTCTGCAATGGGTTTCCCCATTTGCAACACCTCACACATTGCACTCCAATGAGCTAGTTGCTTGTCTTTGTATTTGGAATATTTGGATACTCTGTAAGGAAAATGGCTGTGGATGTCTATCTTGGCCACCACTCTTATCAGTGTTTAGTCCAATGAATTGTGCATAATAATGCTCAATAAACAATTGTTCAAAAATATTTGAGTAAATGAATACTTTCATAAGTTAACAAATGTGTTTTTCTGTGGTATAAAGTGGTATACATATGGAAAGAACTATTTCTAATATGATTTTAACAAGCTGACACCCAGACGTTGTCTAAGAAACTTGGTCACCATCTCCGCAGCCTCTGGGAAAAATTCTGTTTGGAGTGCCAAAGATTAAAGAGGGAAATAAAAACATTCAGCTAAGCATGTAGTCCAGGCTGGAATATACATGTTCCAGCCTCAGAAAAATATGGAGATAACAAACTTCCCACTCCCAGGGTAGTCTGTGGCTGGGCTACATGTCAAGCAGAAAGAAAACAGAGCATCTCAAAAACTGTGGTCCTTCACTGCCTTCAAATCCCCCTCATTTTGTCCCTAGGCATGAAGCCCAGATTTCTAAGACTCCACAGATCTCTGCATTTCATCAAGACCCCTGTGGGGAGAGCCCAGGTACCAGGTAGCAGCAGGGGCAAGTTAGTTAGTGATGTCACTGTGTTTTCTACTCAGGGGCTCTGGGCAAGTGGCAAGTTCAAATTCTGAATGAAACCTCTGTTAATTTCCCCGTCTGTAAAACAGAGTAGATTAGACCAATTGCTTTTACATCATGCTCTTTGGAACCCCAAAGCTCTGAAGAAAATAGAATGGAGCTATAGGAATTGGGCTACCCCATCCCCTTTGATTAGAGAAGCTCTTTTGACTTGGCATTTCAAATAAATTTTGCACTTGAAGAATGGATTCTGTGGCCCAAATTTCTGAGAATGTTTGACTGATTCAATTACATCTGAGGCAGCCCCTCAAGGATATAAAACCCAGCGTAGGAGAAAGTAGATATCAAAATTGGATATAGGGGCTGGGCACGGTGGCTCACGCCTGTAATCCCAGCACTTTGAGGGGCCGAGGCAAGTGAACTGCTGAAGGTCAGGAGTTTGAGACCAGCCTGGCCAACATGGCAAAACCTTGTCTCTATTAAAAATACAAAAATTAGCCAGCCATGGTGGGAGGTACCTGTAATCCCAGCTACTCAGGAGGCTGAGGCAGGATAATTGCTTGAACCTGGGAGGCAGAGGTTGTAGTGAGCCAAGATTGTGCCACGGCACAGTCTGGGCAACAGAGCGAGTCTCCGTCTCAAAAAAAAAAAAAAAAAAAAGATATATGGTGGCAGGGGTTCATTGTCAGTACATGGAATATCTTTGGGTAAAGCAAATTAAAAACTAGTCTAGCTCTGTTTGGGGTAGGATGGGGTTCCTCAGGGGATAAATTCCATTGTTTTGGCTGCTTCTTCACTGGCTTCTCCATAGCATCTCTTAGTGTTCCGTCATGGTGTTCAGTTAGCAGCAGGCTCAGACAGCTCATCTCATCTTCATCTTGGTAATCATTATCCCTATTGCTCAAATGAGGAGTCATGAGGCTTAAAGGTTAAGTGACTTGTCAATGATCACAGGGCTATAAAGCAGAATAGCAGAACTGGAAACTAGGACTCCTACCTACTCATACTTCCACAATGCCAACACACATTGCTTCCCTGCTCTACCTTTTGTATTATAAAACTGTTGTATTTTAAGGAATCTTTGCTAACATTTCCCCTTTGACATTTCCCCTGTATACCAGTTTTATAGTACAAAAGGTGTTATAGGGGGGCAACTTTTGTGGCTGAACTTAAATGGTGTCTTATTCTCCTTCCCCCAATTGCTCTGAAAAAATGTCTTCTTTCTACGGAGAAATTTTGCGGATGACTCTCTTAAAACTTCTTCATATCGAGATATAATATACATACAGAAAAGCATGTGAACTTTTAAGTGCTTGATGAATTTTCATAAGCTGAACAGAATTGTGTAAACAGCACCCAAATCAAGAAACAGAACATTACCAGCACTGCATGGTAACACAGCATGTAAGAGGCTATGATCCCAGATCTCACCTAATTCCATTCTGACCCCTTTCCCAAAGCCTTCCTATCTCATTTTGAGACCTTATGACAACATCACTGAGGGGTCATCAAGGACATTGTTTGAATTCGCAAGCCTACAAACCTGATCACATGGTCTTAGGTTTCTATATTTTCCTGATAGCTGGTCCTAGAAAATAGCTAGATTTTCCTGTTCCAATATTTTATTGTTTAAAACTGAAATCTAATGTGAATTTTACTCCCTGCTCAATTTTTCTATGAACTAAAAACTTATTTAAGAAATAGGTTTTTAATTAAATACCCAGTCTATTAATTAAAAGAAGGAAAAAAAACACATCTAAAATTAATCAGTCAACTCCTTCACACTGCCACCCGAGGGACCTTTCTCAACCACAAATCTGACCATGTAAATCTCTAAATATTGTTCAGCAGCTCTGCATTGCTGTTAAGATAGAGCCCCAAATCCTTTGTATGGCTCTTAGTGACTTCTCCATCCTCTGGTTGGGCCACTGATACCCTTTCTACTGTCTAAACGCATTGGCTTTTTTTTCAGTTCTTTGAAAGTGTCACACTTTTTCTTACTTAGAAGGACGCACCTGCTGGTTCCATTTGCTTAAACACACCACCTGCTTTTTCTCATTGCCAATTCCTTCTGTCTCTGAAAAGGTCAGTGCCTTGCCCAAGTCACAGGGTGGACAGTACTTGAACTTGGTTTCCCCCATTGCTAACTCATGCTTCTGTACAGCACCGCTGTTTCTCACCTTAAACATCATTCCTTTAGAATTTAAAGCATTTACTCAAAGAAGCAAGGGTTCTTATGGATTGAAGGTTAGAGAGTCTGTGCTTTTGTCCAAACTTTTTATTTCTGGTGTTAAAGGTTAAGAACTGAATAGATTTACTAATGCCAGTGCAGCATAATAGAGTGCCCCCTCCAAATTTTTTAAACTGAAACATTATTTTTTTTTGGATAGACAAACTCCAAAACTTGCATTATAAATATAAATGAATCAAAATACTGAATATTTCTGCCTACTTTGAAGTGAGAAAGAAATAATTTCCCATTTGACAGATTAATAAAGTCCAGTGAGCTCTCCATTACTCTGTGTGTGTGTCTGTGTACGTGTATGTGCGTGCGTGTGTGTCCATGTGTGTGTGTGTTTAGGGCTGGAGAAAGATGGAAGAAGATACTGGGATAAAGATCTTTCATCTTGAAGTAGGAAGCTCTTTGCCCCATGACTTTTTGTCTCTTCAGACGAAACCAAGGAATATAAAAAGCCACATTAAAACTCTCATCTTTTAATCTTTCTGTTTGAGAAATATTTGCCTCTTTTCAGGAGCCTATTGTCTAAATGTTGTTTCAATCTTCACATTGAATAGAACTGTGTAAAATATTTTTCTTTTGTCAATTATTTTACTTTGAAAATAACCAGTTATCTGGAAGAATTTAGCAATGACTTTTTTTTTCTTTTTTAGTAGTCTCCCTAATGTTTCTCCATGAGTTATATTTTTAGAGTCCAAAAAAAAGCCACCCCACTATGAGTAGTTCTTGACTTCCCTATCCCTGCCCTTACACATAATTCACATTGATGTTCCCACACAGCCTTTTTGTGAAAAATTCAAAATGTAGTTATCAGCAGATAAACACATATTTTGACCTGCCTTATGGTGGTACTGCCAGCTAGCAGCTCAGTGGACAGTGCTAATAAATTTACTACATAAAATGCCTGTGCAAGCTCTTGAATGATTCATGCATTTTGTTTCTATTATCTTATAAAATAAGTAGATATCAGAAAAATTAGTGTATTATTACTTGTCATAAGTAATTCTGGTCTCATACTACTCATAATGAGATAATATAATATGTTCAGCACTGTTCTAAACACTTTGCATATTTATCTCATTTAATTCTAGCAAAAACCTTATGAAATACTTTTATTATTTCCATATCACATATGGGAAAACTAAATCTTAAAGCCATTAAATAATTTTCTAAAAATCTCATAGCTACTACCTAGTGATAAGATGAACAGTGAGATACACTAGACAGATTGAAAGCAGCAACATTTCAGTTCCAGCTGCAGGCTCATTTTCACATATGTAAAATTATATATATGTGTGTGTGTGTGTGTGTGTGTGTGTGTGGAGATACATATATATATATATATATGTATATATGAGCCTGCATATGCATATATTGTGTGTATATATGTATATAAAATATGACATTTTAATACCGGAAGAGTAAGAAAGAGTTCATCTTAAAAGATAGAACTCCACAAGAATGAACAATTGACCCCACATTTTGCCTTAGACAAATGAAAACTTAGTTATGAACTAGCTCTGATCCACAGCTTAGCACTTGGGAACCACTGCACTGGTTTGTGTCTTTGGACCATACCAGTGTTTACATCTGGAAGTATATTATTAAAGGCTGTGTGCAAAAGGCAATATATAACCAAGAGTGACATATGCTTTAGCTCCCCAGAACTTTCTTATAACATGTAAGAAAGTTTTTCAGTTTTTGCATATGCAAAATTAGATACTTTCAGGAATTAATTTTGTAGAGGAATCGATATATATTGGATAAAATCTTGTTCTATCATTGATTGTCTAATTCCAGGCCCCAGGGCTCTCTCCATGTTAGCGTGTATATATGACAGCCCTTTATCATTCCGCAACACACAAAAACCACACAACAACACACTGAAGCGTACAAGCTATTATATATTTTCATAATATAGAACTTTAAAGTATAGTAATCAACAGTGGCAAAATATTTCTGTCTCTGACATTATTATTTGTGAGATCCAACCTGTAATTGAGATCAGAGAAAACAGTATGGGAAAACAAATCCATGAGAACAGGATAAAAATATCATGAACAGCAAAATATGTCTGAGTATTTAAAACTGTATAGAAAAAATAAATTAGATGAACAATTGTGTAAATATAAATTAAAAAAGATGACATTCTTAATAAATAAAGTTTACTATTTACATTTTTATATATTGCCAAAAGATTTAACTTAGATCCATAAAAACACATAAACAGAAAAAAAAATAGGAGCAGCAAATTTATGCGCGTGAGGTACAGAAAAAGGATTGGAATTGTGTTTAGTTTTTGGTGTTTAGATTATTTTCTTTGTGTCTTTCTTCTTTTTCTTTTTTTTTTTCTTTTTTACAATAGGCCAGAAGAATTCTTATGAGAACAGCTTTTAAGCACTTCAATGGAGTGTCATTTTTTTGGTAGCTTCCAGAAGGTGCCAAACAGGTTTCAACATCATATTAATTAGAAATACCCATAATAATTATAACAATAATAAAAAGGTATAATATGGTACATAAATATGGAAGAGCAGTTTGTAATATGAATACATTTTCTCTAGACGAGATCACAGTTTTATTTTGTAAATATTACATTTAAGTATATATATACACACATATATGTACAACTATATATACATGTGCATATATATGTAAATTTATATTTATATATAATATCTTTATATAGATAGATATCTGCAGACAGGTTATTGATTATAGAGACCCAAGAAAGCAACTCAATAATTGTTCAAAGTTTTCCTCACTGACTGCTGGTGTGTAGTTTAAGAAGCCCCCATTTGTTTGCACTCAGAATGCCTTATCTTCTTTTAATGGAACACTTGATGTGGAATTTTAAGTCTGAGAAGTGAGGTGCCTTCTGAAGAAGAGATTTTAGAGACTCCCTTCCTCTATAAGTTGGAAATGACCAGAAGTCTTAAGTAGACGACAGTTAGCTGACTTTGACATTGTAGGACATAATCAGCTTTTAACCAAATTATAGAACTGGTAAAGGGTAAGATCAAATTTGCCAAAAAAATAAAATATTCTCCAATACAGGTCTCTCTTTTAAGGTGGACTACAATTCAGGAGCTCCGGCTTTATTCCTTGAAATATCAAACAAGCACTCCCTGTCTTGTCTTTCTAAAAGGCCGATGGGCCTGTGCATTCTTGAATAATAACCCATGGACTTTGTGTCAAGCGTTGGCCCTCACAGCCCACCTAAAACCTCAGGGCCTCAAAATCTCCTGCCCTCCCACTGTGAGGTAGGTATATAGTATTATCCCCATTTTGCAGCTAGAGAAACTGATGCAAATGTAGAGGCAATTGGATAACTTGTTCAAGATCACTGAGCAAACTGCTGCCTGGAGTCAAAAATTCTAACTTCTGTACAACAGGGACATAATTTCTCTTTTGGCTATTATACATTTCTTTTAAAAAGCAAGTGATTGGTAGGAATTTGGCAAAAGTTGAATAAGTTACAAGAACAGGCTTTTATTCATTTGCTATTTGGTTTTTATGTTTCTTGTTTACTTCGTTTGATTTGTTTCTCAAAACTCACTCAGTGGGATTACCTGTCTGTCATGTAGCAGCTTTTTAAAAAACTGGACTGTGCAGTGTGGTTCTGAGTGCAGTCTTTATAAAGCCCAGTGCTGTACTGGTAAATATAAACATTTTATAACGTGAAAAGCACAACGACACAATATGTCCCCTTAATAGCTGGAAAAACCAATATAAGCCCTCCCACTCCCTACTACCACTGATTGCCACCAAACAAATAAACAAAATGCCCACCCCACCCAACAACAACAATAACACATCAAGGGGGAAAATGTCATATTTCCTGGACCTACCACAATGTACAGAAAATAACAGACAGTGTTATCAAATCCCACTCTATGTCTTCTAGGGAAATCTTTATGTTTGTGTCTACCTACTGAGGCTGTAGAATAAACAATTTCCTTTAGGAAACATAAAAATAGGTTTTTTATTCTTAGTTTTTAATCATGCATTTTTATTTCCTTTTAATCTCTTTGTCTTCTATTATCTCTATCTGTACAGCTTTGTCACCATTTTTTTTTATTTTCTCACTTGAAGTAGTTCCAGAAAAAAACACAAAACCTCAAAACTGTTAACTTGACCTTATAATTTCCTTTCTCTTTCTTTCTTTCTTTCTTTTTCTTTCTTTCACACAGGTAAGACCTATAACAACAAATTGACAATTACAACCAAGTTAAATCGAACCTGGAAGGGAGGTAGCTGAAATCTGTCTCAAAGAATTATTTTCAACAAATAGTATTTAAGCATTGGCCAGGATGGGAATAAGACCAAGAGAACCGTCTAGGCAGTGACTCAATGTGTTGAAGCCAGGAGTGGCAGCTGATACCCTGCATTTTCAAAGCCCTACCATCTATGACAATCTTTCCCTTCCTTAACACCCCAATTCACCATCAAAACTCATTTCCCAAGGACTGTATTTCCTTAAAAGGTTGTTGGCACAGAATCTGGGGGTAATGCAAATCCTTTGGGTAGGTAGTTAAGATTGTGGCTTGGAAAAGCTTCCCTAAATAGGGCTTAGAGGACTGTCCACCTCATCTTTCATATTTTGCTGCTAACAATCTAATACTTCAGATGCAGAACCTTCAGTGTTTTAGGGCCTTTGAGCTGCTGACACACAATAGTGCATCAGAGCTGCCTCTCAGTGCTCCGGTCACCTACACAGAAGATGACTGAAGGAATGAAATGACGAGTTAATTCCCAGGAAGAAAATGAAACTGGGAACAAATGCATTGCCCAAATTGAGCTGACCCTCCTCCACTAAGGTTTGAAAAGACCCTATTAAAGATACCTTCCATGTGGGCACGAGGTTGGCCACCAATCAAGTAGCCTCTTTTGCCTAATATCCTTGGCAAATATAAATTTGTTAGCAACAGGTCTGAATGAAAGAGACTGGGTGGGTCTTGATTCAGAAGAGCTGAATTCACTCTGTGAGTCTGAAGATACAAGTCAGCCTCCAGGAATCTTTGCTTAGCTGGATAGTGTGAAAATAGATGATGATGGGAGTGAAGATAGAAAGAGGATAAGGACTGATTTGAGGGAAGCTGGTAAGGTTCTTCTGTGGCTCCTGAAATCACATCATTAGTAATGTCATCTTTGGGTCTTCAGAGCTTTTTGTATTACCTATGGGTATAATTAAGCAACTGGGAGGGTTGATACTGTTACATTTCTTAGCTTGTACCTTCTAAGGTAGTTAACACCACACAGGCTGATAACTCAGGGCAAGAGAGAGGCCTGGAGAGTTGACAAGAGTGTGAAGATACTGGAGAGGGGTTCAAAATAGGATCAATTCTTCTAATACTATTCTTATTTCTTGCTAATAATTTGTCCTTGTAATTATAGTGAAGTAATGGTCTGGATATAAATGAGATATGGTTTTGTGAGGAAGAAACATAGAGGATTATTCTTAACAACTGTGGCAGCCTTGCCAATATGGAACCCAATTTCAGAGTTTGTGAAATGGTACAAGTCTCATAAACTATCTCAGCACTGCATCCGTATTTGTGGGCACCTGTGCCAAAAGCACCTTGATATGTTTCTTAGTGTAATTGGCCAGAGATGGCCAATAGATGTCTTCTCAAGTGTTTTTGATCACCAGGTCAGTGCTATTGGGAGTGATATAATATGGTGGTTCCTAAAGTTATTTTTGGTCTCTTTTTTTTTTTTTTTTTAAGTGCTATGATAGATTAACAACACCTGCCTTGGATGCAGGAATTAGGTGGGGCTGCACACGTGCATGGTATTTTCTATCCCTATGCTAGGTTTTGTTTCTGTTGGCTGTCTTCACTAGACTTGAGATGACTTGATTTACAGTAATCCCTATGTGATGTAACTAGTCTAGACCTTCCCTTCTCCGCAATTCCCAGCTCCAGGTTTCAGAAAGTATGCCACACTCAACCCTTCTCTCCAGTTCATCCTGTATTAATTTCTTCCCATATTAATTCAAAGGGAGTGGACAGGTCCCTGGCTGAAAAGAAATAAAGAGATCCCCAAAGTGGTGGGGGCTTCCACGTGCAGTTGACTAATTTTCACTTAACTTTTGGAGGCTAGACATGGGAGAGAGAAAAGCACTGCCCAGTCACAGGTATGGAAGGGAGTACTGCTAGCTGGAAAAACCATATAGAAAACATGATGACCATGTTGAGTTGTTGGTGCTGAGGCTGTGAACTCTTTGGCTTCCTTCTGATGGCCCTCTTGAGAACAATCTGTACTGTTCTTATAAAAGATTCTTTCTCCCAGAATTATATCTCCTCAGAGCAACAGCAAGGTTCTCAGGATCAAAGCCTACTCTAGCCTGAAGGGCTAGGAAGATTAGGATAAGGATAAGGATAATAATCCAAAAGTCTCGACAATTCCAGTAGTCTCTGGATGGCTCCAACATCATAGAAATTTAACACTGTTCCACTTGTTTACAAAATCTAACACTGGCTTAGACATTCTGGACTTTCAGTGAGGGTTCCAGCATCTGATGTCCCTCAACTCCTTTCCAGGGTGAGAGGCCCACTTACAGGAAACTTAACTTCTCACCATGTGGACCCATGAGGGTTTTTCTCTTGCAGAAGGGCTAAAAAGTGAGGAGCTATGGAAAAATGTGGGTCACTTTTAAGGCAGACTGTTTGGTTGTGTGGAATTTTTCCTAACCTAGTTCTACCATCTTGGATTATTCAATGTATAGGATAGAGCAGCAGGAAAAGTAGCAGCAAATGTGGTCCCAAGGCAAGATCTGGGGGAACAGGTAAGTCCTAGAGGGATATTATGACCTCAAGCCTCAAGCAAGGGGCTGATATAATACCTTGACATTGCAATCCTAAGCCATTCTCAGATTGGCCTCGAACCCTGGAGTTGGGGTAAAATCCCCCATGGCAGCAGAAGAATTGGGGCGCTTTGCATACCTGATAATCTTTACCTCTTCCTAGGTCCTAGTTCCCTAGAAGGTAGGGGATCACAGACTGTTTCACTTCCAATCCCAAAGGACTGCACAATTGTGCATGTCCTACATATTCTGAGCCTCAGAGTGTGAACTAGCTTGACATCTCCACACTTGGTCTTAGCAGTTTCTGCAAATTTCTTTCTCCCAAGGATAGTGTTGGCTAGGAGCTTGGGAAAGAAAAGATTGAGTTTATTCCGGTCTCTCTCTGCTCATCTCCAGAACTGCCCTCACACAGATGTTTGTATGGGTGTGTATGCATGCATGTGTACTAAACACAGATGGGCACACTCTAGATATAGAACACGTTTCTTGCTGTGGTTGTGTGACAAATGGCTAGAATTTTAGGAGGCTCTGGGACTGCACACTGTATATGCAATCCATCTCAGACTTTGGGATGGGAATCCATTTCATCATCCAGCATGGCGAAACTTGGTTCATTCGCCCCAATGTGAGTCCTTCCTGGGTAAAATTAAAGGCAGACCGGTTGGGTGCTAAGGATCCCTGGTGTGGAGAGGCCATTCCGTTGAGCAGCTGACTGTGAAATCAATACCAAAGGGATGTGGGTCCTGGCGTTGGGAATTCTTTGACAACTTCTTGTCCTTCCTTAGCCATGGCTGTATCCCCGGAGGTCTTTCCGGCTGTGTTCTTGGGCCTGGGGGTCCCGACAAGCACAGTCACCTTGTAGATCACAGGACATAGGGAATGGGGTGACCTGCAGAAAGAAGAAGTGAATCAGGTGATTTGGTCTGAAGCAGTAATGATCAGAAAGGCAGTGCAGCGCAGGGATACAATCACTGGATTTGAGGAGCAGAAGGTTCAAGTTCAAGTTATGGCTCTGCTTCTTGCTATCCTGGTGATAACTTTTATCGAGCACACCATGATCATAATCACAGCAGTTTTCATTTGCAGAGGCACTTGCTATGGGTCAGGCATTTGCTATGGGGTAAGGCAATGTACTCAGTGATTTCCAAACAAGAAAACACTTTTGACAACTCTATAAGACAGATGCTGCAACAATCACCCTTTTATTGATGGGGAAACTGAAGCTCAGAAAGGAATAAGAATTTGCCAAAAGTAATAATAAGTGTCAAGTCTGGTATTTAAAGTAAAACAAGCTACTTACTTATCTCAGAGCCTCAGGTCCCTATGTAGAGCTGATATAATAAGACCCACTTTGTATTTTAAACTATAGGAGCTGAGTAAAATCATGGGTGGAAAATTGTCGTGCACTGTAGCAAAGTTGATTAATAGAACTGTGTAATGGAATATCTGATGTATAAGTGATCAAGTGAAAGAAAGGATGTGGAAGTGTCTTTTGAGAAAACATAAGTCTCTGCACATACTGGTCACTTTGACTTTAGTAGGCAATGATGAAAACAAAAAGCATGTCTCAGGGAAGCTAGACCACCTTCTGGGAGGCTTGGAATCCTGAGTAGGGAATAGATCGCATGGTGGTTTTGCACCAAATTTGAAGGACCTGGGAAGCAGATTTTAGCATACGAACAAGTGAGAGAACTGAGTTCAATACAGTTGCCAGTTCGTTCCTTCATGTGCTCTGTGACCTTGGCCAGCTTTCCTTTCTGCAAACTGATAGGAAGAGCCCAACAGAGTGAGTGTCTTCCCCATCCAGGAGATAATCTATCTTTCCAAAGAGCACAGTGCAGTTCCTGCTTGAGTCCCCACCTGAACTAACGCAAGTAGATTTCACCTCATTGCATCATGACATTTGCATATAACTTTCCCCAGAGAGCCTCCCATCTGCGCAGATGGATTTAATGACCTCATTTGCCTCCTGCCTGGGCAGGGTCTCCAAGTGGTCACGTAGTCTCAGAGAGAATCTTTGTTTCTATCCTTCTCTCTCATGTACTTGTGGACTCATTCTCAATGTCTACCTCTTCTTTTTTCTCTGCCTCTTTGACCTCTTTCCCTCCCTCCCAACCTCTCTCCATCCTGAAAGTTTGCAATAATTTAAAATGTAGAATGGAACATCAGAAAGATTTAAGTATATGCCCCAGCTCTCTCATCTACTTGAGATGTGACCTTGAACATGTGACAATTTCTCTGAGTCTCAATGAACTCATTCATTTAATGGGAAAAATAAAAGTGTAGACCTCCTGAGGTTGTGATAAGGAATACATGAAATAACTCATGAAAACACCTCACACAGTGCTTGACATATGCTAAGTGCTCAATTATTCTGTCTCTTTCTCTCTCCCGCTCCCTCTCCTTTATTTTTTTGGTCTATCCTCCCACCAATTCTGTGGCCCATAAGGCAGGGACCAGGTCAATCTTGTTTATTCCTGTTTTCACAGGCCCTAAGCCACAGAATGAATAAATTTGTATTCATTGATCCATCTCTCTCTGACTCTTTGTACTTATGGCTACCACAAGTCTTTGTTTCTCTTTTCAATTTAAATTCATAAGTGCTTGATGCTGTGGTAAGCATTTCCACCGTCCCCTTTTCCAAGCAGCACCTCTCTTCTTGCTCACAGCTACTTGCTGTTCTCTGTTTAGGACATTTACTTTCCATCCTCTGTGACTTTGTGGAATACATCTAGGATATTCCATCTAGAATCTAGAATATTTGCCCCTATTCATTTTACCTTGAAGAGAAGCACAGAATATTAGAACTGGAAGTGGCATAGAGAGAAAACCCCCCAGTCCAAACAGGGAAACTGAGGGCAAAGCCAAGTCAAAATCCAACCACTGGGGTAGAGTGTGGAAAGTACTATCATGAAAGCCAAAAGGTTTGGGTTGGGATCCTTGTTTGCTTCATACTCGTTGAATGATTTTGGGAAAATCCCTCCACTGTCATGATCTTAGGTTCTACATCTATGAAAGGAGGATTTTTAAAATACCATATTTCATGTTGCATTTTTTCTGAGGATCAAGCAAGAAGAAACATGCAAAAGCCTCAGCACATGGCCTAACACCCTTGAGATGCTCAGTGCCAAATACATATATGCTGAATCAGATTTCTCCCTCACTCGTATTTCACGATCTTTCCTGCCTATTGTCCCCCACCGCCCACCTTCCACACTTGAACAATCTCCTTGTCCTTAACTCCCCCATGCTTTATCCATCCCCGTCTCCTACCCTTGCTCTCATTCTATCATTAGCACGATCCAGTTACCTCTAATGTCTTCTCTAATATTCTGTCTGTAACACTTTCCCATTGAGCTCAAACACCCATGAGGGATGGTTTCATGTCTGTCTGCTTTATCTTTTGTGCTTTCTGCTGCACCTCACTCAAGGCAAACATTCAAAAAATTATATGTCTTAGAATAAAATCCAAAGTCCTTACCACAAGTTCAAGGCCTTGCATGATCTGATTTCTACATAAGTCTCAGATCTTACATGGTTTCCTTCTCCTCCTCACTCTCAGTGGCTTCTTTATTTATTGGTTCCCCAGATACTCTGTTTTCCTACTTTTGTGTCCTTAGCCACTAATGGCCCTCCACTCTGACTGCTCTTCCCTGGCCAGCTCTTTTTCATTGTCCAGGTCTTTTCGCAAGTATCACTACCTCCCTCAGTAGTCTGACCAAAGATATTAGGTTGGTGCAAAAATAATTGTGGTTTTTGCCATTGAAAGTAATGGTAAAAACGGCAATTACTTTTGCACCAACCTAATAGCACCATCACCTTCATACCATATCACAGCATCTTATTTTTGCACCCTTCTGATACTGAATTACTTCTTTACTTCGATGTCAGCTCACTCTGGGCAGGGACCATGACTGTTATTGAACTCAGTCTTTATGCATTCAATGACCCATGAATGAATGAACAAATGAATGCATGAATATGCAGGCAGAATACAAGTCAGGGAGCCTCCACTTTTACAGTCAGTTGCTGGGTGACTTTGGACAAGTTACTTCCCTTCTCTGAGCTTGTTTCCCTGCCTATAATAAGAGTTGATTTTCATAGCTTCTAACTTCTCATCTGGCTGAAAATCCTTCTCAGTCTGAGAAAGGTAGAAGGCAAAGACCTGGCCAGAAAGGAACTTGAAACATAGAATTTCTTCACAGACCCTGTCTTGAATGCTCCCCTTCCTGTCCTCCCCAGTTCAATCAGCTTCTCCAAAATTGTTGGCTGGTAAGGCCTTGCCACCAGTTAGCTTCTCAGGCCGGTCTTGGCACTCTGGCTATGCTGGGGTGGTGTCACCTTTTTCTTCCTTCCCCAGGCCAGTCTGGGCAGTTTCAGCACTTCCGAAATAAACACTGGAGGAAACTCAATCAGAATATGACAAAGCCTAGGAGGGTTGGTCTCAGGAGGCCTATCCAGAGCCTCCTTGTCTCCACTACATGCTTGTAAGTAATATGTTGTAGACTTTATACAGAAACTGTATGACTTTCAGCAAGTCCCTGGCATCTTGTGGACTTCAGCCTCCCCATCTGTAAGACAAGGGTCTTTATCAAGACCTCGAAGGGCTCTAGTGAGGAGTCAGTGAAGTCATGTCAGGTCCAGTCCAGCTCTCAGAGTGCCCAATGTAGAGGAGACACATGGTGTTTTCTTCCCTCCTCTTGCCTCTTTGTGAACTGCCTGTTCAGAGCCTCCTCTGTTACAAGCTTCCTCACTTATCACAGATATAAAGCTGAGAAGAAAAGGGTGGAGATTTTCAGGTATTGCTAGGTCTAACCTGGAAAGGACTTGGGGACACCTGTTCATGCAGGCTCAAGCGGTGAATACCATTGTACACACACTAGTGATTCCAAAGGGCCTTCCACATGCCAGATGATTTCTATATGCTAGCTCTCTGACTCTGCACCACCTTGGGAGACTATCATTATTAGCTCCCCATCTTGCAGATGAGAAAATAGAGGCTTCAGAATGTTTAAAGCAAAACTAACCTGTCTCAGGCCTCAGTACCAGTCAGTGAGTTGGTGATGCAGGATTCCAAACCCCACTTCAAACACTTGAGAGCTTTTCAGCAAGTGAGAGTAAAAAGAAGGGGGAAAAAAAAGGTATTTTCTTCACAACCTGAAAAGGCTGACTGCTGCTTTGTCTTTTTAATCACCAATAACCTTTATCCTTATTATGTGCCTGGCACTGAGCTAAACTCAATGTGCATCATTATCTTACTCACTCTGCCCAGCAATGCTAAGAGGTAACTATTCTTACTATCCCCATTTTACATCTTAAAAGAAACTAAGATGCAAAGAGATGAATCAGTGGGCTGTCAGGTGGCCTGGCACTCCTCAGCACCATGCCCCAGGAGGACGGCAGAGCAGGAGTCAGGGTCCTCTCTTCACAGACGAAGAAACTGAGGCATGGAGAGAAGAATCACATCTTGATAAAATCAGAGCTCTGAGCCCAACTGCCAGATTCCCTGACTCCCCAAGCAGCTCCCCACCTTCTCCCCCAGGCGGCCTCCCAAGAAAACCTACCACCCACAGCATGAACACCATGGTGGCCAGTTTACATTTGGGGATTCTCAGCACCATGTGGCTAGGCTGTCCCATAAATGGCTTGGCCACCCACTCTGGGATTGTGTTAGCAAGCCAGGTCCATGATTAAGGGCCAGGATTCTCTCCTGTTTTTACTCGGGGCTAGAGATGGTGCTCCGGCACATGGGTTCTCCCTCTGGGTGAGCTGCTGAGGCTAACACCTCCATCTGTGAGTGTGAGTGGCTCAGGAATGCAGCTCAGGCAACTATACCACAAGGCCCTGGCTGCAGATCCTGTCCAGAGCTGAGAGACATGCAGGGGCTGGATTCTGACTCAGACTCCACAGGGAGGTAACTAGCAGAGCATGGTGGGGGTGCCGGTTGGAGAGGGACAACAGTCATGTTGTGCTGATGGTCAGAGAGCTTTGACTGTGTCTCCTGCTGGCTGTGGGGGGCCACATCACTGGCAGGTCACTTCACCTGGTTGAGTCTTAGGGTCTTGACAGTGCTGATGGAAAGATTTCATGAGTACCAAGTAGATAAAGGCATGATGCCAAGGACGAGGATTCCCCTGTAAGTTTCTTAAAGGTAGGATGGATACAGTACCTGGCATAAAACGTGGAACAGTTAATGTATACGAAGCTTGTTTAAATGAAGATAAAGTGGTCATGTGGATAAATGGAGGATAAAGTGGAAAAAATATGGGTAAATTAGAGGAAAGCACTGGCCTAGAGGAGAAAAAGACACGTTTGAGTCTTTGCCCTGTTGCTGACTTTCGTGTATGCTATCCGGCAAGTTACTTCCCTTTTCTGGGCTTCAGTTTCTCTATCTGTAAAAAGGAGGTACTAACAGTCCTACCACACAGAAGTATGTTGGGTAAAGTATGAAATGCAAGTAAAGCATTAGAATAATGCATGGCATAAAATATGGGCTCAATAAATGATGATGCTAGTGGTGATGGTGGTGATGGTTTTGACAGTGAGGTAATGATGATGATGGTGGTGGTAATAACATTGATAATGATGCTGATAAGTTTTTGGGATAGAAGGGCTGGATTCCATCATAGGACCAAGCTAAAATGAGTGCCTACTTCATCCATAAGGAAAAAGTCAGGGCTACATTCCAAAGCGGGGGGCAGGGGGAGGCAGAGGGTTTAATAACATTCCAGAAGCCAGTAATTTTTGAACATGGAAGAGTTAGTCTAGTGTGCTTAGCCATCTGCTTGTTGTCTCTTACTAATCCTCCAAGTTAAGCATATCTACTCTCTCTTCCAAAAGGCCTTCTGGGATTCCCTACACTGGCTCAGTGCTTCAAATCCTCCTGAATACCCCCCACTGGCCTCTGGATAAAGTTCAATCTCCCTGGCTTGGGTGATAAAAGCCTTGCTTATCCATCTAGGCTTATCTTTTATCCCTTTTCCCCTTGCACCATGCTCTGGGCATACTCAGGGAATTATAATTTCCTTAACACTTTCCCTGGTGTCTGGGCCTTTGCACAGACTGTTCCTCTCGCCAAAGATACCCTTTTCCCTCCCACCCCTATCTCTGGTCCTTCCTTACTCCTTTCATCTGGGAAATACCTTCTGGACCTTTCATTTATTGCCTTTGGTGTTGCCTTCTCTGGGAAACTTCGCTGACCTCCTGACTTGCTGTGTCTCCATGAGTACTTGCTATACTCTAAATGTCTGGCTACTCATCCATAAGACATGAATTCATTCAGCTGGGACCAAGTTCTTGCTCATGGCCTAGTACAGTATCTGTCACACAGCAGGTAATACCCTAAATTCACTCATGCAAAAAGTATTTATTTGTGGGTGTTGAGTACCTACTATTGGACAGGAAACAATGAGGTACACTGGAAATTTGAATATATCAATAAACAAACAAGAAGCACATTCTTATCCTCATTAATTCTGCATTCTAGCATCAAGAGGAGTAGGGGTCATCTGATCATAAATAATAAATATATTTTATAGTGTGTGCCAGGGTGATAAGTATTAGGGAAGAAAGAAAGAAAAAAAAAAACAGAAGGCAAAGCAAATGAGTGTGGGAGTGCCAGGGGTGATGTGGGTTGGGTGGTCAGGGTTGGAGTCATTGAGAACATGGCACTTGGGCAAAGACTTGAAAGAGGTGAAGGAGTGAGTCATGAGGATGAATAGAAGAGGGTTCTTAGCCAAAGAAATTGCCAGTGACACAGTGACAAAGGCTGTAAAGTAGAAGGATGCCTGAGCTGAACTAAGGATAGCAAGGGGTCCAGAATGCCAGAGGTGAATAAGAAAAGGCATAGACAGTGGAAAGGGGGCAAAGTCAGAGAAGCAATGTGGGTGGGCAAAGCACCCACATTTTCCCAAGAGCTTTGTAGGCATTGGGAAAACTTTGGTTTTTCATTCCAAGTAAAATGGGAAGGAACTGTATGTCTTTGCATTGAGGTGTGATATGATCTGACTGGATTTAAAAGGACTATTCTGCGAGGTCAGGAGTTCAAGACCAGCCTGAGCAATATGGTGAAACCCCGTCTCTACTAAAAATACAAAAATTAGCCAGGTGTGGTGGTGTGTGCCTGTAATCCCAGCTACTCTGGAGGCTGAGGCAGGAGAATTGCTTGAACCTGGGAGGCGGAGGTTGCAGTGAGCCAAGATTATGCCACTGCACTCCAGCCTGGGTGACAAGAGTGAGACTCTGTTTCCAAAAAAAAAAAAAAAAAAAGGATTATTCTGGCTGCTAGGTCAAGAAGAGACACTGATGTACATCCCCAAGTCAGCTACCCAACATCCAGCCCTTTGTCAATGTAGGTTATCACCCACTCTGCTAAGAAGGTTGCTCTCCATGTAATGATGTTGATTATTTTTCCATATCTTATAGAATCACTAGCCTTCTTAGACCAATGACCAATGTGCTACATGTTGGGTATAATGTCTTTTCTTAAGAAACCATGTTCTCATTTAGGTAGGGTTTAAGATTTAGTAAATCTGTCATTTAGCAAATATTGCAGCCAGCCCTACACATAGTTGCATGAATTGGGTGCACCATCCTGTGCTGAGATGTGTTTCTGGGATTAACCTCTTCTTATTCTCTGTAGGTCTCAGTCTTAACTAGCCTTCAACTTCCTGCTCAATGACCAACTCATCCAGGAAGCCATGTGAAGAGTCCTTAGGCACATTTTTAGAAAGCCTTGTTATGTTGAGTTATTAGACAGGAATCTAATTCAAATATCAAAACATAAAAACCCAAAGTGAGTCTGGCCTACCCAAGGTCACAGAGTTAATAAGTCACAGAACCAGGACTATACCCCAACTCCCCAGACATCTATAAGAATCACTCTCTTAGCAGCCATCTGAAACATGACCACAACTAGTGTTCCAGGCCACCACACCTTAGAAAGCTTTGGTATGTTGAATATGTTAAGGTTGTTTCCCTTTTCTCCCTCACACCCTAACACGTGCTTACTTAGAATGATTCCAATTATAAATTGAATTTTTTTTGTCATGAAGGGAAACCACTGGAGCAACCATTCTGGAAATCTGCTTTGTATTTGAGGCTCCTCAAGGCTCCAACAGGAAAATAATAAACTGACATCCTGAGAGGCTGAGTCCTGCCCCTTCCTGTCTGCCTCACACTGCAGGCAGGTGTCTGGGTGGGAAATTGGACACCCCTGTCAGACAGAGTTTCCTGCACCGTCTTGCTCTTGTCTGCCAGCCGGGCCCAGGTCACCCCATAAGGCGGATGTGGGGAACAGCTGGTGTCTGTACAGACAAATAAGGGAGGGAGAATGAAGGGAGCAGACAGTCATCATGCTGGGCCAAGGCATCACGGAGGCCCTAGCCCTGGGAACCGGGAAGAAGTTTAGGTGGAAAACTGGCAAGAAGGAAGTCTGGGAGAAGATGCTGAGTGCTTAACTCTGGGCCTGGAGTTCATACCAAGAACTCCATTCCTGGAGGTCTATGAAGCAAGAATATCACCCACAAGGGGCAGGACAAGACGCTTGGGCAAGACACAAGCCTGCTGCAAAAGGATGTTCCAAGGGGTTAGAGGCAGGTGCTGTGCAGCTTGAATTCTCTTGGTTTGCATCTTAGCTTTACCACTTGCTAACTGTGTGAATTTAACCCTTCTAAGCCCCAGTTTCATCATCTATAAAATGAGGATTAAAAAGATAACGCCTAGGGCCGTCCATGGCGGCTCACATCTGTGATCCCAGCACTTTGGGAAGCTGAGGCTGGAGGATCACTGGAGCCCAGGAGTTCAAGACCAGTCTGGGCAATACAGGGAGACTGCTTTCTCTACAAAAAATATGAAAATTAGCATGGTGTGATGGTGTGTGTCTGTAGTCCCAGCTATTTGGAAGGCTGAGGTGGAAAGATCATTTGAGCTTATTAGGAGGTTGAGGCTGAAGTGAGCCACTCCAGAGTAGGTGACAGAGTGAGGCTTCATCTCAAAAGAAAAAGAAAAAAGAACAACATCTACAACAGGGTTATTGTGCTGATGAAATGAAACGACATGTAAAGCAAAGCAATAACTCTTAGCTATTACCATTTGTTCAGTTAGGAAATCCTAAATCCCAAACATAGCTCTATCACCTTGTACAAATTATTCCATTTCCCTCAACCTCAGTGCTCTACTTGGCTGAATTATTCTGGAGTTTAAGTGAGATGACATGCACAGAGATCCAGGCCACAGCGAAGCACATATTAAGTGCTCAGTTAACTGAATTCCTGTGATTTAGGAAGGTGCTTGAAACTCACCCAGGGGTGAGTTTCTCTGAGCGCTAGCCTGGGTGTGTAAGGGAAGGGATTGTCTCTTGATATGGGACTGGGGCTGAGGGGACAAGTGGGACCTAAACAGGTCCAGCAGGTAAGGGCAGAGGCATGAAAGGAAAGTAACCTCTCTCCTTCTCTGAGAGGCTTCCTGCGGTGGAAGATGGAAACAAAAACCAGAACTTTCTTCTGTTCTGTGGATGCCCACGGGAAACTCCTCTCTGGGCTGCCAGGGATGTCAGGGATGATGGGAAGGCTGGGAGACTTATCTTCCCCCGACCCCATCTTTGCTGCTACTGGGAAAAGCTGCTCTCCTCTTTGCCAAAGTTCCCTGGCAGTCTGGGCTCATGGTGAAATGTTTCCAACCAGAACAGGGAGGGTCATGCCAAGGTGTGCCAAGGACACAGGCACCCTGCATGCTTTCTTCTTCTGAAACTCAGCACCATGCAGGAGAAAAAGCAGAACTTTTGAGTCAGATAGAACTGGGTTCAAACTTGGGCTTCCCCACTCATTTGCCAAGTGAACTTGGGCAAGTCCCATATGTACTCTAAGCCCAGACTGGTTCATCTGTGTGATGGGAATAAGAATAGTGACCTCTCTGTGTTGACAAGAGGATTAAAGAGGATAACAGAGGCCAAGTGTCTCGCAGAGTGTCTGAAATATGCAATAGTTCACTTAGGGAAGTCTTGTGTTCTTATTTATTTTCTCCATCTAGCACCACCTTTAAGCCAGTCTACTGCAGGGAGTAGTTGGGGGTGTCCAAGAAAGAGGAGAAAAGTTTCAAGAAGTTGGAGTTCCCTTAAAAGTCAAACTGGGAAATCTAAATTGTAGGAAGTGTGACTTTAATCTGAGACACTTTTCCAGAAGTAAGACTTCTAGGAATCTTGCATCTGAAAAGCCCCAAACACCTGTCCACAACTGAAATAATGATGGCAAAGTCCTATCTGCCATAAAGGAGGCCCTTAGTCTCTCTAATCCATACTTCATGTACAGTTTTAAGAGACCTTTCCCCTTCTACCCCCAACCATTATTCACCTCCACCAGGAAGACTCTGTTCCCTCTTCAGATCTCCATGTAAATGTCCCTTCCTCAGAGAAGCTTTCTCGGACCTTCATGCTGTTCTCCATAAAATCTCACACTTTCTCATCATTGCCTCTTCCACAAAAGTAATTAAATGCAATAGTTGTGTGGCTCCCTGCTTAATAACAGGCTCCTCTAATAGACTACACGTTTCACAAGGGCAGAAATACTGTCCACAGCCTGGTCTGGTGCTGAGCACACAGAGATCCTCAATGGAGATTCACCGCATTGGATGAAGGCAGCTTGGCCATCTGCATTCTGCACCCTCAGCCAACAAGAAGAAACAAGAATTTAAAGTGGAAGAAGAGGATTTCTTAACACAAAAAGCCTAACTACATTTATAATGTGGGTAGACAAGGAGGAAACAACAGTATGAAATGCATTCAGAGCTAGCAAAGAACTGGTTCTGGGGTTCCTTAGTGAAGAGTCTGTGCTTATCTTGGGGCCTGGGAGTCTGAAATTGCTGCACTGGAACTGAGTATGGGAACAGAGAGCCAAAATGGTGGCTTGGTGTTCAAATATATGTATACGGTAAAGTTACTATAATAATTTGGAATCTGGTCAGGTGCGGTGGCTCATGCCTGTAATCCCAGCACTTTGGGAGGCTGAGGTGGGTGGATCATGAGGTCAGAGAACTTTCCAAATGGATTCTCTCTCTACAGAGTGCATTGTGGGACTATGAAGTCATGAGATTGAGGTTCAGGTGTGGATTCCAAATTATTATTTATTTATTTATTTATTTATTTATTTATTTATTTATTTATTTATTTTGAGATGGAGTCTCGTTTTGTCACCCAGGCTGGAGTACAGTGGCACGATATCGGCTCACCGCAACCTCTGCCTCCCAGGTTCAAGTGATTCTCCTGCCTCAGCCTCCCAAGCAGCTGGGATTACAGGTGCCCACCACCACACCCGGCTAATTTTTGTATTTTTAGTAGAGACGGGGTTTCACCATCTTGGCGAGGCTGGTCTCATGACTTCATATTCCCACAATGCACTCTGTAGAGAGAGGAATCCATTTTGGAAAGTTCTCTGTCAAAAAATCAGCTTCATATTTTATATTTTAGTACCTAAGTTACAATAGATAGGAACATTATTTTAAACAGAGCTGCTCTTTCTCCAACCGTTGGTGTCAGATGGAGCCATAATTCTGTAAAAACTTCTATTTCAAATACAAACTTCATCGTCCATTCACGTTCAAAGGTGGCTGACTCCAATGGAAGAAAATAGATAATATTGTTCACTATATTCATTTGGAAACAGGTATCAGGAGCCTTAAATATGCTTACATCCCTCCCTTGGCATTCCAATTGTAAGAATCAACTATAAAGAAATAATTAGAGCTATAAAAGTATTTTATGTGCAAAGACGCTCATGAGCATCATTTTAGTTAAAATTATAAGAAAAAAGAAATAATCCAAAAGTTAAAAATAAAAGTTGAAGTAAATGGTTACATAAATTAGCATACATCACAGCCATATAATAAACAACAATGCAGCAAAAAATACAGCTGAGAAGTTTATACTACTATCAGAACTTTTTTAAATTTTGAGACAGGGTCTCACCCTATCGCCTAGGCTGGAGTACAGTGGTATGATCATGGCTCATTGCAGCCTTGACCTCTCTGAGCTCAAGTGGTCCTTCTGCTTCAGCTTCCCAAGTAGCTGGGACTACAGACCTGTGCCTCCATACCTGGCTACTTTATTATTATTATTATTATTATTATTATTATTAATTACGTGTAGAGACAAGGGTCTGCCTGTGTTGCTCTGGCTGGTCTCCAACTCCTGGTCCCAAGTGATTCACCCATCTTGGCCTCCCAAAGTGCTGGAGTTACAACCGTGAGCCACTGTGCTCAGCGCAAGTAATTCTTGTGTCTAAGATTTCCTGTGCTAAGTAAACAAAACTAAGCAAAACAAGATTGCAAGCTAGAAAGGCAGTGATATATACACAGACGACAAAAATACCCTCACACTTACTTAACAAAATTCACAGAATAAAATACACCAAAATAAAAAGCAGTGGTTTTCTTTGGTTTTTAAGATAATAAGTGAATTCTTTTGTTTTCTTCTTTCTGAATTTTCCAATATGCATTATTTCATAATTAGAAAAAAATGATAAAATTCCTTAACAGAAAATGAATTTTATTTTTCTCTACTTAAGCAAAAATTGTACGTCTTCAGTGTCCTATCAATCAAAAATCAAAACCAAACCGAAACCAAAGAAGGGTAGGCATGCTGAAAACTGTTGCCCACCTGGGACTGACTGATCCTGGACAATCCCAGAAATTTTATTCCTCAACCAAAAGATTCAGTAACTAACAGCCATCTGATTAGAATGTGTTCCTTGGGTCTTGTCCCATTTGTTCCTGTATTTTGGGTCAGAGATTCTTTCTTGAAGAAACCAACTCTCCTAAGGATGTTGCAAAATAAAGGGACTGGGATTGGAATCCAGGAACCTCACTCTTTCTATCATTCACTTTGTCACCTGGGACAAATCATTCCTCTTTTATGGGCCTCAGTGCCCCTATTAATAAAATGAAGCGTTTGGGCCAAGATAGTCATAGAGGGCTCTTTAGGCATGATTGACTATGATTCTTTGCTTTTCCTGTCTCAGAAACTCAGTTCCCCCTTCTTTAAAATGACACAGATGAAATGATCTTTCAGCTCTGACTGCAGATGAATATAAAAATAGAAATAGTTTTCCATTAACTCATTCATCACAAGAACGCTTCTCAGCCCAGGCTAGCAGGGTTACCACCTCCCTCCCAACCCTTGGCTGGGGCTCCTCACTCTGGTCTCAGCGGCAGTCGGAGAAAAATGGAGGTGGCCACTTTTCTGTGAGGGGTTAATGTGCATCTATCGAATGTTTTTCTTTGGTTTACTATAAACACTTGAATCACTCCTGGGTGTGTCCTGATATAAAGAAAAAATACCATGACCATGACCATCTTTCTCTAATTCTACAGGTGTGACAAATAAGATAGATAATAAAATGCTCAAAGACTGTAAATGACCTCATTAGGGATGTACTATTTTCTGTTTCCTAGACTTCAGCCCTACCCCCTAAAAATGTGTGTTCTCACTGGGATTTTACATGCCAGTCTCCTGCTCCAGACACCGTTCTTTTGACCACCTCCTCACCCCTTCCTCTTATCCCTCAAGTTTCAGTGCAGATGCCTCTTGCTCTAGAGTGCCTTCTCTGACCCCTTGCCTAGCCCCCCAAGCACTTTGTCCTTCCTTTCCGAAAGTACTTATTGCAGTTTTATTACCTGCTTCCGTACCCAATTCTAAGCTTTGAGAACCACATCTGCAAAAATCAACCAGGGCCCAGCCTATGATATTAGTTCAACTACTGACCAAAAGAATAAAAATTAAAAAAAGAAATAAAGCGTGTGGACAGTGCTGGCAGAGTTAGGACAAGGGTTGTCCAGCCATGAAGGAGTGATCCTGGCCCCACAAGCTGGAGAAGTGGGCAGGAGGCAGCTGCCGAGGAGTGCACACTGGCCTACCTTTTTGGTCTTCACTGTGGAGGTGCAGCAATCCCCACCGTCATAGTTGCAAAAGGCTCGGTTGTTGATGGCATCACAATAATTGTCTCCCATGAAGGGCTGGAAAGGGAGACAGAAGGAGGAAATGAGGCCTTGTTAGCATCCTGGAGTGAGTGGGAGCTGACGTCTGCAGTCCTTCGGGTGTCTGTCATCTTTTCACAGCCTTCCACGATTAGCTGGCCAGGCTTCACATCCCCAACACCCCCTTGAATGAGTTATCACCTCTACCATTCATAAAGACTCTTATCTTTCTTTCTACCATTCATAAAGACTCTTACCCAGTTTTTTCCAACTAGAGTATGGTTATGCTGAGAGACATACTCTTGTGTGCTTGGGTATGCAAAACCACAAAATAGATGGCTTACATCTTCCTGAAAGAGGGCTCATTTTACTCAAAGAAATGACCAGGAAATGTAAGCCTCCTTCTCCCACTTTTTTCAGCAGTATGTAATTAAAAACGTAATTTGTAATAAAATATATGCAAATATGTTAGGAAGCTGAATGTAAACTGCCCAAGAAGCATTAAGATAAAATGTAAGAACTCATAGGAATTTGGCACCATGGTCTGTGTGTGATAGTGGGCTCCCTCTCACAAGGAGGGCAGATGTACTTGATGTCACACATTTTACATGTTTGTTTTCTTCTTTTGCTCTCCAAACAATAAGTGAGGTAGGTATTGGTTTTCTCACTCTACAGATGAAGATGCGGAGACTCAAAGACAGGGACTTGCCCAAAATCACATTGGCACAGTCAGAGTAAGTGATTTAAATCTAAGTTGGCTCTATGGTTTTTTACTTCATCTCTCTTGGCTGTTCTGGCATATACTGATTTATTTCTTTTCTTCTGTGTGTTTCTCCACCCCAGGACACTCCCAAGATGAAGAAAAGATAATAGAGTCAAGCCATTATTTATCTGAACCCAGAGCCTTATTAGGGGAAAGTCCAGGAGTCTCTTGGATTCCCCAGTCACTTGTATTTCCTCATCCCAACCGCTAGCACATTGTATTCTGTGGTCTGTTTATGTTTCTGTAGCTGGTGCAAGACTGTGAGCTCTTCATGGACATGGGCAATGTCTAGTTTGTCTTTGACTCCCAATCACCTCATTTAAGGCTGCACACAACTTTGGCTCTTAATAATGTTTCTGAAGTGGAATGTAATTGTACCGGCATAGTGGCAAGGGCAGTTGGCAGGGATTGAGAAAACCTGGGTTCTAGTCCTCCCAACCTCAGCCAATGGGATGGTTACTTCATGGTTTTGGTTAAGTGACCTTATCTCCTCTAGGCCTCAGGACTCCCACTAATGAAATAAAGAGGCCAGATTAGTCCATTGATTTCTCAAAACAGTGAACCTACCCCTCTCCTCACCATCAAATGCCATATTGTGTGACATTTCAATATAGAAAGCAGATGAAAGTGAAACCACTCTGATTAAAGTGCTGGTTGGGGTCTCTAAAGATCAGTGACTCATTCATGGGAAAGAGACAACATTTGTTTAAGACCTTTGCATCCAAGCATGCCATCTGTGATCCAGTGGTCTCCCCTTCCCATCCTCACTGCTCCAGAAAGAACCAAGCTCCATCCCATGTGGCATTCCTGGCTTTTGCCTCTCTGTTCCAAATTCTTACTCACAGAAACTTTTCACCCTGAACTCATGATGCCAGATTTCATTTCATCACTCTACTACTAGAGTCTAAAAGATCACAGCTAGACAGAGCTCTGAGAGCAAGGAAGACCTGAGCTCAGTTGTGTGGGTGTGCATGCATATGGCTGTGGGTTCAGGTGTGACTCTGCTGTGTGACCACCAGAATGAACACATCACATCCACATTAGAGCAGTGGGGTATAAACAAACAACAAACAATAAACCCTTTCTTTTCCTTCCTGCCTCAGGAGATCTGCCTGTGGGTTATGTTCTTTTTTATGTAATAAATGAACAGAATAATGATGGAGACTAATTGTCCCTTCCTTAGAATAAAAGGAACTGGCTTGATAAAGAAGTAGCTAGGGGAAAAGAGAAAAATTAAATGAAGGTGATACTTCTTTATTTGGCCCTGAAAAAATTCTCCAGTCCCATCACTAGTTACTCTACCCTATATGTTCTTTCCTGCAACCATATCCTTTCATCCACCTATCCATCCATCCGTCCATCCATCCATCCATCCATTCATTTATCCTTATTCCATCCTATGTATTTAATTCCTACGATGTGTTACACATTATGCTAAGGAAAAGGATGCAATAGTGAATTAATATAGATATAGTTCCTACCCCTCCAGACCTTATACTCTGGTGAAGAGACAGACTTTAATCACATAATCACACATCTAATTAACCAATTTCAACTCTGATAAGAGCTATGGAGAAGAGGTTTGTGATGCTATTAAAAAGTAGAAAGATTTGATCTAGACAGGGAGCTCAGTGAAGTCCCTGAAGAAATGACGCTTCAGCTGAGATCATAAAGATGAGTAGGAGTTAATTAGGTGGGGGTGGAGAAGAGAGAATTTCTAGAGACAGGGAACAATATGAGAAAAGCTCTGGTACTTAGAGATTTCTCCTGTCTCTGGTTTATCTCATGTTGCTCCTTCTACTAGTAACGCATTCAGACAAACAAACCATCCTTCAAGATCTAGCTCAAATGTTACCTCTCCAAAATGCCACCCCTAATAGCCTCAGGATGCTGTCTGCTGCCATAGCCTCTTGTATTTGATTTTGTGATAGCTCTTCAGGATTTTAAAATTCTCTCTTTAATTGTCTATCTCCTTCACTATACTGTGCGCATCATCCATTTCTGTATCCTAGATTGCTAGCAAAATGTCTCGTATTTGTGCAAAACTTTATCAAATATAGATTCCATAAATGTTTATTTAGTAAAACGATGGATGGATGGATGGATGGATGGATGGATGGATGGATGGATGACAGGCAAGAAGATATCATAGATGACTCAAGGAGAGCATAGTTACTATTTTCACTGGACTAACACCAATGTATTCCCAGAACTGGAACAGTATCTGGCATATAAGAGGTTCTCAGTGAAGCTTTGGTGAACAAGTGAGTGAATGATCACTTTGGACCCAGCATGGTGCAGAAAACAGGGGCTCAGGGGTCCCCAAACCCTTTCTTTATCTTGGATACCTCTGGATATTCAAGGTTGATAGTCCCAGAGTTTGTATGTCTTCTAAGCATAATTTTCAGCTCCAGACAAGGCACTATTAGAACAAAGCTAAAGAGGACAGGAGATGAGGGGCACCTGCAAGGGCAAAGGTGATAAACATCACTGGCAGGGCTCAGAGTCTGACAGGTGAGGGTCTCTTGGGTCTCACTGCTGAGTCCAAGGAGGGATTGAATTCCGCTGTCACACTGGTTGCCCAGACCGCCAACTCAGCAGAATGAGTGCCCAGGTAACTCAAGCTTTCTTTTCCCAAAATGCTGGATTGATCCAAAAAGACAGAAGTAAGCAACAGCCACAGGGCCTTGGCTTTGATTTTGCCATTCCTAATTGAAGCCTGAGAGAATGGGGTTCCTAAAGTCAAGTACAATGTCAAGTGCCCTCAGGAAATCCCTCAACAATGCAGAGAAAAAAATGTGTAACCTAGGGATTGTCTTGTGACACAGATCAGGGAATGGATCATAGGCAGGCAGCAGGAGAAAAGCACCAGCCTGGACGTTAGAAGAGCTGGGCTTACGTTTTGTCTTTGTGGTTATCATGCTGTGCAAACTTGGACATTCCATCCCCTCTCTGGCCCTCGTTTTCTACTCTATACACCAAGAAAATAGAGCTAGATCAAATTAAGAGCCTTCCCAGTTTTGGCATTCCATCAAATTTTAGATCCAGCCACTGCCTGGGTCTCTGTTTACCCATTTTAAAAATAAAAGATTAGTTGAGATTAGGTAAAAGAGTCTTTCTGGTTCTGGCATTCTAAGAGTTTCATCAGATACGACTTTTTCTAGGGCATGGTCTGATCCTTTTCACCTGCGTTTGCCTCAGTGGGCTCTGGATGAACCACAGAGATTTGGCCATCCACCTGGAAGGGATTTGGGGCCGCTTTTTCACTGCCAGCTGGGAAGAGCCACAAGGGGCAGAGTGATGTGCAGAAATGTCTTTGAGTTCCGTGGACAGCCCTCCCTTCAGGACACAGCTGATCTCCCAAGAACCATGCTCCTTGAGTCCTCCCAAGCTTGTCACTGACACACAGAGACAGATCTCTATAATTCCAAGCTGTAAGGAATGGCTCAACTGTGAAGTCATAGAATTTAAGGGTTATAAAGGCTCTTTCACTTCAGCTCAATGGTTAGGTCTAAGGCATTCATATTCCTTCTGGGATTGAGGCATGAGTAAATGACTAAGATGTGGGGCAGAAGGAATAGGTCTGCAAGTAAAGGTCATCAGTAAAATGGAAATTAAAAATAAAACCACCTCACCTGACTCTGTAAAGGTTAAATGTAACAATGTTGGTAAATTTCCAACATTAGCATATTCTAGATGGTAAATCATTATAGCCCCCTGCCCTTCCTTTCTTACAGATCCCATATTTTGTAGACCACAGGCTCTGGAGCCACAAAAGCCTGGCTTGGAACCCAACTCTGTTACCCATTCCCTATGCTTTTTAGTATGTTTCTTTATATCTCTGTGCCTCAATTCCATCATCTGTAAAATAAGGCTGCTAATCCCTGTCCAAGAAGTCTGCTAAATGGATATTTTCAACACTCAGTAGGTATGGCAAAGGATAGCCAACATTAATATAACAATAACAATAACAACAGCAGGATTATTTCCAGGGAACTGAGGAGTGCCTTCCTTGTGACTCACCTCACAGCCTTTGACACAGTGAATCAGAGCAGGGTGAGGATACCACTTGAGACCAGCAGTGCAGACAACTCTCTGTGGGAAGAGGGAGAGAAAGGTCAGATGGGCTTGGGATTGGGAGGGACCCACCTCCGTGTTGGCATTACATTTAACCACCTCACCTCTTCTGGGACCTTCCAATTCCTGACCTCACCCTGGCTTTTACATGGAGAACTTGCCCGGGTACTTGCAATAACAGGAGCCACAAGATTAAAATAATATTTGTGTTCACCGCATGTGTCATGGTTCTGTATTTCCCTGGCAGGAACAAGGGTTGAGGAGAAGCAGAACTGGAGGGTAGAGACACGATCAGAAAGGCCTTTCAGAAAATTCTCGACTAATATTCGACCCATTCGTGGAGTTGGGATAAGGTGGGGGGAGGAGGGGTGTGTGTGTGTGTGCGCATGTGTGTGTTTGCATGTGTGTGTGTGTATGTGTGCATACATGTGTGTGACTGCAGCAGGCGGATGGGAGAAAACTGTGGAGCAGCATTTCTCAAAGCATGAGCTGAAGACCACTTTCATCAGCATTGCCGTGGGAGTGTGTTTAATTAACGGCAGATTCCTCAGACCTGCTTTGGATTTAATGAATTGGACTCTCTGAGACCAGGCCCTGAGACTCTGCATTTTAGCAAGCCTTGCAGATGATTCCAATGCACACTACAGTCTGAGAGCACATGGGCTATTATGAACCAACCTATGGTTCAAATCCCTGGAAAGGCAGAGAACCCCTCTGCTGTCACCTGCTGCCGTGTCATACTGGTCTGCCCACAGTTCTCTGAGGTTGCCCACAGTGAATTCGTTCTTGCTCTTCCCCTTCCCTGAATGCCCTTCCCCATTTTGTCACTTTGAGAATCTTTTAAATGTCTGCTCAAAATTTATGTCTTCTTTGGCACTTTTCCTAGCCCCGTTAGGCAGAGCTTATAGGCACTTATTTATAGCCTCCTCTTTAAAAATAATAATTATGATGAAGATAATGACAACTAAAATATATTGAGTATATTCATTGTGCTAATTACTGTATGCATTATCTTATTTATTTCTTGCCATGATGATGTGAGGTGGGCATTAATCTTGTGTCATAAGAGAGTAAATTCCCCATGCTCCATAGCTGTTTGGTGGAGAAACCAGGATTTGAAAATAACCAGTTGTTTCAGAAATGATTTAATAAAGCTCATAACATAAAATCCAACATGATGATATTTTAAAAAGTGGGTGAAATAAGAAAGCTAAATAAGACTAGAAAGATAACATAGTATTAGGAATACAGTTACCATAAAAATTCTAGAAGCTTGGCCAGGCGTGGTGGCTCACGCCTGTAATCTCAGCACTTTGGGAGGCCGAGGCAGGTGGATCATGAGGTCAAAAGATCGAGACTATCCTGGCCAACATGGTGAAACCCCGTCTCTACTAAAAATACAAAAATTAGCTGGGTGTGGTGGCATATGCCTGTAGTCCCAGCTACTTGGGAGGCTGAGGGAGGAGAATCGCTTGAACCCGGGAGGCAGATGTTGCAGTGAGCTGACATCATACCACTGCACTCTAGCCTGGCGACAGAGCGAGACTCCGTCTCAAAAAAAAAAAAAAAAAATCCTGGAAGTTCCCTTTTCTATTCTCCATGGATGCCCCAGTTTTCATGCCAGATTACAATTATTTCTTTAAAGAATAAAATGAAATAAAATAAAATGGTACATGCTTAGATGTGTAGTGACAGGTAACTGTGAACAACCAACTATGGAAGTCCACATGATCAGAGGTTGTTCAACTGACTGAGAGGCCAGTTGATTAATTTTAATTAAAAAATGAAGAGTCACCTGGGCCAAAATGTGGAAAATCCATGTAAACAGCCTATTCTCTCCCTGAGGGCAGACCTATATGGTAGCCAAATTGTAATTAGGCCTCTTGGTGAGGCTGTGACAGAGGGAATCAGGTGACCCCAAGACTGGATTGGGTGCCTTTCTTCTCTGCTCCATAAAATCTCAGGTTCACATTAGATATGCCATGCCTTCAGGAATGCCTGACAGAGGGGATGCTAAATAAATATTTATTTTATAAAGGAACAGATTCTTCTCAAAATAGAGATGATTTTACCAGTGGACAATAATTTCTTTACTTGTCTTCCTGTCTTCTAGAGCATCAGAAGATCATCTAAGGTCAAGCACTAGACTTGTCCTCTAAACAAGTCTAGTTTAGAGGATCAGTTTAGTATAGGCTGAATGTAGCCACTATCAACCTTCAAGTAAATCAAAGACCTTGGAGAAAGAGCTTAACTTGATGATCTTCCAATCAGTCTTGCAATGTGAAATCTACTGTCTTGCATCTTACTGCTTCTATTGAAATTGTCTACCCATCCCCAGTACACGCATAAAGTGGTATATGGGAAAAGTCATGGGATATGATATGGGACAGATGTGGTTGCAATTCTGATTTGGAATTGCTTTGTACATTTCCACTATGAGATTTGGTTCTCTCATCCACAAGATAGGTACTGAAAACATCATAGACTTGTTGAGATGGTGCATTCATATAAATGCTGTGAAAATGGTAAACCTAGTACCAATTTCTTAAGTTTCTTGAGGGCAGATCCTGAGTTATAGACACTTCTGTATCCTTCCAGGGTGAAGCGTGGAGCACAGTGAAGAAATACATGAAGGAATGTGATACAAATACAAATGAGGGAATTTGGGTTGTTTCAGTATTCCTTTCTTTCAATTAAGCTACGTTCTTCCCCCTCTGCCTCCCAGCCATGGGGCTGGGTGAAGAGGATCACCTGCTTTCATTCTCTTAACCAGATTTTCCTCTCTCAGTATGAGAGTCTGTTCCCAGTCAAAATCCAGAGATGTTGGAGGGCATTTGGTAAAGGTTCAAGAAGTGGAAAACAGCAGAGTTAGAATCCACTAGGGATTCGATGCCCATGCCTTCCCCTGTTTATTTGAGAGCTAATTTAATCCATCTGTAGGAGTGTCTTGGTGTGGTTGTACAAGTTTCTGTCAGTTGAGGTTTACCTGACGTGAGTTTGGAAAAAGGACTTTTATACTATCTGCATAAGCCTATTTATCTTTCCAAGGCTTTTGGATTTTCCACTATTACTCAGGGCTGCACGCCCCACCTGTCTCACTACAGGACCCCTCTGTGTGCTAGAACTGGGAAAGGGGACAGGCAGTGGGAGCTGAAGGATTGGCTAGGCTGTTTACAGGAGAAGTTGGGAGATCTCAGATGGGGCCCCTCAGATGTCAGCCTTTTTCCTCTTGATACCAGTGAGACATCTAGCCCAGCCAGAGCTTTTTCAGATCAGGTTTTGTAAGAAGGCTTTCATTTCCTGCCTTGGTGGTAGGAAGAATAGACTATCTTTTCTTCCTGGTTGCAATTACCATCATCATCACTGTCATCATCATCAGCACCATTGGCACCACCATCATCATCACCACCATCATCATCATCAACACCACCACCAACACTACCACCATCATCTGCACCATCTTCTTTTTATCATCATCATCATAGCACCACCACTACCACCACCATCATCACCAGCATGAAAACACCATCACTAACATCACCACCTCCACCAACGTCAATATCATCATCACCATCAGTATCCTCATCCTCATCGGCACAAAATTCTCTATTTAATAAATATTATGCTCTAAGCCCTGGGCTCAGAGCTTTCATCTCATTTAATTCTCACCGTAACTATGAGATAGGTACTATTTTTGACTCTGGTTTACACAAGAGAAAACTGGGGCACAGAGAAGTTAAATGACCTGCCCCAAATCGTACACATAGGTAGTGACAGTCAGCAATTAAACCCACATTTATCTGGTTTTAAGGTCTAGGCTTTGAACGCCATAATCTCCTTCAAAGTATACCATCCCCTGAAGCTGTAAGTATAAAATAGCTTACTTTTTTGACCGATGGGAAGACCAAAGTTCAGAAAGGTGGAGAGGCCCTTTGAGACAAATGTTGGAGTGGGTAGAGCATCTAAAAGATGAAGGCCCAAGAAGACAGGCCCCAAGCAGAGCCAAAGACATGTGAGAAAGCATCTAAGAGAGCCCCCTCATCCAGAGGCTCAGATCTGACACCCCTCCTGGATGTCTTCTAAGATAAGCCCTTTTTCCCTTAGCTTTTTTCCTTGATTTCTGGGACCTGCTATGAGTGAATCATATCAGTTATTATTATTATTATTATTAATTATTTGCTTTTTGTTATCAGCCACTGAGTTTCTGGCTTCTTTCCAGGGTAAGCTTTTTAAAAGCCTAGGCATTTCCCACTTCGTATTCCTAGTGTTTGAAGAGTATCTGCTTGGAGGTGCATAGTCGATGTTTATTGAATAAGTAAATGAACAAATGGACAATCAAATGAACGAATGTATGAGCGTGTCCATAAATGAATGAAAAAAATCAGTAGATTCTGGCTGCATCTCTTTGTCTATGGGCTTCCCCTCCAGTGCACTTAGTTCTCCATCTCTAGGTCAGTTAGACTGGACTTAACAGTCACTCAGAACCATTCGACCTCTGACCTTTAGACACTCGGCAGGGCTTTCCACAAAACTACCTTCTTTTCACAACTGAATTTTGCATTCTCTGTCTGCATGTGTTGCATATTTTTAAAAGACATGTATGAGGGTTGCCCTTGCAGGATGGAATGCAGTGGAATTAGCTAGCTAATTCTGCCACAGTCGTTATGTGAATTGGGCAATGACAACCTCTTTGAGCCTCAGCTTCTTCATCTGTAACGTGATAATCCTTACCTCACTGGGGAGTGATGGAGACAAAATGAAATGGCATATATAGAATTGCCTAGCAAACCATGTCTACATATTAGAGATAGTCAATAAATGGCAATTTACCTCTTCTTTCCTTAAGTCATTCCCTCCCTCTCTTTCCGCCTCCCATTTTTTTTTCAGAAGCTATTATAAAAGCCAAGGTCTCAGCACCTAAAGGCATTATAAGGTTCTGAGGATAGGGAGATGCACTTTCTATTGTGAAACACTCTCAGCATCCCTGGGCAAGGGACAATGTGTGAGCAAATTGGATCTATTTCTTAGGAACTGATGGGAGACAGGCTGCCACCCCAGAATTCTAGGTCTCCAGACTGGAATAGTCTATCTCATCCAAAGGTTGCAAGCCAACAGCTTCTAGGCTACACAAACCACAGAAATGTTTTGTTTGGCATACAAGTGTTTAAAAAAAGTCAAAATTAGTTGCCAAACTTTTTAAAAAAAGAAAGAGATTTCAAATTTTAAGAACTCCAGATTTCTTGTACCCAAGAAAAAATGAAAAATTTGGCCACAGGAGGCCCACATTTCCACATTGCTGCACTTGGCTAATGCTGTCCCCCTTTGGAAGCAGAAAAACAACAACTGTGTTTTCCATAGTTTGCCATAGTCCCCACCATTCCCTGCAGTTTCTCTCTAGCATTGAACCTGAGGGGCATTTCCACCTATTATTGAGTTTGTATCATTTTGTTTATTAGATTAGAGGAAGAGTTCTCTGTACCTCTAATCACTTTGAAAAGTGCATGTACAGGGAAGGGGACTGAGAAAAAGAAGGTTTAGGACACAAAAAAGAAGGTACATTGTGTTTCTCTTTATAGAAGTTGAAAACACACTTATGAAAATGCCTCATGATTTCTAATTATATGAAGTTTACAAATAAGCAAAACCAATTCGTAGTGATAGGGACCAAGTCTACAAATAAATTTACAAATAAGCAAAACCAATCCATAGCAATAGAGAACAAAACAGTGGTTACCTTGGTGCTGGAGAAATTGCCTGGCCTGGGGAGGGAGGACTCCCTGAAGATTTGGACAGGTCCACATCCTAATATGAGTAGTGGTTTCATGAGTGTACCCAAAACAATTTATAATGCCTTACACTTAAAGAAGTAAGTTATAGCTCAATAAAAAAGAAGGAGGCTGAGGCAGAAGGATCACTTGAGGACAGGAGTTCAAAACCAGCCTGGGCAACACAGTGAGACCTCATCTCCACTAAAAAAAAATAAAAATAAAAAATTGAAAAAAAGAAAAGTAGAAAAGAACTTCAACAGTATCTGTAAAGTTTTTATTTATTAAGTTGGGTAGTATGTGTATGGGTGTTATATTTTTCTGCAAGTCTTTCTTTCCAAAATATTTACAGTAAATACTACTACTACTAATATGCCTCAGTGTTTATTTTTAATTATCATTATTATTATTCGAGACAGAGTCTCACTCTGTTGCCTAGGCTGGAATGCAGTGGCACAATCTCAGCTCACTGCAACCTCCGCCTCCTGGGTTCAAGCGATTCTCCTGTCTCAGCTTCCCGAGTAGCTGGGATTACAGGTGTGCGCCACCATGCTCGCCTAATTTTTGTATTTTTAGTA
The DNA here is from genome assembly GCF_000001405.40 of Homo sapiens. NCBI lineage: Eukaryota > Metazoa > Chordata > Mammalia > Primates > Hominidae > Homo > Homo sapiens. The sequence goes on along the minus strand of NC_000009.12, from coordinate 116,371,250 downwards.
GAGACGGGGTTTCACCATGTTGGCCAGGCTGGTCTCGAACTCCTGACCTCAGGTGATTCACCTGCCTTGGCCTCACAATGTGCTGGGATTACAGGCGTGAGCCACCGCGCCCGGCTGCCTCAGTATTTAATATACAAAAGAGTATGTTTGGCCTGCTTCACTCATTTCTCCACCTGCCTGGTTCAGGTGGCATTTCAGTTTGTGACTCCTGAGTGAAGCCTAGCTCTCACTTCACAACTGGGTAAACTGTGGCCTAGAGAAGTGACAGGATTTGCTCCAGGACATACAGCAGGAAGGCACCAGAGCTTACACTAGAACCTGGGTCATCTGACTCAGCAATCATAAATATTTAGCAAGTACCTGCTGTGTGCTAGGCACCAAGGGAGGTACTATGGTAACTAATATGACCGTGGTCCTGCCTTCACAAAGCTCACTGTCCTGGTGTCCACATCATGACCTGTGATCTCAGTGTTGACATTCCACTCATCTAAGCAGTCATCTTTCTCTTCATTCATGTCAATATATGCAAAGGACTTAAAATAGAGTCTGTCTTGGCTAAGTGTCGGTGGTGGACCACAGCTGGCTTGCATAGGCTCGCAAGAGCCAGCAGTGCCTGGATCTTCCCAACTTTGTGCTCAGTGACAGCAACCTGGAAACCTTGAAATCTGCCACGGTAGGAATATTTATATCACAGAAATTGGGAAATGCTACAAAGCAGAGTCTAATGTTTGTGGAGAGCCAGTTGTTAACTATTTGCCAGCACATCCCTGGTAAGCCATCACTAAATGTATTGCCTTTATTACTCTACATTTCATAGAGGCTGCAGGGATAGCTGAAGTAAACTATCAGACTGGCCTGGGTCTCTCTTCACCTTCTCTTAGGCAAGTGGCTTCCACCTCTGAGATTCCATTACTTCCACTGGAAGCAGGAAGAGACTAATACCCACCTGATAGGGACATATGTGTGTGGTCGTACGTGTGTGGTAGGGGGTGGAGGTGGAAATAAAGGATAGGAAGTGCCTGACCCAGTGCCTGATCACAGCAAGTGCCCAATAAATGCCAGTTCTTGCCTCTCACTCTCTTACCCCGGGGATAAAAGTGGCAGCAGCTGGAGCAGAGCCTCACCCCCAGCTATCTAAATTGCACTGGTGCTCGCAGGCAGACCCTCAGAAAGCAGAGGAGCTATCCAGGGCCTCCTCTGGCCTGGAAATGCTGGCACCAGCAGCTCTATTTCTGTAGCTCTCACCGCACAAGGGGCAAGGGTGCAGCAGAGGCCAGCTTTTCTGCCTTATTCCTGGAAATCATCAATCTCTGCCCTTCGCCCTCCTCCCTTTTTCTACCACATTTTTTTCCTCCTGGATAATGAGGCCTCCAGAGACCAGTGGAGGTCTGAACCTCATTATGGTTCTCTCGGTAGGCCAGCATCAATAAAGGCAGGCAGACCAGGGAACTGGGTTGGGGGATGGGGCAGGCAGGCAGCGGGTGGGCAATGGTGGGGAGGGGGGGCAGCTTGCAGGCTTTCAAATCCCTGGATTTATTTCACAGTGAATCATAACTGAACTCTTTAGTGCCCAGGGCCCACAGAGGGAAGGGTGGGAATTTGCCCAGGGGGTAGGAAAAAGGTCTTAAGTGGGAGGCTGGTCCAGGCCAAGAAGATCTCTGATACTGGGGTGAGAGGGAGGTCTCCTGTGTCTGTTTTGTGTGTGAGTCAAACTCACCTGCTTTCGGGTATGTGGGAGTTCGGGTGGGAAAAGGAAGGAGAGCTGGTAGTATTGGAAGAGCTGCCAATCACAAGTCCAGCTTGTCGTTCCAGTTGTGCTGCCTGTGTGGACCAGCCGCCTTCCTCTATAGGCCTCAGTTTCCCTATCTGTACAATGAGGAACCTGTCCTTGATTATCTCTAGCTGCCTTGAGATTCTGACATGTGGGCTCCCTGCATGCCTGGGTATATGAGCATATCAGGGTGCACTGGGGCACTCGGGGGAATCTGTGCAGGAATTCTGGTTCAGGAATGGTGGAGGAAACAGATGAAAGAGCTTGAGGTTTGGGAAATAGGGCTGTCTTGTAGATATGCAGAGAGTCAGAGGCAGAGAGAGAGAGAGAGAAACAGTGGATGATGGAAAGGAGAGTGTGGGAGAGAGGAAGACAGAACAAGAGGAAAGGTATATCAGAAGAGGGAGGAGAGAGAAACAGAGTGGAAAAACAGAGATAGGAAAAAAATTAGTGAGAGTAAGATGAAGACAGAAAAAGAGACAGCAAAAGAGAAAGAGGAAGCAGAAAGGAGTGGAGGAGCATGCCGGGGCGCACAGAGGAGTGGAGGAGGTCTGGCCAGGTCTATACACTCGGAGTGCTGAGTAAGCCCTGGCAATCGTGCCCTCAGCGCATTTGAGAAACAGTACACCCAGTATCAGGTTCTGCCCAGCTATCCAGAGTGTGATCTGCAGCAGGCAGGCAGACAGTAGCTCCCTGGGCTCCATGGCCTCTCAGCACCCCAGGCAGTAGGCTGGTTGGAGAGACACAGAGCTGAACCTCGCCCACCCCGCAACCCCGGCCTCCTTCTTTCGGTTTCTCCAGGGTGAAGAGCCAGTGCCCAGAGTGACACATAAGGCCTGGGACCTGCGATGTCCTGGGGGAGAAAAGCAGGGCCCACATCAGCTCTGGGGGCCCCAGTTGATTGGGTGACACAAAGGCGAGTGGGAACAGCCAACCTTGAAGTCAAACTGACACTGCCCTGAGGAGGGGGCCTCTGTAGTCATCTGGCTGGGGGCACACCGGCCTGGCACTGTGGGAAGCACACAGGGCTCAGACTCAGGTTTGGGTTCAAGCCTTGGTTCAGGGCCCATCACCTCACTTCCGAGATTTCAGTGTCCACAACTGGAAAATGCAGACAATGACCCTTCTCTCATACAACTGTGCTGAGGCTAAAATGGAGTCTTCGTGCTAAGCACCGGACACATGAACGTGGCAGGTTCTCCACAAACAACCGATGTTACTAGTTTGCTAGACACCTATTAATTGCTTTCCCCAAAACAGGTAAAGCTTGGAGAAGGATACCAGAAACCTAGGCTATGTAAAGTGGAAGGCTACATGGGAGGGCACCAGAGAAGCCATACAACACCATCCTTATGAGTATGGACTTTCCAGCCAGACAGACTCAGGTCTGAAACCTGGCTCTATGCTCCCTACCTCTGTTATTGGTGCCTCAGTTTATTCCTAGGCTGACATCAGCATTTAGTGGACAGTAAATAAAAGGCCCTTCACATAGGACCTGACAGAGAGAAAGTATTAAATAATTAAGGACTAGAGAAATGATTGTGAATAAGTCTCCTCCCGACTCTACCCCACCTCCCTGCAACACACACCCACAGGGCAGGTGTGATGATTAAATGAGGTAATATGTGTGAAAGAATGAACTCAGAACCGGGACATAGCAAGTGCTCAACAATATCATTTCCCTCCCCCTTAGCTGCAGGTGGGTAGATGTCCCTGGTCACTCACCTCTACCCGTGTGGGGTTCAGCCAGTGGGGGATGTCACGCACGGTCACGTTCATTGGCAGGATGATGGACTCGCTGTTGTGGTCCAGGCACGAGGTGGCACACTCCGACCCTGAGGGAAGTACAGCATGAGGCGCAGCTCAGGCCCGAGACCCTCAACATCTGCAAACTGCCCTCCTGCAGAGTGGGCCCTCCCACTCCCTGGTCCCTGGTGGACTCAGCTACCCAACCTGAAGGCAGTGGGAAGGAGAAGGCAAGCCAGGCAGGGCCACCTCTGTTCTCCCTGACTCCATTCACATGCCTCCCATCTGACTGGTTCCTGCTGCCACACTCATTGGCTCTGACCCTAGTTTGATCAAGCTCCTCCTCTGCTCAAACACCTTTCCAAGGCTCCCCACATCCAGAACAAAATACAGCCCCCTTTGCTGGGCACTCAGTGCCTCCTGCGGTCTGGTCAATCTCCTCTCTCACTAACCACCTTCACTCTTTGGTTGGTTCAACCGGACTGAACTACACTTGGTTTTCCATCTGAGTCCCACAATTCTCATCCTCTGTGCTTCTTCTCTTGTTCATCCCATCTCCTGAAATGTCCCCCAATCTGCCTTCCCATAACCGAATTCTATCCATTATTCAAGGGCCAGTTCAATTCTTCTAAGAAGTTTGCCCTGAATTCCACAACTGAGTGAGAGTACTCCATCATCAGATGTGCTTGATTCATCTCGGAGTTTAACCCAGCGTGTGACACCCAGGTAGAGCTCAGTGAGCACTGGCCGAGTGAATGATGAGCACATAAATGCAATACCAGCTTCTCTTGCCCCAGGGTTTCATCCCTGCCTTTCCCTGTGCCTTAAAGACCCTTCCCACTCCAACAAGTGCATTTTTAATGATCTTACAGACCTCAATCCCAAGCCACTTGCTCAGAGAAGACCTTCATGGTTTCCTGACAGGCCAAGCCCCTCCTAGGTGCCCATGACAGAATTGTCACATGATCATTTCCTGTTTGCTTGGTGAGTGTGATATCAATAGCTCTCTTCCCTGCTGGACTGTAACTCTATAGGGCCAGCACTACCCATGCTCCCCATTCTATGTCCAGAGCTTGGCACTGTGCATGGCAGATTATAGGCACCCAATAAGTATTTGTAAAATGAGTGCAAGAGACAGTGAGTGAATAAGTACATCAATGGATCAGGAAATGAGTGGATTAATGGATAAATGAATGGCATGATGACTGACTGATGAATATGCATTTAGGTGTCGTATGAAGGAAGAAGTAAGTACATAAATGGATAAGTGAATGAGTGAGTTATGGATTAAATGGATAAAGGAATAAAAAAAATCAGGTAATGAGTCAAAGAAGGGGTAAATGACTAATAGAGATAGGGCTACTACATAGAAGCCCTTGGTCCAGGAACTTTTGGGTGAAGACAGTTGACTTCCAGGCTGTGGGTTGGCAAGTTGACTGTAATTCAGCTCATTCATTCTCTACCCTGACCTCACACATCCTGAGGTCATCTGAAAAATCAAGCCTAGTCCATGGAAAGTACTCAGTACCCCAAAGAGGCATTTATTCATGTGGGCAAAGAAACAACCTGTCAGAATCTGACTAGGCCTGAAAGAGGCCATTTCTCTTAGTATCGAAACCACCCTCCAAACACTAGGAGCAAGTCAACTCTTTTCTTTAAATATCCTATTCTATTAGCTATTTTAAAGTCCCCCCTTCCAAATATACATATGTATGTATTAGCTATTTCAGAGGCCCCCTTCCAAATATACATATGTACATGACACCCGTTTCACAGGTTGGAGAGCCAAAAGGCACAAAGCTCAGGGCACAAAGCTGGTGAGGAGAGAGCCACATCTCTAATTCCAGGCCCCACAATCGATAACAGTGCAGCCACACAGAGAGAGGAGAGAAGGAGGCAGCCATCGAAACAGGAGAGATGGTGAGAGGCCAGAGGAGAGACAAGAAATGGGGATAACACAGACAAAAATGATGAGTGATGAGAATAAGGAGCAAAAATCCCTAAGCAGTCAGAGAAACTGCTTATGGAGTGTGCTTTATCATGAGACCAGTTCTAAAGGAGTTTTTAGGGAGCAAAGATGAGACAAGGCTGTGATAATAAAATCCTTTTGAAAAAAAAAAATGCAGCCTCTGAGAAATAGACAAAGGCTATCTTATCCCAAGAGAGGAAAAAAAAAAAAAAACGGTTGTCAAAACAGGAGACACTTGCTGTCCTATGCAGCGGTCATGTCTTAATTTCTCTTTCTCCGCGTCTCCCTCCCCCAGGCTCTCCTCCCCTACCCCAGCTCTGGGGCTTTAGGACCAGGCTGCTGTGTTGTGATATATGAGCCATTATTGGCATCCTTACAGAGTGGTGATCTCACCAGGCCTCCGCGTCTCCTTCCCGGGAGGCGCGGGGAGGGTGGCAGCCCTGGTGGCAGCAGCAGCAACTTTCTGAGGGCTCATAACTGCCACAGAAGCCTCCCCAGGTGGCCTGGGGGAGGCACGCAGGGGGAGCTGGTCTGGGTGACTCCAGAATGTGCCCTCCAGCCCCCAAGCCCGACACATATCTCACCCCTGCTTATAAGGCCAGTGATCAAATCCCTCTCCTTGGCAAAGTGGATTCTCCTCAGGGAAGGGCTCAGCCTGGGAGGTGGAAGTCAGGCGCATTTGGAGGAAAGCGAGGATACAGCTGGGGCTGAGGAGTGGATGAGCAAAAACTGCTCTCCTGCCTTGTTTCTCATTCTCACCCTCAGTCTTCCTGTCTCCCTATGTGGCTTTTTCTCTCTGATCTCCTCCAGTGTCCCTATGCACTCATCATCTGCCCTGGATTATCACATTTATAAGATGGACATCTGGGTGCCAGCCGTGGGGACTTGGGGTACAGGAAAGGAGTTAATTCAGGCTGCAATATCATATAGATTTCTTTCCCTTTCTGCTTTGACCATGAAAACACTCAGTGGGTAAAGAAATACCACCCTCCCACCCCTTCCCCTCTTTCTCCACTGTTCTGATGGAGAGAAGACAGCCAGGTATCGTACTCATTTGCGTACAGTTGAGACATCTGAATAAAATATGTAAATGCGTCTGTGAGGTTTGTTTGCCTTTTGTGCGTCTTTCTGTGTGTTTGATATGTTTTGGGACATAAAATGTGTTTGTGTTTGTTGAAGTATGAGATTTGTATGTATTGCATGTGAGTGCTGTGTATAGGTTTATGTGCTACCTGTGTGTGTATGTGTTTGTGAGAGTGATGCATTTGTGTGGTATTTGGCTGATGTGTAGGTGTTAGGCATGAGCTTACTATATGATGTGTGTGTTTGGGGCTGTTTGTTTATGAAGCATTTCAGCATGTGGCATGCGTTTATGTATGCACGTGTGAATGTATTTGAATGTGTCAGTGGGTATAGATATGCAGCAAATTTGTTTCTGTAGGTTTTCCCTAAAGGTCACTTAATTAGGCTTTTTCTCACAGAGCCACTCAATGCCAGTTAAGAGTATGAATGAATATTCACTTGCATATTCTGATTGAGCTGGAGGTTGGGACCCCATCACAGACATACTTGTTCAGGACCACGCACACCTATCAGGAATGATGGAAAGGAGAAAGTGTTGGCCTTGGGATGGTGCAGCCCATGCTGCTCACCATGGCAATACTTGTTGCCCAACCTTCTAGAATGCCTATATTAGCAGGTCCTATAAGATCCCATCTCTCTGCAACACTCCTGGTCAGCATCTCATGAATTGGTGGCTGTATAAGATCTTAAAGTACCTTCCAAACCATCAGCGAGAGCAATCATGTGTTTTGGTGTTTTCTGACCCATGCAGGAGCCAGTGTCCTGGGCTAAACACAAGAGTGCTGATTCCCACTGTAAGTTACAGTGAAGAACTTCTGCTATCTGAGGGCATGTGTTTTCATCTTCAAAAAAGGATGGACAGTCCCCATGAACCTTCCCTCTCCAACCACACAGGCCTTGCTTCTGGACATGCAGTGATAACTCTCTGTTTGCTGGATGAAGATCATGTTGGCTCTATGCACATTCAGATAACCTTCTACACCAGACACCCCTGGTGATTGCTCTATAAATCATATTGGCCAGGAGAAAGGATGTTCAGTTCCCTAGGCTTTTCATCATGGTCAATTAGGGAATCAGCCCAAAAGGTCAGCATCACTGCCCTTAAATGAGGTCACACTCCATGCACTCTGAGTACCCCGGAAAGCTGTGGTGCTGGTGATTAATGCATGTGTCCAGACACCTGGTTTCAACGAGGCAAATCCCTGGCATACAATCCCAGCTTGTCTCTTCTCACTGTGTGTATTTCTCGAGCTGGCCTGTCACCATGCAAAGAGTATTTTGAAAATGCAGTTTATGCTCATCTTGGATGCAGCTGAGATGCCATGGAAAGAAGTCAGACTTTGGAATAGGATGGGTCTCAGGATTTGGGAGCATGTTCCATTATCCCCTCAAGTTTTGATTCCCTCATCTGTTAAAGGTTATTGTGAGGATAAGATATAATGCCTTTCAAGTGCTTGATGAAGGGCCTGAACTATATCAGGTACTCATGAATGTTTAGTATGATGCAAATTTCAAGATTAATAATAAAAGAAGCTGCACCAGACTGCTATTGCTTCCCTAAATGTGATGTGTGCTTTCATAACTCCTGCTCCTCAGCCACAGAGTTTCTTCTGCCTGCAATAGCATTTCTTCCCCGACAAGCTTTTTCAAATCCCCAAGTAAGCATCCCTTCCTGTGGGAGTCTTCTGTGTCCCCACCAGGCACCTGACAGCTTTTCTGTATTCTGTTGTAACTGTGCACACTCACCCACCATTGTGTCACCATATCCCTGTCCCTGACCCTCTTTCTGGGAGGACATGGTCTACACTAATTCATCTCTCTTTCTGTAGTGCCTACGCAGGAACTCATGTGGCCAGGGTGTTCAATGACCCACCCAGGCATTAGCCCTGCATTGCTGGAAGGAATTGCCCCTCCTACTGCTCCCCTCTCGGGCCCATCATACCTATGGCATAGCCATCAGGGCACTGCAGTTTGAGGTTGCTGTTGAGCTCGTTTGGAACCGAGCACTGGCCTTGCATCTCCTGGCAGACATGGAAGGAGCCGTTCCAGGTGCCATCTTTCCGGCAATGAATGACATTGCTCCCAAGTCCCTGAACAACAGAGAAACAGAGTTAGGACCAAGAGAGACACCAGCCCCAATTGAATAAGCTATTCTGAATACAACAGAAAAGAATTTTTCATCTCTCCAGAGCTCTGAAGTGTTCCAAAACAATTTCTTAACAATGGTTGAAACTCAACCACCCTGAAAGAGGGGTATTGTTAGTGTCTCCATTTTACATATGGGGAAACTGAGGACTCAGACCAGGAAGAAACTTGTTCAAGGCTTTCCAGAATGCCAAACTCCCAAGTCCGAGCTTAGTAGTCTTTCAGAAATTTCAATCAGAGCCAATTATAGTTTTGATTTGTGTGTGGGAGTTTTTTTTTTAAATTGAGAGGGTAGGAGCCCATCAGCTCCTTGAATGACACAGAGAGTAGCAGCATGGGTTAATGAGGAACACTAAAGTTTACTTCCTCTTAAATAGTGAGAAAGTATCCTATGTCAGGGCTCTGTCATAAATAATAATCTGGGTCTAGCTGAGAAGCTTTTTTTCCAAGACATTTCTTTTCCTTTTCTCATCTTCTCTTTCTTTCATTCCATTCCATTCTATTCCATTTCATTCCATTCCAACAATAATGGCATGAAGAGGGTGATATGGGGATACTTATATATCTGTGCTTTCCTCCCAATTCTTTAAAATAGGGAATTATAGTTTCTCAATCTTCTGCAAAGCATTAGGCAAATGCAGCTTGAAGACATAATCCCTTCTTGACGTCCCCTTCCAACCTCCGAATTTCAGAAAGCTAATTCAAGTAAGATTCGTTAGTGTCCAATCTGTGCCCAGCTCTGTGGGGTGCAGAAGTGAAGAGAGCCAGTGCCTGCCTCTGCGATCTAGTGGGAATGGCAGTCATGTGATCCACCAGCCATGTCAGTGTGACTGTGTTCAGTGAGGCAGGGCAAATATCACACCAGTGCTGTGAGTACACAAGGAAGAGTAACTGGTTATGAGGGGACAATCAGGGAAGGCCTCTTAGAGGAGATGATATATGGAAAAGGGTTTTCAAGGATGCATGGAATTGCAGGCAGAAAAGGAACAGAAGATATTCCTGGAAGATGGAAGGGCGTGTGCAAATGATGAAAAATATCGTGTGTGCTGGAGAGCCTGTTGTGGTTCTAATTCTATGACTCAAGGCATGAAGCAGGGGAAGATGAGCTGGTAACACAGATAAAGCGTGGAGCCTTAAATGCCAACTTAAGTAGTTTAGACTTTACCGAACAGAAATGGAGAATCACAGGTGGTTTCTGTGCAGGGGGCCCATATTGTGAAGGATCTAAGAACAAGCTATATATTCTCTACCCCTTTCAGGCTTATAATAAGATGAGAAACTTGACATGAGGCCAGAGGAGCTGGCTGTGCTCCACCAATGCAAAAATTTATGCAATGGCTTCCTGTGACCTTCAGCTTCCATGCAAACTCCTGTGCTGGCTCCAGAGCCCTCCCAGCCTTAATTCTGCCTAATTCTCCAGTTTCTTGCTCTCCAGAGCACCACCACCAACCTTGAACTTCAGTTTAAATTGCCTGCATTTGTGAAGGCATCGTATGTTGTGCTTTCATGCTCACTGCTCCTTCTGTCTGCTATTGTTTCCTACCCACCCTTGTCTACCTTGCAAATACCTTATCTGGCACAACCCATCCTGCTCTCCTGCCATCTCAATTCTGCATGGGGCACTACCTGAATGTCTCTGACAGGACATTACCTATTTGTTTATCATCTGTTTTGCAACCAGACAATGAGCTCCTCAAGGCCCAGGCTGGTGCCCTATTCAACCTTGTATCCTCAGGGTTTTCCACAATGCCTAAAAGGTCCAGGCCACTCAGTGCATTCATTCATCACTTAATAGATATTTTTGCTCATTCAAGAATTGTTTGTTTACGAAAAGATGGGGTGAATTGGTGGAGAGTGATAGAATGTATTTCTTTAAGAAATAAGAAAATAAATGAACACACAGATGAGGAAATAAATGCACAAGTGAGTAAATGAAGAAAAGAATGAATGAGGGAATAAATTATGAATGAATGTATGAGAAAATGAATAAACTCCTTAAAAGAACTGATGTAGGCTGAGGCTCCCCTATGTGAGAAAACAGCTGCAGATAGACAAGATTCAGAAGAGAAAGGGGCCCCTTTCCAGGCCTCTCCTTTGCCGGCAAAAGGAGGGTACAATTGCAATGGAAACCTCTCTGGCCTTGGGAGAAGGGTGGCCCATCCTGAGCATGCAGCTGCAAGGCGGCTTGCAGAGTTCACTCCCAGAGGTTCTGTAGGGGCTCGTGGCAAACTTACGCAGCTTCATGTGGCTTCAAAGAGCCCAGACTCTCCTTCTCAGAGCCCCAGGCTCTAGGCCCCATGATTCTCCTGGGCCCTCTGGGGAGTAGGAAATTGACCCCAATTTCCTGGAGCCTTGGCCTGGGCCTGTGATGCATTTGGATTCCAACCCCTAAAGGGCTGCAGACCTCAGCACTACTTGGGCCAGGGCTGGCTGGAGAGCTTGGTTTGTAACAGAGAATGTATTAGAAGTAGCCGGAGTCTGCTCATGGAGTTTCACACTGGGGAGGCCCCACCATGAATGAAAGGTGGGAGCATAAAGCACTGGTTTTGTTATCATTGGTTTATCTCTCTCCTGCCCAGTTCATCTGGCACTTTGTGTTGCAAAATTTGCTTTTAAAAATATATAGCATCCTTTTGCTAAGACACTTTAGCCTTCAGAACAAGGCATACTGGTAGGTTGGCACTTCAGGGCTTCTACAATGGAATCCAGATGACATTTCTAGCTCCATCTCTTGCTATGTATGTATCCTTCCTGCTAGACAAATGAATCACTTTGTTTCTCCTGCAAACTTTTCTTGCTTTCCCACCTCCACATCTTTGCCCTTGCTGTGCCCTCTGCATGCAGACTTTCTGGAGCCTCTTTGGATTTTTAAATCCTTCTTTAAGACTAGATGCTAGTGCATTCAGAAATTGCCTACCACCTGGTGCAGAAATTCATAGTCAATTATTGCTGACTGAGTCTGGTTTGACCAGAGAAGATCTGGCATCACTGAAGCTCCAACCTGGGAAGACCAGAGGGTACTTTTTCTAGGTGTTGTCAGGGAACTGACTGGGTATGTTTGACTCCAGTTGTACAATTCTTCATGCTAAGGTGAAATCTCTTATAAGAGGGCTGAAAATCTCTCAGCAAAACAGTTTGCCTCTCTGTGCCTGTGCATCTGTTTTTACAAGCGCATATTGAGCTCTAACTCCCCTGCTGCTTTAGCTACACAGATCCACGGAGAGCTGAAGGCATATAATAATATTATCAAACACCTATAACATGCCCAGTGCTTTAAAAATCACTTGAACAATACAGTAGAGTAGAAATTATATTATTTTTGCAGACTTGGAAACTGACTCTGTTAGAAAGTGAAAAAGTGAGTTTTCAAATGATGCTAGTGTCATGGTTAAGAGCCTGGGTGTAAGTCAAACTGCCTGAATTCAAATGCAAGCTTGGCAACTTCCCAGCTGGGTAGATTTGGGGATGCTCTTTAACTTCTCTATGCCTCAAGTTCCCTGACTGCTAAATGGGCATGGAGTCTACTACCTGAGAGAGTGATCATGAGGATCATGTGAGTCCAATTATATAAAGCATTTAAAGCCTAACACATACTGAGCTCTGTAATCGTCAGATGAGGTTCTTACTCACTTTGCTGTACTGTCTCTAAGAGAAGTTTAGAATCAACCCAACCAACAGTACATTTTGGAACTGACAGCAGCCAGAAAGGGGAGGCAATGTGCCCAAGTCACAAAGGTTGCCAATGTCAGAACCATGTCTCTTGACTGTAAGCTGTTGTACCCCAGTGGGATGAAGGGAAAGAAGAGAAGAGGAAGGAAGAGGGAGAAGCAGTAGACTTCTTCTCCTTAGAAGACATGAAAATAAACAAAATAATAGCGGAAAGAAATGTAGTGGCATCCGAGCAAGACAAAACCAGGCAGTGAGTGCAGGAGCTAGATGGCTAAGCTTTGGAGGCATGCTGACTTAAAAACAAGAGTGTCAGTTCCACCATGTCTGGTTGTATAAAACAGGGCAAACCAGTTTACACCAGCTTCCCCATCTGTAAAATGGGGCAATAATGCCAGATGCCATGGGGCTTAAATGAAGCAATCAATCTAACGTGCTCATCTCAGTGGCTGGCATGTAGTAAGTGCTCATTATTTCAACTGCTGTGAATCATTTGTCTCTGTTCCCAGTCAATGCCCTCACATGCATTTTGTGTCTTCCAAGGTTGGTACAGGGGTGACATGTTGCCCCACAAGGGAGGATGAGTGGAAAGTGTGAATTGCAAAGTGACGTAGTTTAAGAACTGGCTCTGCTTGTATGACTCAGGATAAGTCTCTTTCCCTTTCTGGGGTTTAGGGCTCCCATCAGTAAAACAAGCAAGCTACAGTGGGGGTCTCTGAGGTCCTGCCTAGCTCTAACATCACATGGGTCTGTGACTCTTCTGAATTCCTCTAGGACATCCTGGGTGCTTGGCCAAACATTTAACAACCCGGAAATGAAAACCTAGCTGAGGCACTGCACATATGTGAGCTGTACCTTGTCCATGGCAGGGCTCACAAATGGAGAGTGCAGCTCTACACCCCTTATGGCAGAAAGGCTTTCACAGCCACCTTCTGTGATCTGTGCAATGAGCTGGGTGTGTTGAAGATTCCACCGCTCCCTTTCTCTCTTGCTCCTGCTGAGTTGCTGAAATCCATCATTAGGTGCATCACTTTGCCCACAAAGCACCTCTAGCTTTTGTCCTCCCCTGCTGATGCATCTTCCAAAGACCCCGTCCCCATCCCAAGACTGGCCACTCCCTGACTCACCTATAAAGCCCCCACAGGCCTATGTTATCTCATCAACTAGCTCAGGGCCATCTGAGCTGGATTAAATCCTGAGATGAGTAGCTTCTCACCCCCTGGGGATAAAATCTCTGCCCTTCACTACTGGTCTGGCCTGAAGATGTTTGGGAGCAGTGGAAAGAGCAGAGCTAGAGATCAGAAAGAACATCACCTGCTCTCTTGTCACCATGGGCAAGAACTTACCCTCCCCGGGCCTTCTTTCTGCATCTGTAAAATGGGGATTTTGTTTCTTTTCCAGCTGTATGTTGTGAGCTGTCAAAAGAGAGCAAGTCTGCAGCAGCAGCTTGGCACACATTTGACACTCAAAAACAAAGACAAAGAAAGCTGTTATTATTAAGGTTCTCTGTCATGGTTTAAAGAGACGAGAATACCGTAAGTGCTAGAGCTGGACTATCTGATATGGTAGCCACTGTATAAGTATGGCTATTTGCCTTCAACTTTGAATTACTTCAAATTAAATAAAAGTTAACATTTTGTTGCTCATTTGCTGCAACCATGTTTCAAGTGCTCCATAGCTACATTCAGCTAGTGGTCATCATTTGCCTGGCACAGATATGAATATTTTTATCATGGCAGAAAGTTCTACTGGAAAGTGCTGGTCTACAGGAACTAGAGGACTATTTATTCTACAGGTTTATTTGAGCAAGGGACCAGGTTTGACTAAAGCTCATGCTGGTCTCTCTACTCCACATCCTGGCCTCATGCAGGATGGGTGCCTCCTTCTCAGGTTTTGTTTTTATTTTGCTTTGTTTACTTTAAGTTCTGGGATACATGTGCAGAACGTGCAGGTTTGTTACATGGGTATACAGGTGCCATGGTGGTTTGCTGCACCTATCAAACTGTCATCTAGGTTTTAAGCCAAAAAGAGCCCATATAGCCAAGACAATCCTAAGCAAAAAGAACACAGCTGGAGGCATTCCACTACCTGACTTAAAACTACACTACAAGGCTACAGAAACCAAAACAGCATGGTACTGGTACCAAAACAGATATATAGACCAATGGAACAGAACAGAGTCCTCAGATATAACACCACACATGTACAACCATCTGATCTTTGACAAATCTGACAAAAACAAGAAATGGGGAAAAGATTCCCTATTTAATAAATGGTGCTGGGAAAACTGGCTAGCCATATGCAGAAAACAGAAAACTTCTCAGTTTTTAGAGCTAGCCAGCAGAGGGCTAGGTTGCAATCTGTTGTGTTTCTAGACCCTCCAGGAGCTCACATAGAGCATAAGGGATTCTCGCCACTGGAGTGACCTTAAAGCAGGCTAGTTCATTTGTGTATTCCCCAGGGCTACCACATATGATTGCACAGGTTGTGCACTGCACAAGGCCAGTGGGTACCCATAGACATGCTCTATTTTCATTACCTCATTTAACCTTCACAAACAAACTATTAGGTATGTAGTATTCTTTCTCCTCATTTTATACACAAGAAAAGTGAAGCTTAACGAGTTAAGTAACTTGGCCTCTAGTGACTAGGTAATAAAGCTGGGATTTGAACTCAAACTACAGATCCAGTGTCATACTGGCTCCCAAGGAATGAATAAAGTCAGGTTTTTATTTGCTTTTAGTGGCAGTGGAAGAGAGTGTGTGACTCTCCCCTACAACAGCCCCTATCCTTTCCCGCCAGGATCTGAAACTTGTTTGGAAAGCAAAGAATCCCTGCTCCATACAAGCTGATTCAAGATGCTCTGGGCCATGCATTTCTGCTATGTTTATAGGCAGCAAGAGGGAATCTGAGGTGAATACTAGATTTGGCTCTCAGGCCCTGATCTGAGGGTAGAGGAAATTCATTTTCAGTACAAAGTAGAAACGTCAATTGTATTAGGAGTCCATTTGGCACGCACACCCTCATTCTTTGAGCAGACAAGCAATACCCTGCTCCTTTGCGACTAGCCTCTCCGTTAGTTGCCAAACAGAGCTGCTTGAGTCGTCTGATACATTTACACTTTCCTCTCCTTTAAATACAAACTGGCCATGAAAGTTACTTGGAAGGCCCCAGGCAGGCTGAGTTTCAGTTTGATAACATGACCGCAGCCAGAATATTATTTGGCTCAGCAGTTTGGGTAACTGTTAGCAACAGTTTTATGTAAGGGAGTGAGGGGGAAGCTGATCAGCCTGCAAGAGGCCGTGGTAATCTCTAGCCTTTGTTTGTTCCGGTACTGGCTTCTGCCTCCCTGGCAGTCAAGGATGGGAATGACTCCCATGAATGCAAACAGACGCCGAGAGTGTATGAGAACAGGATTCTCAGGTGGTGCCTACTGGACTCAGCCCATTTACAGCTGGAGACAGGGGAACCTGGATTCTGACTGTGACTCAGCCGATGCCAGCTGTGTCACCATGGGGGGTTGAGTAACCTCTTTGAGTCTTGGTTTTCTCATCTGTAAAAGGAGGAACCTGCCTTTGATGTTCATTGCAGTCCTTCCTCCTGCCCTTAATTCCTGTGACATTTCCTGAGTACCTACTAGGTGCCTGGCACTGTCCTAAGTGCTGAGAGGCACAGGGAAGGGTGCAGATGCAGTGAAGGACTGTTTCACAGCCTAGTGTGGGGATGTGGAATGAAAGCAGGCAGTGACAACGCAGTGTGGCCAATGTTGTGAAGGGGGAACCTGAGGAGGGGCACGGAGCCCGGCAGTGGAAGGGATATTGAGGAAGGGCTCCTGCAGGAAAGGGTGCCTGGGCTAAATTGCGAAGGAAGATGAGGTGTCAGACAGCTGAAAAAGGTACAAGGATAACTCTTTTTAAGGTAGAGAATGCAGAGGTGTGGGGGGAAAATCCATCTTATTGGCATGGGGGAAGGGTCTTAAATGTCACCCTAAGGAGTTGGGACTTTATCCTAAGGGACGGGGGCTCCTGGTTCAGAGAGATTGACATAATTGCTCAAATCACTCTGGCTGAAATGTGAAGAATGTACTGGAAAGAGGCACAGGAATTAAAACAGGAAAATGATCACGAAGCTGCATGGTGGCTCATCAAAGAGTTGATGTTGGCCTGAGTGAGGGTAGTGGCATTGGGGACAAAAGAGAACAGCTTCAGGAGATGCTGTTGTGGGAGAATGGGTATGACTCAGTAATTGCTTGGATATGGAGGGAGTGAGAGGGATTCAGAATGGTGATTTGGCAGTGCCTGGTATCTGGAGGCTAACAATAAAGACCAATAAAGACTGATTGAAGACGACGCCTGCACTGAAATCTATCCCCACCTGGCTGATGATCCTTGCACACCTGTGAAACACAGGACTTGGGTTATCAACTCTGCATGGTTGCTTTGATGGAGATGGAGCTCCTTGTGGACTTAAGGTTTTTTCAGCCTTTTGTTCCTTTTTCCTATTCTTGATTCCCGTACCATCCTTTTGGGCATGTGTAGGATTTGAAGAAAATTCCTTCAGCAGAGGCAGGCAGGAGTGTTGGACTTGTTCTCAGTTACATGTGGATTGAGATAAAATTCAAACCTTGCTCCTTCTGCTCTTCCTTTCTTCCATGGTGTTCTCAAAACTGTACTTCTCATCTAAATATGGTCCCCTTTTTCCTTATGCTTCAGGAGCCAATTGATGTCTAAATATAGTTGCAGTCTTGTGATTTTAAATACTTCAAGGACCAACATGGGTGGTAATGGAGGTAGCAAACTGGGAAAAGAGCCCTGGTCATTTCCTGTTTGAGGAACTTAACTTTTATCAACTTCATACATTGGGATTCCATGTATGATTTCCTTCATAAAAGTTCCAATGCTTAAAAAAAAATTCAAAGCTAAGAATCTCTGAGCAAATCAAAAACAGTATTGCGGGTAGGAAAATGAGGATCAGAGATTACAAAAGTGCAGAAAGTGGTTCCTGAAGTACAGGCTAGTTTTTGGTAAGCAGAAAGGAAAGGGACCATGGTATCAATCTCAAGTTCCAGGAGGCTTACCTGGGAGGCATCACTGTCTTCACACTTGATCCTACACTCACTGTTGAACTGGAAGCCATTAGTACACTGGTAGAGCCCATGGAATTTTGGTGGAGGTGGGTCACAGGTCACAGGAACACAAGCTCCCTCCTGCCAGCTGCCATCCTGGGTACACTGAGTCTTGAAGGCCCGTCTTCAAGGAAAGGATCAAACAGGAGACATCTCAAGGACCAAATGGCTAGATCCATGCCCTGCATGAACACCACCAGCTGGGCCCCCATTTCCTATTTCCTAGTTTTGATTCCCCACCTGACCTATTGGGTTCTGGTGGGACCCGTGCAGGAATTAAGGATAATTCATCCACAGAACTCCTTTAGCAAGAGCAGGCAGAAATGTCATGCTTCCAGCTACATGTAGATTGAGACAAAACTCATGCCCTTCAGCCCCAGGTTCTCTCCCCTTTTTTGCAGAGTGTTCTGATGTGTGTTGGAACCATCATGTTATGATTACCCACCATTTACTGAACAACTACTACGTGCAAAGCATTTTGTGAGCACTTTACATGCACATCTTCATTTGTTCTTCATAACAACCTTACGTGGTAACTGTTATTATCATACCCCTCTTGTGGCTTAAAAAAAAAATGAAGTGCAGAGAAGTAAAGTCATTTGTCTGAGATCACATTGCCATTAGGCAGCCAAGCTGAAACTTAAAGTTTGTTCTGTTTGACCCAAAGCTAATATTATTAACAAATCCTTCTAGCTTCTCACAGAACAGAATGGGATGAATGGCAGTCATTACCTCCAGTGAAGAAATGAGTGCTTCCGTCCAGTCAGGCATTTGAACCTAACTCTTGTCCTCCCAGAGACCATAAGTTTGCATTTCCAACCCCACTTACTTCTTTGACTTCCGAGAGGATCCAGGCACATGGTATCCAGGCTTGCATTTGTATTTGCAGAAGGAGCCCACCTTGTGCTTATTCTCTCGGCACCGGGCGGTCTGGAGGTCTGCATTGGGCACAGGGGGTGGAGCGAGGCACATGAGCTCACACAGGGCCTCTGGGAAGGACCACAGCCCATCCTCCATGCAGGTCAGGAGGCTGTTGTTGCCTGGAAGACATAGGCAAGCAGGGTTAGAGGAGGGAGGAGTCTCTGATAGCCAAGCTAATGTATAGCTACTTGGATTTTAGCTGACTTGAAGAACCAGGAGATCCCTTATGTGGAATTCCAACCCCTTCTACTTCCAACTGAGGAGCCTAGGGAAATCAAGAGAGCTGCCACAAAGAAGAGGAGATCTAAATGGGGGGAGTGAATTACCCCCATGTCTACAGTGAATTAAAATCCAAGGCTTCTGACTTCTGATCCTGAGCCTCTTCTGCTGCATAGAAAAGACACACTCACAATCCTTGAATCCATTTTTCTTACTTTACAAATGGGCATCTGAGCACAGAGATGGAGGCACTTGCCTTCTAATACTTGGCAGCAAAAACTCCCACCAGAAACTACAGCAAATTCTGATATCAGTGAGTGCATGACCTCAAGCTGCCACTCTCCCCCTGGGCCCAGCACCCCTGTATCTGTCCTGCCTACCACCTCCCCCAGCTCCCACCACCAATGCCTGGAAGTGACAGCATTGTGTTAGGAGATTTGATTTTCTGTTCAGGTCCTGGTGCTCAGTGAAGCTTTGCCAAAGCAGGTGAAAGAGCAGCACTTCCCCCGTAGCCCATGCCAGCTCTGACAGAGTGCTGACTGCCATTGGGAAGCTGGTCTGATGGGGAACGTTGCAAATAAAAGTAAAACACGGGAGTTAGGCTTTTCACTGCCAGCTCATATATTATCGAGGCACAGCCCGCCTAAAACCTTCCCAAGACAACTAGAGGAGGACCTGAAACTTGTGTTTCTCCACCAAACTCTCCTTTTCCTGGTTATTACTGAATGGTGTTGACAATCAGGGCTGGAAACATGTCGGGGGCTCGGGGACTTGCAGGTTGGAGAGGTGGAGTGGTAGGGAGAAAACTGACATCTACTGGGCAGTTACTATGTACCGAGTGCTTCTGATATGCAATCTCATTTATTCTCACTATAAACAGTGCATTTAGTATGACAGTCTTTATTTGGAAATGAAGACTCAGAAAGAGGTGACTTGACCAAGTTATCATAGTTGGCAAAAGACAAAACTGAGGTTCAAAACAAATTCTGTCTAACTACAGAGATGGTTGTTTTTAATGGGAAGTTGGCTACTACGTATGATCAGCAGGGCCCTTATTATTCATTCCGGAGCCATCAAATCTCAATTTTTCTATCTGTGGAAAGCAAACAATTGCTTCTGCCTTTCAGGGTGCTGAGAAGATGAAATAAAACAACATTTATGAAAAGTGCCTATAAAAGTGTTGTCAATGTCTTCGTTTGCTTCTTAACTTCTTTCCTTCTTCCCTCCTTTCCTTTCTTCACTTCCCTGCTTCCTCCCACTTTCCTTCTTCTTTTCATCTTCATTAGTAGCTCTGAAAGAATCTTCACAGAAGTCTTCATTCATTCAACAAATATCTATTTAGTGCTTATTCTGCACCAGATACTTTTATATGTTGAAGGCAAAGCAGTGAACAAAATAAAACAAAACAAGATAGAAATAGCTCTGTTCTCTTGATGCTTATAATCTAGTGGGACAGGGAGGAGTACAATAAATTATCCTAAAAAGTATATTATTTAGTGTGCCAGAAGGTGCCAAGTACTATAAGAAAAAGCAGGAAAAGGAAGAAAGGGGAGAAAGTACTTTGCAATTTTATGTACGCTCCTCCACTTATCTTATTCCTTCTCATTTTTTTCATTTTTCTTCTTTGTCAGTATGATTCATCTGGTTAGCACAAGGCAGATTGGTGTCTGTAAACCCCATAGGGGATTCCACATTGACAAACTGTGAGACTGACAACTATATATATTTTAACATCAAGTAAAAAGAGTAAAGTGTGCAGAAAGGTGATTCATTTGGTTTCCATAGAAGCATAGAAGCGTCCAGAATACCAGTCAGTGTCTACAAACTTCTTTTTGCATTGCCCTTGTAATCGGGGCAGTCATTGCTTTGGGGTGCCCAGCTAATGCACAAGGTTAGTGGGAAGGGGAGCTGTATATAAAGTACAGGAAGCACACCCTCTCCAAATTGCCTAAGAGAGATAACATATCTGTGGAAAAGGTGTTGGGACTCTTAAAAAGTACATTGTATTAGCTATGTATATGGTAAATTATGAAGTGAAAGTCGTGGTTTTCTGTGACAAGAGAACATAAAGTTTCCAAAATGTTAATCAAGAGAGAAAATGCAAACCAGAAATGTGCTTTCTGGAAGAGGGTGAATAGA
Organism: Homo sapiens; assembly: GCF_000001405.40. Classification (NCBI taxonomy): domain Eukaryota; kingdom Metazoa; phylum Chordata; class Mammalia; order Primates; family Hominidae; genus Homo; species Homo sapiens. Next base: position 116,350,466 of record NC_000009.12, on the reverse strand, counting down.
AGTTAGCAGTGCACCACAGCTAAAGCAGGCACTGGTGATTCAGGACCATGGATATGTCCCCCCACCCCTGCAACAAACTCCAAGAGAGTTTTCAACTGGGCAGTATTTCTGTGCACCAGCTGTAGCCACTACCCTGCATCTACAATGTGGCTTTGAAGAAAGTAGGGTATGATACATGATGTGCCCTTCGTTTGTCTTCTTGGCACTGGCCTGTATACTGTGAAAGATGCTTACTGCACTGCCAACTCTCTGCCTGAGGGCTATTATACTGCTCATGGATGCTTATTATACTGGTCATTGATGCTTACTCTGTCCATATGCAGGGTGAGTTTAAAGTACCAAGGAGTTAATGCCCCTGGAAGCACCACTAAACTAATGGTGGAGTTGTTGGATTCATGTGCCAGTTTCCAGAGTTGCAATAACTCGGAGGCATGTTCTCCACCGTCTCCCAGAGTTTCCCAGAGGGACTGAGCTCTAGTTGCCCACAGTGGCAACTTGCTTTAGAAGAGAGCCTGTTGACTTTTGTCAGTTCCATGTCTCCTGTCCTCATTCCCCCACCGTATTTCCTGGGGGAACATGACTCAAGACACGAAGTGAAGGCATGTCTGAGCCTGAAGTTCCTGGTAGAGGGTAACGTCTCTTCATAGAGGTGTTGATATTAGAGATTAGATTCCATCAAGTTTTGGGTCCGTCAAGTTTTGGGACCCTGTAAGTTCACTTGTTCATCTTTTAATGCAGAAAAATACATCCTGCCCAGCCTGTCTACAAATGTGGGTAAGGAAATTCCAATCTCTAATGAGCATTAAAACAATTGTCAACTTGTAGCAGTGTCAAAGGAGAGGTACTTATTTTTATTACTTCATTTAAAAGATTACCCAGGAGATCAAGTCTCTTTGGGAGTGCTGTAAAGATTAAAATTAACATAGAACAGAACTCAAGGAGAGAAATACTAGACCTTCAATCTGGTATTCTAAGCACTTGCCTCATGGTGTTGGCACTTTCTAGATCCTAAGGCAAGGGCTGTATCTTGTATATTCGTTACTCCCAGAGCCTAGCCTACTGCTGAGCGAATAGTAGGTCCTCGGTATCCATTTGTTGAATGCATAAAGTATGAATTTATCTGTGACCTTGAACAAATCACCTAACTTGTTTGTCCCTAAACCAAAGCTGTCTCTGAGTTCTTGTCCATCTCTAGCATGTTAGAATGTGAAAGAATATTGGCCACTATATTGTTTGGAGGAAACAAAAATGCACTAGCTGGACTGGAATAAGGACAATCACTCAATCAACTGGCTGCATTAGCCAAGGGCTGGTACGGGGGGATTGCAAGGAGCAGGGGGGTAGACTTGGTAAGGGGTAGACTTTAACGGAAGTACAGAGGAAGAAGACAGATTAAGAAGGACAAGAGGTACAAATAGAGGAGAGGGCCAGGTGGGGCAAAAACTGAGGGCAGAAAGGATTTCAAGCTGGTCATTATTATCATTATTATTTATTGCCTGTTTAAAATTAGTGCTTTTACTATTTCCAATAGTAAAGACATGGAATCAACCTAAATGCCTATCAATGATAGACTGAATAAAGAAAATGTGGTACATATACACCATGAAATACTATGTGGCCATAAAAAAGAATGAGATCATATCCTTTGCAGGAACATGGATGGAACTGGAGGCCATCATCCTTAGCAAACTAATGCAGGAACAAAAAAACAAATACTGCATCTTCTCACTTATAAATGAGAGCTAAATAATGAGAACACATGGACACATAGAGGAGAACAACTAACACTGGGGCCTATCACAGGGAAGAGGATGGGAGGAGGTAGGAGATCAGGAAAAATGGCTAAAGGGTATTAAGGCAGGCTTCATAACTGGGTGATAAAATAATCTGTACAATGAACCTCCATGACACAAATTTACCTATATAACAAACCTGCACATGTCCTCCTGAGCTTAAAATAAAAGTTTTTTTTAAAAAAACTGTTGTCCTTTTTGCTTAAACTATGTTATGATCAAAGGAAAAACAAAAGGTAGAAAGGAGAAAAGGGAAGCAAGTAAAAGAAGGAAAGTTGAAATTGATCACCTCTTTACCCCCTGGCTTGAGATGAGGGTGGGAGGGCAAATTAGGTGGCAATATCAAGTTCAAGAGAAAGGCAGCAGGACCTTTGCCCAGTCCTTGCTGCCAGTAGATCCAAGCAGAAGCCTCAGCACAGTACTCTGAACACTAGATGATGCTGACAACCAAGTTGCATGAAGTGGCAATTGGTCCTAGTTGATCAATATGGAAATAGAGAGATATTTCCCTGTATGGTCAAAGGAAAAGCAAAGTTGGGATCACCAACTGTCAAAATGATGGTCCTCCTAAGGCCTTGTCTCCCCAGCCAGGTCACACTTCCCCAACAACAGTTGGCAGTGGAAGGATCTGCATCATTTTGATTAAGTATTATTATTAGCCACAATGAGGTCTGTAATAATCAATGTTAATTTATACACCTCCCTTTCCCAAAAGCCTCTGATTGATTGAGAGAAGTATGATTTCCTAGTCTGGAGTTATTAACACATTCCACATCTAGTCCCAGCATTCTAGGACACCCAGGCCAGCTACTCACTTTTTTCTAAAATGTGACCTCTTCTCTGGTATGCCAGTGTCTTTTTCCCCTCAATAGCCCTGGTGCCTAGCTCAGGAGGATGCCAGATGCTTCCTGTCCATATCTGCTCTTCTCTGCCCAGCTGGCCCCTCTTAATGAGTGGCAGCCAGCATTGGAGAACAACAGACCTGGGTTTCAATATGGTCCCCACCACTGATGGTGCAGCCTTGGGCAAGTTCTTTAAACCCTCTGAGGCTTGGTTTCCTCATCTGTGAAATGGGAATAATAGTAACGCTTACCTCATAAGGCTTACTGGCCCTAATCATACAGAGTGAATTAGTTTCATCAGTCCCAAATGTAACTTTTTTTTCTTTTTCTCTCTTCCTTCTTCCCTCCCTTCTTCACTTTTATCCTCTCTTTCTTTTCTTTTTTGCAAGATTTCCAAGGTCTTGGAAAGGGCTTCACTGTCATAATTATCCATACACTCTTTTTTCTTTCTTATCTGCATAGCAGGGCAGTTTACATAAATACAATTAGTAGGAAGAAGTCAGGAGCATAGATAAAACCCATCCCACCCTTGGTGTTTGAGACCCAGAAAGAGGGCCTGGATGCAGCTTCTAGGTTTCCCATAGACAAAGGAAGGCTGAGCTGGGGAAGGCGTTCTTGATACCTTTCAATTGTGCAGGGTGACGGCACTGGAAGGAACATTGACTGCCAAAGGTGGTGCCCTCAGGGCAGGAGAAGGAGGCAGCATAGACTTGATGGTGATCTGGGATGCTGCAGTCGACTGGCTCACAGGCCACCTGCTTATTCCACTTGCCCTCTGTACAGGTCACTGTGACGCTGGGTCCCGTCTGAAAGGCAGAGTCGTGCATAGTGAGGAGTGGCAGACTGAGCTCTAGATGTGGAGAAATACCCTTCTTCCCAAGGTGACGGCTCAGAGTCTCGCCCAGGCACTAGGAGACCAATGCTTAGTGTTTAACGTTAGCTCACTTTTAATGATCCCAATAACTCCATGAATTACATATTTCAGATCTCAAAGACACAGAGACTGAGACTCAGAGACATTACATGATCAGCCTTAAGTTAACCAGCTGGGAAAAGGATAAGTTGGACTTGAGTCCAAAGGCTATGCTCTTAACTGCTGTCTATAGTGCCTCCCAGATCACGATTTCCATTTTATTGATGAGAATCTTGAGGTTTTGAGACCTCACAGGGCATGATGACTTCTTTCACAAAACAGACTGTGAAATACAGTTCAATGGTAGGACATCAAGTGTTGATTTGTATGTCTTTTATTAGCTCTAGAGGAGTTACTAGGAACTTGTTGTAGTGTTTGGCACACAGTAGGCACTCTCCATGGCTATAGGAGACCTCCATGTTTTTCCTCCATGTTATGAGACCACAGGCAAGTCCCTTTTCCTTACTTGAGTTCTCCCTTTGGCAAAATGGATGGATTGAACTCATGAACTGCTCAAAGATCCACTCCCTACTCTCAGATTTGGCGGCTCAATAGTCAAGAGAGAAGGGTACAAAGACAAAAAAAAGCCTAGGAAAAATGAAAGAGTAAATGGAGATTTGAACCAAACTACACGATGGTGGAGCTGGGTGGAGGGCAAGACCATGCTACGGAGTCAAGGGATGGACAATCATTGCAGCCTGGAGGCTTTCATTCAAGGAGGAAGCCGCTAAATCCTAGGGACTGGAGATGCCAAACGTTGATCTGGGATTTTAAAAGCAAAGGACATTTTCCCTCTTAAGCACACATCAAAGGGATGTGTGCTTGAGTGAGGTCCCTCACTGCCAAAACAGTCTAATTGTTTCTACAGGAGTTCAGGCCTGCCAAGTCTGACACACGGAAGTAGGTGTCTAAGAAGAGCAAGTCCAGAAGTTCTGTACAAATAGGCATTCCCAGCAGTAAGGAATGTGCCCTGTGTGCTTGCAGTTTGAAGGCAAAGTCCACTGACCAGCCCTGGAAAATGCTACATTTAGTGACAGAAATCCTCAAATCCCAGGACAACCTGTCCCACTCCCCCAAGCCCCACCTGGGACATTACAGCACCATCTTGCTGAAGCAACATTCTGTCACATCACTCCAAATCATTCACTACCACCAATCTCACGCAGGACACGTCCTATCTTCCATGACTCCTTTGATGACTGTCTGAGGGAGGGGGTCTCCCTGCTACCAGTCTTACTGCTAGACTCCAAGCTACACCCACATGGAGTATCTAGAAGAGACTTTGTCAACCAGGATCTGACCATGTCATTTCCTGCAACAGCTCCCTGTTGTCCTGAAGATCAACCCCACACTTCCTGACTAAATC